>NC_000010.11:120370700-120995784 GCF_000001405.40 Homo sapiens
GGATGCAGCTTCACAATCTTCAATACAATACAGAAGCAGCTGAGTTTGGATTTTTTAGAGTGAAGATTCTTTATACTCTAGATCTAATAAACTTCAGATTTTACGTCAGGGAGACATGGAGGCTCAGTAAGGCACAGAGCTAGGTCTGGAAATCCAGGTACCCTGGCTCTAAGCCTGACATTTTTTTCTTACCCTAGTAAATGATCAGTTTTAAAGAATATTGTCTAGAAAGCTTGGAATTATACCATAAATTTTAACAGCTAAAATACAAATTTTATGTGATTTTTTTTCCTATATGCCTGGAAATTTCTTAAGTGTTATGGAAATTGTAAAGGACTGAGTATGTAAATAGCCATTGTTAAATGGTGAGTCTAAAAATTGACAACCTGTTAACTTCTAAGGATAATTAGCAGATTAGTTGATTCTGTGGTATTTATAATTTAGGGTTGTAACTAGTGATTCATTTATTTCACAGAGAAAGGAGGAACAAGATAGCTTAATTTGCAAACACTTTGGTGTCTGGCATTTGCAAATAAAGAAAATAGAGTATGTATCACTTTGTTGAACTCTTGTCCCGCACACTATTTTTACGTACCAACAGGTCCTAATGAGTACGCTTGCTATTATTCCCATTGAACTTACAGCTCTCACATTGGGAGTTGCATTTGTTATGGCCATTCACCAAAAGGCATGTAGTGCTGTGTCCAAAGTGGTGCAATGACCAAGTCCAAGATAGAAATCAAGGTCTGCAGAGGGACCTCTCACTCTTTATGCACTCTCCTGGGCTTCCAGTTCTTTTTTTTTTTTTTTTTTTGAGACGGAGTCTCATTCTGTTGCCCAGGCTGGAGTGCAGTGGTGTGATCTCCGTTCACTGCAAGCTCTGCGTCCCGGGTTCACGCCATTCTCCTGCCTCAGCCTCCCGAGTAGCTAGGAGTACAGGCACCCGCCACCACGCCCGGCTAATTTTTTTGTATTTTTAGTAGAGACAGGGTTTCACCGTGTTAGCCAGGATGGTCTCGATCTCCTGACCTCGTGATCCACCCGCCTCGGCCTCCCAAAGTTCTGGGATTACAGGCGTGAGCCACCGCACCCGTCCCCAGTTCTTATACTGAATGCTACCTTGTGTACTCTCAGTTATTATCAGACATCAGGAGGAAGGATTTGGAATACATTCAGTGGAAGTCATTCCCATTAGAGGTGGCAGGAAGTCCTAGCTGAGATCCTGCCTCATGGCTGATACCAGCTCCTCTGCTGACAACACAGTTCTTTCTCATTTCATCCTTTCCCTCCCTCTCTTCTCTCTGTAGTTGGTATTTCTTTGCCAAGCCCTCAAGCTGGATTAATTGATAACTTCAATAATGTGGTAAAGAATCTGAAGTTATTTTGCCCGGAGAAGGTGTATAAAGTAAGCTGCATAATTTTCATTCATGTTTACCCACGAGCAACCCATCTGCTTACTCATCATTGCTTTTGGAATTTCGGCCCCGGCATTGGAAAAGTGCTCAGATTAATTTTAACTTTAGGGATAATTAAGTCCATAAAATGTGTGTTTGTTGCTCTTTGGTTGAAAGTAGTAAGAAGAGGAGAAAATTGGAAAATGAAGTGGAAATGTTCTAGAAAATTAGCTCAAAGTAGATCTGTTAAAAACTCTGGAGAGGATATTAAGATAATTTCCTAAGACAACTTCTGAGCAAGAAAATAGACCAGATGACATCAGTTTGAAAAAGAATATTCTTGTTGAAGAAAACATAATTTGATTTTCTTTTCATGTATTCCTAGTTTTCCAATAAAATGCTATATATGTAATGTTATCGTATAGAATTATTTTATATATATATATATTTATACATACATACCAAGAGGCCAACTGGGAAAAAAATTGGACGATAAGGCAGTCAAGAACTTACAGATTGTCTATTAAGATTTTAAATTCACTTATAGACGAGTTGTAAGAATAAATGTAAATGGATTCTTTATTTGGACTTGAATAAATTAGAAAAAATTAAAACTGGAAAACATTTTTTTCTTCCCTTTAGATTGAATTGACTTGCTCTGAATTGAGCCCTGAATAGCCCCATAATACATGTATTAGTTTATGCCTTTAAAATCACTTTCTCATCCCTGTAGCATTGGATCTTTCTGCAGTTCTGGATCATGCAATGCACTGGTTGTTTTTTCACTCCATGTTACAGATGAGAAAACAGTAGTTCAGCGAGGCTGATGACTTGTTCAGCATGAAGCAGCTGGTAGTGGCAAAGCTGGAAATTCAATTTGGGTCAAACACCTTTTGTTTGTTACTAACAAGTATTGAATGTGTGCTCTGGAATAGGTGCTGGGGCCGAAGGCAATAGAGTCAGTCCCTGGCTACAGGGAGCTCTCAACAACAGGGGGAGGTTCTGCATACACAGACTATGTGAAACTAACGTTCCCCAGAGCTGGGGGCTGGTTGAAGGTGAGCAGGATGAATAAGGTGGGGGGTTGGAGGGGTTAGACAGTTGGAAGACAGAGAGCCAAGGAAAGGGGTGCAAATGTCCTGAGGTTGGAAGACACGAATATGGCTCTTTACCCACAACTTTGTGCCCTTTGAACACTTTCACTCACCAACACGTGAAATTATGATTGAAATCTATTTTCATTTTGTTGGCACTCCAAACCTATACAATGAAACTAGAAGTCCCTAAAAATTGGAATCACTTATTGACTTAAAAAAGATGAATTCTCCTGGGGCCTAGCTGTATAGTTAGAGTTAGACTTCTGGTTTTTATTGATGCTGTCAATGAGGAAAACTTGTCTTTTTGTAAAGTTTCCATTCAGTTTTGCATTATTTTCTTTGACATAAGAAGGTAAAATCTATCCAAGAAGAATATTGGCAAACTCAAATCTGTCCTTTTTCATTAGTAACACAGTTTGAATAATATATACTTACTGATTGTTTTGTGACAGAACCACAAAAACATTATAAATGATATTTTAAAATTGTAATGAAATCACTGTCAAGTTTTTTTGGTTCAATACTTCTTGAACAGCAGGTGATAACATTCAAAATATTGATGTATGCAATTTTTTCTGGGTTCTGCCAGAATGATTAATGGTTTGGCCTTGATTTGAATTGTGAAATAAGTATAAGGCAAGATCAATTACGGGTGTACTTGGACTTCATTATCACAGAACAATCAGTAAACTCAGCTCTGTTCTCTGAATGTATATGAAGGGAGAGAGGGGGCAGAATATGAGGATGGAATGGTCTGGGCAAGTCAGCTACCTGTGCACAAGTGGTGCTTGCAGTGACAAAGTCTTCTAATTGAATCAGTATTACAACACAAGCTCCTGGCCTTATTAGCAGTTTCATTTATTTTTCTGATTACAAAAGCATATATCCTCACTGTTAAAAATTCACATACTATGAAATGTCTGACTTGGAATGTGAGAATTGTTTTGAATCACTGTCTTTCTCTCTCATCTCAGAGAAAACCACCATTGAGTTGGGTATTCCTGCAATTGTTTTCTGTGCTGGTACTAACACTCATTGATCTGTTAACAGAGAAAACATCCAGTAATACATTGTGAGCTTGATTTGTGGCTTCATCTCTCTATGCATTAAAAAAAAAAAACAACTCAAATGCACCTGGGCTGCCTTAGGTCAGGCTGTGCCCCTGGCTAGCAGCTGGCCTTGCCCCCAGGTCCACTGTCCTTTAGTAAGTCCTTTTTTTGGATGTTGTAGTAGGATTGATCAGGATTAACAGTTTCCTGAGCTGGAGTCATTTAAATGTGCCTTGTCTGTAAATGGAGGTAATAATAGTACCTACATCATAAAATTATGCTTGCAAGGATATGAAACTGTTTACATAAAGCACTTAGCCCAGCACCTGCTATATTGTAAACACCCAGTAAATGACAGTTTATATTCCCTTGCTAGATGTGCAAGCTCCTGAGGACAGGGTACTAGCTGTTTACCCTTCTATCTCCTGGTCAAAGATTGGCCCACCAAGGTTGTCAATAAATATCTGTTGAAGGGATGGATTCCTTCTTGTTGCCTCCTGTATTAGTCCATTTTCATACTGCTATGAAGAAATATCCAATTCTGGGTAATTTATAAAGAAAAACAGGCTTAATGGACTCATAGTTCCACATGGCTGGGGAGGCCTAACAATCATGATAGAAGGTGAAGTAGGATCAAAGGCATGTCTTACATGGCGGCAGGCAAGAGAGCGTGTGCAAGGGAACTGCCCTTTATAAAACCATCAGATCTCATGAGACTTGTTCACTATCATGAGAACAGCATGGGAAAAGCCCACCCTCATGATTCAGTTACCTCCCACCAGATCCCTCCCACGACACGTGGGGATTATGGGAGCTACAATTCAAAGTAAGATTTGGATGGGGACACAGCCAAACCATATCACCTCCATTGAGCTTACTGACCAGGGGTCCATCAAGACCCCTTCAAGACCACATGTGTGCTTCACACTGGAAGAAGAATCTGGAAAGAAGAGTTGGAGGGTCAGATAAGGCAGAGCCTGCAGTAAGGCTGGGAAGCTGCCAGGCAGGTCTTGGTGTTAAAGAGGGGCCATGCCCCAGGGGCTGGGGGCAGGGTCTGTGGACAGCTGTTCCTCTGTCTCAGGTGGGCCTGACCATGCTTCTGGTCAACAGGATGGCATTTGGGAAGAAGAACTGGAGGCAATATGGGAGGACAAACTGGAACTTCCTGGCCAATAGTTCAGCCTCTCTTTTCACCTTGCCTAACCATGATAACTTCCTGAAAATAACAGCTGCTGCTCCACTTCTCCCTTTCAGATCTTGGGCAGATTTCTCCTCTGGCCAACTTTACATCAGATCCATATACACAGAAGGCATTCTAGGAAATGTCCCTGCCCAGCCAAGGTGACTCAGTCAGTGAACCACCATCTAAAACCCATTCCTGTGTCTGCTGGAATAAAACACTCAGGGCCCTTCAGTCTTTGAGCTGCTAATGAATCCCATAGCTTTTTGCTGGGACATTCAGAATAGTTTTAACCAGCCAGCTATACCAAGTTAGATCTCTTCAATCCCATGCACAGAGAGGCCTGCTGCCCAGGACAGATATGCACAGACACCCATTGTGTGGGGCCATCATCTCCCGGTCTAATGATGTTGAAGTTTATTAGCTGTTGTAGCAGGCGAGGTCTCCTAGGATTTCTCTAGTCTATAATTGGCTTTTACTGTGGTGGGTTCTGTGAGTGTCAGAAATAATGAGGTGACATTTGGTTATGACATGGCATCATTAGAGGACTGGTAATGCAGATTATGAACACGCATTCTTGTAAGGAAGAATAATAAATCAAGTCGAAAAATGCTTGATAAGTAATAAGGGTCACATCTAAATATAAACTCTTTTGGTGTATATTAATGCCAGCAACTAATAATTTATAGGTCCTGTCCTTCGTGGGGCTTGCGAGTCCCCTGCTGAAATAGTATTTCTCAGGCCACTGGAAAAACCCATGGTGAGTGTCAGTTAAGAAGTTTGAAGATCATTTGTGGCATGTACAGGGTTGGGTGGGATGCAGATTAATTCATCAGGAGTGAGAGGAAGGGCATGTAAGAGCCTAGCTTTCCAAAACGGAATTATTTTGAGCACATTTTTATATGCCCCTACATGATTCCAACAGTATTATGTTTTCCCAAAAAAATAGCAATTTGTAACAGTCATTAAATTGCTGTGACATATGAGTGAGCAGCATTTCCCCACCCCCCAAGAAACACTGAAAGCTATGTATTTTAACACTGTCAGGAACAAACCAATGCAAATAGTTGTCTCTGGCTGTGGAAGTTCTTTTTCTTGTTCTCGTGCACTAGGTATTTATAAGATCGAACAGTTCTGCTCATTATACAATTCAGAACTTTTAGCACCAATGTTCGTAGTCAGCAGTGATAAGAAAGGGAAGTCTGGGAGAAACATTAGTGGGTTTCCTGCTATGTGCCAGGCTTTTCCATACAAATAGTTTCAAATATCTCATCCCTTGCTCTCATCCTCCACCCCATGCCAATGTTTAGTATCCCAATGATGGCCCCATATCAAATGCTCTGAGAGACAGCAGAACATCTATTAACACTGGTCCCTGCCTGCCCCGTCTGCCTCCATCTGTCCTTCTTTTTGCCTCCAACTCCATCTTTTTTTGCTTGCTATGTCTAAAAATCTCTCCTTACCTTTAACTTTTTTTTATGTTGATGAATAATACACATACAGCACAGAAAATTACGTAAACCATAAGAGCTCAGCTTGGAATTTTCCTAAACTCTAACCAGCATCCTAGAAGCTGCTTTGTATTCCCTTCTAATCACTACCTCTCCCCGTGGACAGCCCCTCTCCTGACTTCTAACAGCATTGATTCTTTGGCCTGTTTTTACAGTTCATATGAATGGAGTCACGTGGCTGCTTTCACCCAGCATTCTGTTTGTGAGGCTCAACCATGCTGTGTGTCGTTGTAAATTGCTCATTCTCATTGCTGGACACTGTGTCATTGCATACCTGTTCCACAGCTTATCCATTCTACTGTCCCTGGGCACTTTTGGCCAGTTATGGGCAGTGCTCCTAGGAACCTTCTAGTATATATCTTCTGTTGAACATATGCTTCCATTTCCATTGATTATATACCTAGAGAAGAAATGCTGGCTTCCTTTATTATAAATTTTACCTGTTCTTCAATCATCTCAGTCCTCACTGAAATGAAAAGGGAGTCTTGAGTGATGCTTAGGCCATAAACTCAGGTGTGCAAGAAATAGAATTTTATTTCTAAAATTTAAATCTACTTTTAAGCTCCAGACTGGGAAAAATCCAATTCTAGTCATTTTTTGATTCTCCCTCTTCCAGTGAAGTAACCCAGATCAGAAGACAGAGGAAAGGGTCTCTAGCCCTGTCTGTTCCCAAGCTGACAAGGTTCAGGCCAAAAGGGTTTTCTGCGCTATGCTTGGGGTGTGGGAGTTTGGGGAGGCTAGGACTCTTGACATCTTTGAGATATCCTTCTGGGTCCTTCCTGGGTGGCTATCTCTTTGTGGGGAGCCATATTCCTGCTGCTCTCAGGGAAATCCCTTCCCTTCTCTTCCCTTCCCCTTCTGCTCCTCTCTCTCTTTCTTTCTCTCTTTCCTTTCTTCAGGGTCTCATGCTCTGTTACTCAGGCTGGAGTGCACTGGTGCGATTAAAGCTCACTGCAGCCTCAAACTCCTGGGCTCAAGTTATCCTCCAGCCTCAGCCTCCTGAGTGGCTAGGACCACAGGGTGCACCACCAAGCCTGGCTAATTTTTTTTTTTTTTTTTGGTAGAGATGAGGTCTTGCCATGTTGCCCAGGATGGTCTCAAACTCCTAGCCTGAAGAGATCCTCCCTCCTTGGCCTCCCAAAGTGCTGGGGTTGCAGGCATGTGCCACCACACCTAGCCTCTCTTCTTTTTCTGCGGGAAGACACTGTCTGCATTATCTGGCTTCTCAGAGCCCCTCTGCCTCTTCCTCAAGCTCTGCTCAATTCTGTGGGCTAGGATTTTGGAGAACAAAAGTCAAGAAGTCTTGCAGGCTGGTTGCATTCTGCTCTGGCATATTCCTGGCCTGAATATTCAACACAGAACCTGCTACCATCAATGCGGAAAGGTGACAATTCAGGAGAAAAATATAAATCATCTCAAAGTCTCCCAGCTCTTTGCTTGGCTAACGTGTTGGGGAAAGGGGTGACACTGGTGACATAGGCTGACGCTTAACACAGCTGCTTGCTGTATGGCCTGAGGGGCCACCTGGGCACCACCTGAGTATTGCGGTTTCTCTCTTACAGGACTCTTGTGACCCCATGTTTGTCTTGTCCCAGGAAGTGGAGAAAGGGTCTTGGGTGGAAAGGAGGGAGGTAGGAGAGACTGAGAGGGAAGGAAGAGATGGGACAGGGGCTGTTATGGGCACACAGGCCCCGGGAGATCCTTGGGGAGAAGACACATTGTCAAAGTAGAACAGTTACCAATCTCAGGCACATGCAGAAGTGGCTGATGCATTAACAGAGCAGCAGGGATGACGACTTCATGTCCTGAGACAGCAGCAAGTCACATGAGAACACTCGCCCCGTGTTCCTTTCCTGTGGCTGCCAGAACAAAGTGCCACAAACTGTGGGGGCAGTGGGCTTAAAACAGCAGAGATGTATTCCCACACAGTCCTGGTGCCTAGAAGTCCCATTCAAGGTTTCGGTAGCAGGGCTGTTCTCCCTCAGAAGGCTCCAGGGGAGGATCCTTTCTTGCCCCTTCCAAGTTTCCAGTGGTGGCTGGCAAGCCTTGGGGTCCCTTTGCTTGTGGCGGCATCCCTCCAGTTTCTGCCTGTCTTCACATGGCTGTCTTCCCTCTGTGTGTGTCCGTGTTTTCTCTTCTTAGAAGAGGACAGTCCCTTGGATTTGGAGTCGGGCCCGGCCTACTCCAAATGACGTTGTCCTATTACTATTTACATTTGCAAAGATTGTATTTGCAAATAAGGTCACATTCTGAGGTCTGGTTATACATAAATTTTGGGGGGATGCTGTTCAACCCAGTACACCCCCTGAAAGGAATTGACGTGATTGGAGGTCGTTGTCAGTTGAGTTCTCCCAAAGCACACATAGTTTTTCTCATTTTTCTTTTCTGTCTTGATAGAAGCAAATTTGAGGATCCTTTCCCCTTTCTTTTTCCTTTTCCTTCTTTTTTACATTTTCTTAATGATACAGAAACCAGGACTTACTTACATAATTCATAACTCACTCCAGAAGTCATAGACTCAAGAATTCCACCAGCTTTCTATGGGTTGTGCCATTTCTTCCCCTCCCCTCACTGGGATTTTCCCTCCTTTCCTCCATTGCTCGCCTCTCCTCATGCCACTGGCTTGATTTTTGTCCTTTTCACCTAGGCCTTGATAACTGTCTGCTTGGGGCACCTGCCTGCCTTCTGGCATGTGCATCCTCGTTTCCTCTCACTTTTGGAGAAGAGGAAACATGGCTGGGTGCGGTGGCTCACGCCTGTAATCCTGGCACTTTGCGAGGCAGAGGTGGGCAGATCACGAGGTCAGGAGTTCAAGACCAGCCTGGCCAACATAGTGAAGCCCTATCTCTACTAAAAATACAAAAAATTAAGCTGGGCGTGGTGGTGGGTGCCTGTAATCCCAGCTACTTGGGAGGCTGAGGCAGGAGAATCACTTGAACCAGGAGGCAGAGGTTGCAGTGAGCAAAGATGGTGCCACTGCTCTCTAGCCTAGGTGACAGTGTGAGACTCCATCTCAAAAAAAAAAAAAAAAAAAAAAAGGACACATAATTCCTAAGAGATTTGCTGGGGGTCACATACAACAAAGGAAATAGTTCATGGAGTGCAATGGCCAGGGCCCAGCAGGAACCAGGGAGGTTTACACAGAGTCACTGGGCAGCATTTAATAAAGAGGCTATTTATAAAGGTGTCGGCCGTATTAGGAGAAAACAGCAAGGGATGTTGCAGGACCCTAGAGTTGCTCCTACCAGCCCTCGGTTTGAGGGGCAAGAGGAGGGAGTATTTACAGGAATGCAGAGGGAGGAGCTAAAGCTGGAGGGGAGGAGCTAAAGCTGGAGGATAGGAGCTCCCACCAGGACATGGCCCTAGGTAGAGGAAGCCAGCCAAACTGCAGAGACCACAAACGGGCCAAGGGACACCGGCATCTGATATGGTTTGGCTGTATCCCCACCCAAATCTCATCTTGAATTCCCATGTGTTATGGGAGGCACCTGGTGGGAGATGATTGAATTATGGGAGTGGGTCTTTCCCATGCTATTCTTGTAATGGTGAATGGGTCTCAGGAGACCTGATGGTTTTAAAATATGGGAGTTGCCCTGCACAAGCTCTCTCTTTGCCTGCTGCCATCCATGTGAGATGTGACTTGCTCCTCCTTGCCTTCCACCATGATTATGAGGCCTCGACAGCAAGTCCAATTAAACCTCTTTCTTTTGTAAATTTCTATCTTTATCAGCAGCATGAAAATGGACTAACACAGCATCCCAGCTTCACTTTCCTCCCTTTCTCTGCTTCCTGGCAGTGCCTCTTGAGGTGGAACCAAGTGGACGTCCAGCTGATGCAGCTTACAGTGGTGGAAGGGAAAAGGCAGGTCTGGAGAAGTCAACAAAAGCTATCCAGACACGAAGCTGAGATCCTGCTCCTGGGTGAATGTGGGGTGAAGAGGGCTTGCCTTGCTAGCTTTCTGGCCAAATGGCTCTGAAACAAGCCCAGAAGTTGGGAAGTTGAGTCTATGCCACCGAAAAAGCCCATTTGCAACTAACGAGTTGCAATTCGTTACAGGGCAATTTCTAGTTTCCAGTCAGCAAAATTAGTTTCTTGCTTTACGTGGGGGAAAAGCAATCTAGATCTTTTTGGATAGATAGTTCGGAAAACATCAAAATTTTATAGCAGCAATTGGTCTTGCTGAGAGTAAGAACAATTCTAGAACAGAAAGTGACAAAAATACTAAAAAGACGATGCACCATGTTGTATAACTAATTCAAATCATTCTACCTCAGATTGGATCTAATAATTTAAATATTTCAAATACTATTAATTCAATTTAAATTATCTGGATAATAAACTCATATTTTGTCCTCAAAGCAGTCTCCTTTTTAATATAAAATATCTGATTTATGAAAAATGGAATTCAGTCAACATACTTTTCAGTAATATGACACATCATTTTTCCCCTTTTCTCCTCTTGGCAAATGAACTCAAAGGTGACATACATAGATGTATTTTTTTTGTTCACTGGCATTTGAAATACATTTTTCTTGTGTAAGTCAAATGAATCATTATATATTAATTTGTATGATCAGATTTATTAGGGTTTCTGGAGCTGTTAGGAGTTTTCAAATACGTCCTTAAAAACTTCTGGGTCATTTCTGTGATTTATTGAAAAGTAATATTATATAAATATGAGTTTAGGTGCCCATTAAAAATAGATTTGAGTCCCATAATCTGAAAATTACTCAGTTCTTCATACTTCATAATGCATTACATTAGCTGGCAGTATAGAGTCATCATGATATTAACACAGATTTGAGCAGTAATAGAAATGTACTTACAGGAAGGTTAAAAGAATAAGATCCACTTCTAATGGCTCTTTGTGCCACCCAGAACAAAGTAATGCTTTGTGAGCATATTTTTAAAAATTTGAATAATGAGTTTATAAGATTTAAAAATACTGATTTCTGGATGCTATTTTGAAATACCATGTCTCGTACAATATTATTTAAAAATATAAACATTCAAAATAGCCAGATGGGGCTATTTTTTTCCTCCTCCATTTTGAAGATGACTAGGAATCTGTGAAATGTAAATGATGAGGAATGTCTGCCTGGGGTCCCTAATAGAGTGTGTCGGGAAGCTCCCTTCTGCCCTTCTTGAGATGGATGGATGCTGTAAGGAAATTGGCAGAAGCTGTGTGGGAATGACTGCGCGGAGTGTCCTGGGAAGACAGATGAGTCGCTCACTAGAATATGAACAGCGGTGAGAACGGGCTTTTCCCTGAGGGTCCACTGAAGCTGGGTCTCAGGTTAGTTCAGTCTTTATCATGCCAGTCGTGTTGGCACTGTTCCCCCAGCTGAGATCTGTTGAGATGAGTCTGTGTTTCCAATTTCTTCATCATGAATTTAACTTGGGTAAAGACATGCTGGGACAACTTCAGGATAGCACCCTGGGACAATTTCAGATCCCTCACTCCCTCTGCCTGGTTCAAAAACATCCAAAGATGGGAGTTATTGGAATTCACACTCTGCTAGATCTGAGCCCAAATTTAATAGCTTAACATAATGGCTAGTTGGTTTAAAAAAATCCTTGGTATTTGTGATATTTTTTCTTTTTTCAGAGGGCTTGAGGTGATCAAATATGCTGACTTCCTCCTGGCAGTAAGGAATCCCTAGACTGCTCATTGGCCTCAGATGCATGCTAGCTTCATCTACAGACATGCTGATCAATATCAGTGCTCAGCCACCCCCCTCCAAACCTGTTCATGAGAATCGCTCAGGACCAGAGTGCCAAACCTGGACTGAGAAGGGGAGGTGAGGTGTCCCCTACTCCTTTCTCTCAAGTCTAGGCTTCCCCCACCCACCCACCTCATTCACCTTCTAACAACCTGCTTCCAGGAGGCCTTGGCCTGCATGTGTTCAGCTGAGCAGCGAGGTTTTGTAGGGAGGAAACAAGATTGGGATGGGGTGAGTCTCAGACATTGGTGATCCTGCTCTGACCCCAAGGACTGTGTCTGAGTCCTCTGGAGAGGGAGTGAGGTGAGGAGGGACACCATGGCATGGCTTTGAGTAGGAGCCATGACCACACGTGAGGAAGAGAGGATGCCCCCACCTATGGAGGGGCACCACATAGCTGCAGAGTAGGAGAAGCAGCTTTCCCCTGCCTACAAAGACTGGCAGCACTGGGAGAATGAAAGGACTGCCCCTTTGACTCCAATGTTAGCATTGCCACTGTGAACACTGGCCTGCACTAGCAGGATGGAAAAGCAGGCAGGAAGTGTCCTGAGCCAATGCAAGGGCTCCCTGGTGACTCTTTGGAGGTATGTGTGTGAATGTGCATGAGATGAATGGATATTGTGAGGAAATTGGCAGCCACGTCTACAGAAGCTGTGTGGGAATGTGTGCATGTGTGTGAACATACACATGCATTTTTTTCCAGGGCTGGAGGGCACATGGGAGAAGAACCAGGGACACCTGGGCTGATGCATATGACACTCACTGTAGCCACAGGCTGGTGCACCAGGCCTGGGGAGCCTTTGGTGACATGTTGAACTAGTGTTGGTTCCCATGTCATCTTTTGGGTAGACATGGGATGGCCCACAGTGACTAAGGAAAAAAAACAAAGAAACCATCAACATTTGCACCTGTCTTTTGGCTTCAACAAATTCATGCCCCATGAGGTGCGCATAGATCCCAAGTCTCAATGCTGCACTTTGCCTAAGATCTGATGCTCTCCTCCCTCAGTAGCAATATGAGATGATCTTTAATGACCAGGGCCAATGTTGCTTTCTCCAGGAAGTCTTCCCTGATCTACAGCAGCCACAAATATTTCTCCATCTGGTTTACTGAGGCTCATCAACTGTACTTCTCCTATTGAGGTTTTCCACTTTCTCACTTGGATATCTTCAAATGACATGTGTACATGGGGCATGCTGTGGAGTCTCACCATCTGTATTTGTCCACTTTCCTACCAGGTGGGAATCCTTGAGGACAGAGTTTACTTCCTAGCTCTCCTATTTCTATAATAAAGTACGTTCAGGGAATTCTCCCATACATGTTTCCTGAACAAATGAATGATTAATCCTTGCATCCTTTCTGTTGAACAACTGTGAACATTTTGCTTGGAAAAATAGGCTTCACAAAAGGGTTCTTATTGCTGTTTTAAAAACATTCCTGTTTAAAACGGTTTGAGTCCATGGGGGACTTTTCTAAGTACATTTACTAACCACCGACCCAGTAAGCATGAAGCGGGGCTCTCCAGGCCCTTTCCAACATGGCTCACTAGGTGTGCGATTCTTTGCTTGTTGATCCAGTACTTAGGGTTTTGAGTAAAGCCACCTTGCTGGGTACTCAAACATGAACTAGAAAAAGCAAGCCTCAACTTGGAGGGGACTGAGGAATACCCCAATTTTGATGACAAAAACATCAACAGATCTTCACTTTATGGTAGTTATACTTTTAGTACCTGTTAATTGAGAATGGATATAATAAAAAATGATATGGATAATTCGAGGAATACTTTTAAAGTAGTGTGTGTGTGTGTGTGTGTGTGTGTGTGTGTGTACTATAAGGCTACAGAAACCAAAACAGCATGGTACTTGTCTAAAAACAGACAAGTAGACCAAGAGAACAGGACAGAGAACCCAGAAATAAAGCTACACACCTACAGCCATCTGATCTTTGACAAAGTTGACAAAAATAAGCAATGAGGAAAAGACTCCCTATTCAATAAACAGTGCTGGGATACCTGGCTAGCTATATGCATAAGAATAAAACTGAACCCCTTCCTTTTACCATATAACATAATTAGCTCAAGTTGGATTAAAAATTTAAATGTAAGACTTCAAACTATAGGAATCCTAGAAGAAAACCTAGAAAACACCATTCTGGACATCTGCCTTGTGAAATAATTTATGATTAAGTCCTCAAAAGCAATTGCAACAAAAATGAAAATTGACAAGTGGGACCTAATTAAAGAGCTTCTGCACAGCAAAAGAAACTATTAACAGAGTAAACAGATAACCTACAGAATGGGAGAAAATATTTGCAAGCTATGCATTAGACAAAGGTCTAATCTCCAGAATCTATAAGGAACTTAATTCAAAAACCAAATTATCCCATTAAAAAATAGGTAAAAGACATGAACAGACACTTCACAAAAAAGACATACAAGTAGCCAACAAATATATGAAAAAATGCTCATCCTCATTAATCATCAGAGAAAAGCAAATCAAAACCACAATGAGATACCATTTCACACCAGCCAGATGGCTATTATAAGAAAGTCGAAAATCAACAGATGCTGTCAAGGCCGAGGTGAAAAGGGTACATTCATACACTGTCGGTGGAAATGTAAGTTCGTTCATCCACTGTGGAAAGCAGTTTAAAGATTTCTCAAAGACCTTAAAACAGAACTACCATTGAACCTGGCAATCTCATTACTGGGTCCCTGAAATCTCATTACCCAAAGGAAAGTAAATACTGCTACCAAAAAGACACATGCACTCATATGTTCATTGCACCACTGTTCACAATCGCAAAGACTTGAAATCAACCTAGATTCCCATCAGAGGTGGACTGGATAAAGAAACTATGGTACATATACACCATGGAATACTACACAGCCATAAAAAGAATGACATTACGTCCTTTGCAGCAACATGAATGCAGCTGGAGGCCATTATCCTATGCAAGTTAATGTAGAAACAGAAAACCAAATACCACATGTTCTCATTTATAAGTGGGAGCTAAACATTGGGTACTCATGGACATAAAGATGGCATCAATAAACACTTGAAACTGCTAGAAAGAGGAGTGGGGAAAGAGGAAGGGTTGAAAAACTAACTATTGGGTACTACACTCACTACCTAAGTGATGGATTAATTTCTATCCCAAACTTCAGCATCATCCAATATACCAATATACCCATGTAATAAACCTGTACATATACCCCCTAAATCTAAAATAAAGGTTGAAATTCTGAAAAAGATTAAAAAGTAGGGTTTGAAAAAAGTATTTTTATTTAATCTTAATAGCACCTACAGGCATAAATCTAGCATTATTTTGTTTTTATGGAAATGCAGATCAAAATGAGAGTGTCTGTTGCCATATGTATTCATGAATGCTTTGAAATTACTCCTGTGTCCCTCAGGTCTGTGGCCTGTGGATCAGCCGTCACTGAGATAAACGATCCTTTTGATTAGACAGCATGGTCAAGGTGCAGCACTGAAACCTGCTGGCTTCTGCGGTGGCTTCATGCTTCCCCTACATGCATTTTACTTCATGTGTGTGCAGAGCTTACAGCCAGCCTGTCTGCAAAATTAGGAGAAGGGGGTTATGACTGTATCTGTTTGGAGATAAATCCTCCCAACTGTATCATGCTGTCTGGAGCCAAACTAGAAACAGGACTTGCTCCTCCTGTTTTATGACTGGAAGTTTAAGTCAATGCTGGATGGGCCAGTGCACGGGCAGAGGACAGGCTCCCTGGGGTAGTTTACGGGCATCAATCTTTTCTTTTCAGTTAGACTTGACAGGTTGGAAAAGGGAATGTGGCATAAATATAAACTAGATCTTGAGAATCCAAGTGTTTTTTGTCCTGTTGTTTCTAAAAGCTTCCTTTTCAACTCACTTTATAAACTGACCATGCATAGCAGTTTCTGTGGGATAAATTATTAAACCTGGGTCAAAGCATAAAGAATGTTCTGTCTTTGGATATTAGCAATTTGGTGAGATTTCTCCATTCTTGTATCACATTAATTTGCCTGTGTGTATTCAGGCAGGACAGTGTCATATCGTATTTTCAGCTTGCTGGTTTTGATGAAATAACACACCATTTATTTCAATATTTCAAACTTATCCAATCATTTTCCTTTTCATCATTGGCTATTTTTAAATTTAAAGTCTTTGGTGTGACAGGTGTTTCCTAAATAGAAATTTTCCTACATCAGTTTATGAAGTAGAGGACCTAATATAATCTCTGAACTTCATACAATCAGCACATTTGTGCTATTTCTATGGTAAGATTGAAGAAGGGTTCAATTACTTGGAGAAAATTTTGTCATTTTCATGAAATACATCATCTCACACAAAGTTCCACCTTCTACAGGCATCTCTGTCTCATTTCTGACAGATTTTATAATGCTTGTTTCAACCCTGACAGTGTTCCAGGACACATTCCATCTTTCATTAGTAATACATAAACTGCCTTTCTTTTCCCAAGGAAATAACTGAGACTAGAATCCAGGTCTCCTCTTCCTGGCTGCTGGACTATTGACTTAATGCTACTGATCAGGTCCTTGTAGACATCTATGGGGAGAGGGGATCTGCCTGCCCCTCCTCTCCAACATATCCCTTACAGGGGTTTGGGCTAGGAGCTTGATTTTGGCTCCTTGGTTCTATGGTTTATTAAACTAAGAGTGGATTCTGGACCCAAGATAGGCCACTTAGATTTGTTTCCTGAAGAAAACATGGAGAATCGGAAGCAGGGCATGGAGAGATATACAATAAAGTATTTGTCAGATCTTTGTCCCTGGCTTCTGAGAGGGAGCTTCTAAACCCTAGGAATATCCTGAGTGTATGAGTGTCTTTGTTATTCGTGGTATGCCCTTAGACCACATCCAAATTTATGTGAAGATGACTCAGGATGGGGGCTGGTCATGTCTGAAACACCAACCATGTGATTAGGGGCTTAGGGCTTTGAGCCATCAGTCCCACCTTTGAGGAGAGGAGGAGGGCTGAAGATTGGGTTTAGTTATGTGGCCATTGATTTCATCAATCATTCCTACAGAATGACATCTCAATAAAAACTCTAGATACTGGGGCTCTGATGAACTTTCTGATTGGTGAACCCATCAATGTGCCAAGAGGGGCATGGGCCATGATTCCATGGGACGGGGAACAGCTCTGCATTTGAGACCCTCCCAGACCTCACTGTATGTGTCTCTTCATTTCACTGGTCCTGATTTGTATCCTTTATAATAAAACTTCCATTGTAGGTATAGTGCTTTCCAAGGTCCTGTGAGTTATTCTAGTGAATTTTTAAATCTGTGGTGGTCCCGGGAATCTTCTGAATATGCAGCTAATTGGTAAGAATCTCAGGTGGCCTGGGACCTCCGACCTTGTGGCTGGCATCTGGAGTAAGGGCAGTCTTGCCAGGAACTGAGTCCTTAGCCTGTGGAGTCTGTGCTAACTCAGGACAATTAGTGTTAGGAGTGCCCTGCAGTGTCACAGGAGCCAAGTTACATTAAGGGGAGACATTTAGAGAGAAGGCCTTAGACTCCTTAGCTGTGCAACTCCCTGGTTCCTATCCTCTCCATGAGATACTCTAGTATCCTTTCAAGAATTTTCACACCCCCATCTAGCTAAAGTTGGTCTATCCCTTGCAAATCAAAGAAACTTTAGTAGTTTGGGCAGGGAAAGAGGCCACCAGAAACTCTCGGGCCCCCTCCCAGCCGGGGTTTTATTAAGTCCTAAGTGTTCCAGAAGGTGGCCAGATGGGAGACCATGGTCCCTGGACCAACCCCTCCCATCTTGCATAGTCTGCCCCAAGCCTGGTTTAGGGGCTGCAGCCCTCTTGTGCGTCCCCTTCCTGGCCAACTCTGCTCTGAACTACAGCAGATGCTTGTAGGGAAGGCGGACAGGAAGTGCCTGAGGGAACCTCCTCCAACTGTGACCCCAGAAGCTACTGCACTAGTTTCATGTAAGGTTCTTCTCTCTGCTGTCAATAGCTTTTTCCATTTGGCTACCATTTGGTCTTTGTGTTAATGTCTTTGGTGTTTCAGTTTTATGTAATGACAGACTATATTGTCTCTTTTTCTCTTTAATTTCTAAATATTAAAGATTGAATTACTGGATTTCTAAGCAGCAGCTAATGATCCATATCTCCAATATAAACAAATGGATTTACAGTTAATACTCAATTTGAATATTTTCTGGAGTCTTTTCTAAAACATTTTAACTTGATTTTAGGCATATAAATGTGCAGTTTTTTAAAATTTTCTTTGAGGCCTCCCCTTTTTTTCCTGTTCTCCCCAGTTCCTCACGTTATTCGGGAATGAGATTGATTGGACTGCCAGTCTTGTATTTAGTTTTCCACTTGGGTGAATTTATTTTTATTTTTCTATTTTATTATTATTATTATTGTTTTGAGACAGAGTTTCACTCTGTAGCCCAGACTGGAGTGCAGTGTCACATGATCTCAGCTCACTGCAACCTCCACCTCCCGGGTTCAAGCAATTCTCCCTGACTCAGCCTCCCAAGTAGCTGGGATTACAGGTGCCTGGGACCACACCTGGCTAATTATTGTAATTTTTTTTTTTTAGTAGAGATGGGGTTTCGTCATTGTTAGCCAGACTGGTCTTGAGCTCCTGACTTCAGGTAATCCACCGCCTTGGCCTCCCAAAGTGCTGGGATTACAGGGATGAGCCACCATGCCCGGCCTTGGGTGAATTTAGAAAACCTTCCAGTGATTTCATTAAAGTACATGTGAAAAAATTTTAAATGTACATGAAAACTTTTATCTTTACATGTATCAACCTTAGGAGTCTTTAGGGACAGGGACTTTTACAAGCTTCTAGGGTGATTCTAATGAGTCCTAAAGTTGGAGCCACTGCTTAATGGTTTGATAAATTCTCAACTAGCATATTTTTGTAATCACATATCTGTCCCTCATAACTGGCAATACACCTTTTCAAATAAACAAAGAGAGGGCCTGAAGTGCTTATTTTAAACAGCCAGGAAGTTGGGGATTTGCATTTACTTCCAGAGCTTAGCATGGGATGGAAAGAAGAACCCCAAGAAGTAGAGTTGGGGAAGATAACTGTGAGAAGCTCAAAGCGATAACCCTAAGGGACTGAGGGAAGGAAGAAAGGCCCTCTGGAAGGTTTAGAAGAGATAAAAAGAGACAAGAAAGGAGGAGATGTAGGGTAGACTGCAGAGCCACTGAATTAGTCTGTTCTCATGCTGCTAATAAAGACATACCTGAGACTGGATAATTTACAAAAGAAAGAGGTTTAACTCACAGTTCCACATGGCTGGGGAGGTCTCACAATCATGGCAGAAGGCAAAGGAGGAGAAAAGGGAAACCTTACATGGTGGCAGACAAGAGAGCAGGTGAAAGGGAACTCCCCTTTATAAAACCGTCAGCTCTCACGAGACTTATTCACTATCATGAGAACAGCATGGGAAAGGCCTGTCCCCTATGATTCAATTACCTCCCACTGGGTCCCTCCCATGACACAGGGGAATTATGGGAGCTACAAATCAAGATGAGATTTGGGTGGGGACACAGCCAAACTATATCAGCAACAAATTATTGCCTCTGATGTCCTTCTTAGCCTCAGCCACAGTTTGGTGCCTGGGACCTTCCAGGTGAATAAGCGCTTGTGTTTGTTATCATGAGCCCCTGCACAGTGGTTATACTGTGTTCACTATAGAACTGTTGGTGGTGGTGGCTCCCACTCCAGAGCTTTGTCTCAAAGTTCCCGTGACATACAACTTACATGATTTTTCCAGTTATTTTCAGCAGATATTTTAATTTCTGATGCTTCATGCAAATTGATTGGCTAGGGCTCAGCCTTGTATTTTATAAACTTCCAATACCATCCCTGCCCGCCATCTCCCTTGTCATGCGGCCAAGAATCACTGACTGCATATTCAAAACTGGAGCCCCAGGAGTTCCAGAGAGACAGATCAATGCCAATGAATGAATGCCACACTCTCAGAGAACTGGAAACTTGGAAGCCTGTATAGCCAATATCTCAATTTATAAGTCAACAGGAAACCAATTTTATTTTTTGTATTATTAATTTACTTATCTTTTTTTATTAGAGAATCAATACACATTGATCATTAGAAATTGAAACCCAACGGAAGAGCATAAATAGTGGTAGTCTTCCATTCCCTAAATCCTCTTCTGTAGTCCAGCTCCTGCGACATGACACTGCTAGCAGTTTGGTGTGTATTCTTCCAGACCCTGAGACAGACACACACACACAAACACACACACACACTTGTCCATAGCTTTGTTCTTTTCATTCTGGCAAAAAAGTGTGACAATGTAAGGTGTTCCCTTTGCCCTTAGCCATATACCATCGACAGCTAACATTTTGGCTCTTGCTTTATCATTAATCTCTGAGCTGTAGTCTTGGTATGCCTTCATTAATTTAGCTATTCTCTATTGGTTGATATTTGGGTTGTCTCTACTTTTGTTATTTGATCATTTAATAAATATGTTTCAAGTGTTTATTGAATGGCAGCCTCTGTTCTAGACCAAGATTCTTGCACTCAGGGAGTTTGTGGCCATAGATACTCATGTACCCTCTCCTTAACCACCCAGGCAATGTTTTGGGGTACAGTGCTCAGAGTAGGTCCTGCCCAAATCCCGCATGTCTAACTTTAGATTGTGTCATTTAAAATTCTGTACTTTTTGTTTCTATGTAGAAAGATTAGTTTCCATTCCAGAGTCCTGTCTCCTGTGGACCAATGTGAAGGTAATTCTATTTTAATCAGAAAGGCTGAGAGAACAATTGAAGTCATAATGGAAGAGACCTTTTGTCAAGGAAACACTGATGGAGTTTCTCAGTTGTATTTTGTCTGCTTTCCTTTCTCAGCAGATGTAATTTAACCTGTTCAAATATCCATCATTCCAAGACACCCTCAGGCCCTGAAGTAGCTGGGGACTGACAGAGGTCTCCAATGAAACCTGATATCTTTCTAGAACTTCCAATGGAGGGGGAGTGTTTTAGAAACTGGGGGGTCATTTTCAGAGTTTCAGCACTGGCAGCTTCAGCTCACTTTGCCAGTCTTGTGATAAGCCTGCTCTTGGGAAAGGAATAGCAGATTTGGTGATAGAATCCTTTTGTGGTTTCTGATTCCCCCAAAATGGACGGATAGACTACAGAACATTAATTTAAATCAGACCTATGATTTCAATAGAGTGTCTTTATTTTGCTAAGTGACCTCTGACTTCGTGTATTTTCAGCAGCTCTGTAAAGAGAGAAGAGTAATTGTTGCAATCAGCACCTGCCAGAAATGCAAAGAAACCAGACCTGGGTTAAAAAAACTAGGCAGGGAGTTCTCCATCAGCCTGGGTCTCAATTCTCTAATCCTTTTCTCTTAGGTGTTGCTGCTTGGGGTTGAGAGTGATACTGGCTATGGACAGAAGAGGGGCACGTTATATAGGGGAAGGGGAGTCAAATAAGGCAGGAGCTCCCAAGCCAGAGTCTTGAGTTCAAATACCTGGAAAGGCACTTACTAATGATGAACTGTAGGCATGTACTAACCTCCCCAGGCCTCAGTTTGCCCATCTGTAAAATGGGATGATAATACTGTGCACCACAGGGCTGTGGGGATTATCCAGATTTCCGGTCACACAGTTGACATTCAGATGTGAGCTCAGTCCCCCAGTTTTGCTGTAGCAGAACTGACTGGGGCAGAGGGTGGGGAAGTGGAGGCAACAGGGAGGTGATTTATCTGGTTTATAATCCACAATGACTCACTCTGCTGGAGTCACACATACTGAGGTCTGGAGCTCTGGGCTACACAATTTCCTGCTGTGGACTTTGGCTGATACGCTGAACCTCTCTGAGCAACCCATTCCTCAGTCAAAGGGACTCGCATCTGGAGAGTGTTTGTGAGAATTAAACAAGAGCATACCTAGAGGGTGTCCTGCACTGTGCATGGCATGCAGAGAGAGCTCAATAAACAGCACCCAGCACGCTCAGCATTGTTCTCACCATTATTGCTGCTACACCTCTTCATTTTATATCTGTCTGAATTGTTTGATTGGGCTTTAGTTGAATGGCTGCCTGCCCATTTGGCATAGCAAATGAAGGATAAACAGGGTTCGTTTCTATTTTGTTGACATTGTTTCTCTACCTTCAAACAGGTGCCTAGAGAGGCAGCCAAATCTGTTGGGTAATTTTCTCAGAAGAAGCACTACCTGTGTTGCAATGGAAATCATTATTCTTGGCAAACATCCTCTAATGTTCCAATGGATAAATCAGCATAAATAACCTCCCTGAACAGTTTTATATGAGGTACTTGGGGAACATTTTCAACTAGTGCCAACCATGGGGAGGCCCACACTGTTTGCTCACTCACTGTCCTGGTAGCTGCAGCGGTTGCCTTACTGAGATTATTTTATGACAAGCTGGGTGATCAGTGGCACTTCCTTTACACGTGTCCAAATAACAAATCATCTCTCCCACCCTGCTGTGTAGTGCAAGATACCAGAATTTCAATCAAGTGGGCACACAGGCAACTACAAAGGCATGCACATGTTCATTCATTCATCATTCATCACGTAGCAATTCAATAAGTGTTTGCTGTGCACCTAGTACATGCCAGGTACTGATTAGGTCAGGAGAATGTGATAATGAGGAGAAAACACAGTGCCTTCCCTATGGGGCCTACAGCATAGTAAGGGAGAAATATGCATCTGCATCAAATAATTGTACAGTGAACACTAAAGTGGAAGAAAGGAGAGGCATACAGTATCAGAGAGTGTGCAATGGGAGATCAGATTTAAGCAGAAGTGATAAGGAAGGCTTTCCAGGGAAGCAGTGCTTGAAGGGAATCTGAAGGCTGAGGTTGGCTTACTTGGTTCAAGGTGAGAGAAGAACATTCCAGAAAGATGGATCAGCAAGTTCAAAGGCCCTGAGGTGAGAAGGGGCACCCATGTACCAGGAACTGAGCAAAGGCCAGTGTGGCAGTGAGTGAGGGGTGAACAAGTCAAGGTGGGTCTGAGAGGGCAGGGAGTATTGTACAGGCTATGCAGGGTCTGGTAGGCATTGCCAGAAATTCCTGTTACACTTATTCCCATACCAAGGGGAAACTCTTACAGGGTTTCAAGAGCGAGTCCTTTAAGAACGAGTGTTTGTGAATCTGTGTTTTAAATGCAATTGATTTCCATTTTGCAAGGACCTCTCTGGCTACGGTGTAGGTGGGGCAGGAATGGAAATGGGAGAGCAGCAGGGAACCCGGGAGAGATGGGGGAAATGGGATGGAGATGGTAGTGGGAATAATTGGATCTTTGGAAGCAATTCAAAAGATGACATTGACAAGATGTAGTTTTAGATTTAGAAAGGTAGTGGAGAGGTTCAGGGTACAGGATGACGCTTAAGTTCCTAACTTGATGCCAGGATGGACAGTGGGGTCATTTGCTGAGATAAGAAAACTGCACAAGAGCTGGTGGGCAGGGGAGATGGGTTGGAGGTAGGGCATGGAGAACCCTGAACCCTTCGTCACAGCACTCTCTGGGCCTTGCCTGTATGTGTCCTGTGGCCACTCCACACAAAGGAAGAACCTGCTTCTGAACTTTGTGCCACCAGCACCTCTGGGAACAAGCTTTCAGATTTCTCCTCAATACCACTAAATTGTTGCATTTTTGGTACTTGTCAGGAAACTCAATTCAACCTCTGAAAGAAATGCAGTTTCATCGAGACCAAATCTAAGAGTCAAGTTCACTCTCCTTTCAGTAATAAATGACAATACCAAGAGCCCCTGCTGTTGGAGGGCCACTGTGCTAGGTGTTTAACATTGGCAACCCTACCTAAGCTTGGTTCCAATTCTGACTACCAGCAAGCACTGTGCCTAGTTCTGGTTCAGTGGTCAAGGAATTAATTTATCAAACAGACATTACTCACCAGAGACCTATTGACCTATTGTGCTGTGCTAGGCCCTTGAAGTATAAAGACAAATAGGACATGGCCCTGTCCTCAGAGTGGGGAGAATGAGTCAGTGCTGTGTTGTTATTATGCCAAGAGTAGGTACCAGGGGCTTTGTTTCCTCACAAGGGAAGGGGGAAGGGAGTTGGCTTGAAGTGGTCCCTATTCATTTTCATGAGCACCTGACATGAGGCGTGCTGACTCTACTCTGCTGCAACCAGTTAGAAGCTCACACCACTGTCCTTAAATCATCCATGTCTCTCTTCCAGAAACTTCAATAGCACCTACCATGTGCTGGCATTCACTCATACAGGCTACAGTTCCTAGCTTGAAGAGACGCCCTGGCAGGGAAGATGGGCATACCAAGGCCTAGCTATAGGCAGAAGGAAGTAATACAAGGAGTGGGGTCTGGATTATAGAGGAAGATGAATTAACCTTCCCACCCCAAGGGAGGATTGGGGCAGGCTTTTTGGAAGAGGTGGCATTTGCTTTGGGGATGGCTTGAGGGATGAATAAAGAGTTCAGGGCCGGGCGCGGTGGCTCACGCCTGTAATCCCAGCACTTTGGGAGGCCGAGGCGGGCGGATCACGAGGTCAGGAGATCGAGACCATCCCGGCTAAAATGGTGAAACCCCGTCTCTACTAAAAATACAAAAAATTAGCCGGGCGTAGTGGCGGGCGCCTGTAGTCCCAGCTACTTGGGAGGCTGAGGCGGGAGAATGGCGTGAACCCGGGAGGCGGAGCTTGCAGTGAGCCGAGATCCCGCCACTGCACTCCAGCCTGGGCGACAGAGCGAGACTCCGTCTCAAAAAAAAAAAAAAAAAAAGAGTTCAGGAGGTAGAGTGCATGAGGGAATAACATTCTGGGTTTAGAAATAAAAGTCAAAAAGCAGGGTATGTTGGGGGAAGGGTAAATAGCCAGGGGGTGCTGGAATGCAAGGCATATGATGGGGAAGTAGTGAAGAAGAGGCAGAAATGAGAAAGGGATGGGTACTGGAGGGCCTCCATGCTAAGGAGTTTGGATTTGATTCTGCAAATGACCAGAGCTGTGACGTATATCCTAGGAAGGGTGTGGCAGGATGGTTCCCATAATTTAGAAAAATGACTCAGGTCACTTGGTGTTAAGGTGAAGAATGGGTTGGGAAGGTGAGAGTTTAGAGGCAAGTTTCCAGATTTAGGCAGCTGTTATGGGTTGAATTGTGTCTCCCTGAAAATATATGGTGAAGTCCTAACCCCCGGTACCTGTGAATGTGACCTTATTTGGAAATAAATTCTTTGAAGATGTATTCAAGCCAAAATGAAGTCTTTGGGGTGGGCTCTAATCCAGTATGACCGGCGTCTTTAGAAAAAGAGAGAAATGTGGACACAGGTGCACACAGGGATAATGCAATGTGATGATAATGGAGGCAGAGATGGGAGCTATACAGCTGCAAGCCAAGGAATGCCCAGGCTTGCCTTGACACCAGAAGCCAGGAGAGAGGTTAGGAACAGATTCTCCCCTGAAGCCTTCCAGAGAATATAGCTCTGCTGACACCTTGTTTTCAGGCTTCTGGCCTCCAGAACTATGAGATAATTCATTTTGGTTTTTGAGGCCACCTAGTTTTTGGTAATTTGTTATAGCAGCCATAGGAAGCAAACACAGCAGCTTTCAGTATTTCTTGGAAACCAGCTAGCACGGGACTCACATTTAGAGTATTAGCAGAGATGGTACTCTCCAACCATAAGGAGAATTCAACACTCAAACTTTCTTGGTCAAAGGAAGCCGTGAGGACCTTCATCAGCCCAGGCAAGTCCTGACAAGCCATGCTGCTGCTGCTGGTGAAGCCGTGATCACCTGTTGCCTCAACAGACAAAACGGAGTTGCTCTTAGGAGAATGATTGGGCAGGAAGGAGCAGCCAGTCATGAGAGAGCCATACTGCCCACCGAGACCCACTTCACAGCTGGGATGCCACCAATAATTGTAATGGAAAAGGCAACGTTATGATATACTCCAGATGCTTTTGAGAACTTTAGAGCCTGACAAACAAATTTGAGTAGGATTTACCATTTGTCTTGCATGGAGAGGATGCTGATGTGGTGAGAAGGAAGCTTCTTCTCCTATCTTTGGGTTAAGTGGCTGCCTCCTCTTGTCACTGACTGCAGTGACAGGTTAAAAATGAAAGTAAGAAACTCACTCCATAATTAATGCAAATCAGAGCAACAAAGTAATGCCATTGTTCACCCATCAAGTTGGAAACAATTAAATTAACTGTTGTTGGGACAGGGTAGGGAGGTGGTATTTGGCAGTCAACCTCCTAATGTCAGTGGGAGTAGAAATGTTTGTAACCACGTAGGAGGGTAATTTGGTCATGTCTGTCAAAATGTTTAATGCATAGACATGTAGGCAAAGGAGTTACCCTGCTAGGAATTTACCCTATGTTTATATTTGCAAAACTTTGCTAATTTATATGTGTAAGGATACTCATTGCAGCACTGTTTACAATAGCAAAAATAAAAAAATTTAAAAACTGCAAACAAGCTAAACATTTTTAGTAGGAGAATAGAGAGTTTAGTTATGCACATCTATACAATGGATTACTAAAATTAATTGGGATATTTATTCTAAGATAATTATATTACTGGTTGGAGTACAAATCAGTACAACCACTTTGGAAAAAAAATGCATACCATATAACCCAGCAGATCCACTGCTATGTGTAAACACCACAGATATGCATATATATAATCACCAAAAGACATTATAAAAATGTTCCTAACTGCTGTAGAGTATTTATATTAGCCCAAACTGGAAACAATCCAAATATCCAAACATCATAGATTGGATCAATAAACTGTAGAATAAACATGCTGTTGGAATATCATACACCAATTAAAATGAATAAACTAACAACATAGATGAATTTCACAAACACAATGTTGAGTAAAAGAAGTTGGACATAAAAAAGATAATATAATACAGTTTGAGTATTCCAAATCTGAAAATTTGGAATGTGAAATGCTCCAAATCCAAAACTTGAGGACCAACATGATACTCAAAGGAAATGCTTATTGAAACATTTTGGATTTTGGATTTTTGGATTTGGGATGCTCAGACAGTAAGTATACTGCAGATGTTCCAAAATCTGAAAAAAAATTACAACATTTCTAGTTCCAAGTATTTTGGATAAAATATACTCAACCTGTAGGACATACTATAGCTTATGATTCCAGGTGTCTAAAGCTCAAAAGCAGGAGAAACTAAATGATAGTAATAGAAGCCGGAGTGAGGCGGACCTTTGTTGAGGGTAACTAATGACTAGGATAGGGCATGAGGGAGCCATCTGGGGTGCTGAGTAATATTTTATCTCTTGAAAAAGATGGTGATTATTTGAATGTATTCACTTTGAAAATTCATGAAGTTCTATACTGATGATTTTGGCACTTTATATATGTAGTGCTTCAATTTAAAAAGTTTATTTAAAAAATAAATAGATAAAACTAAAAAACAAAAAGAACAATCTAATTCAAAAATGGGCAAAGAACTTGAGATATTTCTCCAAAGAAGATAAACAAATGGCTAATAGGCATGAAAAGATGTTTAACACCATTAGTCATTAGAGAAATACATATCAAAACCACAGTGAAATGCAACTTCATACCCACTAGGATGGCTAATTTTTTCAAAAAGAAAATAACGAGCACTGGGTACAATATGGAGAAATTAGAACCCTTGTGCATTGCTGGTGGGAATGTAAAATGGTGCAGTGGCTGTGGAAAATGATTTGGCAGTTAAAAAGTTAAACATAGAACTCCCATATGATCTAGCAATTCCGCTCCTAGCTTTATACCTAATATAATAAAACGCAGGGACTCAACAGATACTTGTACGGTAATAGCATTATTCACAGTCACCAAAAATTGGTGTTCATCAACAGATAAATGCATGAACAAAATGTGCCATATCCATACAATGAAATATGATTCAGCCTTAAAAAAGAATGGAATTCTGAGCATGCTATGACATCGATGAACCTTGAAAACATTATGCTAAGTGAGATAAGCCAGGCACCAAAGGACACATATTTGATTCTGCTTATATGAAGTACCTGAAATAGGCAAATCCGTAGAGACAGAAAGTAGAAAGAAGTTCCCAGGGGCTAGTGGGAGGGGAAAATGGGGAGTTATTGCCCATTTATGCCTAGTGTTCCATTACTGGAACAGTAAGCCTGTAGGAATTATTTATATCCTATTGCTCAAGGTCATTGCCAGGGTCTGATTTTTCACACATGTCTGCAATTCCAAAAATTGCAACCTCCAGCATAAATGGGTTAATAGGTACAGAGTTTCTGTTTGGTATGATGAGAGAGTTCTGGAAATAGATAGTGGTGATGACTATATAACATTGTGAAAGTACCTAATGTCACCGAATTATACACTTAAAAAGAATTAAAATGATGTTTTATACATATTTTACCAGAATAAAAAGTAAAATGAAATATAAATTTAAAAAGAGATGTATGTGATGTGAAATGATTTTCAACACGTGTTAAAAGAAAAATCAAGAATAGTATACGCATATATAAAACATAACCCTAATTGAATATGTTAAAAGCATATGCAAATGTATGCAGTTACACACATTAATATTTTACTGAAAGGATGTGCAAGAAATATTGATAATGGTTATCTTTGCAAAGGACTCAAAGTGGAAGGGGAGAGAGAATGGTCCTTTCTCACTTTAACCCTTTCCCTGTACAGTTTGAGATTTTCTTTTTCCCTCCTTATGCTTGCATTGCTTTTATTAAAATAATGATAATGTGGGAGAAGGGCCATAATGGAAGTTCCCTTGCACACATTTTTTTGCATTTGCAGGCAAGTCTCTGCAGAGTGGTCCTGAGCCTAGGGTGGGAAACAAGCCGAGCAGGAGGGGGACATGATAAATAAGGCAGGGCAAGGCAGGTTAAATAATGAAGTTACATTCTGGAATGAGCAGAGCATTCCAGAATGCTGGGAACCAGGCTCCCGTTCATGGACGACCCAGTCCATTTCATTTTTACAGGCCAAATTACTGAATTATTCTCCTTCATTTTATATAGTCATTTTAATAATAGATAAAATGGCACCATACATTTACTGAGTTACTTGCCAGAGAGAGAGAGAGAGAGAGAGAGGGAGAGAGAGAGAGAGAGAGAGGAAGAGAGGGAGAGGGAGAGGGAGAGGGAGAGGGAAAGAGAATAGTTCTGTCTTTGAATAATTGTCTGCTGTATATTTTATGCCTGCATATCACAGATGCTAGCAAAGTGGCTTCCTGGAGGAACCATTCCATGCTCCTAGATGTGTTTTGAACTTTGCAGAGACTCAGTGAAGCTGTTTGCATTAGAGTCATTGTGAGATACAGTCATCATTTCATCTAACCTGTGACAATGGAGCTGGGTCCTGAAGTCCCCTAACCGTTCTCTTGGTGAAAAACAAGAAATTCCTCAGCACAAGCTATTTGATTTATGGAGCTGTTTAAATACATCAAAATGCAATAGGAATACCTCCTACCTCATTTTCCTGGGAATTCCAGGAACATGGTTGTTATTTGTGTAGAAAAACGGTAGAACAGCTGTCCCCAGGAGCTGTCTGAGCATTTTGCACTGTCAGGTGTCCCCCAGACAGGTTAGACAGACACTACTTTAAATCACAGGATAGGGCATTGTTTAAATACCTGATTACTAAGAAGTTTCTAATTGATTCAAAAGTGTAACTTCCCTTTGGAGGAACACTGATAATTTTAAAAATTAAAGTGTTATTAGGTGGGGATAAAAATCAAGTTTTTCAACAGTAGACTTCAAAGCTGGGTTTGAAAAGGGAGGCAAAAACATTTTATTACTTATTGCCCTGGGCTGAATGTTTGTACCAATTTCCAAATTCGTATGTTGAAGCCCTAATCCTCAATGTGACGGTATTTGGAGGTGGGGCCTTTGGGAAGTAATTAGGTCTATAGATGAAATTATGAGGGTGAAGCTACCATCATAGGATAGTGCCGTTATAAGAGAGGAAAAGAGACAAGAGTGTGCTCTTGCTCTTATGCTCTCTCTCTCCTTCTCTCTCTCTCTCTCTCTCTCTCTTTCTCTCTGTGCCATGTGAGAACATAGCAAGAAGGTGGCCATCTGCAAACCAGAAAGAGAGCCCTCACCACATACTAATCTGTTGGTACCTTGACCTTGAACTATCCAGCCTCCAGAACTGTGGGAAACAAATGTTTGTGGTTTAAGCCACACAGTCTATGGAGTTTTGTCATAGCAGCCCAAACTGACTAAGACATACAGAAACCTTCGTTATACTCATTCAATAAGCATTTCAAAGCATAATTTTGGCTGTGTTTTATAACACAGTAAATCTATGGGATATGATGCTGTAGCTTCCCAGAACAATCTCACCATAAAGTTAGTTCTAGCAAGGTTCTGCTATAGTCTCCAGCCTTTGTTCTGTAAGATGCTTCCTTTAGAAATGGAACTGGCATCCACTGAAACTCCAGGGAGTGGCTAACGCTTAGATGGGCGGGGGGGCTTTTTCTTAGGAAGGGTGTGCTGATTTGTTTTGTTTGAGGAATCATAAACTCAAGTAATGACGACTTCTCCAATTCTACTTGACAAGGAGGGTATCTAATCATCATTAATTCTGTTGGTGTATGCACTGTGGCACCAGCCCTGCCATAAGCATGTTTGGAATCAATCTAAATATAACGTGGCATCCTTTCTGTATCACTGGTTAATTTCCGCTCTCAAAACTAGGAGCTCCAGAGTGCACTTTCTATGCAAATGGGTAACACAAAGGGACGAGACTTGGCATCTGCATTTGAGTAGGGGCTGGAAGATGCCACAAACCAAATTTCTATGATGCTCTGCAACTCAGAGGAAGCCTCATGTGCATCCTCCCATCCTTATGAATGAAGGATGAGATGAGAAGAAGGCACTTAGTACCTGGGGCTGATGAGAAGGCAGACAGGCCTTGCCTAGCTTCTTTTTGACAGAACTGTGCTATCCAGAGTTGATCTTATGGGTGATGAGAATGACACAATGGGCCTATTAGCAAGTATAAATTAAACTAATGTGTTAATAACTGTCTGCCAGTCCTTTTAGTAAATTACACGAAGGCAAACATAGTGTATACTTTTTGTAGAACAATCTGGAAACAAATCATGCTTCATTTTCATGTGCAATTTCATCAACTGTGAGGTTTTTTCCCCACCTATGCATCTGATAAGCTGTATTTGCATCATTTCCTTGGTTTTCTTAGCCTTGTTTTATTTTAAATTGAGCAATTTTTTTGCTCTGACTCAACATTTTCCCAATGAAGAAAGATGGAAGGGCTGACACTTTCAGGGATAGGCTCTCAGGCATCAAGAGGGGAACAAGTCCCTTAGTCCCCATCAGGCAGTTTTCTGGGATCAGCCTTCTTGATCTTACCCCAGTGCCTTTGCACATGCTGATCTCCTAAAAACCCCTGTCCTCACTCTGTATACTGAGGAATCCTGCTCTTCTTTAGATGTTTTCCCTATGAAGACTTCCCTGTCCTCCCCAGACATCTATTTATTCAGAAAACATTTGAAATTACACATAGGCAGTAACTGGGGCACTGGGAATACCATGGATAACATAGCAGTTGTAATGCCTGCCCTCCTGAGGGTGTAAAGGAATAAGTAAATATATAAATACAAATGATTTAAAACAGCGGTAGTTAACATAATGCTAATCAGATGCTAAGCTGGAGAATGATGGAGGAATTCTAGATCAAAGGGGACCTCTTGGAGGAGGATACTTGTAATCTGATCCTTGGAAGATGAATAGGAGGCATTCATCCCTAGGGCAAGGGGAAGAGCATTTCAGACCCTGGGAAAGCAGAAGGAGAAAGCTCAAGGAGTTTAAGGAACTGAAGGAAGCCAATGGTATGAAAAAGAGCATGGATTAATAATTCTTGATTGTGCCCTCAAAACATTTGTGCATACTTCTAAGACAGGGTGAGTCATAGTTCTCTAAGTTGGGTGTTTGGCTGTCTCCTGTCTCTGTTTTCTATTCACCTTGCATCTCCAGCACTTGGTTGCTTCCAGGGCATGTAGTAGGTACACAGCACATATGTGTTGAATGGAGAAATCAATGAGTCAATCATCTTTGTGCTGGATCCTCCTTATGTGCCTCCTTGTAAGTTGTTACTTGTAAAGAACGCGGTGGGAAGCCGGGCACAATGGCTTATGCCTGTGATCTCAGCACTTTGGGAGGTCAAGGCAGGCTTATCACTTGAGGTCAGGAGTTCGAGACCAGCCTGGCCAACATGGTAAAACCACATCTCTACTAAAAATATAAAAATTAGCCTGGCGTGGTGGTGGGTGTCTGTAATCCCAACTACTAGGGAGGCAGAGGCAGGAGAATTGCTTGAACCAAGGAGGTGGAGGTTGCAGTGAGCCGAGATCATGCCACTGTACTCCAGCCTGGGCAACAGAGCGAGATTCTGTCAAAAAAAAAAAAAAAAGAATGCTGTGTGGTTTGCAGGTCCTCCAGGGGATGGCATCAAGGTGCTTCTGTGCCATAGTTTCTGATTGCTGGGATCTTCTCTGGCATTCTCATCAGGCACGGAATTGCCCGGACTGTGTTTCATTGCTGGTGTGTTGATATTTCCACCTATGATCCTTGCTCTGGGTAATTCTGATTGCTTGGGTAACTTTGTGGCAACTTTGGCTTAACACCACAGATGAATTCCAGAGATAGCAATATGGTAATGTAGCTATTTCAGGCTTTGGGGCTAACAGATATAAGAGATCATGTAGTCCAGCCTTCTCATTTTACAAGGGCCACAGGGGTAAAGTAACTTACCCAAGGTCACAAATTAGGCAGCAGCAGGACTGAGACTAGTATGTGGGGCCTTTGGCTCTTAGGCCTTGCTATTTCCACTTTACACCCGGCCTCCTATGACGCCTGAACGCTCAGTGTTTCCCCTCCATACAAAGGGGGAGGGTCAGGGGTAGATCCTGGGCTCAAGTCAGGGTGCCTCTCTGTAATCCCAGCTTTACCACCTATGCTTGGCTGCAAGATGGAGCAATGCCTTAGTTTCCCTATCTACAAAGTGGGGTAATAGCTAAATTTATATTTTAATGTGGTGATAATTAAATAAAATAATTCATACACAGAACACAGCACTCGGTAAGACTTTCATAAATGTCAGCTATTGTTACTATCCTTCCTCAAAACACTATTCTGGAGAGAGCACAAGCAGGCTTAGTGCATATTTTCCATAATCCTTTCTTCTGCTTATACATTTATTTATTTATTTATTTATTTCTGTTAGCTGCTGAACCAGATTTTATTTATCCATCTCTCTCTGGGCAAATGTCTCTACTGTTAGTAAAATTATAAACCCTAAGCTATTGTTTCCTTATTATGTTTAAGGAAACAACACCACAATGCTTATGATGTGTTCTTTCCTAACACTGACAGTGTTGGAAGGAGGCTTATTGTGATTAAAGAAGTTAATTAGTCATGCACAAGTAATGCAAATACTGTGGAGGAGAAGGGACCTCTATGGAGAGAAAAATGGCTTGAATTGCAGCCTTGAAGATAAAATTATAAATAAGACAAGGGGTTTACATGCATAAAATCCATCATTTTAAAGAGAAATTGAGATATATGATTGGAAATGAAAAGGTCGTCTAAATGAAACACTGAATTTCATGTCTTATACTTACGAAGTGCTTAATAGGGACTCAAAGGAATGGATATATGAATGGGTAGCAAGTGGATGGGTGGACTGACAGGTGGAAAGGTGGAAGGGTGGACAGTTGGATGCACAGGTGGGTGGATGAGTTTGTGGGTGAGTAGAAAAATAGGTAGACAGATGACTGAGGGAGGGATAAATGCAGGGGTATATTGGTGAGTAGGTAGACTAAAACAAAAGAATCACCTGATTTTAAACTATTAACTCACCTGGAGTGCCACTCCTCTGTCACTGCCTGTGATGGTTAATTTTATGTGTCAACTTGACTGGGCTAAGAGATGCCCACATAGCTGGTAAAACATTATTTCTGGTAGTGAGTGTTTGTGTGGGTGTTTCTGGAAGAGATTAGCATTTGACTCAGTGGACTGAGCAAAGATGATCTGCCCTCACTAATGTGGATGGGCATCATCTAATATCCACTGAGAACCAGAACAGAACAAACAGATAGAGGAAGAGCAGATTCTCTCTCTCTTCTTGAGCTGGGACACCCATTTTCTCCTGCCCTTGGTTCTGTTCTTCTGGTTTTCAGGCTTTCAGATGTGGACTGAATTACACCACTGGCTTTCCTGGTTCTCCAGCTTGCAGAAGGCAGAATGAAGGACTTCTCATCCTCCATAATCACATGAGCCAGCCTCCATAATAGATCTCATATACTCATATATACCCTATTGATTCTGTTTCTCTGAAGACCCCTAACACACTGCCTGACATACAACTGTAAACACCCATGTAACATGAGGAGGAGGCTGTGAGTATGATGAGTGCAGACATTCCCCTGGGGGACATCAGGCCTTTTGCATCCTGTCATGGATTCCAAGCCTGAATGCCTTGGGCACCTCCAGAAGTGCTGGCCTCCAGGTAAACCATTGCCACCCTGACTCTTATGCTGGTCTGACTGTAGTTTGACCCAGTTCCCCACCTGCCCTGCTTTCTGGCTTTTCCACTGGACCATTTGGGACACAGGGGCCACCATCATCAAAACACGATGCAGCACAGTCTCTTCTCTGAAGGCTTTTCTCACATTCTTACATCTGCAGATATGAAGCTGCACCCTGAGTATTCAGCTTCGCTACAGACTTCCTAAGAGGTGGGTTGTTTTTCATATTTTTCATACTATGTTTTGCGGAGCCTCAAATGAGTTTGGTGTCTTCCTCTCTTCCATTACCTGTGCCCCGTAAATATCCCAGCTTGTTGCAAGCCCCACCATCGAGCTATGCCATCTGCTGCCCCTCATTGCGACAATAATCCTCTTACTCTGATTCTCTCTCCCTTTTATTCTCCTTCATTCATTTCAGGTTTTAACATATAATCACCTTAGCTAACACTTGAATAGTGTTTCCTACCTGCCAGGCACTCTTCTAAGTGCTTTCTGTGTATTAACTTATCTTCACAGCAACCTTCTAAGGTAAGTACTGTTATTACTCCACATTCCAGAGGCAAGGAAAATGAGACAGAGACAGGCTAAGCAATATGTCTAAGGTGATACTTTGTTAGTCATTGGTGGAGCCAGGATTTGAATTCAGTTAACCTGGCTTATTGTCTTCTTATACCTAAACACTTTGGTCATAATTCTTAGATAATTCCAATATCTTCTAGAGCAGCACTTTCCAACTGAATGTTCTGCAACGTTGGAAATGTTCTCTATCTGTTCTGTCCAATACAGCAGCCACCAGCCACATTTAATTGTAGCCATTTTAAATTTGAGTACAGTAGCCACATATGGCTGGTTGCTGGTATACTGGACAGTGCCTCTCTAGAATCCATTCAGTGCCTTTTAAGTTCCCTGGCCTGCTTGTGTCCAGTGATCACCACTTCCAGGCTGTTTAAGGCCCATGACTCCCATGGTCACACTCTTGTTCTTGTTTCTGTTGAACCTTCACTGAATCCAAAGTCTCAAATCCAAGCTTCTCAGCCTGTGGCCCACATCATCTGTATTCCCAGGACATTAACTCCATTGCCACCCACTTCAACTCTTTTCACCATGAGCCACACATTCCATTCATTTACTTTGCTCTATTTTTACTACCTGTATTAATAAGGGCTTTCCAGAGAAACAGAACAAATAGGATATATGTGTGTGTGTGTGTGTGTGTGTGTGTGTGTGTATGTGTCTCTGTGTCTGTGTGTGTGTACATACATAAGGAGATTTATTTATTATGGGGATTGGCTGTCATGATTATGGAGGCCCCAGAGTCCCTCAATATGTCATCTGCAAGCTGGAGAACCAGGAAAGCTGGGAGTATAATTCAGTCTGAGTCCAAAGTCCTGAGAGCCAGGGGTGGGGATTGCTGGGGTGAGTTCCGGAATCCAAAGGGAAATTCTCAACCAGGAGCTCCAACGTCTGAGGTCAGGAGAAGATGGATGTCCCAGCTCAAGAAGAAAAAAATTGCTCTTCCTTCATTTTTTGTGTTCAGTTTGGGACCTCAACAGATTAGATGACGCCCACCCGTGTTGGTGAACATGATTTTCTTTACTCAGTCTACCAATTTAAACGCTAATCTCTTCCAGAAACATTCACCCAGACATGTCCGGAAACAATGTTTTACCAGCTCTCTGGGCATCCCTTAGCCCAGTCAAGCTGATACTTAAGATACAGTATCACACTGCCTAATACCCCTTATGTGCATAGTTCTTGACTAGCTTGGAGATGATTGACCCACCACTACAATTATGCCTTACAGAGAAGTTTTGAGTGTGTAGCTAATGGTATTTAGGCTTTGAGGTCTCCACAAACAGGGGCCTCTTCCAAGGACCTAAAAGAGGCTCTAGCAATGTGTTCACAGGTCTCATGCTAATTGTAAAATTTGCAATTGTGAGATATTAAACCATAGGGAGTTACAATCACTTGTCTCTTCCTCCTCAAATTTCCCCTCTGTTGCACATCCCTTTTGGTGGGTGGGACTGGTGGGTGGGGCTGGTATAGCCACAGGCAGTTTTGGGGTATGGCTAAGGGGAAGTTGAGTGGGGCATGCATCTAGTTTGGGTTTAGAGGGATAACATCTAGGTATGGATACACTATTGCTAGCTGTCTTCATGTAGAAATGGCTTCCAGGAATATGCCTCCTGACTATTGTGCTGATTTACCCATCATTATGACATGAGAGGCCAGGGCCAGAGGTTATATCGTGATCTGATCATGTCCTACAGTGCTCAGCACAGGAAGTATATGAGTAGTGGGGGAGAATTGAGCTTGAACTCTATAGATCTAGAAGTGAGTCTGGAAATTTCTCGTAGATGCCTTGCCAGAAAGAATATCCTCAATGATGCAACATTTACAATTAGAAACACAATATGTATTTTTATGGGCATCATGTGTAATAGAATTTGTCAAAATGTCTCTATTCGTAGCATAAAACCTATAGGAGTATTACAAACAATAAGAGTATCTGTGTGAAGTCACATGCTTTATTTGCCCCAACCATCAGTAAGAACAAATAAATATCAATCAATCTTGTTAAAAGAAAGGCTGAGTTATCTTTTTGTTCTCTGTATAGAAAATATCACAAAATTGTTGGCACATAAATAGGTGAAAAAGTAAGGAAATTAATATAATAAAAAGTTGTGTTCTTTAGTAAAAGTTATTTTCATGGATTAAGTGATGTTTCTGGGATGTGTTGAGTTTCAAAATTTGTGATTTGTCATGATCTATTTTATCATTCTAAACAAATATTCACTTTTGTTTTTAATTTTATATTTGTGATTTTGTAAACTTTTTCTTAAAGACGGCACCCAAAAGTGTTAAGTTTCAGGCCCCATAAAACCTGGATTCCCCTGGATGCCAAAGCATGAACCTCAATTCTGCTGCTCCTCCCCACTTCTTCACACACACCTGTCAATGTCCCAGCCCTTACTAATCCAGGTCACCTGTGTGCTGACACCCACACACCTGAAAGTGTCTGGACAAAGATCCACAACTGGGATGGCTGTTTCTGACCTCAAAATGAGCACTTGGCCCTCCTCCCACCTGTGCTGTGTTTTCTTGGTAAATTCACTTTCCACGCTTCTTGATGACACCTCACACCTTCACTTTCAACAAATCTCCAGCAATTTCACCTGCCCACCTTCTTTAACAGATGACCCCCCTTTCTTATTTCACTGATAAAATAGATGGAATGGCCCCATCTTCCTGAATCTACCAATATGATTCCTCTGTGCCCTTCTCTCAGCCTCCCATCGGTCACAATGGAACTGTGATGGTTACTCTTCAAGCCAGCCACTCCCCATGGGCACCAGCCCCAGCCTTTCCAGAAGACAAGAGAATCTGAGAGTAAAAGGTGCTGTGGGAGGTCCCTCGGCCCACCCTGGAGGCCACCAGGGACAGTTCTCTTACATGCCAACAGCTTCCTGGTTCTCTGTCCAAGGGTGTTCTCTGGCTGGGGGTTGAGGGTGATCTGGCCCAGATATAATTTCTGGAATGGCCCAGAAATTATAACCGGGAGCAACCCTCAGTTAACAAGGGATGAGAGTTAGTGGACAGACACATCAGTGTCCTTGCCCTTTCTGGGGCAAGTGCTGATTTACCCATCATCAGAGCAGTGCTAATTCTGAGAGTTCCCAGGTATCTGGAGGCCCAGTTGTCCACAGAGGTTAATACATCTTCTATTGACTTTCTTCCCTCCCTTGCTTTACTTTCTCATGCCCACACTGATTTCTTGGGACTATATCACCCAAATCTTTGCTCAGGGTCTTCCCAGTCTTCAAACTGCACTCCAAACTCATCTTGTTCTTGCTACCTTCACCAGTGCCCACTCCAAGCTACCTTCACTTCCCACCTGCAATATTGTGATAGCTTCTCACTTCCTTTCCGTCTGCTTCCACTTTTGCTCCAAGGTAGTCTAATTACACAGAACAACCAGAGTGAGCTTGATCTTTGAAATGCAGAAATCAAATCATGTGATTGCTCTGCTTAAAATCTTTGGATAATTTCCTACCAAATGTGGCGTAAAATCCAAGCAACTCACCACCGCCCCTTCCCCCTCTCTGGCTGCATTTCATACCCTCTCCCTCTCACCCAACCTCCATTCACATGAGTCTTTCCTCTTGAAAATGCCAAACAGGACTGAGCTATTTGTTTACTTGTTTATTACCTGTGACCCCCATTAAAGCATTAGCTCCCTGAGGGCAGGGACTCTGTGTTGGTCACCACTGTACTCCCAGCTGGACCTGTGGCTGCAGCTTTGCACAGTCCGTGTGCACATATGTCTGGCTCTGGCTATCATGTGCCAGGCACATTGCTGCTCACATGGTTGAGCGTGTGATGAAGACTGTTCTCCAACATGACCATAGATATATTCTTTCATTTGTCTACGCACTGCGGTCCCTCCCTCGGCAGTGCCTGCATTTGACTTGATTTTCTTTCTAGCATTGGTATGTTTGCATTGAGCCAGACATGCCTGCCTCCTGGTCCCCTTGTAGGACCAGTGGCACTGCCTTGAGACTGTTGCTTGCCAGGACCCATTTAGATTACCCCAATAGTGAGATGTAAGTATACTCCCCAAATTAGGAGGACAGAGATCAGTGGTAGAGCTGGGCCTCATAAGAGAACTGGGAGGACATTTGGGTTCCGCCACCATTCTGGAGGCCACATTATTGCATCTCCCAGTTGCAGCAGCCATTCATTGCTCCCTGTCCTGGAGTTCAGCTGTCATGGAAGCAATACGTTCTGCCTATTTTAGCCACTACTGTGAACTTCTACTTCCTCATAGCTTCTGTGCATGTGGAATTGCTACTAGTGTGTGGTTTGCATTACTTTATGATTATTACCACTCTGCCTTCCAAAATAGAGCAAACGCTTGATTTATATACATGGAGCTGGTTCCTTGTTGTTGCCAATAGTGAAGGAAATACGGGTTTTGTAGGTTTGCAATGTAAACTACTCTTGATCAAATTAATGCCCAAATTAGTGAGGCTGTGAACAGAACACCCAACAGTTTACATGGGGAGTCAGATTCACTAAGTCATTTCCTCATTAGAGGAGAAATCACCTTGAACAGCCACCAAAGCCTTGGTGAAATTAGCTTTTTAAAACAATCGAATGCATCCTTTCATCTTTTATGCTGCTATAGACTTAAAAGCTAGTAAAATAAGAAAGGGAGAAATTAGGTTGACTGTAATCCTTTAGTAGAATTAAACACAGAGCCCTCAAAGGTATTATGGAGCTACTTTACAGAAAGAGCTAAATAATTAATTCATTTTATATATCCTCGTATGGCACCAAATGCCAAATCTCTTAAAAATATTGTAACATTTGTTTCTGAGTTTCTCAGGAAAGTTACACAAGGAAGCATTTTAGGTGATGTTCAGCTTCTCTAAAACATTTTACCCCGGCCATCCCAATGAGGTGAACGTTGTCTTGGGGACTGTATGGACAAACCCTGGGCCCTGGGGCTGGGCTATATCAAGGAGGAGGGAGAAGATTGCCCTCTTCTCCTTTTCTTGGGAGAAATATCTCCTGACTTACAGACTGGTGAAGAAGCTTAGAGTCTGTGAAACTGCGGGCTTAGTCTTGGAAGTCTGGGTCTTTAGTTCATGGGGAACTGGAAGTTATCCAGAGGAACACTGGGGAGTGGGTATGGTGCCTGTCCTGACCCTAATCATTTATTTAGGGCAAGGCATTCATTCATAAACAAATGTTTCTGAGCCCCTGCTGTGTATGGATGCTGTGCTGGGTGCTGGGGTGATCTGGTGGTCAGCATATCAGACCTGGTCCTTGCCTTTTGAGGCCTGCATTCTAATGAGACAATAGCTGAGCACAAACACACGCCTTCAGAAGTGCCTATGAAATAACCTGTGCTTGAGGGAGATTAGCAGACAAGACCTTCTTATTGCATTTAAGCTGAAACCTGGAGATGAGATGGGAAGTGGTAGGGGAGCATTTCTAGGGGAGGCAAGGGCTTGTGGAAGAGCTGAGAAGAGGTCAGTGCATTTCAAGAATTGGGGAAGGCAGGTATGGCTGGGTTGCTGGGGGAAGGAGGAAAGAGTGTCAAGGGGGGTGCTGGGCGTGGTGGCTCACACCTGTAATCCCAGCACTTTGGGAGGCCAAGGGGGCGGATCACCTGAGGTCAGGAGTTTGAGACTGGCCTGGCCAACCTGGCGAAACCCTGTCTCTACTAAAAATACAAAAATTAGCTGGGCGTGGTGGTGCATGCCTGTAATCCCAGCTACTCGGGAGGCTGAGGCAGGAGAATCACTTGAACCCGGGAGGTGGAGGTTGCAGACAGCCGAGATCGTGCCATTGCACTCCAGCCTGGGCGACAAGAGTAAAACTCTGTCTCAAAAAAAAACAACAACAACAACAAAAAACGACTGTCGAAGAGGAAAAACTTTCTCTTTTGTCTTAAGTTCAGCAGCCAGGGCTTGCAAATTTAATGGAAAAAAGACAGATTAACAGGAGAAAAGTAATATAAATTTTATTAATATTTTATGTGGATAGGAGTTTACAGAAAGGAAGTGAAACTCAAAGAAGCAGTTCAACTCAGCAGCATATATATGATACCATTTTAGCAAAGTAAGGTGGGGTTGGGTTTCAAGGCACAATAAGTTGTGGAAAAGTGACTAGAAAATATATGGGAGAAAGTAATGGAAGAGAAGGGCTATTTTAGTAAGGTTTGCTCATGGCAACTTTTCTTGGCGCCGACTCTCTCTCTAGTGATGAAGGTTATTCTCCTGTTCCTGGTAGGGTGAAGGGGACACCTTCACAAAGGGAAATTTGTATCCTGCTTTTCGGCAGCAAACGGGAGGCAAGAGAATTCTTGCCACTGTTGATTCTCAAATGCCTTCAGCTCACAATGAGCCTCATACCAAAGTGACGTATTTGGAGGGTGGCATATCCTGATCCCCATCAAGAGGCACAGTTGATGGGGGAAGAGAGAAGAGGCTCTTCCATGGAGGGCTGTGGGCCATGATGAGGTCTTAGGATTTTATTCAAAATGCAATGAGAGAGGCTGTTGAAGAGTTTTAGGCAAGAAAATGACATGAACTGATTTATATTTTAAGCAATTTGCTCTGGCATCTTTGTGAATAATCATGTCTCTCCTCTCTGCTTGGGAAGTAAGCTGAGAATTTGAGTGTCTCCCATTCCATAAACGAAAGCTTGTGTGAGGTTAGGCAGTCAGCAGAGAACTGTGGGGGTTATTTGGAGAGACCTCTGCCATTAGTTCCTAGAGGCAGAAGCTGAGAGGGGCTGACTACCACAGTGGCCACTGCTGAAACCAAGCCCAGCTGACACTCAGAAGGAAGGATAAAGAAACCAGGTGTCCACACAGGGCAGACGCTGCCTTAGCCAACTGCTATCATGCTTCAGGTTACCCTCCTGGACAGGGAGCGTGGGTAAGGCGACTGCAGGAGCCAGAGCACCAGGAGCTCCAGAGAGACGAAGGAAGAACAACTTCCCTCGGTTCTCAATGTGGGAGCCCAGAGGAGAAATCCTCAGGGCCAAAATGGCAGAGACCTTTAGGGAGAGGAAAGATGGAGTCCCTCCTGCCCAGTGGACTAATGCCATGGCCAACCTCAACATTTGTGTCTAATTCCACCCCCCACCCACCCCCAGTCCTAAGATTGAAGTGGAAATGGGCCATGGGACAAGCCAGGAGTAATGTGGAAAGTGGACACTGGGGTTGGTTGTCTCCACTGGAAGCCAAGGGCTCCATTCTGAATTAGGAAATGTACCCTGAAGGCAGATGGCCCTCCCCATGGCATGCAGTAGCTACCACTTTAGAAGCAGGAGCCTGGCTGGGTATGGTGGCTCACACTTGCAATCCCAGCACTTTGGGAGGCCGAGGCGGGCAGATCACGAGGTCAGGAGATCAAGACCATCCTGGCCAACATGGTGAAGCTCCATCTCTACTAAAAATAAAAAAATTAGCTGAGTGTGGTGGCACATGCCTGTAATCCCAGCTACTCAGGAGGCTGAGTCAGGAGAATTGCTTGAACCAAGGAGTCAGAGGTTGCAGAGAGCCAAGATTGCACCACAGCACTCCAGCCTGATGACAGAGCAAGATTCGCTCTCTCTCAAAAAAAAAAAAAAAAAAAAAAAAAAGAATCAGGAGCCCAAGGGCAGTGCTTTTAATGAAAGTGCAAAGGAAGAGAAGCTCTAAGAGGAAAATAAGCAAATTTCAAGAAAGATGAGAAAATAAATTTGTGGATGATTCACTTGCACTATGTTGAAATGGAAGATCTTAATCATAGTGAGTACCATGAATAGAAAACAACATGAAACTGTGTAAAAACATTAGAGATCACGAAGGGAAGGACACAACAGGGAAAGAAGTCAGAGAAATGAGTGAAAGGTTAATTCCAACAAGTGCTTTGCTGTATGGAAGAATTTAAATTCAGTAAAGCAAGAGCTTAAAGAAGAGATTAAAATATTAACAGATATCAGGTCTTAGATAAGAAAGAAACAGAACTTTAAAAAAATTAATGAAGTTGTAAGAAAGAGAATAGACTTGGCTAAAAACAAGTTAAGAGAGCTGGAATAGAAGGCTGAGGTAATCATGATGAACACAGCACACAGAACCCACTATGGTAAATGTATACCTGTGTAACAAACCTGCACATTCTGCACATGTATCACAAAACTTCCAGGCAAATTTAAAAAAAAGAAAATCTACTCTTAAGTAAACCCAACAAGTTTTCTGGCTGGCCTAATATTAAATTATCTGCATTTGCTTAATAAAAAAAAAAGAAAAAAATGCCTGTTTGAATAGAATATTGCGCTGAATCATTTGGTTCTCAAGTGCTATAGGCACTTGGAGGTATTACAATAAATTAGGAGGTCATCTATCATTTCCGTCTCCATTGGAGGACTGTGATGCCAATATCCAGGCTGTACTGCAAAATTCCAATATCGTGGAACACCTGGCTGTTCTCTAATTTGAGGAGAGAAGCCGATCACCTCTGCACAAACACATTCCATTTCCATAGACAATTCAGCAGCATAGATGGAAACGCTTCAGGACACATCCCAGGACTTGCACCATCAGCCAAGCTCTGCGTTCACCTCCCTGAAAAGCAATCATCCTGGTGTTCATTATCTAGAACTTTCTAAGAATGGACCATTTTATTTTAGAAAAGAATGGCAACAAGAGTTAAGATCAAGTTTTAACCAGTATTTAACATACCTTTCCCTCAACCTATTTAATACACCATGGGCTCACTACAGGAGTGTTGAAATTTCTGTATAAGAGTCACTGCTCTTGCGATAGTTTACTGAGAATGATGATTTCCAATTTCATCCATGTCCCTACAAAGGACATGAACTCATCATTTTTTATGGCTGCATAGTATTCCATGGTGTATATGAGCCACATTTTCTTAATCCAGTCTAACAAAAAACCAAACACCACATATTCTCACTCATAGGTGGGAATTGAACAATGAGAACACATGGACACAGAAAGGGGAACATCACACTCTGGGGACTGTTGTGGGGTGGGGGGAGGGGGGAGGGATAGCATTGGGAGATATACCTAATGCTAAATGACGAGTTAGTGGGTGCAGCACACCAGCATGGCACATGTATACATATGTAACTAACCTGCACATTGTGCACATGTACCCTAAAACTTAAAGTATAATAATAATAAAAAAATAAAAATAAAAATAAATAATAAATAATAAATTTCTAATAAATTAAAAAAAAAAGAGTCACTGCTTTGAAGAGTCAACACTGAAACGCCAGTTTTGGCATGTTCTGATGCAGTCGAAATTGTCTAAGTTGGTGTTTGAGGACCCCCACTGCCTGGGCCCTGTCTGCCTCTCCTGTGTCATCTCCTCCCAGTGCCCACATCAATCATCCTTCATGCTTGAGCAATGCCAATCTGCTTGTCTCGAATCTTCATGCACTCACTCATGCCTTTATCATTGCTTGGAATGCCTTTCTCATCTTTCTTTGCTGAAATACTCCTACTTGTTATCATCTATCTCTCCAGAAATCCTTCCTAGACTCTTCTGGCTAAGCAAAAGACCCCTAATTTTTGAACTCATAAGTCTCTGTTTATGGCACAAATTTTTTTTTTTTTTTGAGATGGAGTCTCACTCCAACCCAGGCTGGAGTGTGGTGGCACGATCTCTGCTCACTGCAGCCTCCGTCTCCCAGGTTCAAGTGATTCTCCTGCCTCAGCCTCCTGAGTACCTGGGATTATAGGCGCGTGCCACCATGTCTGGCTAATTTTTGTATTTTTAGTAGAGATGGGGTTTTACCAAGCTGGCCAGGCTGGTCTCAAACTCCTGACCTCGTGATCCACCTGCCTCGGCCTCCCAAAGAGCTGGGATTACAGGTGTGAGCCACCGCGCCTGGCCTATGGCACTATTTTTATCAGTCACCAGATGAGACTGATATTATGTGTGCATGTGGCAGTCTCTTAAACTGGATGAGAAGCTCCAAGAAGACCTTGTGGTCTATCTCTTATTGGCCTTCATCATCCAGGCCTTAACACAGGGGATAACTCTTCTTAGCGGCTCAAAATGCTTACTGAATTGAAATGGGAAACGCTTCCCTTCTCAAGACCACATTCTGTGCTCTCTTCCTCTCTCCTGCAGTCAGTGTGTGCTGGGCACACAGTGCCTGGACAGGTCACAGTTGCTGCTGGGACTGGTAAGGAGGGCAGGAATGAGATAGAAGCCAGGCCACCCAGGAAAATGTGAATCTGATGAGAACCCAGTCACAGCTGAAGTGCCCAAGCACTTCAGTTAATCAAGACATTATTGTATTGATGTGACTAAAATTCAACGAACCAAAAATGGTTTAGCCTTCCCCTATGTTGAGCTAATCTATTTCAGAATCTTCAAAAGAAAACCAAAAACCACATGGGTGATTCATTATCCACAGCAGAGAAGGAAAAATTCCAATGGAGCTTACTCTTCCCCTTATCACCGGGTAATGCTATGAATTTGCCCTTATTTATAGAAATGCTGAGTTTCTTTTCTCATGAGCTGTGAGACTAAGGATTGAAGAACACATTTTCTTTTACTTCCTGGGGAGGGTAAGGAATAGTCGACAAGGAAAGGAAAAGACATGCATTGACCCAAAGCAGGCTCAAAGCCAAATGGTGGAGGGCACACATAACAGACGTCCTAAACCTTGGATGGTGCTTACATGCTCAGCCACGAATAAGTCAGGAGTCTGAATCCACAAACAACTGGCCAGGTGAATAAGGATGCAATCAGGGCAAGCTAGAAATGCTAAGATGGCCTGGATCAAGCCATGTGCCCAGCAGGGTTTTTAGCTGAGAGGGGCCTCCTGTGAAACCTTATGGGATAGCTCCCAGGGGAACCTCTTCCTTTTCTTTACTTTTATCTTTAATTGAGAAATAATAATTGTATATATGTATAGGATATAATATGATGTTTTGACATGCATATTTATGTTGTGGAATGATTAAAGCAAGCTAATCAGCAAATTAATCAACTCACATACTTACCTTTCTTGTGGTAAAACATTTAAAATCTACTCTTTCAGTAATTTTGAAATTCACCTTGCATTACTTATTATATAGTCACCATTCTGTCCAATAGATGACTAAAGTTTATTGCTCCTGTCTAAATGAAAGACCTTGAAAAGCCAAAGCAATCTTGACCAAAAAGAACGAAATTGGTGGCTACCTGATTTCAAAATCTATGACAATTTTGTAGTAATCTAAACAGCATGGTACCAGCATAAAAACAGACACATTGACCAATGCAACAGGATAGAGATTCTAGAAATAAACCTATGCATTTAAAATTAATTGAATTTTGGCAAAGTCGCCAAGAACATACATTGAAGAAAGGACAGTGTCTTCAATAAATGATGCTAGAATAACTGAATAGCCACAAGCAGATGAATGAAATTGGACCCCTATCTAACATCATACACAAAAATTAACTGAAAATAGATCAAAGACTTTAATGTAACTTGAAACTGTAAATATACTAGAAGAAAACATAAGGGGAAAGTTCCACAACGTTGGTTCAGCAAAGGTTTCTTGGATATGAATTCAAAAGCACAGGCAACAAAAGCAGCAATAAATAAATAGGATTGCACCAAACTAAAAAGCTTTGCACAGCAGGAGAAACAATACATAGAGTGAAGAGACAACCCACAGACTGGGAGAAAATATTTGTAAATCATATATCTGATAAGGGGTTAAAATCCAAAATGTATAAAGAATTCAAACAATGCAATAGCAAGAAAATAACCCAACCAGGGGGACCTCCGTGTGAAGTGATATCGCAGTGCTCTTTTACCTTTTTCTTTCGATATGAGATTTTTCATGTTTTTTTAAAAATCACAGCAATATATGACTACAGTTTCATTGTAAAAATTAAAACATTTCAGAATTATTTTAAAAGTCAGTCAGTTTTCTCCTTCTTTTCTTCCTGGGAAATCACAGATAAGAATTTGCTAAATGTTCTTACAAAACATCCCAAATATTTCAGAACATGCATTTACATCTGTGTGTGTGTGTGTGTGTGTGTTGTGTGCACACACTTACAGGTCTAGTTTCTTTTCCTTTAAACATATAGATATGACATCATTCAGTCCATACTAAAATGCTATCTGACTTTTTCTACTTAGCACTATGTCTTGCAGATCTTAACATGCCATTGTATAATGTCTTGATCAAAATTTTTTAAATTGTTGCAGAATAGTTTACACAATATGGTGGTACCAAAATGCATAATTAATTTCCAAATTAATTAATTCCTCATTAATGCCCAAATCAATTTCCTTATTAATATTTGTTTTTCATTCAATTTTGGGTTATTTCAATAGTTAACTTTTTAATGCAGATATTTACTTACAGAAGTGCAAGTATATTGATGAGATAGACAGTTAAAAGTGAAATTGGTGGGTTAGAAAGTGGATTTATTTTATTTTATTTTATTTTATTTTTATTTTTTGAGATGGAGTCTGGCTCTGTCGCCCAGGCTGGAGTGCAATGGCGTGATCTTGCCTCACTGCAACTTCTGCCTCCTAGGTTCAAGTGATTCTCCTGCCTCAGCCTCCAGAGTAGCTGGGATTACAGGTGCCCACTGCCATACCTGGCTAATTTTTATATTTTTAGTAGAGATGGGGTTTTACCATGTTGGTCAGGCTGGTCTCAAACTCCTGACATCAAGGCATCCTGCCGCCTTAGCCTCCCAAAATGCCTGGATTACAGGCATTAGCCACTGCACCCGGCCCTGAAAGTGAGTATCTTTTAAATTTTTCAAGGTGCTTATAGAAAGCATGGATTCTCCATGTATTCCTGCCTGTTTCTCCACATCATCACCAGGAGATATTCTTTGTAATGTGAGGTCTGATTCTAGTGTTCAATCTGCCTTCCATGTTTCGAATGTCACCAATAAACCATGTGATGAATAACCCTCTTCTCCCACTAACTGTCACGCACCCTCTACATTGTCACTTAAATAGATTATCACTTTCTAGGCAGGTCTTTTCTGATCCCTTGAACTAGGTTTCATCTCTGTAGGCTGCACTGCAGCCTACATTTATTTGCAGTTATGTAGGGATTGAATAATTTTTTAATATTTCTCCTCTACCCTAGACTCTTAGTTTCACTCATTCATTCATTCTCATATTTGTTTTTTCATTCATTTCTTCAAAATACTGACTGACAAATTGAGTGCTGATGTAATGTAGAGGTTGGGAGACGGGACACTAAAAGAAACTTCTTTGGTTCAAAATCTAGCTTCACCCCTTATTAACTGCAAGTTATATTGCTTCTGTCCGCCTCTGTTAGTATTTTCCTCATAGGCTTGGGGTGATTATTAAATTGCAGCATGCACAAAAATCACTCAAAAGGGCAACTGACATACAGTAAGTGCTAAAAAAATTCTATGATGCCTTATTATGTGCCAGGTGCAGAGGATCTGGAGGAAGAATATAAACCAAGAACTTCAAAAAAAAAGTATACCAGCTATAAGAAAAATAAATGCGGTTGAGTGCGGTGGCTCACACCTGTAATCCCAGCACTTTGGGAGGCCGAGGCAGGCCGATCACCTGAGGTCGGGAGTTTGAGACCAGCCTGACTAACATGAAGAAACCCCATCTCTACTAAAAATACAAAATTAGCCGGGCGTGGTGGCGCATGCCTGTAATCCCAGCTACTCGGGAGGCTGAGGCCGGAGAATCGCTTGAACCCGGGAGGCGGAGGTTGCAGTGAGCCGAGATCGTGCAACTGCACTCTAGCCTGGGCAACAAGAGTGAAACTCTGTCTCAAAAAAAATGAAAAAAAAAAAAAAAGAGAAAAGAAAAAAAAAAAAGAAAAATAAATGCAGAGTATGGAGACTCCTTTATAGTGTAGCCAGGGAAGACTTCTCTGTAAAGGTGACCTGTGAGCTGATGCCAGAAGGATAGGGGAGGTGTGAGCTTGCTGAAGAGTTGTGAGAAGAACACTTTAGCTAAGGAAACACCAAGTGCAATTGTCCTAGGGTAAGAGCAAAGCCTATGTGAAGGGAGAATGGGGAGAAAGGGGAGAGATCAGGTCTGGGTCCTCTTCACCATGGTCCCCGGTGCTTAGTACAGGGCATAGCACTGTGTAGGTGCTCAGCAAGTTCTTAGAATAAATGATTGAGAAGTGGATGAAAGAATGAGTGGGGAAAGGAAGGGATGATCTGAATGGTTAAAGGCTTTCTTCTGCTCTCAGGCAGCATCTGTCTATTTTCATTCACTCTAGTCTTCTGGAGAATAAGCTGGTAGGCGTAGAGATGAGTGGACATTTTGATCCAGTGAGGGGTATTGAAGACCCCTCAAATCACATGTGGCACCTATGGTAAGGCTAATTTTTATATTTTTAGTAGAGATGGGGTTTTATCATATTGGCCAGGCTGGTCTTGAACTCCTGACCTCAAGTGATCTGCCCATCTAGGCCTCCCAAAGTGCTGGGATTACAGGGGTGAGCAACTGTGCCTGTCCTAGTTATGCATTTTAAATAATAAAGCGCAGCTTTGTGAAGAACCACAGGTATTGCTGTGTACTAGATTTCATAAAAATGTGTTTTCTTTTTCTTCTCAAATTATGTTGGGGTTTATATATTAAGTCTCAACAAAAGCAAAACAGGATCCTCATGTAGCCCAAGAGCTGAAGCCTACAACATGCATGCTGGAGGCTGCCTTGGTCATGGTTATGGAATGGGGTGGGACAGCGGTGGGCAGGGCAGGGCAGGGCTGTCATCCAATAAAAGAAGGGATCCTTATGGACCATGTGCCCAGAAAAGGTGACAATGGACATTCCAACCACCAAATTTAGTGAAATCATTTGCCCTGAACCAAGCTTAGAAGAGTCAGAGTCCAATCACCAGGCTTTTGCTTGTCACGTCAGGATGGCCAGAGGTTTCCACTCAATGTTATGTGTCCACCCGTGCACGAAGATAAGTGGCCATGTGCCCATAAACACACTCACTTCACAACGTCCTCACAGCCTGACCTCAGGTTCCATGTGATGGCCAAAGACAACAGAATAGGAATATTTAATACCCACAGAAAAAAGGAAGTAAGGTCCAAGTGAGCAGAAACAAGTCCCCAAGGCTGGTGAGATGAGATTAAACAAACATTATTAATATTGGATTAGCATTTTAGCTTTTCCAAACTGTTTTCAACCATGTACTATATTATTTATTATCATGTCCAGCCTCAAAGGAGACAAATAGCTTACTAGTAGCATAAGATCCTAGGTTAACATCCCTGGTTTTTCCTACTAGTCAATGTTGATGTTCTAATCACAAATTACAGTGCATTGGAACAACCAATCTTCAGAGCCACTTTAGTTTTCTAGGTAGTTTTATGGAAAAATTATATAATATATATATTTCTATGTTTCAGTTTATAAGAAAATCCAATTTTATAAAAATATATTCCTTTCTTCATTAGTGTATTCAAAAAATAGTTTTTGAAACAATTGCATGCCAGGGCAAAGATTAAAAAACAACCTGTTTTTGATATTTACAAAGCCTGAGTTAGTGGGCTGAAAATTCAAGAGGCTTTCATTGCTTTCCTGTTCACACTTATCAGCCTTTACAGTCTTTCTACCCTGTGGCTGGCTTTATGGAGAAGTCCTCAAAAGAAAACCCATCCCCTGGGGCTGGATCTGTCTGTGTTTCTCATGAAATCTCTAACACTAGGGTTGTCTTGTTCATGAGACTTTCCAAATTTGATGGTAAGGTTGCCATGGCAACTAGTGTAAATGGACAACTCTCGTGTCATCAGCAGTTGCCTGGAACACGTTTCTGACTTGGGACTGCCTCTGCCTCCCTGCAGCCATTGCCTTAGTAGGGCTTTGCAAGAACTTGGGTCTATACTCTAACCTCAATACAGGTCATATCTGAAGCCCCTGACATATTGCAATTTCAGGACACAGTCCACGTGTGGCTGGTGTCTTCCAGCATCTTTACAACAGCTATTTATCAGCATCACCATAGGATGTGTCAATGGAATGGGAGGCGTGTATGATGGTAGAATTATCATCTTCATGGAGGGGCGAAACAAAAAAGTTTTCTAGACTCATAGGACCCTGAAGAAGCAGAGACGAATATCAGTGAGGCTCATGTTTTCTTAGGCATTACCTTTTATAAGATGGACTGCTCTAATAACACTACAGACAAGTGTTCTTCCCAAAAGGTGGTAGGGAGTGGAGGAAGGGGCATGGACAATCATTCACTTCACAATTATTTATTGAGTACCTGTGATGGGCCACAGTTCTAGATGTTGGAATATAAGGCGCTGGAGTCAGATGGTCTCCAGTTAGTATCTTGCTAACTGTGTGTGAACAAGAATGCTTTTTATAACTTGCTTAGTGCATTTCTGATGGAGGGAGAGAAAAGGTGTCCTAGAGTCTGTCTTGCATGGTGTCTTATACACAGGAGGTGCTCAACAAACATTACCAATGCCAAGGATGACAGTAGGGAACAGCAGATGGAGGTACAAAAAGCAATGGGTTTTAAACCAGGAGGCTTCAGGACCCCAGGCAAGTTACTTTTGCCTCTCCAAACTTGCTTCATTTTATAAAATGGGAATGGTAATGTCTCCCTTGCACGGTTATTGTGAGAATTCAGTAAGATGATGTCCATGAAAGGGGTTAGTGTAGAATGGGGTGTAGGAGGGGAGGGTGGAGGAGCAGCAGGGGCCGGATCATGCAGGCCATGTTGGGCATGCTTGCTATTTTGGACTTTCTCCTAAAAGCACTAGGGAGCTTTTAGGAGCTCCTAGAGGGTTCCAAGTGACAGAGGGAAGGGAGCTTTGTCTTTCTGGAAGTACCCTCTGGCTATAGCCTGGAACTGGGGAGGACAGCCAGCAGGCTTTTGCCGTAATGCAAATGAGTCATGATCATGACCTCTGTAAAGAAAGCGTGGCTGGAAATGGAGAGCGGTGGGCACAGTCAAGCGACTGGAATGTAGGATTTGCAGAAGGCAGTGTCTGCTACTTATGGATGGGAGATGTGGGGCCGGCTCTTCAAATGCCGAGGAGTCAAGAGACACTCTGATTTCTGGCTTATGCGACTAGGTAGGAAATGGTGCCTCCAAACTGAGATGATGAATGACAGGAGGAGGAATGTGTCTGTGGGACAAGACAGCTCAAGAGTTGAGCTTTGGACACAGAGTGTGAGGGGCCTGTGGTCAACCCAAGCAGGGTGTCTAGGCACTCACACCCAGCTAATACCTGAGTGTTTTGGTCAGGGGCACATGTGTGAGTGAGACAGATCTGGACCCACTAGAGTTTCTATTCTAGTGTGGGAGACATGTAGCTAACATGTGGTCAGCAAGTGAATAGGATAAAGAGGTTCTAGTGCTTGACAGGACCTAGTGTGGGTGGGTGGGTGCTGGCATAACTTTATACAGGATGGTCAGGGAAGGCCTCTTTTGGGAGGCAGCATTTAAAATCAGACTGAAGGACGAAAGACCTTGGGCAAGCCACATCATCCTCTGGAGCCTCAGTTTCAACATCTTTAGATGGGGACAACAGTGCTTTTCTTACAGATCAAAGGCTACTGTACATCAAAGCAACTTGAAGCTATATAAATGGGAGGAGTTGTTCTTGGATAACACCTCCTTGGAGGCTTGGAAAGGTTTGGGCTCTGTCCTGGCATCTCTGTTGGCATCCAGAAGGAGAGGGTGTGCTTACTGCCCAGAAGTTTTCTTAGAATCAGGGGTCCTGTCCTCATGCTTAGATTCTTGGCCCCCTAAACTCCTCCAGGACTCAAGGGTAGAGGGAGGGCCTAGACTGCACTGTGCTTTGTGGCCACAAGAGGGCTCACGGCTCATAGACTTTGCATCCAATAAATCTTCCAGGTTGGCTCTTGACAGTTTCATTGAATGGGGCCCCATCCTGCAATGTTGGAGATTGCTATTTAATTATGCACGATCATTGGACAATTATGAGCACTTCTATAATAGCTCAACATTAATTTTAGCATCTTAATTTTATAAATGTTTAAATGTGTTGCTCATGCAGAGCTATTCAAATGCAGATGATTAAATCAAATTACTGCGTTTATAATTTTCTAGAGGTTTTTCCTTGGAAATTAAATCTCATCATTAAAAGTTTCCCTTTGTTGTCACCCTTGGTCAGCCGCTTGGTTCTTAGTCACAGTGCTAATTGTGCTCTCTCCGTAATGTGCACATTCTGCCTTGGTTTCAGCTGCCAGATTCTTTAAGCACTCAGTATGTTCATAGCATCCTGCTTAGTGACTCATTGTCTGACCTTCCAGTGACAAATTGGAAATAAGCAAAAAGATGAACCTGCAACATAGGAGAGCTTTGGGAGCTTGGCAAAGTGGATCACTGCCATAGTGTTTACACCGTGATCTTCAGGTCATCACAAGTGTAGACAAGGAAATTTGGATGCAGGTCCAACCCTCGCTCAGATGAAAAAGAAAGTATTACAGTCTCGGGGACTTCTTCTGTGGATATGAGATCAGCAGACAGGCATGAATTTCCCCTACTCTCCAGCACCTTCCCCTATTACAGTTCCTCCGCGTGTCACTCAAAGAGCAATGTGCTCACAGGGGTCACGAGGCAGAGGTGTTTGCAGCCTGCTGACTCCAGGAGCATTTGGTCATCCTTGTCGACCACTGCTCATCTATCACTTATAATAAGAACCTTGTCATCTGGATGACATTGGACCTCAAGGTTTTGGAGTCTTTCTGAGTGAAGGAGAATTTGTCACAAGGCTGATGACAACTCCCAAGGAAAAAGTCTTTAAAGCTAAAATATCTAATGAGACGGAAGGCATGTTGGTTCCCTTCTCTCTTGGACACCTTTCTAGCTGTTTGTGTACTATGGCATGCAGGCTAGCTGGTCATCAGGATCTCAGCTAAACTTGCACAGGAGCATCTTTGTTCAAGCTGCCATGGATGCTGTGGGTTCTGGAGGAGAAGGGATAGGATAATTAATCTTGTGTTGTGTGACTCTTGATGGCAGAAAGGATTCTGCCAGAGATTCTAGAAGCTCAATGGGACATGGACCCTGGCTCAATCTGATGCCCCACCTGGGGGTGTGGCATACCAATGAGGGTATACTGAGCAGTCACTCAAAGCCATGGTAGCAGAATCAGGGACAGGTCACAGTTAAGTGCACAGGGATAGTGTCCTAACTGAACTGTTTTTTGGGTGTGACCATGATGCAATTTCTGCTGCTTTGATCTCACTTGTTCTTGCCTGCTTTTGCTTTTTAAGTCTGGTTCTTTTTCTTTTCTATCACTGATAGAAATCCATCCAAAAAACTGCTTGTCTACTTAAGGTAGTTAGATCTGGCTTCTCTTCCTTACAACCAAGACTCCTGATGTAGCTCTTGCTATAGCAGCTCATCTTCTTCAGGTCTCAATTTTTTTTCCCCCTTTGTAATTGAGTTTTCTTTTTCTGCACCTGCCTCAAGCCTCAGGGCAGCTCCATCCTCTTTATCTCATGCAAACAATCTCCTGAACCTGAAACCATAACATTTTCTCAACATTTGAGGAACTTTCCTGACTAATTCCTGACTCTTTCTGGATATCTGTTCATCCTCAGGCCTCTGTACCTTTGTAGTATTGTTGGTCTTTCTTCCTACAAGGACATTGCTTAAAAGGGTGGATTTTCAAGTCAGAGTGCCTGGGTTCAACTCCAGGCTCTGCTGTTTGCTTCTGTATGACTTAGGACCCGATTCTTAATTTCTTCATGCCTCAAATTCCTCATCTGAAAAAGGGGCATCATAATAATATGTAGTTCATGAAGTCGTGATAAGGGTTAAATTCATGAAGCTACGTGAAGTGCTGAGGACAATGCTTGACACATAGTGAGTACTCAATAACAATAGCTATTTTTATTAATGCCTTGTTGACTTGTTATGTGGATTAATTAAGATTCCTGGCACATATTAGGTACTCAGTTGTTGTTCATTTTTGTCTCATCTTCTATCAGATGGACTCTTTCTCATCTTTCACATCTTCTCAAGTCACCTCTGTGCCAGGTGTCCTGATCTTACCTGCCTTTGGTTGACTTAGCCCAAAGGAGCAAGTAGGAGTAAGATTAAAGATATGTGATCTGGGGGTAGAATTTCAGGTGAGAGAGAGAAAAAAATCTGCCTATCAACTTGGGCTCCCCTGGGATGATGGCATTTCTATTTGGATAGCCCTCTGATTACATTTTAATGGAGAAAATCAATTAGCAGGTCCTTGTTGTGCTACTATTGTAGGATCAAACCCCAGTCCTCAGAGTGCACCACTTGTTTTCTGGATTTTGTTTGTTTCTTTTATTTCTTCAGGCTTCTTTTTCTTTTTTCTTTTTCCTCTCCTTTGGTTTTAGTAAAGCTTGGATTACAAAACTCCAGCCTGCATGGGGGAACATTAAGGAAACGAGAGTTACACATTTTAAAGGCAGGGCATGGGGGCTGCAAGAGGTGAGGGGCCTTGGAGAGGGGGTGGGGTGGAAGAAGAGCTGAGATCTGCCTAGGAGTGGTCCACCCTTCTTACTCTTCCCTGCCCCTATCCTGCCTGTTCTCCTTGCCACCCCGTTTCCCTCCCCAACTCTTTCTCTTCCTATCTTTCCTTAGTTGAGAAGAATCTGGCTGGAAATACCTAGTGAAAGGACCATTTCTGCATTCTAGGGATCTTCAGAGAGAGGAATGTAGATGTTTCTAGTTAGTAGTAGGCTAGTGGGAGGAAGAGTTTGAGTAGGCAGTCACATATTTTGAACAAGATGGATTCAGTCTACAATCCTTGCCTAGTTACCCTCTGAGCTGCCGAGCTGGAATACCTCTTCCTGTCTTAGAATTCTCATCTGTGACTCACTGACAATCTTTTTCCGTTTTTTGTTTTTTTTTGAGACAGAGTCTTGTTCTGTCACCCAGGCTGGAGTGCAGTGGTGTGATCTCGGCTCACTGCAACTCCACCTCCTGAGTTCAAGTGATTCTACTGCCTCAGCCTCCCAAGTAGCTGGGATTGCAGGTGTGACCCACCAGGCCCAGCTAATTTTTGTATTTTTTTTAGTAGAGATGGAGTTTCATCATATTGGCCAGGCTGGTCTTGAACTCCTGACCCCCAGCGATCCACCCGCCTCAGCCTCCCGAAGTGCTGCGATTACAGGCATGAGCCACCATGCTTGGCCTCCTTTTCCTTTTAAAATACTTCTCATCAAGTGCTGTTGCACCAATAATGATGGTAAGAGTAATGATACCAGTGACAAACATATCTTGAGTGTTTGTCATATACTATGCACTGTTCAGCCTTTGCATGCATTATTAATTTACTGGGTAACACCCTATATATCAGGTCTTATCGTTCCTATTTTGCAGAAAAGGAAACTGAGATTTACAGAGGTTAAATGACTTGCCGAAGGTCACATAAGCAGTAAATTGTAGAGGCAGGATTTGATTCCATATAAGCTCTTAAAAATCTAACTCATGACAAGAAATTTCCATGAAATTTTTACTATGGTTGTGTACTAGGTTTGCCTATTTTTTAAAGACCAGATTTTTTGAACTTGAAGGTCTTTATTCAAACACAGATTGCTGGGCCCTATTTCACAGTTTCTAATTTAGTAGGCCTAGGGTGGCTCAGAGAATATGGATTTCTAAAGAGTTCTTGGGTGATGCCCATCCTACTGGTCCAGAGACCTCAAGTTAAGAACCACCATCCTAGATCCCTATTAACTGCTGATCGTGTGTTGATTGGAAATATTCAACCATAAAGGCTTGGTTAATTTAGACCCAACTTATAGGGATTTTCTAATCACGTGACTAGGGCTAAGACAGTTTGTGCAAAAAAAGATAAGATCTTTCCAACAAAGCATCAGCACACAGGGTTATCAAGAAGAGGTTGAAACTATGAGAAAACAAACTGCCCTCTGACACTTATGGCACAAAAGTGATAATTTATCAGCACATTTTCTCCCTAACAGGTACCATAAATTGTGCTCTGTTGTGGTGTTAAATAACATTGACCCACAAAATAAGAAAGTTACTCACTTTGCAGTTCTCTTTCAGTTCCAATTATGTCAATGAGAAGGCATCAGTTTTGTGCTATTTCCTTTAATGCCTCTAAAAACACTCCTTAATCTCCCCTTCAACAAACAGAAAGTAAGACTCAGGATAGGCAACAGTAACCAGAATTTAATACATTGTTTGTTTTTATTGATATGCTTTATTTTGCCATTAACTTATATATACCCCATATAAACAGCTTGACACAAATTAGGAAGACAGACTGCCTTGGCTCTGCCATTTACCAGCTGTGCAACTGTGGGCAAAGTTCTCAACCTCTCTGTGTTTCAGTTGCCTCACTTAAAAAATGAAGATAAAAACAACCTCTGCTTCAATATTGTTATAAAGATTAAAAGAGTTAATATTTATAAGACCCCTAGAAGACTGTCTGGAATATAGAAAGTACTACATAAGTACTTGTAAATAAATACAAGTACATGTATTTTTATATAAGTAAATAATTCACTGAAGTATGAAAAATACTGTCTTAAAAGCAATGAAAGAGCAGAGATGGTGTTCTGGCAATCTGAGGCTGTCCTTGCCCCACCCCAGCCCATTCAGACATTGCAAATCCATGAAGGCAAGTTTCTGATTCAGCTGTCAGAAGTCACTGGCCACAGCCCTCCAGGTAGCCACAAGCAATGGTTAAAAGTTACTTAAGACCAAGATCTGTTTACAGTTTACAGACACTGGTTTGGCTACCCAGGGCATCTGGGGCAGGGGCTGTGGTTGAGTGAGGGATGGACCTTGATGGCTCCAGGCAGGGCAACCCCCACAGTGGTGAGACCCATCAGAGAGTACCACTGAGGTTCCAGCACCAGATTGGCTATCATCCAATGGCCGATTGTCTTCATGACCATGACCAGATTGTCTTCATCCACTCAGTGTCCTTAGGGGAACAGTGATCCGCTCTCCCCTTCAAAGCCAACCAATGTTGAGTCTAAGGATATGGGAAGGATATTGGAAATGAGGATATTGGGGTCATGAGGGAGAATGGATGCGGCATCCATGATGGGGACGGGGGGGCTATGCAGTCAGACAGGCACTGAGCCCCATGTCTCTGCTCCTCACAAGCCAGCCTTTGATTCAAGACTCAAAAATGAACTTAGTTTTCTCCATGAGCTTGCCTCAGTCAGGCCTTCCCGTAGTTACTGGGGACCTTATTTAATAAAAAGCAGACCCAGGCCTGCATTCCCAGAGATTCTGATTCAGCAGGATGTCTGCATTTTTATTAAGCACATTAGTGATTCTGATGCTGATAGTTCACGGGATACACTTTCGGGAATCCTGCTTCCGTTTCTTTTTAAAGGAGAATGTTCCTTTGTTTTTACTGCTTTAGTATCATCTGTGTAACTCTTTGCTGCAGCAACAGTCTCTTTTGACAGGAAGAAAGTGAAAAATGCTGCCAGATCGAGATGAGTGATGGTGTTGCAAAGAAGGATGAATTTATAATACAGAGAGCTTCAAAGACATTAAGTCACTTTCCCTGTTTGATCTTTTTCATTCTTTGCACATTATGAAAAATTATATAAATTGTTCTTAAGTTATGAGCATAATATTATATGTGCCTAAAATCTTTGGCTAAAATGAATCAGAACTTTTAGTTTTCTATATTAAAAAAAGAACCCAATATGAGTTTCTTTGCCAGATTCTTTAAAATAGGAAGCCTAGAGTATTATGCTATTATAAACTGGTCTTTTAAAAAAATTTTTTTCTCCCAACTTCTTACATCCAGTGGAATGTCTACTCCATGGGGCTTCTGACATAGAATAGTCAGTTGCCAAGAAATAACGCGTTGTCAGCCAGAGAAAACGAGAAGGTGAAAAATGCAAGCGGGAAAGCAGGGTATGATTACAATAGTCAACAATGTGAGCTCTGAGGGTTGCTGTGGATCATTGCTGTGCTTGGAGCCTTGGTCAATGTAAAGACATCAAGATGGGAAATCCCTCCAGTAGGGATTTTTTTGTATTGTGGTGATACATATAAAATAACATTTATCATTTTAACAATTTCTAAATGTACAGTTTTATGGGAGTAATCACATCCGTAGTGTGTAACTTTCCACCATCCATCTCCCAGTCTGAAACTCCAGACCCATTAAACACTAACTCCTCATTCTCCCATCTCCTCTCCCCTGGTAGCCATCATTCTACTCCCTGTGTCTATGAATTTGACTAGTCTAGGTACCTCATATATATGGAATCATGCAATACTTATCCTTTTGTGATTTGGCTTCTTTCACTTACCATAATGTCTTCAAAGTTCGCCCACGTTGCTGCATATGTCAGGATTTCCTTCCTTTTTAAGGTTGATTGATATTTCATTGTATGTGTGTGTGTGTGTGTGTGTGTGTATGTATATATATATATATGTGTGTGTGTGTGTGTGTGTATATATATATACATAAAACTTCTTTCTCACCTCCCCCTTCCCAGTCTGTTCTGATATTCTAGAGCTGGCAAGTGGCTGTTGGGTTGCTTGAGTGACACTCAGCAGGAGACGAGCTGAGCGAATGGTTAAACTCCCAGAATCACTGGCTAAGCTCTTAACATTTCTGGAATTTTCTCATGTAGTTCATTGATTTATAAGTCCTCACATGGACTCTTACAAGTAGAAGTTTAACACATCCTGTAGGTGATTTTTTTTTCAAATTTCAGTTGATTGAGACCTAAAAATTCCATTGGATGATTTGAAACCACAGAAGAGGATGATTCTGTTGATGCTGATGGGATTGGAGAGGGTAATATTATTGTCAGCTTCAGGCTTTTGCATTAAATGTTGCTCCCTGTGTGTTCCAATTGCTTTGTTTCCAGTGAGTAATCTTAGGGTCGGCTAAACCAAGGTAGAGTGGAAGAGACCTCCTGGTGAATCCTGTTTGATGTTCAAGTAAGAGGCATAGGGTGCAGGCTTATCATTTGACCGATTTATAATGCTATGGATATGAGAGTCACTAGGTAGTGATGACCTGCACCCTAGAGGCAGGGCTTGTTATTGAGCAATTCATAGAAATTCCACCCCTGCCCCATGCCACTTAATCTGTAGGAACAAGAAGTCAGATGAGAACGGTAGTATTGTATACATCCCATTTTCAAGGCTGTGTCTCAAAGGAATCATTGTTGATCTGCTCCCTTTGAAGGGTGGGCTTGCAAAGTTGTAGAACTCTCTGGAAGAGTGGCGGGTAGTCAGAACAGAGCACCTGCTTCAGAGGAGACATTTTTTCCTTCTGGTTCTGACCCCCGCAGGTGTCTGAACCTCACTCCTCTCTTTAAAACTGGCCTGCAGAAGCCCTCCCATGGAGTGCCTCCCAGGAGGCTAGGCTGTTTCTGAATTCAGTTTTTGAAAACGGCTTTGAAGATAAAAGGAGGTGTGTTCTGTTCATGCCACTTCCCCCCTTAATTTAATCTGGTCTTGCAGCCTCCCCCTAAAACCAGCCTTCCCTCCCATGACAGCGATTCTAGGAACTGTGGGGCCGGAGAAACCTGCAGTACGGGCTTCAGCCCTCCTCCTGGAGTGGGACTTTGCCAATGCACCACAAGGATCCCCTCTGCAGGCCCTTCAGCCACATCTGCTCTCTAGTTCTGAAACCAGTCCAGCTGGCTTAGAGCTTCTGTAATGAGGAAGGTAACACTTCATTTGCCCAGCACTGCCAAGAAATGGATAATCCAGATCATTGAAATAGACTCTTCCGAAGCACAAACCTGAACGTCTCTTATGATTCTTGTGGGAACTCTTTCAGAAACCACATCATATCCTGTTCCTTTTAAAAGAGGAGGTGTTGAACACTACTTAACCTTTGCACGATCACTTGCATTGCGTACTCATCATTAGGCCATGCAGCATTGCAGTGAGATTGCCCGTCGTCCCTGCGTGCTGAGACACAGCTGCCGCATGTCTGTCTGGCATTTTTTGTTTCAATCTGCATGGGAGAGAAAGATGGAATAACCAATTAGTTAGCATTACACATGAGAACAAATAAAACTGATGGTGGAGTGATGAAACAGCAAGGATTCTGAGGTCAGATGGCTCCAGGTTTGATGCTGAAGCTATAGTTTATAAGATGGCATCAGGGGCTAATTATTTAACCTCTCCAAGCCTCAGTTTCCTCATCTGTAAAATGGGAATAGAAATAGCACCTTTTTCATGGATTGGTGCGAGGATCACGTGAGGTAATATAGATAAGGCGCCTGGCACACAGCATTGCTAGCTGTCACTAAAAGTGGAGGAGACGGGAGAGAGGGGAGAGTGACAGATAATATTCATGCCTTGCCAATACCACCCTGCCCTATCCCTACCCCTCAGTATTCACCACCTCTTCCATGCCAGTCTCAGCTGCCAGCTGCAAGCACCTGTAACTTTTTTTAAGGGCTTTCTCTGGCTGTTGTCCTCTGCTTGGCTGGAGTTCAGGGAAGGCTATATGTGCCAGGAGCTATCTTCTTGGATCCCCAGAAGTGGCTCTCTACAAACCGACAGAAGTTGGTGAATGAAAACCATGGCTCCAGGTGGGGCTGGGGCTAGGGGATGATTCTGAGACACTGCTGTGTTTCCCCAGCAGGAATAAGTCTCATCTGCCCACAGGGGTCACCTGCTTGCAATGCGCCTTGTATTGCCTTTTCTCCCTTCCATGTGTTATTTCCTCACTTGCCCTCTGGGCTCCCTGGATCGCTGCCCAAATAAGCTCCAAGCACTTGTGCCCTTGCTTAGGAATGGCCTCTAGAGGAACCCAAGCTAAGACATTATTATGCCTGCTAGATGTTACCTTATTTTCCTCTCACTCTTCCTTCCCATTCCCTTCTGTATGTGATTTGGATTGTATGGAAGAGAAAAAAAAATTCCATTTTCACACAGATAGTTACAAATACTAACAATACATATTTGAGATCTTGCTTTGCAATCACAGTATATATTCTTCAGTAAAAATGTTCCAGAAGCATGAGAGATGGATAGTCATTGTTTTCAGAATTGGACCATTAACAGAATCTAATAACCGTTTCCACTCTTCAAATCTTAAGCAAGAAGCGGTAGAACCTTTGGAGAGAAGCACAACCTGCCTCCAGCATCCGATGTTAACCTAGTGGGACAGCTGCACAGTTTGCATGGCATGAATGTTTGTACATTCACCTGTCACTGCACAACTGACTGTTTCACGGTGACAAGGGCAAACACTGGGAAGTGAATGCTGCGCTCACTTGTGCATTTGATGCAAGGAGATGTGCAGAGGCCAGAAATTTCAAAATCACCAGTGCGGCTTGCCACACTCCCACTTACCAGTACCTTTATATGAAGGCCAGACTTACATAGAGATGGAAGGTGGGTTTTTTTTCCCCCAAAGTTTGTACAAAAATGAGTTTATGTGGCTGCACCAGTTCATGCACTGTCAAGCTCTAAGTCTGTTAAAATTTAGCATGCCGCTCAAGGAGGCATATGTTCTTTTTTATTACAGTTTTTGAAGTGGTTAAAATATATTTTACAACACCACCTGCTTGACTAGAGGCCCTTGAACCAGGTTTAAAACCCTCTCATTCTAGCATGCAGCCTGCAGAAATGACAGCCCCTTCCTTCCTCCTTCAGTTGAACAGCTCCAGAGGAGACAGATGGACACAGAGGCAAAGCCAAACTGCGGAAGAGACTGGCTGAGAATCACCAAGGTGGCTTAGTGGAATGAACCTTTCTGCCTATCCACTCTGCTCCTGGCAATAAAATCATCCCCAAAATAATACCTGCTGCTCTGTTTGCTGAGCACAGGCCATGTGCCATGCCCTGTGCTCAGTGCTTACGTGCTTCATCTTGCTGCATGCCCCAAAACTCTGCGAGGCAGGTGTAATTTTTATCACCATTTTATAGAAACTGGAATACGGAGAGATTAGGTCACTTGCCTGAGGCCACCCAGTGATGGAGTGGCAGAGCTGGGCTTCGAACCAGGTCTGTCAGACTCCAAAGGCTACATCAAGACCTCGTTTCTGATGGGTCTAATTGCAAAATGTGCACACTTCCTGCTCCACTACACAAATTTATTAGCTGTTGTTAATGGCACAGATGAGGAAACACTGAAAATGAGAAACTTTCCCCTCTGGGAAAGTTTTTGTCTACATGATGCTCATTTATCTTTTTGTCTACATGATGCTCATAGGATTCAACTAAAAAACTGATGAATTGTGTACAATCATGTTCCCTATGTTTAAAACAGGTCATTCAATGAGCAGAATATGCAGTATCTATTTCTGATAGAAGTTCAACATCCCCAAATTGTTCTCTTTACTAGTAATTTTTTTGGAATTGTGTTTACAGTAAAGACCACAAAAGGCTGGGTGCAGTGGCTGATGCCTGTGATCCCAGCACGTTGGGAGGCAGAGGTGGGTGGATCACCTGAGGTCAGGAGTTCGAGACCAGCCTGTCTACATGATGAAACCCCATCTCTACTAAAAATACAAAAATTAGCTGGGCATGGTGGTGTGCACCTGTAATCCCAATTACTTGGGAGGCTGAGGCAGGAGAATCTCTTGAACCCCAGAGGTGGAGGTTGCAGTGAGCCGAGATGGTACTACTGCACTCCAGCCTGGGTGACAGAGCAAGACTCCTTCTCAGGAAAAAAAAAAAAAAAAAAAGCCACTACAAAAATAACCTGATGGGCGGGAACTGACGTTTACAGACAGATATGCAACTAGTTGGGTTATTTATTTTTAATTTACTTGCTTTAGAGTCAAATAGGGAACAGCTGGATTTCTCTCTGATGTTTCCAGTGGATTCCCTGGAACAAAGGAGTCTCCTCAGGGTCTGGATTTGAAACTAAGACCAAAAGTACAGTACTAGCTAAGAGATGCTAAGTAGAGAAACTGAGGCTCAGAGAGATTGAGTCCTGTCCCCAAGGTCCTGTGGTGTCAGAGTGGGGTTGGAACCCAGGTTAGGCAGACTCCTGGCTGCAAGACCTCTGGGTGTTGTATGTGGCTGTCATGGAGATGGGGGACAACTTGGGGTGGGTGGGTGGCTGTTGGACCAGCCTGGCATTATGAGCACCTGATGTGATGCAACATAAGATGCTCAGATGTCCCATGAAGTTTTATTGCCTAGGATGCTTAACCTGAATCCAACCAAGTCTGTGGACTAAACTCCCAGCTCGATGGGATTGCCCAGGGGTGGAGGTAAAGGAACAAGCTAAATGCCCCCAGGAGGAAGCAATCAGATAAATCCAGAATGTGGTTCTGACAGTCTTGGCATTCCCCAAGACAAGTGGCCTGAGTTCTTCAAGATTTCAACATCACGAAATAAAATGGGAGGTGGGATTAAAAGAGGCCAAAGAGACATAGTAACTAAATGACATAGGCTGAGTCAAATTTTTTATGAATAATCAAATGTATTTTGGAGACGTTTAAGTATAGACTGGATATTGGATAATGTTATGGGATTATTGTTGATTTTTCTTAGGTTTAATAGTGGTATTGTTGTTATGTAGGAAAAAATCCTTAGGAGATTCATGCTGAAGTTTTGGGGGTTAAAATGTCATAATGTTGTCAATATATTTTCAAATGATTCAGGAAAGAAATATATATGGACATAGATACACACACATACATGCACAGGTGTGTGTGTGTGTGTGTGTATATATATAGTGAGAGAGAGAGAAAGAAGAAAGAAAGAGGAGAATGTGGCAAAAGTGTTAATACTTGGTGCATCTAGGTATGGATGTTCACTGTGCTATTCTGTAAATTTAACATATTTGAAAATGAAAAAAATCAGGAAAAAACAGATCTACATGATTTGAATTCTATTTCCAATGCTAGTGCAGACCCATCCCCTGTGGGATGTGCTCCTACCCTGTGTTTCAGTCAATGACCAGTGGCTGATCCACTCAACATCCTCCCTCCCTAACCTGGTTTCAGGGGGTGGGATTGGGGGAGGGTCCTGCTTTGGAGACAGCTGTTGGCGATTAAAGGGATAGCTGGCTGTCCTTCCTGATGGGCCAACTGTGACCTTGGCCTATTTATTAAACTTCTGCTTCAACTCAGCAGACACAACTAAAGCAAAACTTCTAGGTTATTGGTATGGTCTGAGTTACCACATCTCCATTCTGGCTTTTTCCTTGTGTAGATTAAAGACATTGTTGGTCTTTAATCTACACAAGGAAAAACATAACATTAGACCAAAGCATAACATTAGACCTAATGATGATATGAAACTTGAAAGGGGGAGGACTGTTACCGTACGACTTTGACAAAGGTTGGGAGGAGAAGAGCTATGGCACCTGTTCTCATTAGCACCCTATGCATGGAATAGGGGAAAACGTCTTGTGAATATCACTTATTACTCAAGTGTCAGAACATCTTCCATCCTGGAAAGTTCTAAAACAGACCTGTGAATTGAATAAGGAGATGAACTTCAGGTAAGATGGGAAGGGGTCAGCTTTGTCCTGACATCACTCTTCCCTTCTTTTCTCTGCTGGCAATACCTCATCATGCACATGGATCACTACAGGGCAAAGGAGAGAGTGAGTCACTCCAGAATGGAACTTTATTCTTCAGCCGACGAAGGACATCTCCAAAGCCACCACTCTCTCCTTCCTCTTGCCAGTATCTGTGCCCTTTAAGGTGGCACTTAGTCATGAGCCTCTTGCTTTGTGGATACTGATCTTGCTCTCCTAACTAAGCCCTTGTAGCCTCTATACCTCCCGTGTCCCCCACATATCCCTCAACGGTGCTTGCCACATGGTAGATATTTGGCAAGTACTCTGTGGTTGATACAATACATTTTAATGATTCACTCAGGTCTCAATGACAGAAAAAAAAAAAAAACAACCCAGATCAACCCGTCTTACACAAAATCAGGAAGGCAGTGGCTCATATAACTGTAAGTCCAAGTATTAGTGGCTTTACGCACAGCTTGCCTCGGGGCCCCATATGGTGTCAGTAGAGCCTAATCTCTCCAAGTCTTATGTCTGCTCTCCTCCATATTAACTTAATTCTCAGGATCTACGTGGTGACAAGATTCCTGCTGTAGTCCCACATCCTCTAGGGTCTAAGTCCAAAGGAGAAGAAAGAGGGCCTTTCTCAGCAGTAGGAGGAATTGTCTTGCATCTCATTGGCTCTAAGTGGGTCATGTGTCCATCCCTGAACCAATCACTGTGGCTGGTTGAATGTCCACTCTAATTGGCTAGGCCCAAGGCAGATACACATCCCTGAAGCCAGAAGTGAGGTCAGCTTCACTAGAAGCATCGGATCTGAGAGTCATGGAGGGGTTGTTGTCTTAGTCACCTCCTATTCACCTCATTGGCAAGGGAGGGCTGTTATGGAATGGCTGGCACATGAGTCCTGATACCGGACACGTGAAATGAACACCAGTTTATTGCCTGGGGGAGGAGGATGCTGCATGCTATGCAGGGTGACATGGAGGCTACACTTGAGAACAGTGAACAATTAGGGTCTGTGAGAGGCAGGCTTTGTAGTATCAAGGGCATGGGGTGACCCCTGGTTTCTTGGGGGAGGACGTGATTGGCCTGTTTGAGTAACTCTCAGGCTGGTCGGGAACGGAAACCTGACACTTGGGATAAGTAGAAACTGCTTCTTGTCCCATTTGTAAGGAGGGCCGTTTGGCTAGGGGACCTTATCCATGGGAGCAGAGTTGAGAGGGAAACTTGTAGTTAGGCCATTCAAGCCCCTCCCAGTTTCACCAGATGTCAAGGCAAAACAACATTGGACCTTAATTTTAAGTCTTACACTGCAGTGGTCCCCAGAAGAAAATTAGGAACTATTAGCATAGGAAGGGCAAATGGATGCTGAGCTCACTGGAGGAGTAATATGTGTCCACTATCCTTGAATCAAGAAACCTCAAGAAAGGGGTCACTGGCAGCTGGTCATCAAATGCCATCTCTTTGTCTGGACTGATCATTCTTATGCTCACCCAGTCTTCAGAATCTCACATAAATGTCTCTAGGGTCCTAATAGAGGAGATGAGGCAAGTAAATGCGGATGGCACAGGAAAAGCCTTGAGGATATCTATCCTGGGGAGATGAGTCATTTTTTTTTTTTTTGTGGAGAGAGACTTCATTACAGACAGTATTTTGAAATGCCAGACTTCAGGGGCACCCTGGATGGGCCCACTGCCCTGCTCAAGGCCACGTCCTTCCTCTTTCATCATGTTCAGAGGCCCTTGCTAGGTTGAATATTTTGATAGACAGGGTTCAGATACCTGGCTGGACCTGATTCCAAGTCTGATCATGGTAGGAAATCTCTATTATTCAATTGGAACTGTTTTAAAAAGTGTCATCTAATGCAGCTGGGGCAGTCCTGGAATTGCTGCTGATGAAGTTTTAAGGGGGTCATAGGTAATTTGATGTGATAATTATAAAAGCAGAGATTCTTGACTTTTTTTTTTCTATGAAGCTTTCTGAGAATAACATGAAAAACTATGGACTTACGAGAAATATAAACAAATACCCCAAACTTTACAAGCAATTTCTTGGGGCTTCATGTAGCCCCTAAAATCCCAGCATTGTACATACATCATGATTCGTGAACCCCATAGCTTTGAGAGTCATATTTGGAGAAATTGATTAGTATCAGGTCAGCTAAGGCAAGCTTTATTCCCAGGAGGGAGGCAGCTTTATGTTCTAGGTCTGCAAAGACTCTACATCCACAGGGCAAAACCTTTGGAAATCCAGGTGGCCTGTGCTATCAGTCATTGGCAGTGCTGTCTGGGATCACTGTGTCAACATATATGTATATCCATCCGTCACTGCTGTAAGCATGTTGCTACCCAGCAGCAGACTTTTAGTATCTTTGGAGGGGAATAAAGAGTAAAAATGACTTTTTTTAGAAGTTGGGCTCTAAGATGCAGTCTTCATATATATATTAACTTGTGAAATTCATCAATGTTACCTGCACCATGATAGAAAATAATATGGGCTGTCTGATTTAAGTTCAACCGGCAAACAGACTTTCAGACAGGTGAGTTTAACATGACCTAGGATAGCCACTGGAGGTACTGGGGACCCACCTCTTCCTTGTTTGGACAAGGGAAGAGAGGAGCAAAACAAAATTACATAACGCCCTATTTGGCAGATTCCCTCAGTGCTTGAAGCTCATTCATTTATTTATTCATACAACAAATATTAATATTTGCTGAATTCTTACTCTGTGCCAGGTATTTTTCTAGGGGACATAGCAGTGAACATGACAAAGGTCCTGTTGTAATGGTGATTATCTTCTAGGGAGAGCCATGTGGTGGGTAGCTGAAACTTGTCTTCCAAACATCCCTTTTCCCTTCTGGTAACAGCACATGACGTTAAAGATATACCCCTTCTTCACTCTTAATTCTCTTGGTTTGAGGGATGGATCTCTGACCCAGAGTTAATCCAATCAGCATAATTGCACTGCAAACTCCAGCTGCGATAGCCACAGGACCCAAGCTGGTCTAATTAGGAAAAATCTAGGGATTTTTTTGAAGAAGTTATTGGAAAAAAATGTGTGTGTGTGTGTGTATGAATATATGTATATATACATTCTTATTTCTTTTTATTTTTTTTCTCTGCTGAACTTGAACCTGAGAGGCTTTAAGTTGGAGCTACTTGCTGCAAAAGGAGACAAAATCTTGAGTATGGAGACAACAGAGGAGGATTGAGTGACATTGGCAAAAGCACCGAGGCTTTGTAACGTTGTTTGGGCCCCTCTGGACATTGCTCTCCAGGGCAATTTGAGTTGGGTTTTTATCAGTTGGTACTAGAGGAATCAATTGACTCACCTGCCGGCCTGGAAGACTTGGTGAAGTAGTTGTGGCTACAATCACATTCTATACATCTAGTGTATGCAAGTTTCTCAGAGGACAGATATGCTTGGCAAAACTTGTGCAAGTGAAGGTGGGCCTGGTCCTCCCTTCCCTCGTGTCATAAGCCCCTTCTCCTTACCCCTAACACAACAGCCCATGCACTCTTCTTGCCTTTCCCAGGCACTGGTCCTGCATTCTATTTCTGCTGTCACAGAAAGCAATCTCCACTTGAATAGTGAGGGCCAGGTGCCTTGGCATATGGGAAGAGCACACAACCTGCTATGGGAAGACTTGTCCTTTAGTTCCCGCTCTGAAACTGCCCATCTTGGTGGTCTGGGTGAGCCATATAACTGCTTGAGATTTATCTTCCAAAAAGATAGGTGGAAGTAGTAGTAGTAATAATAATAATAACAATAATAATACTTTCTCTTCTGTATGAGCTCCTGGTTGAGGGTCAAATCAGGTAACACATGGAAGTGTGTTATGAACAGCAAATTAACATGAAAAATAAGATGTTAAAAAACAGATGAATATATGACTTTACTTGGGAAATTCCACACGTTAAAAGGGGGTCTTTGAAGAGGGAAGCCCCTTGATTCCTTATACGGATGAAGTTATCGCCGTGAAAGAAAAGCCTTAGCAAGGGTTGATATTTTGAGGTTAAAAGGTCCTTTTTCACTGTCCAGTTATTCCTTGGCTTTGCAGCTGACTTCATTCCAAGGATAGTAGTTAAGACCTGGAGGTTCCTGTTTCATAAATGAGGATATTTTTCTTTTCATTGGTCGATATTTCTGCAGCACTCATAAGGCAAGAAGTGGTGTTGAAAAAGGATGGATCAAATGAACAGCCTGGCCTCCCTTGACTCGAAGAAGAGTGCAGGTAGGGAGCTGTGTGGAGCTGTCCTTTCCTTTTTCTGAAGGTAAGAAAGTGACTGACAGGTTAAAGATACTAGGAAGAAAATTGCTAGTTAATTATGGCTAAGATGGTATCTCATTGTGGTTTTGATTTGCATTTCTCTGATGGCCAGTGATGGTGAGCATTTTTTCATGTGTTTTTTGGCTGCATAAATGTCTTCTTTTGAGAAGTGTCTGTTCATGTCCTTTGCCCACTTTTTGATGGGGTCGTTTGTTTTTTTCTTGTAAATTTGTTTGAGTTCATTGTAGATTCCGGATATTAGCCCTTTGTCAGATGAGTAGGTTGCGAAAATTTTCTCCCATTTTGTAGGTTGCCTGTTCACTCTGATGGTAGTTTCTTTTGCTGTGCAGAAGCTCTTTAGTTTAATTAGATCCCATTTGTCAATTTTGTCTTTTGTTGCCATTGCTTTTGGTGTTTTAGACATGAAGTCCTTGCCCATGCCTATGTTCTGAATGGTATTGCCTAGGTTTTCTTCTAGGGTTTTTATGGTTTTAGGTCGAACGTTTAAGTCTTTAATCCATCTTGAATTGATTTTTGTATAAGGTGTAAGGAAGGGATCCAGTTTCAGCTTTCTACATATGGCTAGCCAGTTTTCCCAGCACCATTTATTAAATAGGGAATCCTTTCTCACACCAGTTAGAATGGCAATCATTAAAAAGTCAGGAAACAACAGGTGCTGGAGAGGATGTGGAGAAATAGGAACACTTTTACACTGTTGGTGGGACTGTAAACTACTTCAACCATTGTGGAAGTCAGTGTGGCGATTCCTCAGGGATCTAGAACTAGAAATACCATTTGACCCAGCCATCCCATTACTGGGTATATACCCAAAGGACTATAAATCATGCTGCTATAAAGACACATGCACACGTATGTTTATTGTGGCATTATTCACAATAGCAAAGACTTGGAACCAACCCAAATGTCCAACAATCATAGACTGGATTAAGAAAATGTGGCACATATACACCATGGAATACTATGCAGCCATAAAAAATGATGAGTTCATGTCCTTTGTAGGGACATGGATGAAATTGGAAATCATCATTCTCAGTAAACTATCGCAAGAACAAAAAACCAAACACCGCATATTCTCACTCATAGGTGGGAATTGAACAATGAGAACGCATGGACACAGGAAGGGGAACATCACACTCTGGGGCCTGTTGTGGGTTTGGGGGCGGGGGGAGGGATAGCATTGGGAGATATACCTAATGCTAGATGATGAGTTAGTGGGTGCAGCGCACCAGCATGGCACACGTATACATATGTAACTAACCTGCACATTGTGCACATGTACCCTAAAACTTAAAGTATAATAATAATAAATAAAAAATTAAAAATTAAACAAAAAAGATGGCTAAGAACTTGAAAGCAAACAAAAAGTCATTCCAGAAGAATGGGCTGGGAAGTATTGAGCTCACAAGTGGGATCAGGTCAGTGGCCAGATTCCTGTTCAGTGGGAATGCTGGAGAAGGGACTCTGGTTTGAAGAGATGTTGGGTGGATGATATACTGGTTCTCTCCAACTCAAAGATGTGAAGCTCCTGCATACCTTCAGCATTTAGCATGCATGCAGTGGGAAAGACAACATAGATTGTCTTATGTTTCTTGATCCCTCTAACCAGTTGCAGCAAGAAACATAATGCTATATTTTGACTCACGCTTTTGAGGGTAAGCTTTTCTTTCAGAGTGTGTATGTTTCTGGGGAAGTAATTTACACTATTACCTGAGTGTCTCCTTGCAAGGAGCATTTGAGTAGTTTCCAAATATTTCCTGGAAGCAATCTTTTAGTTGGGGTCTCTGTGAGACAAACATAGCATTATTTGTGGAGAAATCTAATCTCATGGCAAATAGAATGCTTGGACAAATTGAGAAGCTGGTGTGGTTTTCTTGAGGGATGCCACTGAGAATTTACCTCCATATCCTGTGACTTACTTTGTTTTCCCTTTGTTCTTCCTCTTTTTAAAAAAAATGAGGTATAATTTACACATAATAAAATCACAAATTTTAAGTATCGAGTTAGATGGATGTTGACAAATATATGCATCTATGTCACCTACATCTTCAGTAGGTACAGAATATTTCTAACACCTCCAAAGTTCCCCATGCCCCTTTCTTGTCTCCATCCAGAGGTAACTGCCATCTTGCTTTCTCTCACCACAGCTCAGTTTTGCCTGTTCTAGAACCTCATATAAATGAAACTATAGGGTAGAACTTCTTTTATGTGTGGTTTTTTGCTTAAAACAATGCTTTTGAGATTTATTCATGTGTTTTGCATATATCAGTAACTCTTTATACTATTGAGTAGTATTTCATTGTATGAATATGCCACTATTTTTCATTCTTATGTTAATGAGCATTTGAGTTGTTTCCAATATTTGATTATTATTAATAAAGCACTATAAATATTTTCTGCAAGTCCCTTGGTGTTGGCTATCACAGATCAGGACCCAAAAGAGATGAGTGGAAAAAATAAAAAGAATTGAGTGGACCCGCACAAATGATCAGTTTTTGCCAATGTGTCAAGGCAATTCAATATGAAAAGACAATCTTTTCAACTAACAATACTGCAAAACCTGAATATCCTTACGAAAAAAAAATCTCATCTCTATTGCGTGCCACATGCAAAATTAATTTGAGATATAACACAGACTTAAATATGAAAGCTAATATCGTAAAGCTTTTAGAAGAAAACATAGGAGAAAATCTACAAATGTGGAGTAGGGAAAGATTTCTTAGGACACAAAAGGTACAAACATAAAAGAGGAAATTGATGAATTGGGCCTCATCAAAATTAAAAACATGTTCATGTTGAAAGATACTGGTAGGAAAATGAAAAGTTAAGCCACAGATGAAGAGAAGAAATTCATAATATGTGTAACTAACAAAGGACTACTGTTCAGAATATATTGTACATTCTTTAAAATCAATAATAAAAAGCAACAATCCAATTTTTAAAATAGGCCAAATATATGCATAGGTGCTTTATGAAAATGAGAACGGCCAAAACACACAAGAAAAGATGCTCAACAGGGCACATGGACACAGGGAGGGGAAACACACATGGGGGTCTGTGGGGGTTGGGGAGCAAGGGGAGGGAGAGCATCAGGACAAATAGCTAATGCATGTGGGGCTTAAAACCTAGGTGATAGGTTGATAAGTGCAGCAAACCACCATGACACATGTATACCTATGTAACAAACCTGCATGTTCTGCACATGTATCCTGGAACTTAAAGTAAAATAAAAATAAAAAAATAAAAAGAAAATATGCTCAACCTCATCATCCATGAAGGAAATGTAAATCAAAACTACAATGTCAAAAGTCAAAACCAGATGTCACCCAAGATGCAGCTGGTGCCATAAAAGAGCACAGGAGTGCAAGAGAGGGAATCTGGGTTCCGGTTCTGCCCCAGATCCTGTCCCTCCCTCCATCGGGCATCTTGGCAAGGCTCTGGACTTCCAACAAATGAAGGAACAGAACTAGCTGTACATGAAGTACAAAGATGTCTTTATTTTTTATGTTGTTCTTGCCCTAATATTGCTGGATTCTAGTTACTGCCACAGCATCTATGGGAGGGGTCCTCAACCCCCGGGCCACAACCCCTTAGAAACTGGGCTGTACAGCAGGAGGTGAGTGATGAGTGGTGTGTGGGGAGTGAGCCAGAGAGTGAAGCTTTATCTGTATTTACAGCCACTCCCCATCGCTGGCATTACTGCCTGAGCTCCACCTCCTATCAGATCAGTGGTGACATTAGATTCTCACAGGAGCACAAACTCCATTGTGAACTGCACATGTGAGGAATCTAGGTTGCATGCTCCTTATGAGAATCTACTGCCTGGTGATCTGTCACTGTCTCCCACCACCCCCAGATGAGACTGTCTAGTTGCTGGAAAACAGGCTCAGGGATCCCACTGATTCTACATTATGGTGAGTTGTATAATTATGTCATTATATATTGCAATATAATAATAACAGAAACAAAGTGGACAATAAATGTAATACACCTGAATCACCCTGAAACCATCCCCACCACTCCAGTCCATGGAAAAATTGTCTTTGATGAAACCGGTCCCTGGTGCCAAAAAGGTTAGGGACTGCTGATCTATGGCAATGAGAATCCTATTGGAGGCTCCCACACGATTCTTTCTGGATGAAGTAAGGGAAATGATACTCTGACTTTTCACATGATGAATTTGAAAATAATACACATAGTTCCTCACTTAAACTTTTCTAAGAAATGAAGTACCAGCCAGGAGCGGTGGCTCATGCCTGTAATCCCAGCACTTTGGGAGGCCAAGGCAGGCGGATCATGAGATTAGGAGATCGAGATCATCCTGGCTAACATGGTGAAACCCCATCTCTACTAAAAATACAAAAAATTAGCTGGTGTGGTGGCAGGTGCCTGTAGTTCCAGCTACTCAGGGAGCTGAGGCAGGAGAAAGGCGTGAACCTGGGAGGCGGACCTTGCAGTGAGCCAAGATCACGCCACTGCACTCTAGCCTGGGTGACAGCGAGACTCCATCTCAAAAAAAAAAAAAAAAAAAAGAAAAAGAAAAGAAAAAAGAAATAAAGTACCATGTTTTTTCTGAAGATGTTATTAATTCATATATGTTCTCCTTTGATAGAACGGCATCTACTCTAAAGAAATGAAATGGGGGTGGTTCCAAGATGGCCAAATAGGAACAGCTCCAGTCTACAGCTCCCAGCATAAGCAACGCAGAAGACGGGTGATTTCTGCATTTCCAACTGAGGTACCAGGTTCATCTCACTGGGGCTTGTTGGACAGTTGGTGCAGGACAGTGGGTGCAGCGCACTGAGCGTGAGCCAAAGGAAAGCAAGGCATCGCCCCACCTGGGAAGCACAAGGGGTCAGGGAATTCCCTTTCATAGCCAAGCAAAGCTGTGACAGACGGCACCTGTCAAATCGGGTCACTCCCACCCTAATACTGCGCTTTTTCAATGGTCTTAGCAAATTGCATACCAGGAGATTATATCCCGCGCCTGGCTTAGAGGGTCCCACGCACACGGAGCCTCGCTCATTGCTAGCACAGCAGTCTGAGATCAAACTGCAAGGTGGCAGCAAGGCTGGGGGAGGGGCGCCCGCCATTGCTGAGGCTTGAGTAGGTAAACAAAGCAGCCGGAAAGCTCGAACTGGGTGGAGCCCACAGCAGCTCAAGGAGGCCTGCTTGCCTCTGCAGACTCCACCTCTGGGGGCAGGGCATAGCCGAACAAAAGGCAGCAGAAACCTCTGCAGACTTAAATGTCCCTGTCTGACAGCTTTGAAGAGAGTAGTGGTTCTCCCAGCATGGAGTTTGAGATCTGAGAACGGACAGACTGCCTCCTCAAGTGGGTTCCTGACCCCTGAGTAGCCTATCTGGGAGGCACACCTCAGTAGGGGCAGACTGACACCTCACACGGCCAGGTACTCCTCTGAGATGAAACCTCCAGTGGAAAGATCAGACAGCAACATTTGCTGTTCACCAATATTCGCTGTTCTGCAGCCTCTACTGCTGATACACAGGCAAGCAGGATCTGGAGTGGACCTCCAGCAAACTCCAACAGACCTGCAGCTGAGGGTCCTGACTGTTAGAAGGAAAACTAACAAACAGAAAGGACATCCACACCAAAACCCCATCTGTACATCACCATCATCAAAGACCAAAGGTAGATAAAACCACAAAGATGGGGAAAAAACAGAACAGAAAAACTGAAAATTCTAAAAATCAGAGTGCCTGTCCTCCTCCAAAGGAACGCAGCTCCTCACCAGCAATGGAACAAAGCTGGACGGAGAATGACTTTGACGAGTTGAGAGAAGAAGGCTTCAGATGATCAAACTTCTCTGAGGTAAAGGAGGAAGTTCAAACCCATCACAAATAAGTTAAAAACGTTGAAAAAAGATTAGATGTATGGCTAACTAGAATAACCAATGCAGAGAAGTCCTTAAAGGACCTGATGGAGCTGAAAACCATGGCACGAGAACTACGTGATGAATGCACAAGCTTCAGTAGCCAATTTGATCAACTGGAAGAAAGGGTATCAGTGATTGAAGATCAAATGAATGAAATGAAGCGAGAAGTTTAGAGAAAAAAGAATAAAAAGAAATGAACAAACCCTCCAAGAAATATGGGACTATGTGAAAAGACCAAATCTACATCTGATTGGTGTACCTGAAAGTGGCGGGGAGAATGGAAGCAAGTTGGAAAACACGCTCCAGGATATTATCCAGGAGAACTTCCCCAATCTAGCAAGGCAGGCCAACATTCAAATTCAGGAAATACAGAGAATGCCACAAAGATACTCCTCAAGAAGAGCAACTCCAAGACACGTAGTTGTCAGATTCACCAAAGTTGAAATGAAGGAAAAAATGTTAAGGGCAGCCAGAGAGAAAGGTCGGGTTACCCACAAAGGGAAGCCCATCAGACTAATAGCTGATCTCTCAGCAGAAACTCTGCAAGCCAGAAGAGAGTGGGGGCCAATATGCAACATTCTTAAAGAAAAGAATTTTCAACCCAGAATTTCATATCCAGCCAAACTAAGCTTCATAAGTGAAGGAGAAATAAAATACTTTTCAGACAAGCAAATGCTGAGAGATTTTGTCACCACCAGGCCCGCCCTAAAAGAGCTCCTGAAGGAAGCGCTAAACATGGAAAGGAACAGCTGGTACCAGCCGCTGCAAAATCATGCCAAAATGTAAAGACCATCGAGACTAGGAAGAAACTGCATCAACTAACAAGCAAAATAACCAGCTAACATCATAATGACAGGATCAATTTCACACATAACAATATTAACTTTAAATTGTAAATGGACTAAATGCTCCAATTAAAAGACACAGACTGGCAAATTGGATAAAGAGTCAAGACCCATCAGTGTGCTGTATTCAGGAAACCCATCTCATGTGCAGAGACACACATAGGCTCAAAATAAAGGGATGGAGGAAGATCTACCAAGCAAATGGAAAACAAAAAAAGGCAGGGGTTGCAATCCTAGTCTCTGATAAAACAGATTTTAAACCAACAAAGATCAAAAGAGACAAAGAAAGCCATTACGTAATGGTAAAGGGATCAATTCAACAAGAAGAGCTAACTATCCTAAATATATATGCACCCAATACAGGAGTATCCAGATTCATAAAGCAAGTCCTTAGAGACCTACAAAGAGACTTAGACTCCTACACAATAATAATGGGAGACTTTAACACCCCACTGTCGACATTAGACAGATCAATGAGACAGAAAGTTAACAAGGATATCCAGGAATTGAATTCAGCTCTGCACCAAGCGGATCTAACAGACATATACAGAACTCTCCACCCCAAATCAACAGAATATACATTCTTCTCAGCACCACACCACACCTATTCCAAAATTGACCACATAGTTGGAAGAAAAGCACTTCTCAGCAAATGTAAAAGAACAGAAATTATAACAAACTGTCTCTCAGACCACAGTGCAATCAAACTAGAACTCAGGATTAAGAAACACACTCAAAACCACTCAACTACATGGAAACTGAACAACCTGCTCCTGAATGACTACTGGGTACATAACAAAATGAAGGCAGAAATAAAGATGTTCTTTGAAACCAATGAGAACAAAGACACAACATACCAGAATCTCTGGGACACATTTAAAGCAGTGTGTAGAGGGAAATTTATAGCACTAAATGCCCACAAGATAAAGCAGGAAAGATCTAAAATTGACACCCTAACATCATAATTAAAAGAGCTAGAGAAGCAAGAGCAAACACATTCAAAAGCTAGCAGAAGGCAAGAAATAACTAAGATCAGAGCAGAACTGAAGGAGATACAGACACAAAAAACTCTTCAAAAAAATCAATGAATCCAGGATCTGGTTTTTTGAAAAGATCAACAAAATTGATAGACCACTAGCAAGACTAATAAAGAAGAAAAGAGAGAAGAATTAAATAGACAAAATAAAAGTGATAAAGGGGATATCACCACTGATCCCACAGAAATACAAACTACCATCAGAGAATACTGTAAACACCTCTACAGAAAATCTAGAAGAAATGAATAAATTCCTCGACACATACACCCTCCCAAGACTAAACCAGGAAGCAGTTGAGTCTCTGAATAGACCAATAACAGGCTCTGAAATTGAGGCAATAATTAATAGCTTACCAACCAAAAAAAGTCCAGGACCAGATGGATTCACAACCGAATTCTACCAGAGGTACAGGAGGAGCTGGTACCATTCCTTCTGAAACTATTCCAATCAACAGAAAAAGAGGGAATCCTCCCTAACTCATGTTATGAGGCCACCATCATCCTGATACCAAAGCCTGGCAGAGACACAACAAAAAAAGAGAATTTTAGACCAATATCCCTGATGAACATTGATGCAAAAATCCTCAATAAAATACTGGCAAATTGAATCCAGCAGCACATCAAAAAGCTTATCCACCATGATCAAGTGGGCTTCATCCCTGGGTTCAACATACACAAATCAATAAATGTAATCCAGCATATAAACAGAACCAAAGACAAAAACCACATGATTATCTCGATAGATGCACAAAAGGCCTTTGACAAAATTCAACAGCCCCTCATGCTAAAAACTCTCAATAAATTAGGTATTGATGGGACATATCTCAAAATAATAAGAGCTATTTATGACAAACACACAGTCAATATCATACTGAATGGGCAAAAACTGGAAGCATTCCCTTTGAAAACTGGCACAAGACAGGGATGCCCTCTCTCACCACTCCTATTCAACATAGTAATGGAAGTTCTGGCCAGGGCAATCAGGCAGGAGAAAGAAATAAAGGGTATTCAATTAGGAAAAGAGGAAGTCAAATTGTCCCTGTTTGCAGATGACATGATTGTATATCTAGAAAATCCCATCGTCTCAGCCCTTAATCTCCTTAAGCTGATAAGCAACTTCAGCAAAGTCTCAGGATACAAAATCAATGTGCAAAAATCACAAGCATTCTTATACACCAATAACAGACAAACAGAGAGCCAAATCATGAGTGAACTCCCATTCACAATTGCCTCAAAGGGAATAAAATACCTAGGAATCCAACTTACAAGGGATGTGAAGGACCTCTTCAAGGAGAACTACAAACCACTGCTCAATGAAATAAAAGAGGACACAAACAAATGGAAGAACATTCCATGCTCATGGAGAAGAAGAATCAATATCGTGAAAATGGCCATACTGCCCAAGGTAATTTACAGACTCAATGCCATCCCCATCAAGCTACCAATGACTTTCTTCACAGAATTGGAAAAAACTACTTTAAAGTTCATATGGAACCAAAAAAGAGCCCACATTGCCAAGTCAATCCTAAGCCAAAAGAACAAAGCTGGAGGCATCATGCTACCTGACTTCAAACTATACTACAAGGCTACAGTAACCAAAACAGCATGGTACTGGTACCAAAACAGACATATAGACCAATGGAACAGAACAGAGCCCTCAGAAATAATACCACACATCTACAACTATCTGATCTTTGACAAACCTGGCAAAAACAAGAAATGGGGAAAGGATTCCCTATTTAACAAATGGTGCTGTGAAACCTGGCTAGCCATATGTAGAAAGCTGAAACTGGATCCCTTCCTTACACCTTATACAAAAATTCATTCAAGATGGATTAAAGACTTATATGTTAGACCTAAAACCATAAAAACCCTAGAAGAAAACCATAAAAACCCTAGAAGAAAACCTAGGCAATACCATTCAGGACATAGGCATGGGCAAGGACTTCATGTCTAAAACACCAAAAGCAATGGCAACAAAAGCCAAAATTGATAAATAGGATCTAATTAAACTAAAGAGCTTCTGCACAGCAAAAGAAACTACCACCAGAGTGAACAGGCAACCTACAGAATGGGAGAAAATTTTTGCAATCTACTCATCTGACAAAGGGCTAATATCCAGAATCTACAAAGAACTCAAACAAATTTACAAGAAAAAAAAAAACAACCCCATCAAAAATTGGGCAAAGGATATGAACAGACACTTCTCAAAAGAAGACATTTATGCAGCCAAAAAACATGAAAAAATGCTCATCATCACTGTCCATCAGAGAAATGCAAATCAAAACCACAATGAGATATCATCTCACACCAGTTAGAATGGCGATCATTAAAAAGTCAGGAATCAACAGGTGCTGGAGAGGATGTGGAGAAATAGGAACAATTTTACGCTGTTGATGGGACTGTAAACTAGTTCAACCATTGTGGAAGACAGTGTGGCGATTCCTCAGGGATCTAGAACTAGAAATACCATTTGACCCAGCCATCCTATTACTGGGTATATACCCAAAGGAATATAAATCATGCTGCAATAAAGACACATGCATACGTGTTTATTGTGGCACTACTCACAATAGCAAAGACTTGGAACCAACCCAAATGTCCATCAATGATAGACTGGATTAAGAAAATGTGGCACATATACACCATGGAATACTATGCAGCCATAAAAAATGATGAGTTCATGTCCTTTGTAGGGACATGGATGAAGCTGGAAACCATCATTCTCAGCAAACTATCAAAAGGACAAAAAACCAAACACCACATGTTCTCACTCATAAGTGGGAATTGAACAATGAGAACACTTGGACACAGTAATGGGAACATCACACACCAGGGCCCATTGTGGGATGGGGGGAGTGGGGAGGGATAGCATTAGGAGATATACCTAATGTAAATGACAAGTTAATGGGTGCAGCACACCAACATGGCACATGTATACATATGTAACAAACCTGCATGTTGGGCATATGTACCTTAGAACTTAAAGTATAATAAAAAAAATATAAAAAAAGAAATTGACTATGCTAAAGGCATTATTAACAACAAAAAAAGTAAGTGCAAATGTTTACCTTTGCTGTCAAATATCTAAATTTGAATGGACAACCAATAATTTCTATTAACGAGCTTTAAAGAGAGTAATTCTGGAATTTGGAGACATAATATTTTATGCTTTAATATAAATTTAAACTATTACAAAACAAAAGATATGAAATGGTTAATTTATTTTACTGTGCTTTACTTCTTCCCTGGAAGTAGGAAAATGACCTTTTATTTTATTGTTATTATTATTATTTGAGACACAGTTTTAGTCTGTCATCCAGGCTGGAGTGCAGTGGCACGATCTCAGCTCACTGCAACCTTCTCCTCTGGTTCAAACAATTCTCTTGCCTCAGCCTCCCGACTAGCTGGGACTACAGGCACCCACCACCACATTTGGCTAATTTTTGTGTTATTAGTAGAGACAGGGTTTCACCATGTTGACCAGGCTGGTCTCGAACTCCTGACCTCCAGTGATCTGCCTGCCTCAGCCTCCCAAAGTGCTGGGATTAAAGGTGTGAGCCACCGTGCCTGGCCAGAAAATTACTTTTTATTATGTGGAATTTGGCCTAATGCAGTTCCGCATCAGGTCTAGTGCCATATTCTCAGAGGTCTTATAAATATTGCTGCTTGAAAGAAGGTGAAATGAAGGAATATTTAGATTGGTAAAGAGAAGACTCTGTCTTCCTCCCTCTCGCTCTACATATCTATCCCTATCTTCTTTTGTAGTTGTAGGATAATTAAAGGGCTATATTGTAGAAGAATAGACATTACATTTATTCTATGTGGCCCCCAAAAAACAATTTGGGCCCATCGATGTAGGCTAGAGGCAAATCTCTTTCTACTCAAACATCTGCTTCTACTCAAACATCTGTTTCTACTCAAAAATCTGTTTCTACTCTCCCTGGAAATGGAATGAGTGATGAGTGATTTCTACATCCCTGGAGGTGTCAAGCAGATATTTATTGAGACCATTATGGAAGATATTCATGGACCAGTTTGAAGTTGGTAACCTTCTAAAATCCCTCTTGGATCGCAGCTACATCATCAAGTTCATGCCAGGCAGCTACAGAGGAAAGTTTGGATATGTGCATCTTTGTGGATAAGGGTCGCTGTGCTGGCTGCCTGTTACCAGGACAGCTCTTAGTGCAACTGGGTAGGTAGCACTCAGATACAGAGTATAACTTCTGGAAATGAGATGATAAGAAATTGTTGCAAGTTTGTGTTCTCTCTGAGGTGGCTTTGGGTTTTGGAAACAGTCAAAAGTCTGGTCAATTTGGGGTCAGCATGCTGGACAATACTGTTTGGGGGTTTAAAAAAAACTCTAACAACATAAGCATAACTACAGAGGGATGGAATTTATTTTCTTGGCATGCCCATAAGCTCAATATGAAATATTGGGGAATATGAAATATGAAGCTCAATATGAAATATGGGGAAATGGGAGATTTCCCCAAAGTGGCACTTTGAAAATGTGTGCAGCCACAAAAGCATTGGAGAAAGCTACACTCAATGAGTGTCTAGATTTTTCAAAGTGATTTTTCAAAGATCAGTCTCGCACTTTACAGCTATGTTGTTCATCATGTCTTGGTAGGGGGATTGCCATGTTTATTCTCTTTCTTATGATAAAGCATTTCTGAGGCTGCTGAAGCTCTGACCCATGGTTCCGTCACCAGAGGACTCATCACATTCCATGGGGATCTTAAAAAGACCCAGCAGGGGCTGCCAAGCCTGGCACCTAGGTGCTGTGGCTGGATCATGTTATCTAACCTGGCTCTGTTTCTTGACTCCCTGTAAGCTCATTTGTCTGCTGGTGCAGCAACATGACATTTCAGGAGGGCTCTACCTGCTTGGCATATGCTCATAGCTGAACAGCTGCGAGAGCCAGCTACCTCCAAACACATGGAAGGAATGTGGCGGGTGGCAGGTGGCGGGGTGGGGTGGCGGGTGGTGGGGGGTAGGGGGGTGGGTGTTGCTTCCTGCTTTTTGTGATTTGGGGCACTGAAGATGCCATCTGCAGTACTTTTCAGAGGTATCAGAGCCTATCTGCCCTTCAAGAAGGATCTGGATTAAATTATAGATCCTTCTGTGTGAGAGAGCCCCCAGAGACATCCTGATCCAGGTTTATATAATGAATAAGGCTAGAGCTTTCCCTTGACAACAGGCTTTGGTAAATGGAAAAAGGGATCATTAGAGGAGATGACAGGGTTGCCAAAGGGACTGGAGAAAGAAGAGACTGGGCAGCTGAAGACAAGCATCAAGGATGACATCATAGCTTTGTTTAAAGCCACCTTCAGAGAACACAAACTTACAACAAATTGCAAATCTGTATTGACAGTTGTAGAAATTGGGCAGCCTTATCATGGAGCACCCAGAATAACTCCCTTTTACTGGTTAATGATCGTGGGGTTGGACAAGAATGGTTGGGGATGACCCCACCATGCAGCATGGAACAGGATGGCCCCTGGTTGTTTACTTTCCCATCAAACATTCTCCCTGCTCCAAAGCATCAGCCCTGTATATGTAGGGTCACCTCTCCCCAGTCTCGGAAGCTTTGGGTAGGGATGAAGCATGTGACCAGGCTTGAGACAATCAATTCATCATGGTTCCCTGACTGCAGTGATTGGTTCAGGGTTGGCAGCAACAATGACATTCTACGACACTTTTGCTGGGAGTGCTGGGACCTAGGCAGAGGTCTTTCTAGTCAGACTTGAACTTGAGAGGGTGTAAAGCTGGAATGCCTGCAGCCATCTTGAAACTACCAGGAGCCTGAGACTGAAGTCAATGCAGTGCAGACAGAGCAGAGAGTTGGAAAGAACCAGGTACTGATGACATTGCTTGCACTCAGAATTCAGTCATGTGTGAAGGCTGACCTTCCATTGGACTTTTCAGTTGTCTTTTCTTAAATAAGTTTAGGTTGAGCCATCTGTTGTTTGTCACCATAGAAGCGTTGACTGTGATAGTTCCGAGTAGCTGGTGGGACAGGACTGATGCAATGATGTAAGTTGCAAGGTGGTGTGTAGCAATTCCCTGTAAGGAAATGCTTTTGAAAGAGCCATCTGAAGAGGGTACATGCTCCCTCAAGGGTGAATGCCTTTTCAGTGGCAGGATTTGCACCCTGCACTGGATGAGCACTTGGGGGAGATAATGGAGAATAAATTCCAGCAAAATGGGGGGTTTTATTGGGCACTTCTTTCGATCTATGTGTTTCAGAGTCTCTTAATGACCATGAAGTGAAGTTACATGCCCCTTCTGACTCCCTCTCTGGGTATCTCTATACAAATACGAAGTGATAAACTGAATATTCTCTCTGTGACCCTGGTAACAGACCCTGGTGGGCAGGATTGTCACGACTACGTCTCCTCCACCAACCTAACCTCGGGTGGTTTCTCTGCTCTGTCAGACAGGGTAACTCCTTTTGCCCTCCAAAACCACTTCCACCTTCTGCTCCTTGCACCTACTTTCTTGCCCCTACCAAGAATTTCTCCCCCTTATTTTTTTCTTTCTTTGCCTTACAAAAGCCAGCTCATTTTTTTTTCCTTTTCTTTTTTTTCTTTTTTTTTCAGATGGAGTCTCACTTTGTCGCCCAGGCTGGAGTGCAGTGGCGTGATCTCGGGCTCACTGCAACCTCCACCTCCCGGGTTCAAGCGATTCTCCTGCCTCATCCTCCTGAGTAGCCAGGACTACAGGCATGCGCCACCATGCCCAGCTAATTTTTGTATCTTGAGTAGAGATGGGGTTTCACCCTGTTGGCCAGGATGGTGTCGATCTCTTGACCTCATGATCCTCCTGCCTCGGGCTCCCAAAGTGCTGGGATTACAGACATGAGCCATCGCGCCTGGTCCAAAAGCCAGCTCCTTTCCGTGAGGCTGTGTCCTCAGGCTATCTCAGACTGATGATGTGGTTCCAACTTCTGACCTCTGAGCGATCCAGATTTCTGAAGCATGTGTTTGTGACTTATTAATACTGCTTTGCATACTTCCCTGATGTCTCCTTGTGGTCTATCAGCTCCCCATCTTCTTGAAGGCAGAGACAGATTATGAATCGTCTCACCCAGCACACAACTTTGCACAGGCTGTACTCAAACTCAGCAGATGCTTATAGGTAAGTGGTGCCCCAATGTCAGGGGCTATTGTCAGAATGCCCTGCTGGAATATGGCCACCTGACAATCTCAGACCGAGATCATCAGTGTTCACTAGGCTGCCTATGGGCTCTCCTACAGCACTTTGCCAATCCGTGGGAGTTGTTATGTCCAAGGTAGTTGCTGGGCCCAAGATACAGAGGAGACAGAAGCATACCTCCTCCCTCCAAGACCTTCCTACCTTACCTGCACCTGACACCCCATGTGCCTGATGATATATACGTGTATATATATATCATATATATAGCCATATATAATATATATGAATGAATATATCATATATATAGCCATATATATATATATATATGTATGAATAAATATTTATTCATTTACTAAGTACCAACCAGGTATCCACAGTGTGCCGGGCACTGGGCATAGAGTGATGAGGAATGCAGATACAGCTCCTGCCTGTGGTGCCTCAGGGCTGGAGTCCCTCCCACACAGAGCCTGGGTTGTTCCTACTCCCTCTGCCTCTCTCTCTCTAGACCCTGAGATATCTGGGCTCAGGTATCTCTGATCTGCACGTGTTTCCTTTGGAGGTAGGGTCTGTTTGCCCTTTGCTGATGCCAAGGGCTTCCTCCTAAGTTCTTTCTACCTGCTCCCCCTTTTATCCAGGACTGAGCCATAGCTCCTTAGTCCCAGGAACCACCTTCTAATCCGTGTCCTCTGCTCACACAATTTTGGCTGGGTCTCTCCTAAAATCCAAGAGAGGCCTGGGCTCCCCAGGAACAACCTAATGGTTATAATCACTGTGTGTTTTGCATTTTAAATGTCTGCTTGGTTTAAATTAGTGAAGCCAAGAAGTCAAAATTCTAAGAAAAGTAAATAAAATTCTGACCGGTTTGGGAAAAGCAAATCCAAGCTCCTGCTGGGCTCCAGCTGGAGGTCGTGACCCCTAGGCTGCGAGGGTTGGGCTTTTGGCTCTTAACCTGAGGATGAGGCTCTGGGTTCTACCTGCTGCCTGGCTGACGGCTGGTTGAATGCTGTGTCAGCGACGAGCGACCCTGACTTCCCACACACCGGCCAGGCCAGGGACGGTGGCAGGAGCTTTTTCATATTCCACAGTTCAGCAGCCCCAAGCTGCTGGGGGCGGAGGACAGGTGGTGGGGGAGAGAGGATTCGGTCCCCAGGGGCCACCTGGCGCTGGTGGCATGGCGGGGAGCCAGGCTTGCCTTTGCCCTCTCTCTGTGCCGGAGCCCTGGACCCTGGCTGGCATCTCCTGAGAGCAAAGCGAAGCCCGCGAGTGATCTCTGGGGAACTTCCTAGAAAAAAGAAAGAATTTCAGGTTCGAACGGTGTAGGGAGGGCCGAACACGGGAGCAAGGTTGGCCAGGGCTGCCCTGAGCCCTGGAGAATCCCCAGAGCGATCGTCCACTACATGCCCACGTGCGTGCGTGTGCCAGGGAGCGAGAGCCCGGACAGCGGGAGTCGGAGGCAGGACCAGGAGCTGCAGAGGGGCCGCGGGCAGAGCCCCAGCGAGCGCGCTGCCCTGGCGCGGAGCCCAGGGGCCGCCCACTGGCGGGGGAGGCGGGGAGCGCGCAGGGAGGCGGCGGCGGCGGTGGGGCTTCCCCGGGCTTCCCCTCCCCGGTCCGCGGGTGCCCGGCGCGGGCCCAGGAGGCGGAGGCGGCTCCTGGGGAGAGGGATCCGGGAGTCCCTGAGGCGGCCCCGGCTCCGCACTAGGAGGCGGGGTCCGCAGTATCGCCAGCGGCCGGCGCGGCTTCCCGGAGCCCCGGAGCCCGAGGCGCGAGGTTTAGGCTGAGCCCTCCCCGGCGCCTGCCCCCGCCCGGCGCCCGCCTCCGCCCCCGCCCGCGGCCTGGAGCGCGCCTCCCTCGCCTCCCAGGGTCTGGCGAGCCGGCGCCGGCCGAGCTGCGGGAGCCGCGGAGAGCACCAGCTGACGCCGCGGGAGCTGCTCCGGCCGCACCATGCGGGAGCTGGCCATTGAGATCGGGGTGCGAGCCCTGCTCTTCGGAGTCTTCGTGTAAGTAGTGGCGCACCGCGGGCAGGGCGCACTGACGCGGGGGAACAACCGACCAAGCCTCTCTGTGCCCTAACTTAGTTTGCGCAGCCGCTTCCCACTGGGGCCTGGGTTCGAGGTCCCTTCCCCGCCAAGTGCCCGCAACGTGTCCTACGGGACCAAGAGAGACCCTTCCTCTCTCCTTCCTGGGACCCTAGGCGCGGAGCGACCACCGCGCGCCGAGGCTGAGACCTGCTCCCGGGTCTCACCGGGCCCGCGCCTGTCGCCAGCCCCGCACCACCTGCCCGGGGGATCCAGGGCTGCACCTCTAAACAGGGACGCGCACCCTGGCCCGTGCCCTCGGGAAGTTTCTCCTTCTGTGTGATCTTTGAGGCCCACGTTGGAAGTCTTTACCCCTGGCCCCGTCTCCGATTCCTCCCCGCTGTGCCCAGGGCCAGACTCCTTCCGTGTCCCTGGCTTTAGCGCCCGCGGTCCTGGCGAGCGTTTTCCCAGCGGGCGTTTGCGGCGCTTCTCCTACTGAGAAACTGTTGCTGTGGAGGCTTGAGAAGTCAAGGGGCTGCAGGCCGGGGTGGGATACACACACCCTGGAGCTCTGTGCCCGGTCGATGTCCGCTTTGGGGGCGGAGGCCCTCCAGGGGTAGCCGTGAAATGCCCAGGGTGGCTTTGAGCGGCTGGCACTGAGAACAGCGATCCCGAAAAGAAGAAGGGGTGGTGGCGCAGGTTCTTTCAGAGATGCCTGAGCCTCCTCCGTGCGCCCAGGGACCCACCGCTCATTGACTTCCAGGGCCCAAGCTGCAGGGAGCTGTCACATCTCTCTTTCAGACCTGAGCCCAGAACACCAGCTCAGAGCCACCCCGCAGCCTCCCGTGAGCTGCTGTCACCTAGGCACCCACACCTGCACTGGTCCCTCCATCAGTGAGCCAAATTCTCTCCCCCTCTCTGCCCATGGATGTTTTCTGCCACATTCTAAGTATTAAAGTTACATGAACTTTTTGGATTTGCCATGCATTTATTTATTTGTTTGTTTTTGTTTTCGTTTCTGGAAAAGCCCTCCCGAGCCAAACAGGAGGCCCTCTTTGAATTTCTGCCTCAATCTGGAGTCATCCATGGCAGGTGTGCTGTGTCAAAGATGACTTCTGTTCTGGGCAGCCCAGGGGATACACATGGAAAGAAATGCCCTTTCTTGCATGTTTTTCTTTAGCAGGGATTAAATTCATCCAGAGTATTTATTCACACCATCAGAAAAGGCCATGAGCTCCCCCAGATGCAAGCAAGCCCCCCTCTCCCGCCTTCTGCCCGAACACTGGTGTTATTCACTGGGAAGAAGGAACGAGAACTTCAGTTGGATTTTGATGCATTTGGAAAAACAAAACACTCTTCCCTTCTCCTACTCTATTTTCTACCTTTGGAATGTACGTTAAAACTAATGATTGCTGTGTGATCAGATGGGGACAGTTTCTAATTGGCAGATGGGCTAAAACCTCATTAAATTATTATGTGATAGAAATGATAAACTAGTTTTCAGTGCACAGTAGAATTTAACATTTGTTGGGTGAATGTAGGAAGAATGCTGAGATAAAGTGAGATAGGCTCTTACACTATCTCACTATCTGGTTTGACTGCTGCTGGGGGTGCTCAGATAAAAAAGGGTCCAACAATATGTAAAAATATTTATAGTTTTCAGGTGTCCCTTCCAATATCCCCCCCAAATATTTATGAGATGTTTACAGATATACAATGGTCTATGCAGTAAATTTGAAAACTTGGTAATTATTGCTTATGCGCGTCTTGCTTTTTCTAAGGGTGTCATGTAAAAGCTGGACAGGCAGTTTATGTTCTGTTCTCTGAAGTTCCCTCTTGTGTTACTTAATAGGGGATCTGTTGTCACACATGGACATTGATAGCATTTTTGGATGACTCCCAGGTTTCTTATCAAGTTGTTAACAGTGTGTCCAACTTGTGGCTCTTTTACCTGCAAAAACCAGCTTTGGTATTGATGCGAGCCTCCCTAGGGGGCAGATCTTGGATGTTCAGATGCTGTTAGTATCAGGCATGTACCGACTTCTGGGAGGACGGCTGGGAGCATGCAGAAACAGATGACCCTTTGTTTTCTCAGATAAGCGTCTGGCACCTTGACAGAGGCTGACTTTTGGGGGAAGTTTAATTCTTCCTTTTGCCAGTACTGGAAATGATGGCAATATTGGGTTGTACCTACCTCTGCTCACGAAGATGGTGGTCTTAGCAGCACAGGGGTTTAGAAAGTGCCCCTGGGCAGGCTGAATCCGATTTCCCTGCTTCAGCCAGTGTAGCTCAGCAGCTAGTTTTGCTTGGTATTTCTACCCTATTGCTCAGGATGAAAGAATTATCTGCGGGGAGAGGGGGTATCTTGCTTCTTTGCAAACTTATGCCCCCGGAGAAACATCACCTGTAGATGTGCCTGTTCTCTGACTACATTTGCTCTGCATGAGAGCAGGGATCCTGTTACCCGTAGCCCATATGCTCCTCAAAGATTCCAAGTGAGAGCTAAGAAAATGCATTTTGGGCCCACGGGTAGTAGGGATGCAAGCTTTTCCTTACTGACTCTTAAAGATCCCTTTTTCTGTTTCTAGACTAGGCACAGTGCTGAGGTTTTGTGCATTCAGAATTCTGAGAGGTTGCTCTCCAGGCACCCCCGCTCCCGCAACCAACCCGTAGATGCTCAGTCCTGCCTAAGGACTTCAAATCGCTGGGAAGGAAATTAGTAGAGTAATGCAAATCAAGGCTGGCATATAAAGTTTAACATAACAGAAGATAAATTGGTTACAGGAACCCAGTGTTTAGGAAAAATAAAAGTAAAATGTGAAGCTTTGAGGCTGTGTTTAGTACCATGAAGTGTGTAGGCCTTGAGGTCCTATTGCTCTTACTCATGGATTGTGGGCAGAGCAGGAAGGAGAAGCACTTTTGGGCTTCTTCTGTCCTGCTGCTACCCAAGACTCCAGGAGAGATTCTTTTGAGTATTTCTGCAAATGCCAAGGCTAGCAACAGACCTTACTCAGCAAGCACATAGTGTAGAAATGAGATGGCTGGTTAACACCCAGCAGACCAATGGTGCACTACTAGAAGCATGCTACTCACTTTGACCACTATCACCAGTACAATAGCAATCATTTACTGAGATCTTACTGTGTGTCAGGCACCAATGAAGACTATCCCGTATGCCATTTAGCCTGATGAAGGGGGTATATTGATATTTCTTTGTCATAGATGAAGAAACTGAAGCACAGTAAAATTAAGGAACTTCCCAAGTAACAGGGCTAACAAGGGCAGCTCTGAGATCTAAATCTAGATGCTCCATCTGCAAGGTCTGGACTCTCAATCACTTTGCTTCATAAAAAATAGCAGCCAGTTTTGGTCAGTCCAGGGCTAACTTCATGCAAAAGGTATTCCATGTGATTTCTCTTTTAAGCCTCATCTCACTGGATTCTGTTCATTATTCCCACTTTACAAACAAAGAAACCAAGGTTTAGAAAGGTTGAGTAAGTTGCCTGAAGTCACTCAGCTAGCAGGAGGTATAACCCTGATTCAAACAGGCAGCTGACCCCATGTCCCTGAGTGGTCAGCCTCTGAGACAGAAGACATCCAGCCCCAGGCTTCCAGACTGGTGCTAAACTGACCACATCCTGTGAGCAATTCCTTCCATGACTCCTTATCTCCAGAAGAGCAAGTACACATTGCCTGGAGTGATGTGTGGGAAGCTGTCACTGTAGCTCTAAAATCTCATGCTAGGATGACACCTCAAAGGTGGAGGGATGGCAGCAGTGGTTCACACTTCCTAAAAGATGGGATTTGATCATGGCATAGATTTTAAGAGTACGATGTGGTGAGTAAATTGCCGGTGAGAACATCAATTGTAGTAGTAAGAAACTAGGAATACACTGCTTTCTTCCACCGTTTTTGGCTGTCATCTCCCAGGACATCTGTTAGTTCAAGCACTCTGTATTTACAAGATTGCAGAAAGGACCCTAGAAAGATGATGACGATCTCATGTGCTGGACGGGGGGAAAGATGGTCTGTCTGTTTCACTTGTAGGCTTGAGTTCCTTGGCGTCTTATCTTCCTCTTTCCTTCCTTCCATCTGCCCTTCTCCCTATCCCTCCCTGTCATTTCTGGTGGCTCTCTGTCTGCAGGGTCCCCCTAGGAGCTGCTTAGGATGCCAGGGTGCACAGGTAATGGTGTTTACCTCCCCTTAGATAATCCAGCATCCTTCTTTGAGCTCTTAGGATGCAAGAGGCCTTTGCCAGGCACAGGGGATGAGAGGAGAGAAGGCCAGGTGGCCCCCAGTACCTTACAGTCCAGTAGGGAAAGTACACAGTGGGCCACCATTTGTTATTGTCTCCAATGCAATTACTGGCTTTGAAAATTTTGCCTCCAAACATTTCTCTTTCATTGTTCATCCACTTGATGGATATTTGGCACCTTCTAGGTGCAAGCATTTGTGATAGTCATTTCCTTTTCCCTTCATTGGTACGCTTTGATTGGTGTAATTCCAGCAAGACAGAGGGAAACTTGGTGCTTTACCTGGTCCAGGTGACTTGCTTGAGGGCACTGGATGTCAGGTAGATTTTTGAAATATCGACAAAAACAGACTCATCTTTACTACCTCTAAGAGCCCAGTGTAAGACTCCATGCTGGGGACAGTTGGAGCAAGGTGCTAGGTTTCACTGAGAAGGAGGATGCATGTGCCAGGGAAGGCTGCCCAGGGCTGAGCACCGAATGCCAGGTGTACAGGTCCTAGGCCCAAGGACATTCCTGCAGGGCAAAGGCCTGGAGGTGTGGAGGCATATTTTGGGTGGAGATGAGGTCACCAAGTGTGGCCTCAGTGTGGGCTTTGGGGTGGGTGGGTGTGGGAGTGGCAGGAAGGGAGCCTGGAAGGAGAACGCAAGTGGCCTCAGGGCCCTGCAGGGCAGGGGTCATTCCCACAGAGGCAAAACTGGGGGGGCCTGGAGGTTTGAAACAAAACTGTACCATGCTCAGATGTTTGCCCAGGGGTGGAAAGGAACCATTTGGCCAGACACACAGGCCCTGCAGACTGTGATGTGTGACTGCACACTGCTTCGTGGCCGCAGCCCTGCTTCACAGCTCCCCAGGACAAGTACTGTCTGCACTGCGTTGTGGTCAGCCATCTGCATCTTTAACTTCTTTGCTTTCCCCTGCTCCCAGCCTAGCCTTGGCACAAGCATGGTCGGTGCCTCCTGACTCAGTTTCCCAGGATCATTTTTACAGACCTAAGCATTCTGCATCAGTCCAAAGCAAAGCTACTGAAGGGGCGGACGGCCTGCTGAACACCTGCGTCAGGATTACACGGGGCCCAGGTCAGGCTAACTGAATTAAAATAGAGATCGAGGCCCGCAGAATCTGCATTTTGAACAGGGGCTCCTTCCATCCGCTGCCTTTGGGAAATACTTATGTGCAGTCTAGCGAATGGATGGCAGCACCGCAGGGTGGAGGCAGCAGGCGGTGGCCCTGTAGAACCCTGTCACTAGAGTGGCCTTTGTAAGAGGGAGGGGGACTTTTTGTGTTAAGTGAAGTTTTGGGGTTGATTGGCTACTCTACCATCAGTCCTTTCTATGTAATGAATACATTCAGAATCATTCTGCTTGCTCTCTAGAAACAAGTTTCTTTCTTTTTTTTTTTTTTTTTTTTTTGAGACGGAGTCTCACTCTGTCACCCAGCCTGGAATGAGTGCAATGGTGCGATCTCGGCTCACTGCAAGCTCCGCCTCCTGGGTTCATGCCATTCTCCTGCCTCAGCCTCCCAGTAGCTGGGACTACAGGTGCCCGCCACCACGCCTGGCTAATTTTTTGTATTTTTAGTAGAGACGTAGTTTCACCATGTTAGCCAGGATGGTCTCGATCTCCTGACCTCGTGATCTGCCCACCTTGGCCTCCCAAAGTGCTGGGATTACAGGCGTGAGCCACCGTGCCCGGCCTAGAAACAAGTTTCAAATGAGTTGTTTGAAGCAAAGAGCTATAACAAAAGACCTCGGGCTTTGGAGCCAGACAGGTCTGTGTTTGGGTTTCAGCTCTGCCACTAACTAACAATTGCCTTCAATCTCTGAACCTCAGTTTCTTCATGTAGGAAATGGAGCTAATACTTACTTCACTGGATTTTATTAGATAAGATTAGATAAGGTACTTTAAGTGCCTGTGGTACATATAACAAAAATTGGTAACTTCTCGCCACCCTTGTTAATCCCTATTGCATACATGTAGTGTCTAAGAATGGCAGCACAGCACAGTGGTTACAACTGTGGCCTTTGGCGTCAGGTTACCAGGGCTTAAATCCTATTTTGTTTTGTTTTATTTTGAAGACAGAGTCTCTCTCTGTTGCCCAGGCTGGAGTGCAGTGGCACAACCATAGCTATTCTCCTCAGCTCCAGCCATCTCCTTGGGCCCTGCTCTTACAGGCCCCAGAGGATTCTTTTTTTTTGTATATATAGATAGAGTCTTGCTCTGTCGCCCAGGCTGGAGTGCAGTGGCATGATCACCACTTACTGCAGCCTCAACCTCCCAGGCTCAAGCAATCCTCCCACCTCAGCCTCTCGAGTAGCTGGGACAATAGGTGTGCCATCGCAGCCAGCTATTTTATTTTTTGAAGAGATGGGGTCTACATTGCCTATGCTGGTCTTGAACTGCTGGGCTCACAAGATCCTCCCACTTTGGCCTCCCAGAGTGCTGGGATTATAGGTGTGAACCATTGTGCCTAACCAAATCCTGGTTTGCAACTTACCTGCTGTGTGAGTTTTGGGAGAAAGTATTTATCCATCTTCAGTCATTGTTCCTCCTTCTGTTCAATGGGAATGTCCGTCATATTCATGAATGTAAGAATATGTTAAAAACATATTGTATTGAAGTATAAGTTTGAACCATATTAAGCATATTTTGTTGAAGTATTGTGAGTATTAAATGGGACAGTATCCAGCTCATTGTAGGTGCTCAGCAAATGGTGATGTTATTATTATTATCCTTTTGTTGAAATGAATCCATAATATACACTAAAGAGAAACACCATAGGTGTCTAATGATGTTCTTATTACAAATGATTTACCACAGGATTTCTAGACAAGAATAAACTCCTGGAAGTGTATTTCTAATGATTCCTTTTAGGCCTCAAAAGTGAGGGATGTACCTTGCCATGAGTTTGTCCGATGAGTCGGAACCCCAGATCTTGCTGTCTGATGGGGTGGGCTGGTCTCAGCCTTGCAGTTTCTCAGCAGTGGCTTAAATTGCTGGCCCTTTGCAACAGTGGTTCCAGGACATCGAATTGAAGCGCTCTCAGCATAGCTGCATTAGATAACATACTAGAAAATGCTATGTTGTGTTCTTAGATAACATAACATAAGGAAAATGCTATGTCCCCGTTGTGAACTTTGCACACAGGGCTCAATTAGAAGCCACATCCAGGGAGTGCTTTTCATCAGGCACCCTCTCAGCCCATCTGTGCATGCTGTGCAATGGGGCCCGAGTGTTTCTTCTCCCCTCCCTGGGAAGGCGTCTGCCTTGTTTGATAAATGGGGCATCCTTCTGTTTGAAATACTACTTGCCACTGTAAAATGAGTTGGCTGTACCCAGAATTCTGAGAATGGATGTTTTCCCACAGGGAGATAAATGCTCCCGGCACTGCAAAAGAAGCATATGGTTTCATAACTTGTGGATAAAGGTATCTCAATTAGTTGTAAAGAATATGCCTTTTGTGACACATGCAAGGCTCATAAAAGCTCACTACCTCTATTTTTCAATGATAGCATTTGTAAATAGAAACATTATCTTGGTAATAGTGCTTCTTTAAAAAATATTATCTTGCTGTTCTATGTGGATGAATTAGAAACACTGTTTTTACAGTGAGGAAGCTCCTTCAGACAAGACTGCTGCCTGCCAGTGGGCCCTTGTCGTCATTCAACCAGAAGCTTCAGAGGTGTTAAGAGCAAGGTTTGGGATGCCTGGGGCGAGTGAGAGGAGGCTGAGAGGACCTGGGGCTGCAGAACCCAGGGGCAGCTTCATCACAGTCTCTCAATATGTGAATGTGAAACATTATCCCACAGAAAGGAGGAACTAGTTGTTATTCTATCTCCACTAAAGACAAAGCAGCAGAAAAACAGGGCCAGAGGAGGCAGGAGCATTTAGGTTGGTTTCTAGAAAGGTAGCAGTCTGCCAGTCAAAGCTAGATGTTTCTTTCTTCTTTACCAGAGGGTTTTTAAAAACATATTTTATTGAAGTATTAGTTTGAACCATATGAAATTGCTGATATTTGAGTGTTTTGACCTATAAAACTGGGAATTTCATTCAGTTCAACCTAAAATAACATACACAAAGAAATGTGCACTATTCATAATTGTACAGCTGTCCAGAAAACTACCCGATCTACCAAGCCCCCTTCCACCACCCTGACTTCTAACATCATTTGAATTCTATAGAAATGGAACCATAAAGTTTGTGTTCTTTTGTGTGACTTTTTTGTTGAATGTGTTTTTGAGATTTATCTCTTTTGTTGTGGGTAGCGGCAGTTTGTTCGTTCTCGTGTGCTCCAATTCATTTATTCATTTTACCCACGGATATATGGGATATTTATCATTTTTGGCTATTAAGTGCAATGCTGCTATTGGTTTTTGGTGAACATCTTATAATTTCTTGTAGGTATATACATACGGGTGGAACTGCTGGGTTCTTCATCAGAAGTTCTTAAGGAAGGATTTGGCCTCTCTGTCCAGCTATACCTCTAAAAGCAATATTTAGCCTGTATGATGCTGTAATCTCCATCTGCTGAGCAGCTACCTTGTAGAAAGCATGTAATGGGCCTGGCAAGTGACAGGGCCTGGCAAATGGGTCCCATTCTGCAGGCAGATGGGCAGCATGGCCCACTTCTGATGAAAAACCCAGCAGTTGCACCCCTACGTATATATGTACAAGAAATTACAAATAGGTTCACCAAAAACCAATAGCAGCATTGCACTTAATAGCCAAAAGTGATAAATATCCCATATATCCATGGGTAAAATGAATAAATAAATTGGAGCACACGAGAATGAACCAACTGCTGCTACCCACAACAACAGAGATAAATCTCAAAAACGTATTCAACAAAAAAAGTCACGTGAAAGAGCACACGCTTTACGGCTCCATTTCTCTAGAGTTCAGTGATGTTAGAAGTCAGGGTGGTGGAAGGGGGCTTGGCAGACTGGGGAGTTTTCTGGGCAGCTGTATAATTATGAACAGTGCACATTTCTTTGTGTATGCTATTTTTAGGTTGAACTGAATGACATTCCCAGTTTTATAGGTCAAAACACTCAAATCATGCTGAAGAAGTGACACCCTGACTTTGCTGATTTTAGAGACGCACCTGAGCCTCCTCGTCTGTTAAACGGGTACACTCTCTCACCTCCTAGGGAGCTTGTAAAGATGAGGTGATGTAAGCTGTGCCAGGTACCTTGCACAAAGATGGCATGTGTTAGGTGCTAAAGCCAGTCTCTTTTCCTTCCTCCACCTCCCTCCTTCCTAGAACTGAGGTGGAGATACAGGTCAATGAAAAGATGCCTGACATCACAGTGTAATAATAATGACAATGAAATAGTGTAGTTCTCAAAAGTGCAGCAAAGAGCTGAGCCTTCAACTAGGATTTAGAAATTTCCTAGGAGACATCTGAATCATAATCCAAGAAAAAGAAATTGCCAGTATATAAGTATGTGTAGGTTTGTTTTTTTTTTGAGACGGAGTCTTGCTCTGTCGCCCAGGCTGGACTGCAGTGGCACAATCTCGGCTCACTGCAAGCTCCGCCTCCCAGGTTCACGCCATTCTCCTGCCTCAGCCTCCCGAGTACCTGGGACTACAGGCACCCGCCACCATGCCTGGCTAATTTTTTTGTAATTTTATTTTTTTTTAAGTAGAGATGGGGTTTCACCATGTTAGCCAGCATGGTCTCAATCCTCTTACCTCGTGATCTGCCCGCCTCAGCCTCCCAAAGTGCTGGGATTACAGGCGTGAGCCACCGCGCCCGGCCTGTGTAGGTATATTTTAATTGACATCTATCATCACCTTGGTTATAGGAAGGCAGGGAGGTGGAGAAGGAGACACCTACTAGCTACTAAGGAAGAACACTTCAATGCCTACCATGTGCCACCTTTGTACTAGGCACTTGTCACAGTCATAGGCTTTAATTATGACACCTCTCAGGAGGTAGCGTTGTCCTCATTTACAGAGTTAAGGGTTAATGCTCCCTCATTCAGAGAGCTCTTACCAATTAAAAAGAAAAGAGAAGAGCTCATCAACAGAAAAATAGGCAACAGATACGAGCAGAAAACTAACAAAAGTTCATAAACTGACACACTTTAAATCCGTGATATTTTTATGTTAACTTTTATTTTAAGTTCAGGGGTACATATGCAGGTTTGTTACAGAGGTAAACTCATATTATGGGAGTTTGTTGTACTGATTATTTTGTCACCCAGGTATCAAGACTAGTACCTGTTAGTCACTTTTCCTGATCCTTTTCCTCCTCCCACCCACTCACCCGCTTCTAGTAGGCCTCAGTGTCTGTTGTTCTCCTCTATGTGTTCATGTGTTCTTATCTTTCCACTTATAAGTGAGAACATGTGGTACTTGGTTTTCTGTTCCTGCATTATCTTGCTAAGGATAATGACCTCCAGCCCCATCCATGTTCCTGCAAAGGACATGATCTCATTCTTTGTTGTGGCCGCATAGTAGTTCATGGTGTGTATGTACCACATTTTCTTTATCCGGTCTACCACTGACGGGCATTTAGGTTGATTCCATGTCTTTGCTATTGTGAATAGTGCTGCAATGAACATAGTGTGTACGTGTCTTTATTATAGAATGTAAATATGTGATTCCATAGCAATGCAAGATATGGATCTGAAAACGACAAAATAACAATGAGTATACATTAGTAGAAGCTTTTTATGTGCTACAATGAAAGAATGTGCAGCTATTGAAGTTAGTTCTATAGTAGGTAGTTATTTGTTTACTTGAGAAGACATTTATAACAATTGTTAAGTGATAAAAGCAGATTAGAAAAGTGTGCGTGATGCTATTTTAATGTGGTAATGTAATAAAATCAATTGTGCCTATATCTCTATAAAGATACATAATACAGTTTTAACGGTGGTTATTTTGTGCTGATGGGATTATGTAATATTTGCTTTTTAAATGTTTATGTCTAAATTATTTTATAGTAAGCATTTATTATTTTCATGCACAATCAAAAAAATCAATATAGATGTTTTCTGTTACAGAACAAAGGAGAGGCCAATGAAATATTCCAGGATAGGGCACTGAATGATTTTTTTGTGTTTGCTTTAGAAATATTTAAAGTGACAATGTGTCAAAATATCAACCTTTCTACATTTTTTATCAACTAAAATACTTAAGAAAAATCAGAGAGTAAAGATTACTATCCAGAATGTATAAGTTTGTGTTTTCAAATGTGATCGGCTGCTCAGGTGGAATAGTAAATGGGTACAACTGTTTTGAAGAGCAATATTGCAGTACATAAACAGCCATAAAATTATTCCTGCCCTTTGACTTAGAATTCTTGGTAAAAAATACATGGAGGCACTAATGGAAGAGACACCAAAATCCTCACATACAAAGATTTTTTTGCTGTGTTCCATACAAAACAAAGTAAATATATTTGTCAAATAAAAATTATTAAAACTCAAATGGTCAACATTTGAAGATGATTTGGTAGATTGTGAACACACAGAATATTATCTAGTTATTGAAAGAATCATTTTGAAAATCATGAAGAAACGTGGTGAAATTTTATGATGTAATAGTTAAGGAAAAGCACTATACAAAAATATACCTCGGAACTGCAACTTTTTTTTTTTTTTTTTTGAGACAGAGTCTTGCTCTGTCACCCAGGCTGGAGTGCAGTGGCACCATCTCAGCTCACTGCAAGCTCCACCTCCCAGGTTCACACCATTCTCCTGCCTCAGCCTCCCAGGTAGCTGGGACTACAGGCGCCCGCCACCATGCCCGGCTAATTTTTTGTATTTTTAGTAGAGACAGGGTTTCACCGTGTTAGCCAGGATGGTCTTGATCTCCTGACCTCGTGATCCGCCCACCTGGGGCTCCTAAAGTGCTGGGATTACAGGCATGACACACCGTGCCCGGCCGCAACTATTTGAAGTATGTCTGATTTGGGCCAATACTAGGAAGAATTACACCACAATGAATGTGATGGAAATGAATGTATTTCTCCTCACTTACATTTATTTCAGGATTATAAAATACTTGTGAAAATTAAAGCAATACAAAAAGTATAAGGCTCCTGGAACCACTTCAACTTTCTCTGCCTATTCCATTCTCTTCACTTTTTATACACATTTGTATATAATTAACAAAACTACTGGAAACACATTTTATTTATAGCTTAATTTTTAAACTCATTATCTCTTTAAGATATTATATATATAAACACATGCTTCATTGTTTTTTACTGGGTGTGTGGTGTTCCATTGTATTAACCTATTCATGGAATCTTAGGGTATTTTCATTTTTTGCTATGAAAAACAATATTGCAGTTGTTGTGTACATTGTAGTGCACCTGTTCAAGTATTGCTGCATGATAAACTCTTACAAATGAATTTTCTGGGTCAAGACCACGTACATTTTAAATTCAGATGAATACTGCCAAATTGTCCACCCAAAGAGCTACACATATTTACATTTCACCACAGTTGTGTGAAGGTGTCCATCATTATGCATCCTTGCCGATGTTGGATGTTTTGTATTTCTGCCATGGCCTGGAATGTAACATTTGCTTCACTTTGCATTTCTCTATGTTTAGTGTTGAGCATCGTTTCACAAGCGTATTGGCAATTTGTATTTCTTCAGTGAAATAGCTGTCTTTTCCTTTATCTGTGTTTCTATTGGATCTCTGAATTATTCTTACTGATGTATAGGTGTGCTTTATGCCTTATAAATACTAATCTTCTCTTTCATGTATTGCAAATATTCTTCCATGTCTATGGTTGATTTTTAAGTTTCTTTGTAATTTCTATTATTGTATACAAGTTTTAATTTTATGTAGTTAAATCTGTGAGTCTTTCCTTGTGGTTTCAGTTTCAGTCCTATTTAGAAAGTCGTTTCCCACCCAAAACATAAATATTCTTCTGTATTATCGAGTATTTTACACTTTTGTTCTTTAATTTTAATTTGCTAATGTTTTGGTTCTTTATCTGTTACTTGTCCCCCTCAAATGGTTTGTCGGTTATGGAATAGTCCATTATTTTCTTGCATCTTATGGGATTGCAACTAAATTCTATTCTGAATATCTATTTGCCTGGTATTGTCTCAATTAATATTTTAATTATTGTAATTTCATAGTATTTTTAGATATCTGTAGGGAAAATTTGCCCCCCCGTACTCACCCCACTCCACCCACTGGGAAGGAGTAGAGTACAGTGGTTAAGGCTTCAGGCTCTAGTGCCAGGATACCTAAACACAAATCTGCTACTTACTGGTTATAATTTGGGTAGGTTGCTTCATGTCTCTGTGCTTTAATTTCCTAACCTTTAAGCCAGATAATGATAGTGCTAAAATAGTTTTATTGTATTGAGACCAGAGATTGTGGCTTGTATGATTTCTGTGTTTTATAACTGGTTATGATTTTCTGTGTGGCCACATACATAGTAATTTTTTTGGCTGTAAATTTACATAGCTTGAACATAATGAATAGTTTCTGTTTGGTGAGTGCAAAGTTCTAAATATATTAAAAGAAGTTAGCCATGCTATTAAAATTTTCTGTAGTCTTATTCTTTTAATTTTGTCTTTTTAATTTGAAGGTATGCTATCTCTGTCAAACAAGAATAATTAAAGCCTTCACATTGTTTTTTGGAAGTAACTAATATTTTGTGTTATTAAAACCAACTTATTATGTGTTTTCTTTTTGTGGTGCTTTATTTTTATGTTTTATCCCCTTTGTTTCTTTCTTTAGCTGACTAGCTCAAGTGTTCTTTGCTACCCTTCTTTTTTACTTTAGTAATTTGGATGTCATAATTTCTATCTCTATATTTCTAATTAGTATTCTTAAATTGTATCTCCTTCTGATGCTTGAGCTTTTATTATTATAAAATTTCTATTTGTCTTTGTATTAATATTATTATCTTAAGGTCTACTTTATCTAACATTAATATGTTACTACATTATATTTATTGAGATTGAAGTCTGCACAGGTTATCTTTTTCCATCCTTTTACTTTCAACTTATCTGTATCTTTATTTTTAACATATGGCTCTCGTAAATAGCATTTAGTTATATCTTTTAACTTTATCTGTCTAGCCAATCTCTGCCATTTAATTGGAGTGGTTAAGCCATTTACAGTTAATACAATTATTAATATGGTTGAATTTAAATCTATCACCTTTTACTATTTGTTGCATGTGTTCTTTGTCTCTCTTTTTCTGTCTTCTTTTAGATTAGTTAGATACTTGTTTGTATTCCATTTTACCTCCTATATTGAATTGTTAGCTATATCTCTTTAAAAATTTTAGTAGTTTATTTCACAATTATAATATGCACTTTTTACTTATTACCATCATCTTCCCTGTGTCATTTATTATACCATTTCATGTACAATGTAAAAATCATATGACAGCATACTTTCATTTCTTCTCTCATGCCTTTGGTATATTGTTATAGATTTTACTTCTATATATAAATCTCATAAAACATTTAAATTATTTTTACTTTAAGCAATCAATATACTTTCACAGAAATTAAGATTTTAAAAAATTTACCAACATATTTATCATTCTCAATGTTCTTTATCAGTTCGGTTAGATTTGGTTTTTCCCTTTGGGATTATATCCTTTTAGCCTGAATAACTTCCTTTAGCATTTCTTATAATGCAGATTGCTGGAAATAAATTCTCCTGGCTTTTGTTTTCTTGAAATTATTAATATCTTTATTTTGCCTTTATTTTTGAAAGATTTTTTTGGTTGGATGTAGAATTTTCGGTTGACAGTCGTCATTCAACACTTTAAATATGTCTTTGCATTATCTTGTGGATTCCATTGTTTCTGATGATAAGTCAGCTTCTACTGTTATTGTTGCTTTTATGAATGTAATGTGTTTTTGCTCTTGATTGTTTTTAAAACTTTCTGTTTATGTTTTACTTTCAGCAATTTGATTGTGATGTGTCTAGGTTGGTCTCATTAGTATTTTTCCCATTTCTTTTCATTGAGATTATTGGAGATATGGTTTGTTGTCTTTCATCAATTAAATAGTCCTAAGACTTTATTTTATCCAATATTTCTTCTACCCAATTCTGTTGCTCCTGTATTTTTGGTTCTTCAGGTACATATACATATATATTAGACAGTTTGATAATGTCCTACAGATCTTGGATGCTCTATTCTATTTTTAAAGTATTTTCCCTCTCTGTGGCTCAGTTTAAGATAATTTCTATTGACTTGTCTTCAAATTCACTAATTCTTTATGCTACTGATTCTATTGTGTCTATTCTGCTGGTATGTTCATGCAATAAATGTTTTATTTCAGATATTCATGAGTTCAGATCTGGAATTTTCATTTGGTTTTTAGAGATTTAGTTTCTCTGTTGAAGTTTTCCGTCTATTATCCATTGTGTTCATCTTTCCCTATCATCTTTTAACATATTCATAATGGAAAATCCCTTTCCACCAATTCCCACATCAAGATGATCTATACCTTTGACTTTCTCTGTTGATTGTGGGTCACATTATCTCTCTTCCTTTGCATGTCTAGTAACTATTATATATTGGACACTGTGAAACATACATTGTAGAGATTCTGGATTGTTATTTTTCCCTAAGAGTATTGAATTTTGTTTTGGCATGCAGTTAATTTACTTTTGGGTCATTTTAGTCTTCAGAACTTTAATTCTAGGCTATTGTTGGGCAAATCTATCTTGTTTTTTTTTTCCAAGATTGTATTCCTTAATCTGGGACATGGTTTTTACTCCTATGGTTTTGCCCTTCTGAGGTTTCAGTAGAAAGCCTAAGTTGGATAAATTTCAACCCCAGACTGTATCTCCTAGCACTGGCTGGGTGCTGAAATCTCTGCTTGGCTCTTTAGACTGTGACTGTTACTTTCCACTGGGGTTCTTGTAGTCTTTTTCTGCACATTGCAATTTCTGAGTTAGCCAAATAATTTGAAGGAAATTTATACACAGAACTTGGGTTCCCCTTCTGAGGCTGATATGGTTTGGCTCTGCATCCCCACCCAAATCTCATGTTGAATTGTAATCCCCACATACTGAAGGAGGGGCATGGTTGGAGGTAACTGAATCATGGGGTGAGACTTCCCCCTCGTTATTCTTGTGATACAGTTCTCATGAGATCTGGTTGTTTGAAAGTGAGTGGCACTTCCCCCTTCACTCTCTCTCTCCCCTGCTGCCAGGTGACGATGTGCTCGCTTCCCCTTTGCCCTTCTGCTATGACTGTAAGTTTCCAGGAGCCTCCCCAGCCATGCTCCCTGTACAGTGGAACCATGAGCTAGTTAAACCTCTTTTCTTTATAAATTACCCAGTCTTAGGTAGTTTTTTATAGCAATGTGAGAACGAACTGATATAGAGGCTAACCTCCTTTACATGGAGGTTTCTTCTTTGTTGTATTATGTATTTTTTTATTTCTATCTGGTTTATCTTTTGCATAATTATTTTTTTCTCTTCTGCTTTGCTGATTGGTACTCTTTGAAGCTCTTCAACCTGTATATGGATTTATGTTTATGTTTTTATTCTTTTCAGTAGTGTTTCAGGAGGGTAGAGAGACAAAATATATGAGTTCAATCAGCCATCTTGACCTAGATGTCTCTTTAAAGAGATCTAAAAGTTTTTCTTTGACACAGGTTTACATTTTTTAGATACAAATTTATATTTTAAAAAAATTTATCATTTATCCATTTTTACTTTTACCATGACTATTTTTATGGTTCTCTGAGTTATCCTTCAAATGACCTCACTTTGTCTATCTAAAATCTACCTGTTTTACAAAATTCAGCTCAGAATTTACTTTTCTGTGATGTGTTGTTTGAAATATCAGCCCTGAATTAATGTACATAATACTGATGACAGTTATATGGAAGTCCCACATTTATTTTTATTTATTTTTTGATTATAGAAATACTTGGTTCCTGGATATATTATGTTTTCATTCATTCTTGTGGACCAATAAAAAATCTTCAGTCATATAATGAGAACATATTAAATTAGACTTTTAAATATTAATGCTTTATTTATGAAAACCCATGTGAAACATTGATGCTTTGCTTTTGTTTCTCCTGACACAAAAAAAATCATATTGTTCATTAAAAGCAAACTGGGGTTGTTTGGCTTTAGAGATGATGATATGATAATGATGAGAACAATGATAGTAATAACTAATATTTATTGAGTATTTTCTATATGCCAGGCAGAGGCATAGTTAAGGCAATTTACTCCTTGACTATTCAAACAACTCTATAAGGTAGGAATTTTATAATGCTTTCATTTTTTTGGATGAGAAATTCAAAGCTTAGAGAGGTTAAAGATTTCACCCAGCGTCACATTGTTAATAAATAAGATGACAGTGTTTTGAGTGAAAATTTTAAATTGAGTATTTTATGTGTTGAAACAATTTACACCAGATTTGGATGGGGAGGGGGAAGAAAGGGGCTGGTAGTGAGGCTTTCTTATAATTAAATGACCCTAATGACTTCAGTGAAATCATGGATACAAAGGGGATTGACAATTCCCGAGCAAGTGGGGCTTTGACATTCACCAGATGGCCCCCAGCATGAATGATGTTATACCCAGCAGCTCCCTGGGAGAATCCTTAGGGATTATTATATCCATTCCCTTCTTTTTTTTTTTTTTAAGAAGATTTTTCTTTTTTTCCCTCTTAACCAAGGGCCTTACTCAGAGCCTCCTTGTTGCTCAGTGGCAGAGCTGGGCCCAGCACCTCAATGTCTTGACTTTTGGCCCACAGGCCTGCGTTAGCATGGAACTTCCTCCCTTCGTAATAATGGGTGGGTTCTGCACATTTGGCCTTGTCCTTTTCCCATTCATTGGGGGTTATATGAATGCAGCTATGTTTCTAGACAGGCTTTGTGGGGCAGCTACTTGGGAGAGCTGCTCTTCATTACAACAAACTCTTGCTCTAAAGGAAGTCCTGGCAGTTCCCTTCTGTGTATTTATCATACTTCTGTGGGATGCATGAGACAGACATGTTCACAGGTCCAGAGAACAACACGAGATGATGAGTGAGCCCGGCCTTTGGGCGGTGTATTCTCCTGCAATGGTCTCCCTGGCCTGAGGTTTCCTGTAGATTTTATTCTAAGTATCGGGAAAAGGGATGGAACCTGAAGTTCAGGGGTGGGTGTTCCTGGAGGTGTTTTTTCTATGAAGACCAGCTTGAAAACCCAGAGGGCACCACATGTCACAATGGGAATAGCTGCACTTTGGGAAAAATATCTGCAGATGGTAACACTCACCTTCTTTGTTCCAGGTTGTTATCCTGGCATGATGTGGGCGGGGGGCACCAGTGTCCACTAATCTCACTTAAGATAATGTCTGAAATCACTTCCATTCCTCCACTCCTGCAGGCTCGGACATGCATTGATTGGGTCCTACTGTGCCAGGCACTGTGCCAGGCCCAGGGAACATGGAGACGAATAATGGCATGTGCCTGCATCACCACTGTCCACATGGACAGCAGGGGCCTTGGAGATCTGGGCTGCAGTGGAGCTGGGACTTGGGTGGGAAGAATGGTGGCTCTCAGAGCTAAGAGCAAAAAGGGAGTGGAGGACATCAGGGACACGTTTTGCCTGGGGCCAGCTGTGCCCCCTGTGCAGGCCTTGCCTCCAGCTCTCCAGCCCCAGGGCCAGCTCTTTGGACTCTTTTCCATAAGTTATAACAACTGCTTCTTCTCTTTTTTTTGTTGTTGTTGTTGAGTGCTTACTCTGTGCCAGGTAACGTTTTTATGCTGTATGTGCAATTATCTCATCTAAACCTTACAACACCACCATGATGTAGATGCTGTCATTTTTCTCACTTTATAAATGGCGAAACTGATGCTCGGGGAAGGAAGTCATTTGCCCATAGTCATTTGCCAACAGGTGGCACAGATGGAATTAGAGTCCAGGCTGACTTTCAACTTCCTTGTTCCCATTGCTCTGTTGCTGCAGTTGGGTGGGGTGATACTTTGTCCCCAGCTTCCCACATACTGGCCCGCCCACTGCGGGTCATAACAAACCCACACTCAGATGCAATCCAGTCTAGTGGTGATGATCCGAGCATCAGGAGCCAGAATGTGTGGGACTAAATGCTGCCTCTACCTCTACTTGTATTACTCTAATCTCTCCTCCCTCAGTTTACTAATCTGAAGAGGATAGTAGAAATAGTGCCTACTGGATGGGGTTCTCAGGGCACAAATGCTAGCAGAGTAGTACCTGGCACGCAGGGAGAACACCACAAATGTAAGCCCTTACATTGCCTTCATAGGTGCTTGGCTAAAGCTTTCCTTACCCTTCTTCTTGCCCCTGTCTTTAGAGCACTGTGTTTTTCTGTTCCCTCTCCCAATGGTCTTCTTGTCACCCTGACCTTGTCTTGCCTGTGAGAGCCACTTGTTTATAAGAATTATCTTAGTTCGCCATAATCTTGGCTTCTTTCTTAAATCCAGTCTCTCCCTGGATGTCAGCAGACTTGTTGGAAAACAGTGTCTGCCTTAGAATAACCAATGTAAAAAACATCAAGAGGCTCGGACGAAGCTTGATTAATTATCTGTGTACTTTATGCCGAAAGAGTGAATCATGGTCTTCATTTTCCTCTCAAGAATGTGAGCTGCCTGCTTTGAATTAATCCAGAACGGTTCAAAAAGAAAAGAAAAAAAACCTTCTCTACTGCTATGTCAGCATTTGGAATTACTGCCTGAGGCTTTTCTTTTTCCTTCTCAGAGAATCTAAAGGTATGTCGAATAATTGTAATTATTTCAAGTTAAAAAAAAAAAAAAACAGAAGAAAAGAACTTTGTGAAAGTTGTGCTCCAGAAAGAAGTGTTCCCATCGTCAGTTTTTTTGTTTGTTTGTTTCTGAGCAAGATGCTTTGAAAATCACCTCCCATTTTTCTGCTCGCTGAGCTGGAAATCACAAACTCTTGCCTCTGATGGGAAATCAGAAAGCAGCTCTTGGTCTGGACTGAGCTGGGTCTGATGCCATATTGAACAGAGTCAGGTTCTATATAAGAATCAGTGTCAGAGAGAAAGAAGTCTGGGTGTCATTTCCTGGCGTGGCCTTGAGCTAGGAAAGCATTTGCCCCTCTCTACAGTGAGCCCCTTGGGAGGAGGGGCCTTGGCTATTGTGTTCACCTTGTCTCTGTCACCCCTGATATATGCCTGGCACATAGTAGATACTCAGGAAATACCAAGTGAATGAATTGACTGCAGTGAGGGGATTTCAGATCACACTTCTGCCTACTGGAGGAACGGGCTGTCCCCATGGGAATCTCCTGGGCCTGAGTACAGCAGACAGGGGCCATGGCTTGTCTGGCCGACATGCAGAGAATCTTAGAGGACAAGTTGAGGAGGGCATGAGTCACTCAAGGACAAGTTTCTTCTCCAGGAAGACACACAACAAGGAAGGGGTCAGGAGTTTCACTGAGATGTCCTTTGGGTCTGCCACCCCACCAGATCCCTGGAATGGGTGGCCCCTGGCCCTCCCGCATTGCCCTTTGCCACTTAGAGGCTGTGCAGGGTTGGACCAAGGAGGGAGATGGCAAAGGTGACAGTGGGCTTGTGTGGGTTTGTGCTCATTTGGCTAAATGTCAGGACACATACCAAGGTTTTCCACGTTTTCATTTCTCATAGTGACCCATGCCTAGGGCTGACTGTCCCACCTTCTTGTGAGGGGTCCTTGGTGGAGTCTGGCCTGTTTCCCCAGGTGCAGCTTCCAGGCCCAGATACTTGGCACATCTTCCAGGAAGGGAGGTGTTCAGGGTGCCTGCTTTACCCTCATAGCTGAAGCTCACCTCTTCCAAAACCACAGCTTTTAAACAACTTATCTTTGCTGGAATTTTTTCTTTTTCTTTTAAGTCAACTATTTGGTAAAATTATGAAACAAGCATAGGCTTGATGTAGGAAACTTATATGATACACAGAGAAAATGGATAGAAAATAAGATTATTTATGATCCTACTACCCAGAGAAAACCACAGTTAACATTCTTGTGGGTGGTCTTTTAGTCTTAAGCCTGCTCCCATGATAATGCATACTTTCTTTACACAAGAGGTATGTCTCATCTGGAATAACATTTTGTAGCCTGCCTTTTTCCCTTGGTTTTATGCCTTCAGCATTTTCCTATGCCAAATATTCTTTCTTGACTTGTTTTTTAAAAAGCTGCAACACACTCCATTAAATGAAAGCAAATAATTTAATACAGCCAGTCTGCTGGTGTTGGACACCCAGTTTTTAGTTGATGTAGTTAACACCATGATGAACAACCTGGAACATTCATTGCTGTGCATACCTCTGTATGTTCTTAGGCTTAATTCCTGGATAAGGAAATTCTGAGTCAAAAAACTGGCTGGGCGCAGTGGCTCACGCCTGTAATCCCAGCACTTTGGGAGGCCAAGGTGGGCAGATCATGAGGTCAGGAGATCGAGACCATCCTGGCTAACATGGTGAAACCCCATCTCTACTAAAAATACAAAAAATTAGCCGGGCATGGTGGTGGGCGCCTGTAGTCCCAGCTACTTGGGAGGCTGAGGCAGGAGAATGGCGTGAACCCGGGAGGTAGAGCTTGCAGTGAGCCGAGACTGTGCCAGTGCACTCCAGCCTGGGCCACAGAGCGAGACTCCATCTCAAAACAAAACAAAACAAAAACAAACCAAAAAAAAACCTTCCCATCCCCCCTACTGCCACCAGTTTTGCCAAATCGTCCTCCAGAAATAATTTTCTGATTTACATTCCTCCCAGCAGTGCCTGATCTGGCCGGTGTCCTCATGGGACCTGCTCAAATGTTCCTTGCTAGAAAAACTATCACTGAGCATCTGTCCCATGTTCCACACCCTTCTCTGTCACATTATCACATTCCTCTGTTTTGTTTTTCTTATGGCATTTATTGCGATCTGAAATGATGCTGTCCGTTATTTATTGGTGTCCCTGTTTATCATCTGCCTCTGCTCAGCAGGCTGTATGTTCTGTGGGTGCAGAGACCTTGCCTGTCGGGATCATTGCTGTCCTGCACTGCCTTCCCACCATTCCCCAGGATCTGGCTCACCATGGTGTGCAGGAAGTGTTTGCTGGATGAATGAATGTTTACCCACACCATTAATGATACTCATATTATCATGCATTTTTTAATAAAAATCGTTGCCTTCATTCTAAAACAAATGCTGCCAAATTTAATTTAACCGATGGCTGGAGATGAAATGGTGACAGATGGCCCTCAGGTAGTCATGTAATTCCTTCTTGTTCTGATGAGGTATGAGGTCCTTTTCCATGAAATAACTGGAGGTTGTAATTATTTTGGTTTGTTTCTTATAGTTTAAAATGTTTTCTCTATTATTGAAAGGCTATGGATGGTATGCTCTCTAAAGCAAGTTAGTTTCTGTTTCTGATTTGCAGCTGATAATCCGATAAGGCCTTGAAAGGAGATAGTCACCTTGTTAAAATTGTATGTAAAGTAAGATCACTCTTATTTAATATTTAGGTTTAGCCTGAGTGTCTGGACAGCTGCAGGGTTCAGGTGCTGGAGGTTTCTACCTGCCTAGACCTTTTTGATTACTGGCTGGTTCTTAGAGAGGGACAGTTTTGACGGTTGAGTACCTGGTGCATGAGGTTTTACCATTCTTGTTACTGAGTGTGTTGCCCCCTTGAGTACAATAGCAGAACATCTTCTGACTAATCCAGTAGTTACAGGTTGAATAAGGAGTGCATCCAAGGATTATTGGCTGTGGATGTGCATCTGGTGCAGGCTGGGGAGGCTGTCCAGGGCCATGCCTCAGGACCCTGAATCTGACCTCCTTTGTCCAAGGTTTTGATCAGCAACTTGGATAAAGACATAGAAGCCAGCCTTATCAAATTTGCGAATGACAGAAGACCGAGATGGAAAGCTAATATATTGAATAATAGAATCAGGATTCATAAAAATCTTGACAGAGAGGATGCATCTGAAACTAACAAGGTAAATCCTAACAGGATTACACATGCAGTCGGCAGCTCACTTCAGCAGAGCTGGCAGCAGCCACCAATGACGGGAGAGGACTGGCTTGAAGGCAGTTTGTGGAATTAGTAAGGTCCTGGGTTTCCTAAATGTTTATTTTTAAAAGTAATTCTTCCTTCTATACTATTAACAGCAGTAAGGCATCCAGACCTAAAGGGTGCTAATCTGCCCCCAACACTGCTCCTGCCCCCTTGTCTTTCCTTTCTTGCTACAACAACACTTTCCCCACTGTCCTCTGCTCCCTCACCCAACCCATTTGATTTTCAGGCCCAAGTTGGGCTCTACTTTATCTGAGGAGCTTTCCCTAAGTCTCAAGGCACAGCAAGTTAGGCTCTTCTTCCAAGCACTCTAACAGTACCCCTTCTTCCCCATTAGGGTGCTCACCAAACCATGTGACCAGTGTCTGTCTGATTGTACATCTTCCCTTTGGATTAAGGACTCCTGGTGGGCAGGGCCTGTGTCTGCCTGTGAGACGCTCCACCCTGAGCTATGACACAGTGACTGGCACAAACAGATCCCAGTGGACACTTTGGTTGGTGGCATACATTCCTGGAGCATGGGGTGGAGTCTGGGTCCCACACTGTTGGATCTTGTACCCCTGTAGGCCATCCAGGAGTGGCAGCTTTCTAGCCCTTGTGCTATGGAAAGCACATGGTGGAACTGCAGATACCTAACCAGAATACAAAAGGATGTGGTGAGGACTGTACCATGTGCAGGCTGTCATGGATGGAGGGTGTGGACTATTTTGAGGGGCTTCAGGGCAGCCCAGGGGACATCAGGGAGAAGGGATAACTCAGTTCCTAGAATGGAAAGGGTTTAAAACCATTGTAGCTCCAACCATCTATGTACTGCTTGCTTGGTAGGAGTTGTCCATTCACTGCAAATGTTGAATTGTGGAGAGGATTTTTAAATTGGAAGTGGAAGAGTTGAAAGATAATGATAATGGCAACCACAATATCAACAGCTAACTCTTCCTGGAAGTTCCCTGGGCATCAGGTGCTTTATACAACTGGGTCCTTACAGCCTCCCTGAAAGGTGTCTGGTGCTCTGTGACCTCAGTGGAGCAGACAAGGAAACAAAGACCATGATCAAAGTTTTATGGCCAGTAAGGAGCTGATAACTGAAGCTTGATCCCACTCTGAGGGCATCTGATGCTGAGATTCTACTGTGCTGCCATTTAGCAACTGATACGGTTTGACTGTGTCCCCACCCAAATCTCATCTTGAATTCCCATGTGTTGTGGGAGAGACCCAGTGGGAGGTAATTGAATCATGGGGGCAGGTCTTTCTTCTGCCCTTCTCATGATAGTGAATAAGTCTCACAAGATCTGATGGTTCTATAAGGGGGGGTTTCCCACACAAGCTCTCTCTTTGCCTGCTACCATCCATGTAAGACATGACTTGCTTCTCCTTGCCTTCCACCATGATTGTGAGGCCTTCCCAGCCACGTGGAACTGTAAGCCCATACAACTTCTTTCTTTTGTAAATTTTTCTTGGGTTTGTCTTTGTCAGCAGTGTGAAAACGGACTAATACAGTAAATTGGTACCAGCAGAGTGAGGTGCTGCTGAAAAGACACCCAAAAATGTGGAAGCGACTTTGGAACTGGGTAACAGGCAGAGGTTGGAACAGTTTGGAGGGCTCAGAAGAAGACAGGAAAATGTGGGAAAGTTTGGAACTCCCTAGAGTCTTGTTGTATCGTTTTGACCAAAATGCTGATAATGATATTGACAATAAAATTCAGGCTGAGGTGGTCTCAGATGGAGATGAGAAACTTGTGGGGAACTGGAGCAAAGATGACTCTTGTTATATTTTAGCAAAGAGACTGGAGGCATTTTGCCCCTGCCCTAGAGATTTGTGGAACTTAGAACTTGAAGGAGATGATTTTAGAGTACATGGTGGAAGAAATTCCTAAGCAGCAAAACATTCAAGAGGTGACTTGGGTGCTGTTAAAGGCATTCAGTTCTATAAGGGAAGCAGAGCATGAAAGTTTGGAAAATTTGCAGCCTGACAATGCAATTGAAAAGAAAAATCCTGTCGCCAGGCGCAGTGGCTCACACCTGTAATCCCAGCATTTTGGGAGGCTGAGGCGGGCAGATCACGAGGTCAGGAGATCGAGACCATCCTGGCGAACAGGGTGAAACCCTGTCTCTACTGAAAATACAAAAAAAAAAAAACTTAGCCAGGCATGGTGGCGGGTGCCTGTAGTCCCAGCTACTTGGGAGGCTGAGGCAGGAGAATGGTGTGAATCTGGAAGGCGGAGCTTGCTGTGAGCCGAGATCGCACCACTGCACTCCAGCCTGGGTGACAGAGTGAGACTCTGTATTATTCCTGGGTGTGTCTGTGAGGGTGTTGCCAAAGAAGATTAGCATTTGAGTCAGTGGACTGGGAAGGGCAGACCCACCCTCAATCTGGGTGGGCATCATCTAATCAGCTGCTAGTGTGGCTAGAATAAAGCAGACAGAAGAAAGTGGAAGGACTTGACTTGATGAGTCTTTCAGCCTTCATCTTTCTCCCATGCTGAATGCTGCCTGCCCTCGAACATCAGACTGCAAGTTCTTCAGATTTTGGCCTCTTGGACTTACACCAGTGGTTTGCCAGGGGCTCTCAGACATTTGGCCACAGACTGAAGGCTGCCTCTCGGCTTCCTTACTTTTGAGGTTTTGAGACTCCTGCTGATCCACCACTGGCTTCCTTGCTCCTCAGCTTGCAGACAGCCTATCATGGGCCTTTACCTTGTGATGGTATGAGTCAGTTCTCCTGAATAAACTCCCCATTCATATATACGTCTATCCTATTAGTTCTGTTCCTCTAGAGAACCCTGATTAATACATTCTCTTAGGGGTCTTGTGAGGACTGAGTGAATTAATGAAGTTAATGAGTGTAAAGCACTTAGAATGTCCCAGGCATACACTGAGTCTTTGGGCATTCCACTGTGGTCACCACCATGGGCCTTGAATCCCTGCAGTGATGGGGCCCTGGAATAGAAGATTCTGTGATTTGAATATTTGACTCCTCCAAACTTCATGTTGAAATTTGATCACCGATGTTGGAGGCAGAGCCTAATGGAAGGTGTTTGGGTCAAGGGATTGGATCCCTTAAGAGTAGATCAGTGCCCTCCTTGGGGATGGGGTGAGTTCTCACTCTATTAATTCCCATGACAGCTAGTTGTTAAAAAGAGCCTGACCCCTCCCCACTGTCTCTTACTTTTTTTCTGGCCATGTGATCTCTGCACGTGGAGCTCCCCGGGCCTTCTGCCAGGAGTTAAGCAGCCTGAGGCCCTCAGCAGATGCAGATGCCCAATCTTAAACATTCCAGCCATTAGAATTCTGAGCAAAATAAACCTTTTATCTTTATAAATTACCCAGTCTCAGGTATTTCTCTATAGCAACACAAAATGGACTAAGACAGAGGGAGAGAGAGACAAATGAGGGCTCTGCAGTCATGGAGCTTCCAGGCTGGTGGAGATGACCAGCAATGAGCAAGTATCTGTATAAGTGCTACAGGAAATTTCAAATGTGATGTGCTAGTAAGTGAGCAGATGTTACCATTGTTAACATTTTGGGGATTTTCTTTTTGTCTCTTTTTTTCTATGCATATGTGCATGTTCTATAAACAATAACAATATTAGCAAAAGGGAGAGCACAGGATCTGCTATATTCTTCCCTTTTACCTAACAGTATATCATTGCAAATAGTCAATCACCATAAATGGTCAGTGTATGGCTGTCTTAGTCTGTTTTATGCTGCTATAACAGAATACCTGAAATTGGATAATTCATAATAAACAGAAATGTATTGGTGCATGTTTCTGGAGATTAGGAAGTCCAAGATCGAGGTGCCAGCATCTGGTGAGGGCCTTCCTGCTGCACCATCCCATGGCAGAAGGTGAGAGGGCAAGAGAAGGTGAGAGAGGGCAAAAGGGGGGTGAATTTGTGCTTTTATAAGGAACCCATTCCTGCAATAATGGCATTAATTCATTCAACGGGGCAAAGCCCTTATGGCCTAATTACCTCTTAAAGTTCCCATGTCTTAATATGCTGCATTAGGGATCAAGTTTGTTGCATTGGGGATCACCTCTTAATACTGTTGCATTGGGGACCAACACATGAACTTTGGGGGACACATTCGAACCATAAAAATGGAAGAATAATGTTCCCCCAGGGATGTCCACATCCTCATTCCTGGAGCCTGTGAACGTATAACCTTACATGGCCAAGGGAATTAAGGTTACAAATGTAATTAAGGTTCTATTCAGATGACCCTGAGATGGAGAGATTATTCTGGATTAGCTGGTGGGCCCAGTGTAATCACATGAGTCCTTAAAAGTGGAAAAGAAGAGGCAGAAGAGGAGGTCAGAGAGATGCAATGTGTACAGGACTCAACCTGCCATTGCTAGCTTTGAAGATGAAGGGACCACAAAGCAAGGAATGAGGGCAGCCTCTAGATGCTGGAAAAGGCAAGGAAGTAGATTCTATTCTAGAGCTTCCAGAAAGGAATGCAGCTTTGCTAGCACTTTGCCTTTAGCCCAGGGAGATCTGCATCAGACTTTTGACTTCCAGAACTTGTGTTACTTAAAGCCACTATGTTTGTAGTCATTTGTTACAGCTGCAGTAGGAAACTTATACCATCTGTTTCTAAACCTGTGCCTTCCCCCTAGAGCTCCCTGAAGGCAGGGACTGTGCCTTATTCACTCTGGGTCCAAGTGCCTGGCACAGGCTTTAAGCTCAATAAACATTTGCTAAACTCTTTTCACCTGCTCAGGAGCTGAGCCTCTGCATTAGGACTGGAGGGGACCCCTTTGTCTCTCTTTTCCATACCCAAACCCTAGTCTTGATGTGGCCCACTAGGAGTGGCCTCCAAGGCCTACAGACCTACTTCCAGCCCAGGCCAGCCTAAAGTGAGGGCAAGTGGTACAGAGAGAACACTGCCTGCTGGCTTAACTCACACCAAATAGCACCTCCTTCAGAAGGGGAATTCCTGTTAAGTAGAAGGGTTCATAAGTGGAACTCAAAACATGCACATGGTTTTTGATGCTGGATACTGTGAATTTCTTGCCATATTTTTACAAAAGGACCATTATTGATTCATTCATTAGGGAAATAAATGAGGTAAAGACAAAAATCAAAAAGAAAATTGAAATAAAAGAAAAGAACAAGAAAAGCAAAAAGAATACAGCGATGTGAGCTGTTCACCTCCTGAGTTGCTGCTTGCCCATCTCTCCTTGTAAGGTGACTGCACAGTGGGCCTGCCCCACCCTGGCTGCCCTGAGATTTGTATTAGTTGGCCTAGGGTGAGGCAGGGACAGTGATATTTTTAAAAGCTCAACGATGGAGCCTAGTAAGCAGCCGGTGGGGACACCAACTGCTGCACGATATTCTTGGTCTGCTCTGGTCTCAAGTTAGAAGCTCCCAAACCCTAAAACTCTGTAAAGGATGCTGCTTGAAAACCAGCCAAGCAGCCCTCTCATCTTATAAATGGAGAAACCGAGGTTTAGAAACACAGATGCCAACCTCACAGTCATGTAATGTCACACTTGGTGTCCGGGTTGAGGCCAGGGCCTGCTTCTGTGGATTTTTCACGCCCACCCTCTATCTTACTAGTGTTGCCAATAGTCTTAAATTCGGGCAGCCCCGTCAACCTCCATCTGTGAGAGGCTTTCCTCCCATTTCATTTAAGTTTTTTTTTTTTTCCTCCTCAAATGCTCCTTTGAAAGATCTGCTTTTGATGGGAGACATGGACTCGCCCTGCCTCCGCCTCCATGTCTACTGTCCCCTAGATGAGGCAATACCAATTAGCTAGTATGAACATGGGCTCTGGAGTCACTCAGGTGTGGCTCTGAAATTTGGCTGCACTAATACTGTGTGGTCCCTGAAAGCCTCAGTTTGACCAGCTGTAAAATGGGCTTAATACTAGTACATCATTCATAGTGGTTGTGAGGTTGAAAAGACATGGAATACATTTAAAGTGCTCAGAACTGCGTGTGACACATAAATGCCAGCTGTTACACGTTATATTATTGTTTTAAATTACTACTGATATAGGGAGGAGAATGTGGTTTCAGGTGTCAGAGCCAGTAAGGAACATCGACAGACGTTTTTGCCATTGCTTATTGGCTTCCTTTGGAATGTATGTGGCATTGGTCAGTGGTGTCCACTCCTTGACCAGACAGGCACAAGTCCTCTCTTGGGGACTGGTAACAGTGAGCTTCCAAGGGAATGGTGTGACGAGCTTGTTAGCCTTGGAGCAGAGGCTCCCTGGGCTTTTACCTCTTATCTACTTTGCCTGCCTTAAGGTCAGCCCACCCGGGCTGCCTCCTGCAGGGGTCCCAGGTGTATGGACAGACATGAGCCCTTGCTTATTGTGGGATTCAGAAGGGGTTTGCTGCCTTCTCCTTCACTGTCTCCATTACAGAAACATTTTCCATGCAAGTAATTGCAGAATGAGATAACGAGGAGGAAGATGGGGCAGATGATAGTGGATAAACTAAACTAACTTGATTACACTTTTTCCCAAACTTGTTATCCACACTTGCTGTGCTGTGCGAAATCTCAAAAGCCAATTAAGACCTTACAATCACAACTGCAGGTTCCAGAGAAGTCTCCCTTATAAGTCTAGCAGATCTGCCAACAGATTGAGCGTGGTGAGAGTAACTCTTCTGCTTTGGATTTTTGTATTTCGGTGAGAACAGGGAGTTTTATTGTTACGCTTTTAAACAAAGCTATTACACATTGAGATGGGAAGGCAACTCTTCCGCTGATGTGGTGTGTAGTGATTTAGGTGAACCTTTGGTATTTTAAAGCGGGATCGTTCTGATTGGTAACATTGTCAATTGCACAGAGAACTGATTCATTTTAAGACATGTTGATGTCACTTACAAAATCACAAGTTAAAGGACTTTGGGAAATCATTTAAGTCAGAGAAGCAACATTTGATTTATTTCTCAGCTTACTATTAGCTTCCTTTTATCAATATTACTTGACCTTTAAATCAGTTTTTTAATAGACAAGATAACCTTATAGGGTCATGGTAAGTGTGAATGAAATAATGTATGTTAAGTGTATAATTCAGCACCTGGAATGTAGAAGGGGTGCTGAAACTTTTGGCTTCTCCATTGTTTGGGAGGGGAGATTCATAGCATTTGGACAGAAAAAAACTCTAAAGTCATCCAGTCCAGTTCCTTAGTGAGAAAAATGAGGAACACAGAAAGAGAGAGAACTGTAAATGATTTACTCAGATTGCTTTAGCAGCTAAGCCAAGGATAGAACGTGAATGTCCTGGCTTCCAGAGTTGGTGGCTACTTTTTACCTGGTCCTTGACTGTTTCCCATGCCAGCAGGAAACCCAAAGCTCTCAACCCAGAGGCACCTGGAAATCCAAGACAGGAGAGGGCAGGGGAACTAAGGGATGGAGACCATGATGAGAAAAGGCTCCAGAAGTCAGGGGCTCTCTGGGAGCAGATGTGGTCCCCACTGGAGAAGGACCATGTCCCAAGATGGCCTTGTGGGGTGACATTATTCAGGAAGGGCCTGGATGGAGGGAAGAGGAGCTTGGGGAAAAGAATGATCAGGGAGAGTGATCAAAGAACAGAAGGGCAGTGTCAGGAGCCCAGAGTCAATGCCAGCCCCCCTTGAGTGGTTTATAAAGCATTTTCACATTTATTATCTTATTTGAAGCCTTAAAACAGTTCTGCCATGTGGGTGGAATGTCAATATGTGCTGAATGAATGAGTGAGTGAATGAATGAATGATGACTGAAAGCTAACATTTATTAAACCTGCTTACTATATGCCAGTCATTGCATTTAAAATAAGCCTTTTACAGATGAGGGAACTGAGGCACACAGAAGTAAAGTGATTGGCCAAGGTCAAACCCTAGGAAGGATATTTCAGAATTCGTGCTTTTCATTTAACTATCTTGCCATACTGCAAGTGCATGAAAGAAAAGTAGGTGGATGGATTTCCATTTTACCAACAAGGAAGTAGCAACATTGAAGGGCAAGAGGCTCCTACAGTTGTAAAGTAATCAGTGGTCAAGTCACTGCTAGTTAGCTCTTTTGATCTCTAGTCCAACATGCTGCTAACTAGCTCCAGCTTGTATCCCACACTACTTGGGCAGGCTCTGGGTCCTCCCACCACATACCGAGTCAAGCTGTTGTCTTCAGCCCACCCATTGTCCCACCCTCACCTCAGTGTGCTCTTGCCCCACATTTTCAAAAATAGTCATAATGGAAATAGCCCAGGATTATGGTTAGAAGTTTAAGTTCCAGTTTTGATGCTTGTTAGCTGAATGACTTTGGGCAGGGCAAGAAACCTCTTTGAGACTCAGCTTCCCTCTCTGGAAATTGGAGATAACAGTGCCTACTTTTCACTTGTAAGGTTTGAGATAAGATGTAAGAAGTGTCTAGCAGCTTCTTGGCAGGTAAGAAGCACTCAGTAAATTGATCAGCTGATCCTTCCCTCCCTCCCTACTTCCTTTTGTCCCTCCAGGTGCCTCTGAAGATGACGTCTCATTTACTGCATGAATAAGGAGCGGTTCAGGCAGCTGTCATATATCAAATCCAATTCTCAGTGAGTGCAGCAGGGCTGATATAGCTCCATCAGTTGGGATAGATGATGAAGAACGCAAGGTTTGCAAGTTGATCTTTCGTTGGAGAATTGGTGGTGATAGCGGTGGTGGACAGGGACACATTGACCACACAGATGCTGTGGACCAGTTCGTCTTAATGAACCACTTGGCGAATGAGTACCCAGCAAAGTCCAGGCTCCCTGAGAATAGACATGCATTTGTTCACAGGGGAGCAGACTTCAGAGAGTGGGACCAAGGGGCCCTGGTGACCGTTAAATACCCGCTACTCCCCAGACGAGCTAGCAGCCAGTTTGAGCAGCCATGAGAGGTGGTGTGAACACAGTGTCACACTGCACAACTGCGGTAGGAGTGGGCCACCAACACATGGGTGTGGCGGTCTGGATGGGGAAGACCTTGGGGTGGGCATTTGCCTTGTCCAAAGTGGGCAGCTGCTTCTTAGTTTTTTGGACTGAGTGCTGCCGTGGGGAGATGCAGACTCAAGGTTGCCAGATCAAATGCTTCATCAGAAGCCAGAAATTCAGATGTTAATGTAAGAGCTCCTGTTTTTAAAATATTGGCCATGAGTTACATTTAAAAAAAAAAATTTTAACATGGAGCAGCTCAAACCAAATATGCAGCAGGCTGCAATTAGTTCAGGTTGCCAGCTGCCAGCTTCCGATTAAAGATTCCAGGTGGCAGAGGCTTGGGTCTTCATTGGAACAGCTGACATGGATTTATTTGTTCAGTCATTGATTCAACAAATATTTATTGAGCACCTACTGCATGCCAGGCACTATTCTAAGTGCTGGGGATACAGCTCAGACCACAAGCAGACAAGAATGCCTGCTGCCCTTGTGGAGCTGGTGTTCTGCTGTGACCCCTCCATTCTGCCTGAGGCCACTGAATCTTTGCAGTAGTAATGATGATGATGACCTGGTTATTCCCTCTCCTCTTCTTAGGGAGACTTAAAGTGAGCAGCTCAACCTCAGTCATAAAGTCCGGTTGTACCAAACAGGCAACCATTCCTGGTCCTTGACTCAGGTGATGGCCACTGGTGGGGACAGAGACCCCACCTTGGGGATGTCTCCAGCTGTCCAAAGTCAAGACCAGTTCTATAGGCCACGTGCTTGAGATGCCTCCATTTGCATTTGAATTGAGAAGTTCAGAGTTTGCAGTACAGGTGGCCATGAAAACATTTATTGATATCCACTGTGAGCAAAAACTTTTGGGACAAAAATGAGGGCTCCTTATCTGCTTAAAAAACAGCCCCTGCCATTCCTTAGGGTGGGAGGAAGCCCCCGAGTTCTCCAGAGCTCAGCCACTGAGCAGATAGACATGCTGTGGGAAGCTGCATTCCAGAGCCTCATTGAATGCTCACATGTTTGCAGCCCTGTCCTGGATGCCTGCCCTCAGCCTCTCTTCTAATCATGGGCTGTATTTGTGGCTGTTTCATCTTACACATCTGATTCCTCTCACCTGCCAGACCATTCTAGAACACAGCCTTGTTCCTCCATGGGGGAACAGTAGGTCAGAGAAATGGTCATGGGTGTCAGGTCAGGACTGTGCTGATTTCTGCCAAGGACTGGGGTGAGATCTCGAGGGAGCAGCAGAAAGGCCTGATGCCACCTGTGCTGCTGCTCACTGGAGCCAGGGGAACTCAGATGACATTACAAGGAAGGAAAATCTCAAAGACACCTCACAGTCCCCTATTTAGGAAAACACGCTCTCTGTATATTGTGTTTTAATGAAAATGGCAGCTCAAAAGCACCTTCAAACTAAGTTCTGTTTTTCACTGTGTTTTCCCCTGAGTGATGAGTAGCATTCTTTCCTGTCCTCGAGCCCCTATCTCTGCTCAGGGTTATGTCCTAGAGTCTTGCTGTGTCCTGGTGCGGGGTATACAGACTGTCCCAGACTGCTTTCCCATTGGGAAATTTATTTGGCCAAGACAGGAGCCGAGTTCTGGAGGTCTCTGGGCTGCTGGCCCTGCTGGGTGAGGGGACCTGGCTTGTGCTAAGGTGCATCTGAGCTCTGGGTTGCCCAGGAAGCCAGTAGGAGGTGAATTCTGCAGATTTCCCTGGGTCACAAGCTTACTGGCCTCGTTCTGCCCCAAGTCACCTGCCACTGTGATGTTCACTTTCGCCAGTACCTCATCACTCAAAGTTATTAAGCAGCTGCTTTTGGAGGCATTCAGGGCCACATCCGAGCCAGGGAGAGGGCTCCTCAGTGCCCCAGGCTCCAGGGCACCAGCACCTTTAACCTGAGCATTTTGAAGGTGACTCATTTTGTGACTGACCCAACCTCTTTCCAGTTCTCTTTCTTTCTCTTTCTGATATTTCCTATCCTGCCCTTCCTTTTACTTTCTAATTTTTCTCATTATTCTTCCCATTGTCTTCACTGAAATCTAGATGAAGCTAAATATTTCCCAATAATAGGCTGTTTCTTTAGTTGGTAAAACACCTAATTTTGTAGCATCTCAATGGCCAATGGGCAAAGTTGTTTTACAGAACTTCTTGATGTGAAAATTTTTAAATACCCTCCACCAATTATCAGCACTTTTATTTCATCTGCTTCCCTCTCTCCCTTTTTTGGTGAAGTCTTTTAAAGCAGATCCTAGATATGGCATCATGTCTGTATATACTTTGATATGGAATTTTAATCTCTAAGAACAACAACAACAAAACCCAACAACAACAAAACCCAACAACAAACATACAAGCAAACAAAAAAACCCAAGTGATCTCCCATTACTATTGTAATACCTGATGAAATTAATAATAATTTCTTTGAATCAGGATCCAAATAAGGTCCACACATATTTGGTATACAAATTTTTGGAAATAATTTGTTTTTCATTTAGAATTCTTTGGTAATTAGTACTACTATTAATGCCAGTTGCTGAGTGCCTCTTGTGAGATCTTGACAATTATCTCAAATCTTCACCACCTCCTAACAGAGTGCTCTGCCCATTTTATAGATGAGCAGGGCAACTTAACTGCTTGACCCAGGTTATGAGGCCTCGACTGGATCCTGCTCTGTCAGCTGCTGCACCCAGGTTTACGTAGACCAGGATTTTCTGTTTGTGTTCAGACAATGAAAATATTTTCAGTCTTCTGTTGTTTACTCCCAAAGGAAAGGCACCTTCTGTAGAAAGGTTTGAAAATAGTTGCACTAAACATTTGGACTTCTGGGGTGATGCATGTGGTTTCTGCACATTGTGTTGCTGCCAAATATGCTTACGTTTACACCATGCCCCATAGCAGCCATGTTTGAATGTGTTTTGCTATTTTTATTATGAGGCAGAAGTGGTTTTCAATATCCTGTTGCTGCTGAAGACAACTCCTGCAGGAAGGGAAGCACAGAACAGCCTGGCTCTTTACGTCCATTCTGCATTACCTCACTGTTTATTCCTCCCCACAGCTGCTGAGATAGTGGCAGTTATCTCCATTTACAGAAGAGGGCTCGGAGGGGACATATGCCTTGCCCAAATCACACCATGAGTAAGAGGCAAAGGCAGGATGCAGGGGTTTCAACTCCACAGCTCTGGCTGCCAGCCCTTGTACTTTCAGAGCAACACTATCTTCCTTGCTATTTCCCCACTTTTAAGGTCCTGCTTCTGGACCTTTCTATGCCAACATTTTATCCTGAAAAATTCCAAATATTTAGAAAGGTTGAAAGAGTAGAATGATCCCCTATATGCTCTACCTAGATATAGCAATTGTTAACATGTAATCATATTGGTTGGATATCTCTGTTTATTGTTCATATATGTATTTTTCTGAACTACCTGAAAGTAACTTACTGATACCTGAGGTTCCTAAACCCCCCTAAATGTTTCAGCTGCTTCTCCTACAAAGAGGGCATTCTTCTACATATCCATGTCATTACTGCACTGAAGAAAATTAGTATACTTCCTTACTGTCACCTAAAATCTAATTCATTCTCTAATCCCACAATTTCCCCAATCATCCTCAGTGTTTCTTTTTAATAGCTTTTGGTTTGTTTTGACCCAAGACCTGGTCAGAGCACATATGTTTCATTTTTGATTGTTTTGTCTCTTCGGGCTCTTGTAATCTGGAACATTTAGCTTTATTCTAACTTTATTCGTGGGTTCACCTAATTGTTCATTGAGGGTGTTTGACTTGTTCCTCTTCCCCTGTTGGGTCTAAGGGTTTGATGAGATCCGGAGTATGCATGTTTGGGAAGAATGCTCAGTGGGATGCCATGGCCGTCCTGTCTCCTTGTGTTGAGGGCACAGGAGAAAGGGTCTGTGGTTCCAGTGTCAGGGGCCACAGGTAAAGAATGCAAGTTAGGGTCATTTTTCTAAAAGCTGAAGAAGAGTCAGCATGAGCAGGCAGAGGCTTTGCATTGGGAGCTTTGCTTTACCCGCACGGCCTGTTCTGGTCCTCTCTCTGCCAGTCCCGCTGCCTTCCATGCCCTGGGAGCTGGATAGATGGATGACATCTCCAGGCTTGGGCCACACATTTCCACACTGTCCACTCACCAATCCCCCCCCATCCTACCCCAGTGTGTTTAGGAGGGTACAGCAGTAGAGTACGTGTTTTCATTGTCTCTTATACACGTTCTCGTCGAGGGAGGGATTCCTGCCCTAGGGTTATGAGGATGGTCATACATGACACTCAACACTGGGCAGATGAGATCAACGGCAGCTTACTCCCCACATATACTCACAGCCCAGGGGAGGAGTACACTGCACGCCATGCAGGGACACAAGGAACAGAGTGAACAGCCAGGGACTATGGGAGGCAGGCTTTGTAGTGTATCAGGAGGGTGGGGTGGTCCCTGGTAGTGGCAGGAGGATGTAATTGACTTATTGAATAATTCCACGAGCTAGCAGGAAGCTGAGACTCACTATTCTGAGATAAGCAGAAACTGTGCCTGGTCATATCAATAAGAAATGTTGTTTGGCTACAGGACCTTATTTGTGAAAGCAGAGTAGGGAGGGGAACTTGTGGTTAGGACATTTGAATGCATTTTGGTTTCAGATGTCAAAACAAGACATAACATTGGGCCTCAATTTTAGACTTTACACTGCTCAAATTTAACACCCTTATTATTCATTCACTATGTGTACTCATCCTCATAAGCACTTCATATGAATTAATTCATTTAATCCTTACACCAACCCTCTGAGGTAGGCGCTATTATCAGCGTCACTTCAGAGATGAGGCAACTGAGGCCTGACAAGTCAAGCACCTTGCCCAAGGTCACGTGGCTGGTAAGGAAAGAATAAAAATCCAACCCAGGAGAGCTGCCCGCAGAATCTGTGCCCCCACAGTTGAAAAGGGCATGAGATTTAGAGTGAGGGCACGAGGACATGACTCCCGGCTCTGCCTTGGTTGGGCATTTATGCTTGCTAAGCCTCAGTCTTTGCATCTGAGTTGGGAGGCTTATCACAGAGCAAGAAGAACCATCCCCAAGAGGGGGTGGTAATTCCGGGAGCTGTTCCTGGTCCAGTCCTGGGCTGGTCTCTACATGCCAGTCTTCCTTATCCAGGTGAGGGGTGGATTATTTGATTAAATCAGCTGCTGCAAAGGAAGCCCCTCTTTGGATGATAGGTACAAGAGAGTTGGTAGGAGCAACTTCTTGGGGTCTTCATTTCTTTTTCCACCTCCTTCCCTGTGCATTCTTTCTTTCCCCTCTTTCCAACAAACATCAAACTTTGCTCTGCAAAAATCTGATCTCAGTTGTCCACACTGAGTGAGACTGGAGATCGACATGTTGCATTTCCCAAGTAAGGTCATATCTCTGTATCTCTAATTGGGGAAAAATCTGTGTCTTATTAAAATAATTGCAGATGCCATTGAGCTGGTGGGGAAAGCATGTATGTGTGTGTTGTATGTGTGTATTGTGTATGGCTGTGTTGCTTGACTTCCTTAAAAGTCCAGTGCATGTACGGAGGAAGAGTGCACTCCGTGCCGTATAGACTTAGGCAAGACATCTGACATCTTGTAGCTTCAGTGCACTCATTTCTAAAATAGGAATAATGGTAATTCCTGCCTCATAGTGTTCTTATGAGGGTGAAGTCCTGTTGGAAAGCAGCAAGTGAAGGGCTTGGCATGAGATGTCTGCAATATCATAACTAACTATGATTATTATTCTAATTGTTAGCTTTGTTTTGGGGGATAGCCAACTACTCCAATTCAGAGTAAAGACCTGTCTGAGGGCAGTTTGCTGGCCCACAGGCTTACAGAGATAATCCATCAACATGTTCTCCCTATAACCACACCCACCCCTTGTTCCCAGGACTAATGAATAATCTGATAGGCCTCCTTCCTGCCAAGAGTGGAGTGGCCTGCCTTTTCTGCTGACCACATCGGATGCCTGTTTATAAGAGCTTTTCCCCATTGCCCGAGAGAGAGGCTGACTAGGGAGGAAAAATCAATAGTGCAGTGAGGAAATATGCTTTCCTTTCGGCTCTCACCTGGAAAATGTTTTTTGTTTATCATGTGTCTTCAAGTGTTACTATTTTTTTTTCTTCAGATCTCAGGGGTTGAAAGTGACTTTCTGGGCCATTGTTTGTTCACAGAATAACCAAATGATGCAGAGTTTTGTTGCCATTCTTCTATCTGCTCCCTTTTCCCAACACACAACCTCACTACCCTCGGGTGGGGCTTAAAGAAGGTGGGGCAGCCTTCTCAGACCCAGCATATTCACATTTGTAAGATAAACAGCCACTGTTTGTGGAGGCCTTCAGTGCCCCAGGTGCTATGCTGGACCCTAACTTATTACTGAACAGAATATTCACAATGGCCTTGGAAGGTATGGCAGCATCCTGGGGGACGGGAGGAAGATATGTAGCCTCAGAGAGGTCAAGTGACTTTTTTCAAGCTACCCTGCCAGCAAACACCAAAGCAGGGATTTGGACTAAGTCTAATGATCTGATCTGGTTTATATTTCAGTATAATCTTTTGTTATTTATAGTTGGGAAAAAGGATGATGAAGTCTGTCATCCTAGTACTTGACTTTAAAGCCCCCTGGAGTCTTAACCTATCTTGAAAAAGGCCTGTCATCCAGGCACATGGGCTAAGGGCATTGGCAAATCCATGAAATCTTTTAGAAGCTTATAGGGATCCTCTGGGGCTTTGGGCACTTGACTTTGAATTAGAAGAGAGCCAGGGGGAGAGTGGCATCACTGTCCCTTGTCATGGACTTGCTGTTTCTGCTGGTGTGATGTCAATATCAGCCATTCCTTTGGATTCCCAACTTTGGGCTGCACCTGTTGCCACATTTGGCATATGAACTGTGATAGATACATACCTTGGAACATCCCTAGAGGACCAGGGTCCTCACAGGTGGCTCTGGGTGGGAGGCTATTTCATGAGACCAACTACTGGGGCACTCCAATCTAGACATCTTCTTAAAGCAGAGTGCAGTGGCAAGCTCATGTGTTCTGATGCGTACAAGCAAAAACCTCAACACCCAATTCCACGATCTGTTGTGACCCAGATTATACAATCTGTAATCTCCATAAGAGTTGGGACCATATTTGTATTCACCAGTGTTATAGGACAGTACCTGGCACATCATGGACACTCAGTAAATATTTGTTGAATGAAGAAAAATTTGGCAAAGATGATAGTCCACTCTCTGTCCCCTCCTGTGTCCTTTCTATATAACAAGACACATATCCTGGGGTCTTTAAGTCATGTTGAGCTATGGAAACAGAATTAACCAACAAGAGCATGGGAGTGAGAGAGAGAGAGAGAGAAAGGAATAGGGAGAGAGAGAGAGAGAATGTGTGAGTGTGTGTGTGTGTGTGTGTGTGTGTATGTGCAGGTGAGCATATGTGAGTGTAGTTTTTATCTGTCATGAGTCTAGATGCTGCCCCATCTAGCCCTAGTCTGGGGATCCTCCTAGGGGGTAGGACCATATTTTAATTTGATGCCAAGGCGGTTAAAGGCCTGGAGAGCCCCCAGTGATGCCACGTGTGCCTCTGGAATTGCATCTGCTGCTTGTAGGTGAAGATTCAGGTGACCAAAAAAAGGTAGTCGGTGGTGCTTTTGTGATTTAGCAGTGAAAGAGCCACTGGCAGCCACGGTTTGCCTAAAGGGGAGGGGTGTGTGGTTTTCTGTTATATTTCGCTTTCAGATCACTCCAACTTTAGTTTTCTTCCTGCTTTTCATTCTTAGTCAATATCAGATTCTCCTTTACCTCTTTTCCATTTTGGTTAATTTGAGTGGATTATCCCTGCATCTTAAATAATTACATCCTTTTGCTTGCCTTCCACTCACTTAATTTCAGGCAGTGTGTATGTGTGTGCACACACAAGTGTGTGTTTATGTGTGTGGGGTGTGTGTGTGCATTTTGTGTGTATGTATATATAATTATAAGCTTTAAGGAAGATTTAAACATCTGAACCACACATGAACAATGCACAAACTAAAGAGAAAATTGCTTGGCATAAAGTTAGAATTACATCTTTGAATTTTCTTCATGAATTTTTTTTTCTTGCCCTGTCTTATGGTGCTGAGTGAATGTGTTTTAAGGTCTTCAAACTATATCATGAGAAAATTAAGGAGAAAATATATATAACTGCCCCCACTTTGCCCAGGAGAAATTAAGATACAAATATATCAAGATAACTGTCCGGCCAGGGGCGGCGGCTCACACCTGTAATCCCAGCACTTTGGGAGGCTGAGGCAGGCAGATCACGAGGTCAGGGGATCGAGACCATCCTGGCTAACATGGTGAAACCCCGTCTCTACTAAAAATACAAAAAATTAGCCAGGCGTGGTGGCCAGCGCCTGTAGTCTCAGCTACTCGGGAGCCTGAGGCAGGAGAATGGCGTGAACCTGGGAGGCGGAGCTTGCAGTGAGCAGAGATCGCACCACTGCACTCCAGCCTGGGTGACAGAGCGAGACTCTGTCTCAAAAAAGAAAAAAAAAAGATAACTGTCCAATTTAAACAGGAAAGAAATAGTAGTATGTCTTGGATTAAAATCCAACAACAATTTATCTGACTTTGGGCAGTTAAAATTATCATTAAAGAAAATAATACGTTTACTGTAGTAGTAACTTTGCTTTTCAATGTAGTAACATTTGACCTACGCAGTCTAGACATTTTATTTTTAGTTTGAATCCCTATTAAGTGAAATGATGTTGATCATAGTTAACAATTCATGAATGCTTGTAATGGGGGAAGTCCATGATTTTGAGGTGAGACTGGCACTGCTGCTGAATTAGAGTTTATTGATAACAATGAAGAAAATATTGCATTCACACCTATACAGTGTCATTAAATAGCATTTTTTCCTTTGAAATGATTCATAAATGATACCTTGTAATCTGTTAGAGTTCCATGCCTCCTACTCATGTAAGGCGGTTTATTTTTGGTCATCAAACCTAATGAAGTTTTAGGAGTCTTACTCTACTCTTAAATAAATTGTGAGATGCAATGATACAATGGATAACTAGTGGTATTATCCACATGATTTCAGTACAGAGGGCCCTGAGTTATGTACATAGACACACCAGCTCTTCTATTCTTTTTTTTTTTTTCTTTTTTTTTTGAGATGGAGTCTCACTCTGTCACCCAGGCTGGAGTGCAGTGGTATGATCTCAGCTCACTGCAACCTCCACCTCCTGGGTTCAAGCAATTCTCGTACCTCAGTCTTCCAAGTAGCTGGGATTGCAGGCACGCACCACCACACCCAGCTAATTTTTTGTTTTTAGTACAGAAGGGGTTTCGCCATGTTGGCCAGGCTGGTCTCAAACTCCTTGCCTCATGTGATCCACCTGCCTTGGCCTCCCAAAATCACTTCTATTCTTAATGAAGGCTTTGCAGAGATGGGGAAAGGCTGTCACAGTGAGAACAACAGGCCTGACCCTCATCCCCAAAGGCACTCTGCATCCTTGGATCTGTCTGAGCCTTCTGGACATTAAGATGTTTTTAGCCGTTCTGTTTTTATTGGAAGTAAAAGTAAACTAAATGGTTTTACCCACCTTCTACTGGTTAAAGAGTTGCTGCAATTTCTTTAGCCTTTTCTTGAAAAACTCAAGGACGTCTGTCATTATGCTGGCCAGGAATATACTGACACTTGCAAGCTACTAAGGCTGGCAGGGCTATAGTCCTCTACGCTGAATGGCTTCAGGTTGCTGTGCCTTTTCATTTTGTTTTCTATATTTTTTTCTCCCCCATGACACAAGTGGTGCTTGAGATGATTTTAATGGCTTTGTGAGGTGAGTTTAGATTCAGATTGTATTGGGTTGGTGCAAAGGTAATTGGGGTTTTTGCCATGCTTTTTTTTTTTTTTAAATGGCAACAACCACAATTACTTTTGCACCAATGTAATACATGGATGTGACCCACCTTCTACCACAGTCATGGAGAAGATCCCCTGGGGATCATGTTAAATGCAGACTCTGATCCACTAGGTCTGGGGTGGGGCTGGAGATTCTCCATTTTTAACAAGATCCCACATGATGCTGCTGCCCTGGCCCCTTGTGACTCAAGGTTTGATCTACAGATCGGCAGCGTGGGCCCCCCAGGAAGCTTGCTGGAAATGCTAGCTCTAAGGTCTTTTCTGAACCTGCTGTCTCTGTATCTGCAGTCACAACACTCCCAAGTGATCCCTGGACATATTAAAGTTTGGGAACCGCCGACCTAACACACTGCTGGAGACCACACCTTCACACCTTCCCTAGAAGCAGGGTTCCCATTTCTTGGATTCCAAACCACTTCCAAACCACTTCCAAAGAGCTTGTGGGAGGATGTTTCCAGGCCTGGGCATGTCCTCTCTTGGGAACACCTTTAATGTCTCCAGGACTTTCCATTCCACTATGTGCCCACCTCTGTCCCTGTTAAGATCCTTAAGCTTTATTAAGACCTTGGTCCTCTGCATATTAGCTCCACTGTCTGCATGCTTTGAGACAGACGCCAGTGGCTGGAGCATGGCTGGAGAAGGGACATCAATCTTTCTTAGTACTGCTACTCCCAGAGGATATAATTTGCTTGATAGATGTGTTCTGGCTGCAGCTACTCAGGGTAGAGTGAGGGATTGTGCAAAAGCCTGGGTGCACCAGTCTTTAGAAAAATTGCCACGAGGATAATAAAACCTGAAAGACAAACAAGACGAGGAAGGAAGGTGCTCTGTGGTGTACCTGGTCCCATTGCCCTGTGGCCGGTTGTGTGAGAAGAAATAGGAGTCAAGGTTCTGGGGTCTCACAGAGTGGGGGTGTGTGGCCATCACAGTGTCAATCGCACCCTGTGGGTGGCAGAATATATTTCAGAGGTGGCTGCAGCCATATCCCTCATCCACCTGCTTTTCTATAGTAAGAACTTGCCACTACCCAGTCAATGGGTGGAGTCATTTCCCCTCCCTGGAATCTAGACTGAGCTTAGGACTCACTTCTAACTGGAGATGACACCCCACAACTTCTGAGACTAGGTTGGAAAAAGCCACTGAGCTTCTGCCTTGTTCTGGGATACCTGCTGTGGGGGAAGCCAGTAGCTATGAATAATTCTGACCACCCTGAGCCCACAGTGCTAGAGAGGAAGGGTTTTTCTGGGGGTGGGGGGGTGGGGTGGGGTTCCAGATCCTTTATTTTCAGAGCTTGCAACAGTTGGTTAGCAATGCTAGCTAAGCTGGTATAATCCGAAGGCAATCCACCTTTCTCTTTGGGCACTCAACCAACCGAATCTCTTTCTTACAAACAAGATCATTGACCAGTTAGGATCTGTCTCAATGTGTGTGTGGGAAGAGGTTCTCTCCCCCACACTTTTCCCAACAAGATTGTTTTATAGCCAAATGCAAATCAAATCCATAACACAGCAACTAGTCATCTCCAGTATCACTGATTCCCCCCACCCCCAGAATAGGAAGTTGAGGTAAGAGGGGAGAGACTGTGTCCTGTTATAAGAAAAATAATAGCAGGGGTTCCAGCTCCTGCCAGGGTTCCAGCTAACAGCCTGGTCAGTGGACAGCCATTGACTGTGCCCACATGAGAGATTCTAAGTAGGAACTACCTAGGCGATGAGCCCCTCTCAATTTCCTGATCCACAAATTCATGAGCAAAATAAAATGTTTTGAAGTAATTTGTTACGTAGCTACAGAAACTGGAGTATTCTGAAGCTTTAGTTATCAGAGATACACTACATATTCTTAAAAACATCCTTCAAGCAAAATTTATTTCATTTCATTTCATGTCTTAAAAACACTTGGGAGCAGGGAGTAGGTTGTCACAAAATCAAACAAAGACCGAAAACTGTCTAGTAAAAATATGCAGCTTTAGGCTAGAGTAAAATGATAATAGTAATACAATTCTAATTTTTGTTTCTCTTCTGTCAGGCCCTACATATATATTTCATTGTTTAACTTTCATTCCAACTCTGTAAGGTGTGTCTATTTTAGAGATGAAGAAACTGAGGCTCAGAAAATGTTAAATGACTCATTATGTGCCACATAGCCAGAGCTTGGATTTGAACGTTGCTGGACCTGACTCTAGAGCCTGTCCTGCAGTGGCTGGAAGAGTTGTTAATGAGAAGAGTTAAATTACAGGATGTCCTGTCCTTGGATCCAAGGGTTTGGGACCCTTAGGTATCATTTAGTTCAATGCTGGGGACTCCTGGCCCATCAGGGCCACCTAGGGGAGTGTTTTAAAATCCACATTACCAGACAATGTTCACTTGGAGTCTTAGGTCTGTGGTAGGGTGTTTTCTAGAAGGTTCTGACCCTTCTCAAATTGAAGTCTCTGATTTAGTTCAGCCTCCCCCATTGCAGAGGCCCTGGGTGGGGAAGCAGCTTGCTCCACAGCATGGAGTAGCTCAGTTGGTGAGCTGGGGCAGAGAGCAGAGGGGCAGAGAGCAGCTGGGGCAGAGACCAGGGCAGAGAGCTGATGCCCAGAGAGGGTGCTCCTCCATGCTGCTCTAGAGGAATTTTGGAGGGCTGATAGCAGAAGTGACTTGCACCCCAGTGAGGGGATGCAATAGGGATTCTGTAATAGAAGTGCTCCAGATTTAGGGCTGGTGAAGGGTTGACTGGGTTCTGTGATGATGGCACTGCAGGAGTCCATTCAGTCATCTGGCAAATAGCTACAAGCGATGCCTGTGTACCAGGCAGAGGCGCTGGGGGCCCAGTGCTGAGCAGAACAGTCATGGGTACCACTGCTTTTTGAAATTACATAAATACACAGACTTTTAGGACTTAAAACCTCAGAGTTAGGGGAGGCAGGGAGAGAAGGGGGAAGAGAAGGAGGGAGGGAGAGACAGGGAGAGAGACACAGCAGATGGGTGGATTTTAGGTCTCTTAGATATGCAATAGAATTGAGAGTCAGGCTGATCAAAGTGAGAATAGTTTCAGTGTCACCTGTTCAAAGTCCCAAATAGATGTTAACTTCTGTGGTCTCTGAGTGCCTACAGTGGCCCAGCAGTGCTACTGGGCTCTGGAGTGTCTCCTGCCCTCCAGAGTGACACTCTACAGTGACAGCCCTGGAGTGGCTCCTGCCCTCACACCCTCACAGGGGAGCTGAAGCTGCAAACAGCACATGCTCATACAACGTCCCAAATCTGGGATAGAAAGCGGGGCTGTGGGACTCCTGATTCTGTCTGGAGACTGGGACGGCTTTAGGGTGACCAACTGTTCTGGTTTGCTCAAGACTGAGGGGTTTCCTGGGATATAGGACTTTTGGTGCTAAAACTGGAAAAGTTATGGACAAACCAAGACAGCTGGCCACCTTAGAGGGTTTCCTAGGAGAAGCTCAGCTTTCTCCTCCTCTCCCGCTCCCCTGCGCTCCTCATCTTGGATCATGGAACTCCTTTTCCCAGAAGCCCAAACCAGAAGCCTAGGAATCAGCTTCAGCCACTCCTGCCCACAGGTTCTCCATGCCATCCATTTCCTCCCCAATCTGCTAGTCTCTCTTGTAGGGACAGCTGCCGCAACCCCAGCACCTCCCACTTTGCCTTCTCTTCTCTCCTCTGAGTCCCATCCTCACCATGGCCAGGGCCGCCATTTTGAATTGGAATTCTCATTCCATGCTCCTCTGCCAAACCTCTCCTTGGCTCAAAATCAAAGTCCTCTAGCCTGGCACTCACAGCCCCAAATGACTTGGCTTCTTTTGCCCTCTCCAACTGCATCTGAAGTGGTGCTGAACTTAGTTCCTCAGGTAAAGATTGGCTGGAGAGCTGGGAGGTGGCCTGATGGCTGAGATCTGAAAAAGCAAACCCCTGCATCTCTGCCCCTTTCTTCCCCCCAGTTTTTCTCTTGGCAGTGACTGCTTTTCATTGACCAACCGATGAAGACAGCACACGGGCAGCTGTGCCAGTTACTCCCTCCCTTATGTTCCACCTCAAACCCATTTTGTTTTCAAGAGACCATGCTGCTGCCCTGGCCTTGCCCTATTCTGACTTCAGTTTCCAGTTTACTTTGGAACCCCAAGTCCTTGGAGTCTTTGTACACACAAAGCTACTCCCTTATGCATGGAATTGGTCCTTCTGGCAGGTAGTGATGGAAGAGTCTGCAAAGTCTCAGTGATTCTTTCAGTCCTTCCCAAGCCTTTGAACCAGCTGAGAACTGACAGCAGGGCCTGTCTCTTTCCCCTTCCCCAGCAGGCTGGATTCCCACCCTGAGGGTGCATAGAAGGGGGGCCTCCTTGGGAACTTCCCACAGCAACAGAACGCTCAACCTTCATGTACTTTTCTTTTTATGTTTCAGTTTTACAGAGTTTTTGGATCCGTTCCAGAGAGTCATCCAGCCAGAAGAGATCTGGCTCTATAAAAATCCTTTGGTGCAATCAGATAACATACCTACCCGCCTCATGTTTGTAAGTACCATGATTTCATTCCTTATTTGACTGCTCTCTCAAAGATGAACCAAATGGGTTTTCATCTTTGTTTTTCTAACCCTGAAGACAGTGGGTGGCCTGAGAGAAAGAGAAGGAGAGCAGCCCATCAAATTAAAATCCAGTTCCATGTCATGATAAGAACTGCTTGGTCATGTGAGAAGTAGTCTGTTAGAAATGCTCATTCCCTGGTACCACAAAGAAATAGCACTCAAACATAAATTTAATTCTCTCAGCAAGGCCATTTTTACTTTCTGGAGAAAGGGTGCTCATCGCAGATGGAACAATGGCGGGAACATGCTTGAACAAAGGAGGGAGGCAATTTTTATCCCTTATGCAGCTTGTCCCTGCTACTGTGTCCCGTCTCCATTGGCTGGAGCCAGACCTCACAGTCTAAACTAATACCCGATTGGCTAACAGCTGAAAACTTTCTTAAATAGGTAAAGGCAAGGGAGAACAAAGGAAAAGAGGAAGTTGCTTATGAAAGATTTAAAGAAGCAATAACATTTCCAAATAAGGAAGGGGCATAAGCTATAAGCTAAGATTTGCCTCGGCCTGTCTAGACATGCCTGAGTAAGCCAAAGCAACTAACTGGGCTAAAGTGTAAGAACTAACAGTTGATAGGAGGCTTTAGAGTAAGAAGCTATTATTCCTAGTGCCTATTTTATTTTTAAACTAAGACGAGCTTTGAAGAGGAACTTTTCTACTTTCTACAAGTCATTGCCCAGTATTGTGGAATGAGAGAGGACTTGTTTGTCTGGGCTATGCTGAGTTACAGTAAAGGAAGACTAGAAGCCAGTGATGAGAATTTTCTGTCCCCTCTCTTTTTAGGATAAGCCTTGATTCTGCCAAATGAAGGTACCCAGATAGCTCTGTTTAAACCTCTGTTCTGGTTTTAGCTGGTCAGTTTTTGGCCACTAATAAGACTACCCTGTGCTTCAACCTCTTGAGAGTGTCTTGTGTCTCTCTCCTTCTAGAATAAATGGGCAAGCACCCATAGAGCTGGTGAATATATTGAGATAAATTTTACCTCTCCCACCCTCAATGCCACATGGCAATTGCCACATGGCAGTTGTAACCTTTTACATTTCACTGCCTATATGCCAGGCTTTTTGCGGAGAGCTTAAGAAATGGTGGTCTAATTTAATTCCACCCAGCATCCCAGTGAGGAAGATGTCATTATTGTCCACATTTCACAGATGCAAAACTGCATTCCAAGAGAGATGAGGGAACTTGCCCAAGGTCACACAGCTAGTGAGCACAGCACCAGGTTCTAGCGGCCAGCTCTTGGAGCTCAGCTCTCAGCCAAGAGGCTGCCCTGAGGGTTGGGGGCAGAGTGTCTGGGACTCCTTGCTGATGCTAATGAAGCCCTGGAGAATTGGAGGATTACCATCAAACCTTTCTAGAACAGAGGAAATATTTAAGCTCCTCTTTGTTATGGAACGATAATGTCACTTTTGGATGGGCAGCCTCCCAGCAGTTTGAAGGTTATTCCTGTTGACCTGCCATGGTGTCTTGTGCCTCTCTGGGAACTGCTCCAGAAACTTCATAGACACACCGGGAACATTTTTGTATTTTGAAAGAAATCCCTCTGATTTTACAGAGGAAATTTTGTTAATTAGTGATGATTGGAAAGATCTGTGTTTTTGCAAACTCTTGGAAATGCCCATAATGCCAGCGAGCATTAAAGTATTATTTTAATTGCTTCTTAATAATTACTTTTCTACTGGAAAGTAAACTGGATTTTTATAAATCTTAGGGAAATTGACAAATTAGGGTGGTTGTGAGTAGGGAATTACTAACACATGACTACTAAAATCAGCCTTTTTTCATTTCTGCTGTAACTCAAATATTCTATAAATCCTAGATATAAAGGAAGCAGTGTGTGTGTAATGAGTTTACTCAATGGCTTTAATAGGGAGAAGCTTCTATTTATCAGTTACTCCTATTTTTCATAACATTTTACATTTCATGTGTTGTAAAAACACAATTTGGAGATGAATGTTCATATGGGATGTTGTGAGAAATCTGTGGCTGTGTCCTAGATTTATGAACAATGGATTGTTTTGAAGTCTAGATACAAATGCCACAAATATTCTGGCTACAGACGTAAATACGATGGAGCAATTTGCATGCTGGCGGTGGTAGAAATTAGTCAGTAGAGGGCTTATTCAGTGCTGGGGTTCTCAGAGAACAGAAGGATATTCAGCTACACATACTGATTCATACCCTCTATTCTAATGAAATAAGTTCAACCTTTTATTTCATTAATAGCAGTTGATAAATTTCATTCATTTGGTCACACGATTTAGTACAATTCCATAATAACATAAGGAAAGCAGTAGATACATTTATAATACCTATAACACAAAGATGAAAAATATTTTGTCACCCCATAAAAAAGATTTGTTCTCCTGGGTTTTAAGAATTTAATATAAGGCATTATATTATTTTGGTCTTTTAAAACCTTCAGATGTTAGTAGAAGAATTGGTAATAGAACATCCATTTTCACTGATGTATAAAATGGCTTGATTTTCTTTGAAAGCTCACATTTTTTCATTTACTACATAAAAAAATTCTTGGGGTCTCCTTTAATTTTGGTTGGAATGTTTTAATCTAAAGATGAACTTTCTTTCTTACCAAGGTGTTTTTTAAAGGTAGCTGGCATTGACTTGGATTTTCTTTTATTGGATAATGAATGCTTCTAGAGTCATCTGTGTGCAATTTAGAGGAGCCAATTCGGCAAATGTAACAAGAAAATTAACAGAATGATGGCTAGGGGATTAAGTGCAGAGTAAATGGTAATAATGTCACTGGAAGCCTCCTAACTTGCACTTTCGCTGTCTGTGGCACCATTAGCTCAGGTGATGTCTGTCACTCTGAAAGTTGGGTGTAGTTGGAACTGTTTGATTCCAAGAGCTTGTTTCCCTTGACAACCCAGTGTTCCTGTTGACCAGAGAGACTGGCTGAGAATTCTTTTCAGATGCACTCAAAAGTCTTGCTTAACATTTCTGGGATATGCCCAAGGCCTTTATGGAAGGCTGTTTCCTCATTCAAAAGAGGTACCGGTTTCCTGCTGAGTGTGAGAGGTTTATCAGAATATTTTTTAAAACCTACTTTTTGTGTAGGACAACTTAATCGGTATTAGTTGTTGCTCTTTGGTATACTTTTTGTTGTCTATAGTAGTTGTGTCTTTGTACATTCAGGGGACATTTTCAGGGAGCCTGCTGTGGGTAAAGAAAACCATAGGGGCTATAGGGGATGAGAAGTCCAATGAGACTTGGGAGGTACCCTCAGGGACCTTCCAGGATCCCTGGTACATTAGGATGGTACTCTAATACAAAATGGAATCTGAAAAGGGCCAGAGGAGAGGCTCAGGTAAACTTCTAGGGAAGTTCTTCATCATCATCATCATTATCATCATCATCATCATCATCATCATTATCATCATCATCATCAACAACAGTAAACATTTCTTGAATTCAGGGGCTGTGCTTATCACTTTATAAAGAACATCTCAGTTAATCTTCAGAATCCTTTGAGGTCAGCACTTTTGTTAATCTCATGTCAGTGGAGAAAACAAAACTGAGGAAATTATACAGCTTGTCCGAGATTATACAACTGTCAGTGGCTGAACCAGGATCTGAGCACTGGCTGTGAGTGCAAACTCTCACTTGGAGGCACTCCGCTGTGATGCTTCCTTGGTGATTGGTTAGGTGGAGAGGCGTGTAAAGGCAGAGAAATGGAGAGTGAGCCTGTGTGGGTCCTGTCAATAGGAGTTTGTTTGGAGTATCTATGCGTAAGGGCTAAGAAAGGGGGCAGGGATAGAGCTAGACTGGGGGTAGCTTTAGATTGGTTAATTACAAGCTAATTCAGTGGATGGTTATGAAACACTTGCCATGAGGAAAGATGAATAAGATATGGTTTCTAGTCTAGGGAGGGGCACAGACATGAACACAAGGTGAACAGTTCAGCATCACTAAAAAGCCTTGAGGAATAGGTAAGACTCAGTAAGAAGTTTAAGGAATGATAGGTTTTGCAAATTTTTTCCTTGGCTTCCAAAAGAAATCCACCCAAGGCCTATTCTTTGCCCTCTTCTCTTTTTGCTTCGACCGTGATATGTCCAGAAGATACATTCTCATAGACTATTACTGATAGATACTGTGTTGATTTGATACCAGGGTTTTCTATTCTGGGATAGGATGCTTCTAAGGAAGGCAGAAATAAAGTCATTTTGGGGAGGAAGAAGGAAGAAAAAGAGACAAGGCTGGATCATGATAGACAATTTAATTTTTAGGCTCTTTTTAAGAGTCTTAGACAGCTCTTTTATCTGTGATGGGATGTAATTGTTTACCCAGAGCAGGGCCTTTTCCAAGTGTCTGAGTGTCTTAAAGTTGTCTTTATAATCACCCTGCAGCACACCTTTCTGTCAAAAGCCAGAAATGAAGGCACTTTGGGCCCATTGTTTTGTTTTGTCTGTTGTGAATAAACCCCAGTGACAAGCTCCTCTCTGGCTAACACCCTCGCATCGAGGCTGCTCTGGCTTCGATCCCTTCTGGTTGTTAGAAGTCCTTGGCATCCTCATGCCCTCCCCCATCAAACACACTGCTTCACATTTTGTGGTTTCCCAGAAGCGCCCCGGCAGTGTGGTGCATGGTGCCTTACATCAGCAGGTGGGGATGACTCACTTTCTGGGTGCAGCACTGGCCAGGGATTGACGCCCCTTCCTGTGTTGATTCATGGGTGGATGCTCCATAACTTAGTTTGTCGTTTAGGGTATGGTCAGGGTGCCTGGGAGAGTTAGGCTCCCTCTTCTCTCCCCAACCTCCTCCTGCTACTCAAAGGTGCACACTACTTAGATCTAAGGGTGCAGGTGGGCTTGAATTGAAAATGCATCAATCCTATGTGTCTGGTGACAAGATCTTGATACCCTTTTAACAGTCTTTTCTAGAAAATAATGAAATACTAGTCAACAACCAGCATTTGCCGGATGCTAGCTCTCTGTTGGATCCTGTTGGTGGGCAGTTGGTTTGGGCTCCACAGTGGCCTACAAGGGGTCAACTCCCAGCTTTGCCATTCACTAGCTATGCAAATTTGGAAGATCACCTCCCCTCTTAGCACCTTACTTTCTTTATCTGTGAAAGGTGTCTTTAAGAACATGTCCCATCAAGCTCTAGAGAGCATCAGATGGGGGTGACAGACCTTTGGCACTTCACTTAGTGTGTGGCACCTAATCAGCATTCCATAACTATTAGTGAATTGAAATCCTGCCAATAATACTTGCCATGGATATTATTATCGTCATACCCATTTATAGATAAGGAAACTGAGAATCAAAGAGGTTACATGATTTGCTCAAGGACAAAGAATGGATAAGTGTCAGGAGCTAGGGCTGAACTCACCTCTCCTCAATCTGAGTCCATTCCGCACATTTTTTTTTGTACAGAGCTCTGGCTTCCCAGCCTGTGGAATACATACAAAACTAGCCACATTCCAGATCCTGCTTAATGATACATACACTATCTCTTTATGTGGGCACTGTGCAGTACAATTAGTAACTTTAAAGATGGTGTTCAATATATAATCTCTGCCAGCCTCAGTTTCCCCATCTGTAAACTAAAGCTTTTGGGCTAAGGGAATCACCGAGATTCAGGACTCCAACCCAGGAGCATGGCAACCCAGTCTGGGAGTCTTGGTCCTACTAGCTGTGTGCATTTGTGTGTTCACTCATCTCTCTGAGTTTTAGTTTGGTTATTTGTACAATGGGAATAATATTTTCCATAGCAGAATAGTTAGAAGATTGGAAAGTGTGAGGAAAGTCCATAACACGTAGTAGGTGCTTAAGATATGACAGCTGTCACTGAAATTTCTATGACTTATCTATGACCTGGAAACAAGCCTCCTTACCTTTCTTTTTTAACTTGGAAAAAAAGCATGCACTATGTTTTATTTAATGTTTACTTTCTAGGGTAGGAACTGCTCTAACATTGTGGTCAAAAGTGCAGAGCCTAATTTAGATGGTCTGGGTGCAACTCCTCATTTTACCACTTGATTAGTTGTGTGACTTCCAGCAGGTTGCTGAACCTCTCTGTGCTTTATTTTCCTATGCATTAAGTAAGAAGCCTTTTCCATGTAGGATTGCTGTGAGAAGTGAATGAGTTAATTTGCATGGGGTGCCTAGAATAGACTATAGTCCTTAGTAAGTTCTCAGTACACGTTAGCCTTTGTTATTGTAACCTAGGTATGTACATTCAGCAGCCCCATACTCATAACAAGTGAGCAGAACTCAAGTCCAAGAAGGGTTCAATATGTTCTCTGAATCCTGCAGCAGTGTTCGGCTGGAATTCTTTGTTTTCTCTCAGGTCTCAGTTAATAAGCTCTGACCACTCCCCATCTTCCTACCCTGGGCTCATCCTAGGATTTCCTAGGATTTGATTCTTTTAAAATTAGCCATGGAAACATTAACAGAAGAGAAAACAATACCAAGGGAGACTTTGCTTGCTCATGTTTTTCCTCCACCTCTGCCCATGTGTGGAGGTACAAGGGAGCATCCCCACCTTACGTCCCTCTGTACATCTTCATCTGCTCCCCTGGCTCGGGCAGCAGAACTGCAGCTACCAATGGCCTTTGTCGAAAGAGTGGAATGCTTATGCACTGGTTTCAATTCAGTCTGCTTTGCTGAGTGAAAGTGAGGTGGTGGGGTGCTTACTCGCCTCATTCCTCCTTTACCCAGTTCAGAGGTGTTTTGCCCTAGGAGGAAGTCGTTTTCCTAATGTGTTGGCTTCTGAAGTTCACCTCTTAATTCCAACTTTCATTTAAAAATGTTTGTGTACAAGGGGGTGAATGATACATGTAACTATGTCTCTATCCATCCTGATTCACGGACTGTGCTGCCCAAGGATATGGCAGATACATTTCCAGGAGAAGAATGAGACACTAGGGCCCATTGCTTTTAGGATGAGAGGAGGAAACAAGCCACATCTTGCAATCACACAGACACCTCTGCTGCAGCAACTCTGGGGTGGGAACCATGGCATTTTGAAGGCTGCATTCCCTTGCCTGGGAAGCCCTTGATATGGGGAGCCTTGGGCCCTCCTAGGTGCTTAGCATTGGCTCAAGAGCAGTTGATAGTGGTCCTAGAAAAGATACCAATATGCATCTACCTAGGAAATTTGCAGCATGAGTTAAATTAAGTCCAGCCTTGTTGGGGAAGTGGGGGTGAGGGTCCAATTAGGAAGAGGCAAGTTGAGGCAGGGCGCAGTTCTAAAGGAGACCACTGGGCCATCAGGCCATGAGCTTGGAGTCATTGGGCAGCTCTAATGAATTCTTCAGCCTGCACACCTGGCCTTGATCCTGAGCGCCTCCCACCTGGCACCCACATCTCCTATGTGGGCAGTGACTTTCTGCTCTGGAATTTCCTTTGGAAGCCTCATTGGGAAAGTCATCCCAACTCATACTTTTTTCTGGGGTTTCATTGTTGCCTAACCTTAGATTATACCAGCTGGGATTGCCTTGAAATGTTTCCTTCAAAACCATGTTGTTCTCCTATATAAACACTGACTTGGTAGTATCATTACTGGGTCGTCCACTATTTAGTGAGTTGCTTTCTCCTATTTGGGAGCACATTGCCTGGTCTGTATGCAGTGCTTAAAGGGACAGAAAACAGGAAGGTAAGCTGGTAGCCTTCATGTTTGGATTTGGAGAAACAAGGACTTCTTTGACCTTGACCATAACATTGGACTTTAGTAAGTGGTGCTTCAATTCTTGTTCTTTAAGCACTAAATGCATGAGACAAAAGTCTAAGGCATAATTCTCAATCATCAGCATCAGTACCATTTGAGATATTGTTAAAAATGTACATTTCCGGGCCAGGTGCGGTGGCTCACACCTGTAATCCCAGCACTTTGGGAGGCCGAGGTGGCGGATCATGAGGTCAGGAGATAGAGACCATCCTGGCTAACACGGTGAAACCCCATCTCTACTAAAAAAGTACAAAAACTTAGCCGGGCGTGGTGGCGGGCGCCTGTAGTCCCAGCTATTTGGGAGGCTGAGGCAGGAGAATGGCGTGAACCCAGGAGGCAGAGCTTGCAGTGAGCCGAGATCGCACCACTGCACTCCAGCCTGGGTGACAGAGTGAGACTCCGTCTCAAAAAAAAAACAAAATGTACATTTCCAGACCAGCTGTATAAGCATGTTTGAGGAAATCAGTACTTCAACAAGCCGTGTAGTTATTTAGGTGTGAGAGCTGCCCAATAATTTATGGCACAGACTTACTGGACCTCTTAACTCAGGAGTGTTGCCCTTCTGAATAGCCCCCAGGGGAATCCTCTGTTTTCTCTGTAGCAGTTCTGAATCTCCTCTAGTGCATCAGCCCTTTAGCACCTGAATACCCTCCATGGTGGCAAGACTTGCTTATTTGACTTTTAAACAATCCAAGTCATTCAGGGCCACAGCTGAATCATCAAACTGGTTACTACCACTTCTGGTCAGAAATAAATGGTAGCAGGTAAGGAGAGGGCTTTTTTCATGTCTCATACAAATGGCCTCTGAAGACAGTTCCCAAAGAGGAGTCCCCGAGATAATTTGAGCTCTAGCAGTCTGGTTGTAGTAAGGGTGTGGAGCATCTAAGCCTGCATTCATTTGGTTGAATTCTGTTTTTATAAAAGAAGAGCTCTTGGCCAACATGGTGAGACCCCATCTCTGCTAAAAATACAAAAATTAGCTGGGCGTGGTGGTGTGCACCTGTAGTCCCAGCTACTCAGGAGGCTGAGGCAGGAGAATTGCTTGAACCCGGGAGGTGGAGGTTGCAGTGAGCGGAGATCACTCCACTGCACTCCAGCCTGGTGACAGAGTGAGACTCTATCTAAAAAAATAAAAAATACATTTAAAAAAGAAGAGCATATTCCAGCCATGCCTTAGTTCCATCAGGAAACCCCTCTCCAAAAAGTGATGTCTTACTAGAGCAGAGAGAGAGATTTCCAGAATTATGAACACTATTCGTCAACAGTTACACCCCAGCCCTCCCACCACTGACTGCTAGGCCAATTCTGGATTTGTGAGATGTTCAGTCTCTTCTGATATTGTTATCCTGAGATGTTATAGTCATGAAGAAGCAACAAAAAATGCCTTTTATATGGTTGGTGGAAGGTTTAAAAACAATTTACTAATTACGGAAGCTGGAATAAAGACTCAATATGGGAATGGAAACCTTGTCCCCAAATCCTAGCCTCGCCCCTCTCCAGTTGTATGTTCCCAGGCACATCACCTAGTCCTCAAGCCTGGAGGAGGCAGTCACAGAGTTATCATGAGGATGTAAGAGGCTCCTGGACTTGATGGTACCACCAGTACCATGGTTTCCACCTCACAGTAGGTTCTGTAATGAGTGTTGGCTGCATCTGAATCCCACCAGTTTAACTCATTAAGTCTGAGTTGAGCATCTATGTGGAGGAAAGGGTATAGAGGAAGGAAGAGTAGAGTCTTTAAACAAACGGACTAAACTCTGCTTTGCAGAAGAGATAAATATTCAACAAAAGAACACCAAAAGAAAATGAATTGATTGACTCTAAGTGAGTCTCAAATGCACTCGTGTTTCCAGAGAGATAGGAGTTGGAGGCCAAGGGTTCTTCACCCTTCCACAGAGGAGAGCATGAGGGGAATTACTGGCAGACATGATTCATCGTAATTATAGACTATTCTTTTCCATTTAAAAAGTCACTGCTTTAAACATGGCTCTCAGCAATTACAAATCAATTATAACCTACAATCAGATCTTCCATTTTTAAAGTCTGTGTAGTCTCTAAACACAGACATACATCATCCTTTTTTTTTTGTTTGTTTGAGGTCAGGAGTTCAGTAAGATTATTCAACCAGGGAGTCTAAATGAAACTAACGGGAACTAATTATCAATCAGCCCTTCTGATAGCAAACTGATGTCCTCATAAGGGATTGTTTGTTATTTCTTCCAGGCAATTTCTTTCCTCACACCCCTGGCTGTTATTTGTGTGGTGAAAATTATCCGGCGAACAGACAAGACTGAAATTAAGGAAGCCTTCTTAGGTAGAGTATTCACAGTTCCTGCTTTAGGGAATGGGGCTGACCTTAATTAGATGATCACATTTAAGAAATCTCAGTTACACCCAACTGATTTTTTTCTTTTGGTCAAATTAAGCTGGGGAGGAACAAGATAAGATAAAGATAAACTTTAAGCCCAAAGAAGAGCCAACGTGCGGTCCTAAATGAAGGATGTTCAGACACCGCCCACTGTCGCTGTCCGTTGTGCTGAATGCTCGTAACACCCTGTACACACCAGAGAGCTGTGCTGCTCAGGCGCAGACTCCGGGTAGCTCTTGGCAGTAAGGCAAAGTAAATCTAAAACTTTGTTGCCTCTGACTGTCCACTCTCACATTTTTGGCTAATAGACCCACATTATGGGCAATTCAGCAATCAACCACAGACTCCTCGACCAAACACTGTTGGCTAGAAGCAATAATAGGCAAATGCGGGAGTAAAATAAAATAGATATTACAAACAAGCTCTATAACTCATCTTAAGTTTGAAGATATTTTGGTAGTTAAGTGTTCATTATTATGTGAAGAGTGCTATGATCTTTGTCATTGATTATAACATCATTGTTATAAAGTCTTCCCAAGACGAGCCATGTCTGCATGGGACAAGAGTTTGACATTTCAGGATTAAATGCGTTTTTCTGGTCTTCATGATAATCAAATCCTGAGTAAATGACAGCATTAAGAGATAGCCAAAACGACTTGGCTTGTTTAGCAAACAAAATAAACTAACCTGTAGCCAGGTTTTCAGCTTTTTGACCGTGAGAAAAACCAAATCAGGTTGATTTTTTCTTTTTTTGACACGTCACCTAAAAGTTACCCAAATCCTCAGCCCAAATTTTGTTTTTGGTGTGTTATATGGACTTACCATTCAATGGGCTAGTAAGTCTGGAAAATGAGAGCCTTCACTTAAGGGTATGTTTGTTTGTTAATTATTGGGCTTTGGGGAAATGAAAATGTAGCAAAATATGATCCTCCCTTTTCCATGGTAAGGGAGTGAGTGTGAGAGCTGCATCTAGGGAGTGTGGGACAAGCAGCAGCTCCTGCCCTAAAGCAGCACAGAGAACGCTTCCTATATAACCAGGCTCCTGTTAGGCCTTATCTACTTGAAACGAACAGAATCCCTCTCAAATTAGCTCAAATAAATTAGGGGTTTAATTACAGGGCTCTGATAAGCAATCTCACAGACATCCAAGAAAAAGGGGGAAAGGTTCAGAGGCACCTCACAGGGACTGGAATGGGGAGCTGGGCCATCAGGAGGGGAGACCTCCCTCTTGGCTCATGACCACTGCAATGTGCCTTGCCTCTTCTCCTCACACTCCCAGCCTGATTCTTCTGCCTCAACTTTGTTTCTGCTGCCCCATGTCTGGTTTATGTGAGGCTTGGGCTTGCAGTGGTGGTGATTTCTGCCACAAATCTGTCTGCCTGTTCAACTTCGGTGCCCACCCACCAAGCTTCACTGTGTTTCTTGGTCCAGACTTCCTAGACAGAGTCTCTGGCTCAGCTCATTTCTCCAGCCTGGACACAAAAGCCATGAGTCCCTGGCCAGCCTGTCGATGCCCTCCCTCAGGTCAGGTGTGTACCGCAGGCTGCCCTTGTGTGGCTTGGACTTTTGGTCACAGGTTTCAGTCTCCTCAGCTGAGGTGGAAAAAGGTCACATTCTCCAAGGATTCAGGTAGGTGTGCCTCCACACATGGCTTGAGTGGCCGGGCAGTGTTTGGATGGATATCACCATAGTCTCCAAAAAGTGCTGTTGGGAGCCCCCTCAGTTCATTTGGAAATCCCTTTAGTTCATTCTTTATTCTAGTGGCTCCCCTGGCATGGAGTCTCAAGATAAGTGACTGTGGGTGAGAACTGTCTTTCATGGTTATGGTTCTCACTGACGGCTGGCTTTTGGAGTGGGGCTGCTGTCACAGCAGTAAGTAGCTCACAGTTGCCTTCTCCAGACTTTTCATTCTCAGCTAAATCTCCCTTAGGGTGACATTTCAAAATTGAACATCATACTCTGTCTCCTATACGTTAACAGAGAAGGTGGAATTATTGGATGTTCTGTTTGCCTAAATAAATGAGAGCCTGCCATATAAAAATGATGAACAGCCTCCCATTGTGTGTAGAGGTTTTTTTTTCAATCACTATTTTTAGGAAGCCTCGGAAGTAGCGGGTGGGAGTGGGTGATCCTTAAAAGCCAAGGACAGAAAACAGGGTGTAGATTTTCCAGTGTTGTCTGGAATTCAGGACTCTATCGACCAGGAGGTTTAGTTCTTAGCATGCTTCTTTACTCAGATGTCTTCAGCAGACTTTAACCCAGGCTTCCAAACCTGGATCCCAAGTGCTGCCCTCATCTCCAGGTAAACAGTGGCCATGTTTGTGCATCTGGCATTGGATGAGAGGAGTGAGGTTTGCCCCATGCAGCATTGGGCTTTTAGGAATTCAGGCTGCAGAACAGTCAGGTCTGTATAATAGAGAACCCTCTTATAAAAGCACGATAGTGCTGAATTTCCTACAACAAAAGTAACAACAAAAGCCCTCTAATCTCCTGGAATGCTTATAACCAGTAGCGTCCTGAGTACAGGCTGCTTACAAGCCGACTCACGGGACATGTTGCTTTGAGATTTTTTATCAGACACAGTATGGTTTGTCTTTTTGACTCTTCTCTGAAACCCACAGTGCTGTGGGATGCTGTAAAAAGAGAACAGCCCTTATGAATCAGACCCACTGGGTTATTGCTAATGAACAAGTATTCCTGATAGGGGCCATTTATTTTCCTGTTTGTCCAGCCTTTCATGGGTCTGATCCCAGCACAGCCTTCTCTGGTATCAATGAGGGGCTCCTGCATTGATCCCCGGAGGGTTGTGCTATTCCAGTAAAAATATTAAGCAGTTTGGTTTCCTTCTAGAATGCTGAAATGACCTCCATGTTAAATATCATCACCAGCTTCCTACCTTTCTGTTTCCTTCAGGTGTTTGGATTAGACAGGGAAGTTGCCAACTGTAGGTGGTTATATCATATCCATACATTTTCCAGCTCAGCTATTTCAGACTTTTTAAAGAACTGCTCTGTGCTGCGATAAGCCCACCAGGCTCAGAGGCTGGGGAAGTGATCCATGTGGCTGTGTATGAAGTTCACCAAGATTTACATGGGGCGATAGGGAATTGGCTAGGGATGCTTGTTCCCAGAGAGGCCATGCTAGGACCAGGATGATAATGAGTTCAGCCCCACTGGGAAAACACAGCCGTGAGCGTGGCAGGCCAGCCCTAACAGAGAAAAGACCACAGTAATTTTGCGGCAATCTCACAACCTGTTAATTATCAGGGTTTGTGGAGAGAATATGGCAAAGATATCCCAGAGAATTTGCTCTCGCCTTTTGGAGACAGGCCTCTCCACAGTGCTCTGAGCTTGCCAGAGAGAAGGGAAGCTGGCATTTGAGGAAGGAAGGATCTGTGTGTTCAGAATGCAATCAGTGGATCTTTCCAAGTTCCCTCATATTCAGTTCCAATTTCTGCACCCCCATTGCATGCTCAGTGTTTTAATGGCAGTGCTGTGCGGCTGATTCACACTCTGCCCTCCAAGTCTGTGGCCTGTCCCTCCTTTCTGCCACACTCAGATATGGCCAGTTGCCCCCATCTCACACTTAGGTGATTTGTTTCCCTTTGACAAAGATGTTCATTTGAATGTGTCCCTCCCATTCTTTCTGCTTCGGATAACTTGTTAAAAGCAGGTGGGTTGTGTTCCCATCTCTGTGGCTTGTACTCTTAGTGACCATGTTGGCCATTCCACAGTACTTTCTGCTCATAGAACAACACGTTTGTCTCTCTCGATGGGCCATGAATTGCCCTAGGCAGCTCCTTCCCGAAAATGCCCCCATTCACTGCTATATTCTTATATAAATCTCAGCTAGTGTTGAACAGTTAATATTTGCCAAAGGGAAATGGTAGCTCACATGCTTTATTATTCAACAAAGCAGTGGATGGGGCATCAATAGGTTTGTACTGCTTCTGTGAGGCATTTGACCTTCTATCACATTGATGGTGATGACTCTGCCTTTTACGCACTCTCGATAAACCACAGGAGAGAGGTACAACATTTTGCAGTGAAAGCTCTGTGACTCATGTTACCTGCCGCCTTCGGGACAATCTGTGCTGCATCTGGCAAAGTCTTCCCAGACTGTTTGGAGAAAGTCCCTGTGCTCTGTATGGTCAAATAATGTATCCCAGAAGTTCTTGCTGTTTTAGATGGCAAAAAGCACCGCCCGGGCAGACCTTCTCCAAACCCAGTGAGGCTTTTGGACTCTGCACCTTGGCAGAAACAGTGATTTGTTTGATAACAAATGGACAGCTGTCGGCCGGTGATGGGTCAATAATGAGATAATTGCCGAGTGGGAATGTCCTTTTCTGCAGTAGGATTCCAGCAGCTGCTCTGATTAGAATTATGTCTGAGAAGGTTGCCAGGAGGAAATAAAAAAAGTTATGTTTCTTGTTACCAGTAAAAGAAATTCTACATGCTGTGGTATTAAATCTGTTCATATCAGGCCAGAAAATGATAGATAAGCTCCTCTGTGATTGTGAAAATTTCAGTCAAGGAGGAGAGATAAATTTCATGTCACAGGGGCCTAGAATTTTATGAGTCACTCTCCAAAGTCCTGGCATAATTATATTTTGCTCTCTAGCAACCCAAACGTATCTCTGTTTTCAAAGTATTCGTTCATATTTCTCTGGTCATTAAATAGTATTATAATGTAACAGTGATGATGATGATAATGATGATGATGATTTTGATTTAAGAGCCAGCTTGCTATTTTTCTGTCTGTTGGTTTTGTTTTGTAGCGGTGTCCTTGGCTCTTGCTTTGAATGGAGTCTGCACAAACACTATTAAATTAATAGTGGGAAGGTAAGTTCCAAGAAGAATGAAATGGTGACTTAGACTATCAAGGTCATCTATATAGGAAGCTGGGCCAGAGGACACTGGATGGGACAGATTTGAGCTCATCTAGTTCTCCCTTAAATTGTTGTCCTTCTGAGATTTCCATCCTTAGCACAGATCTTTCCTTTGAATTACAAACTCACTATTTTAGAAAGCAGATCACTAGCAAGGAAGTGCCCACTGACTGCACTTTCTTGTGGGACAAAGCTTACTGCTGGCATTTTCAGATTCTTCCCCTGCCAGCCCAGGGCCTCCCCTGACACCCACTCACTTGTCAGTTTTGGCCTCTAATAAGTAGGATTACTTACCTGTCATTCTCTTCAGGATGAGACATATGGATTGGCATTTGAGCCTTGGCTTATGGCACATTTCTCTTAATGCCCCTGAGAAATGATTTCTGTTTTCCATTTATCTTTCCTTCTCTTCTGACTGCTCTGGTGAAGAGCTGGTCTCTACAGACATGAGCAGTCAAAACATCTGAATTCAAGACCTAACTAACTCTAGCTGGCTGTTGGCCTGGGACACACTAGATCCCCTCTCAGAACGTTAGGATTTATTTTATCTACTGGATGCAGGCCAGGGACTGAGGGGGCAGGAGATAGATAAAAATCAGGCAGTACATGGCCTGTTGCTGCTGTGTTCCCTTAACTTTGTGTGCCCTGACCAGTGCTTACTCTCAGGCCTCACCCCTCTGAGGTTCTGGTGCATTAGGTGGACATCCATACTTGGAGAAACAGTGGCTGAGTACCAGAGAGACAGTACCCCAGCTGTTCTGGTAGACTGCTTAGGCCCTACTGGAGTTGCAGAGCTGAAGGACCAGTGACCAGGACTGTGACCTGGAGTGCTCAGAAAGCAAGCGCTATGTTTCCAACATTAGCTAAACTTCACCCGTGGTAGGTGCTCAGCGAATATTAGTTGAGTATGAATGTGAGGTGATAGGCCATCACCCACCTGTGTGAGGACCCTCATTCAAGTGAGGCAGTAAAGCATGGGGTGAAATGTGTCAGCATGAAGATCCAGGCGCTGGTGTTCAAAGCTTGTCCTTGCCACTTACGGGATGTGTGTGACCTTGAGCAATGAAGAGCCTTCATTTTTGCACCTGTAAAATACAGACAGCTCCAGGCTCTGCCTCAGGGTTCTCCTAAGGATTATATGGCACAGCAGGTGTGTGGAGCTTAGCACTGTGTCTGAAGCCTAGTAAGCACTCAGGACTTCCTGCAGCTGTGATTGCTGCAGGAGGCTCGACTTCAGGCCCAGGGCCACCCCTATGTGCCTCTAGAGATCTCTTTCCCATGTCCTAGACCAGAGAGGCCAACCTGGGGCACTGTGTCTTCTGCATCATGGAGCTGAGTGTTCAAGGTCTCTCAGTGAGGCCAGGTGAGGCCTGCCATTTCAGGAAGGGCAAGTGGCCACCCAAATTCAGGATATACGGACACGAGGAGCCTGGAGTCTTGGATCCCAGAGGCAACCTCTGAAATAGATCAAGCGGTAGAGTGGTAGATTAATAGGATTACTTATTTATCGTTCTCTTCAGGCTGAGACCTATGGATTGGCATTTGAGCAATGCATGCCAATATCCAACAATAGAGCGGTAGATCAAGACAGGAAGTAACTTCTAGTCCACAGATGGCATGAAGCCTTCCTTTTCACACCTGTCAAACAAGGAACTTGGGCCAGAGGACACTGCTTAGGTGCCTCCTGTAAGTCATGTCACTCTATCCACAGGACCTCAGCTTTGGGTCAGTATTGATTTCCCCCTTCTACAGATGTGGAAACTGAAGCTGGGGGAGACCAACTGACCTTCCCAAGGTCATAAAGTGAGTAAGTGGTACATGGGAGCGCCAACTCAGATTTCTCTGACACCAAAACCTGAGCTTTTTCCCAAACGGCTGTGTCTAGAGTATTCTGTGAGGAGCTCCAGTGTTGACAGCCAAGGGGGCTGAGGAAAGAGCTGGGGGCAGTGGGGAGTTGGGGGGGTCAGCTTGGGGTCATTTGTGATGGCAGCATTTTATATTGAAAATGTCCATGGTGTCTTTTGTAGACCTCGCCCCGATTTCTTTTACCGCTGCTTTCCAGATGGAGTGATGAACTCGGAAATGCATTGCACAGGTGACCCCGATCTGGTGTCCGAGGGCCGCAAAAGCTTCCCCAGCATCCATTCCTCCTGTAAGTTCATGGCTGGGATTCTCTTAATGCCCCCAGTCATGTTTCCTGCTCACTGTCTTTGGGAATTTAGGTGCAGAGAAAAGCACTGGTACAGGAATGTTAAGCGCAGTTCATTTTTCTTCACTTTACGGCGTTTGACTTAGAAACAAGATTATTCAACAGGAAGTAATATGCCCAGGATGAGGCTCTGGAGCTTATAAAACATTGCATGTGTTGCTTTCATGAGCTTGGCAGAGCATAACATGTGATACTTTACCCCTGCACAGTACGATTTAGGACAAGGGAATTCTCTACGCTCCCTGGGAGCCTCCATTGTTTAGGTCATTGTTCTCTCTAGTTTATTTCTTCAATTCAGGTGTTGCGTGTGTGTGTACACAAATATATAGCACATATGTATACATATATACATATACATACATATGTTACATGTATATACATATACTTTCCCCCATGCCTCCAGTTTATAGTCTGACTATAGATGTGTGAACACCTTAAAACAAAGACTTAATACTGTGAATCAGAAGCCGTGCAATGTAGCTGAAAAGGAGACAGGTCTCTGAAGTCTAACAAACCCTGGCTCTGCCAGGTATTAGCTCTGTGACTTCACCTCCCTGTGCCTCAGTTCCTGCTGTGTAACATGGGAATAAGAATGCCTCCATTATTGGTTGGAATGAGGATTAAAATAAGTGGTGATGATCGCTCACATTTCTGGAGCAGCAGCTATGCCAAAATGGCAACATAAATTATCTTATTTAATCCATGCAGTATATGTAAAGCGCTTAGTATTGTGACTTTCAATAAACAGTAGTTATCTACATGATTATTGATTATCAGAGCTGAAGTTTCCTGAGTATTCTGGCTTGTGCCATCATCCATTCATCAGTTCATATTGCATGGGGGATGCAAAGATAAATAAGATGCAGCTTGTGTCCTGGGGAGTGCCCAGGTAGTGACAGATGGTGTATTTAAGTTGATGATTCCTGGGATAATTGGAGAACTATGGTCACAGGTGACCATCTTGAATAGGACAGGCTCTTCTCATGATGCCAAGTCCTTAATTCTCCCACGAGTCTGATTATTATTTACCTTTAGCAAGCCTGCTATTTTAGTTTCTTTTTTCCCTAAATACCCGAGACACATCCTACTAATGGCTGAATCAAGAAATAACTGAACGCTGTTTCCTGGGGACTGTCTGTTGAACATGTTGCTCAGAGCCGTTGAAGAATAGGGCCTGTCAACGAGACATTAGCTGGGGGCAGACACTCTAAATGAATCACTGTCAACTTGCACAACAACCTACCAGGTGGGGGATTGTCCCAGTTTTACACATAAGGGCACTGAGGATCAGGCAGGCTTGGTAACTTGTCTAAGGACACCAGCTCTGACAGGAATAGCTGTAGGTACCAGCTGGAGGAATTCCTGCTGTCTTGGGACTTTCAATGATCAAATACAACAAAACATTTACAGTCCATGTTTATTTAAGTAAATAACAAATTTTCTTCTCTAGTTTGTTGGAAACGGTGGTGAGTTGAGTAGTTGCCTCCAAACAGATACGTTTAAGTCCCAGCCCCTGGAACGTGTGAGTGTGAACCTTATTTGGAAAAAGTGTCTTGGTTGATAATAATATGACATCGTAGACTAGAAATTTGCTAAGAGAGTAGATTTCAGGTGCTGTCATCACAAAAAAATAAAGTAACCATGTGATGAGATGGATATGGTAACTTGTTTGACTGTCGTAATCCTTTCGCTATGTGTATTTTTATTTGAAAGAATGAACACTGTTTTACATGCCAAAAAAGAAAAAGGAAAAGTAAAAGGATCTTGGCAGATGCAATTAAGTTCAGATCTGGAGATGAGATCATTCTGGATTTAGGGTGAGCCCTAAGCCCAGTGGCAGGTGTCCTTATAAAAGAAAGGATCGGCCAGGTGCAGTGGCTCACGCCTGTAATCCCAGCACTTTGGGAGCCCAAGGCGGGTGGATCACGAGGTCAGGAGATGAAGACCATCCTGGCCAACATGGTGAAACCCCACCTCTACTAAAAACACACACAAAAAAATTAGCTGGACTTGGTGGCGCATGCCTGTAATCCCAGCTACTCAGGAGGCTGAGGCAGGAAAACAGCTTGAACCAGGGGGTCAGAGGTTACAGTGACCTAAGATTGTGCCAGTGTACTCCAGCCTGGCAACAGAGTGAGACTCCATCTCAAGAAAAGAAAAAAAAAAAAGCTCAAAATTCTTGTAGGCTCTAGCCATTCCTGTGACTTACGGCAGAACACCCGTTTGGAGTTGCTTCCTCTCTAAACATGTTTTTTTCCTCTATGCAGTCCCATTTTAAGTGAGCACCTGTTTTGGAGGCCTTGTAGTTACCAGCTGGAGGAATTCCTTCTGTATTGATTTTTTGTCTCCTTGTTTCCAGGGAGTCCCATGCTGGCATTGTTTAGAGGTACCTGGAATAGTATTCACCTGGGATCAGCTCCCATCTGCTCTCCATCTGTCTCCTGGTAGGGTCACTCAAGTTCTCTTAGATTTTTTCTCCCTTTGTTCTCTTCTCCTTTTCTTCTCTTCCTTCTTTCATTCCTCCCTTCTCCCTCCTGTCACTTTCTGTCCTCCCAAAGACTTGGTGCTGAATCTTAAGGGGCTTCAGAAATTAAAAGCACCTAAGAAGTGAAATTCTAAGGAATACCTTAATACGGGCTTCCAGAATGGTTGGTAGGGGACTGTAGCACAATTTACTGTCTACTGTTGCATTTGAACTTGGGAACGAAATAGCTGTCATGTGAATATCTCAAGCTGTCAGACTACTGGACCTCAGAGGTTAGAAGCTGGACCCCAAAAAAGATGTTGATTTCAGATGCGCACCCTCCCCTCCAACCAGCAGGAAGCATTTTCCGACATGGCTGGCTTTCGGCTGCCTTGTCAAATGGTGGCTGACATCTGATCTGTGCTAGACAAGCTTTTTGACAGAGGCAATTATATCCTTTGCTTATGATGCTGCTTAAAATGTTACCCATTTTTACTACCTGGCAGACATGGAATTCTACCCAGTCTGTAGGCTTTGATGGTGGTATTTTCATTTATTTTCTCCTTTTTTTAAATGACAGGTTAGTGATTGGCTTGAAGGGAGTGCCATAACCACTTAGAAAAAACACCGATGCTGTTTTCTGGATTTCTTAGTAGCTAATAAGAAGCCTAGTAGTTGATGTGACTGCTCCTCAGAGGGGGTGACCTAAGTGGACTCCCATTTTGATATAAACACTCTTTTTTTTCCTTAAAAAATCAATTTCATAGGCTGGACTTGAGTGACTGGGTAGGGGAGTTCTGGACTGAGGGATCTCCTAAGACTAATTCTCCATGCTAGGTAGACATGGGTTTTGCTTCTGCTGTGTTTGCAGATAATTGGCGGCTGGAATGAAGTCCAGGTCCTCATATCGTCCTTAGAACAGCTGGTTTTCTTTGAACTTAAGAACAAACATTGATTTCTTTTGGAAACAAAGGATCTTGTTCTTAATCTACCATAAGCAGCCAAACAACACTTGTCTGAAGGGCTTTTGTGTCAAACTCTCAGCAAACAGCATTTCCCCATGGCAGCGTTTTTATGGGGCTTGCTCTGTAAGGCAGCCTAAGCCACCCTTGATTGGAAAAGCAGAGACCACAATTTCAAAGAGCAAGTGATTTTCATCCAACCTAAAAGAAGCTTAGGCTTTAAAGTGGAGAAAGGCAGTGTACCTTCCCATAGTGCTTAAAGCAGGGATATTCTGAAAAGAGAATTTGTCTCTCAGAGCGTAATCCCGATTTTTTATTGAGTACTGATTCAACTTCCAGAGAGAGGATAGATATGAGAGAAAAATAGAAAAAACAAATTATTAATGCTAAGTCGAGGTATTAAGAAACTTCTTTCCTGTGAAAATGGTGGGAATAAATAAAGCAATACTCTCATCCAGGTGTCAGCGAATGACAGCATGTGGACCAAGTCCAGTGGCTGCTAGCTTTTGTAGGTAGAGTTTTACGGGAACACAGAGATGCCTGTTCATTTCCATGTTGTCTATGGCCTCTTTCACTTTACAATGGCCATGTTGAGGAGTTGTAGAAGAGAAACATGGCCCACAAAACTGAAAATATTTATTATCTGGCCCTTTACAGAGAAAATTTACTAACCTTGCAGTCGCCCATGCTCCAAACAGATAGTATTAAAAAGCTTTACTAAAGCAAGACCAGTGCACTCAAATTGTGCACATGAATGTTTCAATTTTAAACATTTTAAAACTCTATTACAGTATAAAAAGGGGCAGTTGTTGCTTGTGGAATACATTTTTTAAATGACGGAGAAAGCCTAAAAGGTATGCCTGGCTGATGAAGATTCAACAGATGATTCTTGAGTTCTTTCCGTTAGGTATGTACCAGGATGAGCCCTTGGGGAGAGTACAGGGTGATCAGACATGGCCCACGTTTTCCTCCAGGATGAAGGCAAACACTAAGTTGTTGAACACCACACTCTGGGATTGGGGAGCTGAGAATTCCAATCAGGGGACAGGGAAAGCCTCCAGGGAGGAAAAGCCCTTTATCTTGTAGTTTCCCATAAATGAGTACATACAAGTTACATGTTTTGAGATGTTTACTATTCTTTAGCTGCATGTAGAATTCTAGGAGGAAAATCATTTCCATGCAGGATTCCAGTTCACACTGTGCTTGAGAAGTCTGACTGCATTCCTTTCCTTTGCTTTGTTTTTCTTTCTTTCTTTGGAACCTTTTATGGTCCTTTCTCTGTGTCTCACCATCTAAAGTCCACAATGATGTACCTTACCGGGATTTGTTTTTGGTATTTATCGTTCTGCTAACTCTGTAGGTCTTTTTAATCTGGAACTTCATGTGCCTCACCTTTGTATTCCCCGTTTCTTCTCCTTGGAACTGTATTAGGCAGATGTTGAGTCTCCTGGACTGATCTTATCTTTTTAGTATCTCTTCTTTCCTACTGTCTAGCTCTTTGTCTTTTTTGTTCATCCATCAGGGAGACTTTAAAATTTTTATCTACTAAAGCTTCTATAGAATTTTTATTATGATTTTTATATTTTTAATTTCCAAGAGCTCTTTCTTGAACTCTGATTAGAAAAATCATTAACATCCTTTTTTTGTCTTTTCATGGATACATCATCTCTTACCCCGCTTTGTTTGCCGGTTTCATGTGTGCCCTGCCTTCCCTTTATTTGTGTGTTTTTGTATCTAGCTTTCCTTAAATATCTGGTACCTTTGCTGTGTGTTGTGATTTAAGGTTGAGTCATAAAGCTAATTGGGCAGGGCTTGTTAATTGGGCTTCACTGAGGGTGACTGGTGTGAGCTGGGTTTTCATTGGTTGACCTCCAGTGTTAGCTAGCGTCTGGCCTTTACTTTGAGGCTGTTTGATTCCCTAGAGGAGGCTCTTCATACTCCTGCCTGGTGTATGTGAACCTGGCATTCTGGAAGCTGTGCAGAAGGGCGTAGGTGCTCACAGGTCAGTTCTTAGTCTTTCACATCATCTCCCTATTTTCCATCTGTTTGTTCAGGCATGCCCTCTACTCATCTGTTTTTCCAAAACCAGAGCCTCAGATAGTTAAAACTTCTGTCTTCCTCAAAAGTTGGAAAGGGGATGGTTTCCTGGCTTTGAAGGAGGGGTGGAAACCTGGAGAGTTTAGCTTCTCTTTATCGGCACTTTCCACCTATTTGCCTGTTTCTAGCCCCATAGTTCACCCCCTGCCTTCTGCAGTACCTGGTGCCTTTAGTTTCAAAGCTCTGCAGGGCCCTGCCTGGTGAATGGGCTGCCTCTCATCAGCACCACCCTCTGCAGGTGTGTAGATTGAGCTGTCTTCAGCTCTGCAAGTCAGTATCTACTTTGCCACCTGCTTCCCATCTTCATAGAGTGATGTGGTGTTCAGGTGCTCCGAGATGGAATGTGTGTTCTTGTTTGTATTAGTGAGGGCTCTCTGGAGAAACAAAACCAGTAGGATGTCTGTCTGTCTGTCTACCTATCTGTCTATTTGTCTGTCTACCTATCTATCAATCAATCATCAGTCATGTATCTATCTTAGCAATCAATCAATTGATTGATTTATTTTAGGGAATTGGTTCATGAAATTGTAGTGGCTGGCAAGTCTGAAATCTATAGGGCAGGGTGGCAGGCTGGAAATTCAGGTAAGAATTGATGTTACATTGTTGACCCCCCAAATATGCGGACCAGCAGGCTGGAACTCAGATAGGATTTCTACGCTGCAGTCTTGACGTAGAACTCCTTCTTATCTGGGAAACCTCAATCTTTACTCTTAAGGCCTTCAACTGATTGGATGAGGCCCCTCACATTATATAAAGGGTAATAAATAATACCCTCCATAATTTCTTACTTAAACTCAATTGATTGCAAACGTTCCTCACTGCTAAAAATACCTTTACGGTAACATCTAGGCTGGTGTGTGTTTGACTGAACAACTGGCCACCATAGTCTAGCCAAGTTGACACATAAGGTTACCGATCACACTGTTTTTCCTTTCTTCCTGCATCATTTTAAAGTCACAAATACCATCATGATGGTCTAATGCATTCGTTGTAGAGGAATCATTTTTTAGAGAGTTCTTGCTTTGCCTCAGTGTTATTACTGTTGATAGCAGAGTCCTTGAGGGTGGAGGATACAGACTATAGGGTCTTTTACCAGCTGCGTGTCTGGGAGTTTGCTTTTGCTGAAGGAATCTAAGTAGGTTTTAACTATGAATTGAGAAATTATCACATGATAGCATGCATCTATGCCAGGTTTAATGCCATCGAGCATGAATATTCATTATTATAAACCAGCTGGTTCTTAGAGTGGTTGGGCAGGCCTTTGCATAAAGAAAGAGGAAACAGGAAAGTAGAGGAAATTGCAAGATTTGTTTGTTTTGCTTCATTTAATGGAATGAAATTGCTGTCAAGGGGTTTTGCTGGTAGATGGGAAATTTGAAAAATACCACTCTCCGTTTTTTTTTTTTTTTTTTTTTTTGAGGCGGAGTCTCACTCTGTCGCCCAGGCTGGAGTGCAGCGGCGCGATCTCGGCTCACTGCAAGCTCCGCCTGCCGGGTTCACGCCATTCTCCTGCCTCCGCCTCCCAAGTAGCTGGGACTACAGGCGCCTGCCACCATGCTCGGCTAATTTTTTGTATTTTTAGTAGAGACGGGGTTTCACCGTGTTAGCCAGGATGGTCTCCATCTCCTGACCTCGTGATCCGTCCGCCTCGGCCTCCCAAAGTGCTGGGATTACAGACGTGAGCCACCACGCCCGGCCGCCACTCTCCTTTCTTTTAAGAATTGTATAAAATGGCATGGGCTGCTTAGGTCATTTGTTCCAACAGGACACATTGGTGGCCATGTGTCTGAGGTCACCTCAACTTGTATGGTTTCTCTTATAACTTACAAATGAAAGCTCCCAGATTCACTGATATGTCAAGGGGTATCAGCGAACTTGGCAAGATCCCCTCATGGTTTTTTCCCTGAATTTTTATAACCCTACATCTCAAGCTTCCAAGACAATTGCGGAGGTTCTGGGAAGTAACAACAGTTGTTTTGCCAAATAAAGGAAGACTCCCCCTAGATCCTGGGAGGCTTGCTTTGGGCATGCCAAGTCCCTGGAGGGAATGGTTGTTTAAAGCTGAATCAGACCTCTTTGGAGGGCAATGTTTCTCAACTTGTTGTTTTTTTGTTTTGTTTTGTTTTTTTATCACTCCCTCCTCCCCATGGAGCCTTTTTAGATTTTTAAAAAATAATTCCCCACCATAAAATGTTAATGCTGCAGATATATTGTATATCTGTTTATGTCTTAAAAATATAAGCATCTAGGTTCACAGTCATGTTAAGGGACATCAGCATACTAGGCAAGAGCCCCTCATGTTTTTTTTTTTTCCCTAATGATTTTTTCCCTAAATAACTGTCATTTCTAAGATTTTAAGATCTCCCCAGGAACCAATTACCAATTTTCATCTCCTCAGGGGGCATATGAGAATGCATGTTCTAGGGCAGTGGTTCTCCACTGGGCAGTTTTGCACCCCCCAGGGGACATTTAGCAATGTCTGGAGACATTTTTGGTTGTCACAAGTGTGCGTGTGTGTGTGTGTGTGCGTGCATGTGTAACAGGGGGTGCTATTGGCATCTCGAGAACAGAGGTCAAGGATGCTGCTGAATATCCTGCAGGGCACAGGACAGCCCCTGTGGCAAAGAATTATCTGGCCTCAAATGTGAATAGTGTCCAGGCTGAGGAAGCCTGTTCTAGGGTAATTAGGCAAATATATGGAAGAAATTGATCACTGTGTTAAATTCGTCCACTCTCCAAGTTCCTGGTCTGAATAAGTAGAATATTTTTAGCAATGGATACTGTTTAATTAATTCAAAATACTCTTTCTCAAAGAAATAGCTCACTATTTGATTTCTATGAAAAAAAGATCAGAGTCAGATTAAAGGTTATAATGAAAACCCAGTGCAAAGCCAGAAATAGTGGCTCATGTCTGTAATCTCAGTGCCATGGGAGGCTGAGGTAGGAGGACCACTTTAGGCCAGGAGTTCGAGACCAGCCTTGACAACATAGTAAGACCATGTCTCTAGAAAATATTTTTTTGGTATGCAGCAGAGCAGCTCCTTCGCTGAGATCTATTGAAAGCCCTCAACACAAGGGTTTGTAAAAAAGAAAAAACAAAAAATAATAAAAGAAACAAAAAAATGTTTTAAAAAGAAGCCAGGGATTGTGGCACACACCTGTAACCCTAGCTATTAGGAGGTGGGTAGATCACATGAACCTGTGAGTTTGAGGCTCAAGTGAGCTATGATTCCATCTCTGCACTCCAGCCTGGGCAACAGACCAAGACCTGTCTCAAACAAACAAACAAAAATCCAATGCCTCTTTCTTTCAACTTTTTATTATACAACATTTCAGGCATATGAAAGACAGCAATGTCTAGTGAATCCTCATCCCCCGCGGGTACAGCATTCTGCCCTTCTTGTATCCTGTCCTTCTCTACCCATTTCTCACCACCATTCAATGATGATGATTCTTAAAGTTATTTTAGCATTTTAAGGTAAAATTAGCATCAAAATGCATAAATCATAACCATTCAGTTTTTACAAATGGACATACTGTATAACCCATATTCCTATCACAATACAGAATATTTCCATAACACCGAAATCTCTCTTATGTCCATGTCCAGTCAATCTTCATCCCCATGAGGCAGCCACTGTTCAGGGTTTTTTTTTGTTTGTTTTTTGTTTTTTTGTCTTTTTTAAACTTTAGATTAGTTTTGCCTATTTTAGAACTTCTTAGAAATGGAGTCATATAGTATGTGCTCTTTTATGTCTGACAGCTTTGGCTCAGTATGTCTTGAAATCCATATATGTTAAGTATCAGTAACGTATTCTTTTTTATTGTTGAAATGTATTTCACTATAATGAGTATCACACACGTTCTTTATCCGTCTTATCTTTGCTAAACATTTAGGTTGTTCTAGTTTGTTCAGTTGTGAATAAAGCTGCCCTGAACATTTGTGTGCAATTGTTTAGTGGACATATGTTGTCACTTATCTTGGCTAAGTATCTATGAGTGGCATTGCTTGGTTAAAAGTGAGGTCTGTGTTTAACATTGGAAGAAACCATCCAGCCTTTTTACTAAATGCTTGTGTCAGTTGGCATTCTCATGGGCAATCTATGAAAATTCCAGTACTCCATGTCCTCACCGACATTTGGTGTCATCACTCTTTTCAATTTTAGTCATTTTGGTGGGTGCATAGTGGTATCTCTGTAGTTGTAATTTGCATTTCCCTGATGACTAATGTTGCTGTGCACCTTGTCATTTGCATACAGGCTGTTCACTTATCTTACTACATTAATTGGTGGAGTTTCTCCATATCCTGTTTGCAAGCCTTCTGTCAGATAATTTTTCATGCCTATTTTCTTCTATCAATAGAAGAAAGAATAGAAGAAAGAAAGAAGAAGAAATGTATGCCTGTCATTTTCTTTTTTTTTTTTTTTTTTTTGAGACGGAGTCTTGCTTTGTCACCAGGCTGAAGTGCAGTGGCACCATCTCGGCTCGCTGCAACCTCTGGCTCACTACAATCTCCACCTCCTGGGTTCAAGTGATTCTTCTGCCTCAGCCTCCCAAGTAGCTGGGACTACAGGCACGTGCCACCACGCCCAGCTAATTTTTGTATTTTTAGTAGAGACGGGGATTCACCGTGTTGGCCAGGATAGTCTCGATCTCTTGACCTCATGATCCGACCGCCTCAGCCTCCTAAAGTGCTGGGATTACAGACGTGAGCCACCGTGCCTGGCAGCCTTTTATTTTCTTAATGATGTCTTTTGATGAGCAGCATCTTTTAATTTTGATTAAATCTAATTTACTACTTTCTTCTTTTATGGCTATTGCACTCTGTGTCCTAAGAAACCTTTTCCTGCCCTCAAGTTACAAATCTGTCTCCATATGTTTTCTTTAAAACATTATGGCTTTTATATTTAGGCTTTTCTCTAATTTTTGTTTATAGTATGAGGTAGAGTTTGAAGTTCATTTTTTTCATATCAGTATTCATGTATTCAGCACCATTTGTTGAGATGACTTTCCTTTCACTATCAAATTACTTTGGTGCCTTTGCAAAAATTAATAGACTGTATAAATTTGGATCTACTTCTGTACTCTGCATACAATTCATTAATCTGTGTTCCTATCCTTAATCAAGAACCACAGTACATATATATATATGTACACACACTACACATATATATGTGTGTACACACACTACACACACTACACACACACACACACACACACATATATATATATATACACACATACATATTTTATACTTTTAAGTTCTGGGATACATGTGCAGAACATGCAGTTTTGTTACATAGGTATACATGTGCCATGGTGGTTTGCTGCACCCATCAACCCATCGTCTACATTAGGTATTTCTCCTAATGCTATCCCTCCCCTAGCCCCTACGCCCCCAACAGGCCCTGGTGTGTGATGTTCCCCTCCCTGTGTCCATGTGTTCTCATTGTTCAACTCCCACTTATGAGTGGGAACATGCGGTGTTTGGTTTTCTGTTCCTGTGTTAGTTTACTAAGAATGATGGTTTCCAGCTTCATCCATGTCCCTGCAAAGGACATGAACTCATCTTTTTTTGTGGCTGCATAGTATTCCATGGTGTATATGTACCACATTTTGTTTATCCATTCTATCATTGATGGGCATTTGGGTTGGTTCCAAGTCTTTGCTATTGTGAATAGTGCTGCAATAAACATATGGAACCACACTATATTGATTAGTATAGCATTATATTAGATCTTGACATCAGACAAGATCTTTATTTAAATAAATTCATTTGAAATAAATTTCACATATGATTCAATTCACCCATTTAAAATGGTTTATGGTATATGTTTTTAGTATATTGTCTATTGTATATTCACAGCATTTGCACAATCACCACAATCTAATTTCACATTTTTGTCTCTCATAAAATAAAACCTGAATCCATTAGCTCTCTCCCTCCACCTCTCCCCACCCTTCTCTATCCCCAGACCTAAACAAACATTGATTTACTTACTGTCTCTATAATTTGCCTATTCTGGACATTTCATATAAATGAAATAATACAATATATAGTCATTCGTGACTGATTTCTTTCACTTGGCATAATGTTTTCAAGATTCATGATGTAGCATATATTAGTACTTTATTTTTTATTGCTCAGTAATCTTTTATTATGTGGATATAGGTCACATTTTATTTATCCATGAATCTAAGTCATTTGATGGACATTTGGGTTGTTTCCAGCTTTTGGATATTATGAATAGTGCTGCCATAAAAATAGTATACAAGTTTTTGTGTGGATATATGTTTTCTTTTGGGTATATATTAGATAGGTGCGAAAGTAATTGTGGTTTTTGCCACTGAAGGTAATAACAACTAAGAATGGAATTGATGGGCATATGGTAACTCTGGGTATAAATTTGAGGAACTGCCAACCTGCTCCATTACAACTGCCCATTTTATATTCTGACCAACAGACTGACATCTGATATTTCCACAACCTTGACATCATTTGTTATATTCCATCTTTTTTATTATAGCCATGCTAATTGGTGTGAAATGGTATCTGATTATGATTTTGATTTATGTTTCCCTAATGACTAATGAGGTTGAATACCTTTTCATTTGCTTATTGGCCGTTTGTATATCTTATCTGCAAAATTTTCTATGCAAATCCTTTGCCCATTTTTAAATCCGGTTTTGTGTCTTTTTATCATTGAAGTTTAAGTGTGGTTTTACATATTGTAGATACAAGACCATTCTCAAATATATGACTTGCAAATATCTTCTCCTATTCTGTGGGTTGTATTTTTACTCTCATGATAGTATTGTTTACAGCAAAAAGCTTTACATTTTGATGTAGTCAAATTTATCTATTTTTCCCCTTTGTTATCTGTGCTTTTGTCATAATATCTAAGAAACAATTTCCTAACCCAAGGTCACATTTTTCCTATATAGCTCTCTTGCCTCCTCCCTATTTTCATGCTGTTATTACTGTACATATTGTATCTTTATATATTACAAACCCAATAATATGTTGTTACAATTATTATTTAACTTTATGTCTTTTAAAGAAGCTGAGGGAAAAAGGGAGAGCAAATATATATTCCTAGAATTTGTTATATTTACCTTCTTACCATATTTGGTTCTTTTCATTTGTTCCTGTGGATTCGAGTTACCATCTGGTTTCATTTCCTTAGTCCAATCCGACTTTGCTCCCACCCAGTTCTTTTGTGCTGCTATTAGCAAATATATTATCTTTCCATATGTTGTAGGAACAACAATGCAATTACATATGTATCATTCTTTATTACTGCTTTTTAAATCAGTTAAGAAAGGAGAAGAAAGATGCATTTATACTGTCTTTTATAATTACATAATTAACTTTATTGGTGTTCTTTGTTTTTTGTGTACGATTTCAAATTACTATCTGGGATCACTTGTTTGTGGTCTAAAGACTTTAGTATTTTTTGTGAGGGGGGTCTGCTAGCAATGAATTCTCTCACTTTTAGTTTTTGTTTCTCTGGGAACATCTTTATTTTGCCTACATATTTGAACAATGATTTTGTCTTGATTGACTTTTTTTTTTCCTTGAGTCTATTGTTCTGTTTTCTTCTGGAGTTGTTTCTATTGGGAAGTGAGCTGTTCATCTTATTAGGGTTCCCTTGTAAGTGACAAATCATTTTTCCTCTTGTTGCTTTAAATATTTTTTCCTTCTTTGGCATTCCTCATTTTTATTGTGACTTATCTGTATGTGGATCTTTTTGTGTTTATCTACTTGGAGTTCACTGAGCTCCTAGGATGTATACATTAATGTTTATCATCGAATTTAGGATGTTTTCAGCCATTATTTCTTTGCGTATTTTTTTTCTGCTCCCCCTCCTCTCTTATTACTTCTTCAGGTACTTCCATTACATCTACATTGGTATGCTTAAATGTGTCCTATATTTCTGTAAGACTGTTTATTTCTCTTCTTTTTTCCTTCTGTTTATTGGATTGGAAAATCGCTATCGGACTATCTTAAATTTGCCTATTCTTAATTCTTTGTTTCCAATCTACTGCTAAGGCCCTCTAGTAAATTTTTCCCTTCAGTTAATGTACTTTTCAATTCCAGACTTTCTATTTGGTTCTCTTTTATAATTTGTGTCTTTATTGATATTCTTAATTTGATGAGACATTGTCATCATCCCTTCCATCCCTTCCTGAGGCGTGCTTTCCTTTAGTTCTCTGAAGAGAATTATAATGGCTACTTTGAAGTCTTTGTTAAATCTGGCATCTGGTGGCCCTCACAGGCAGTTTCTGTTGCCTCCTTTTTCTCCTGGTGTGTGATCAGACTTTCCTGTTTCTTTGCATGTCTCATTTTTTTGTTGTTGTTGGAGACCAGCGAATTTAGGTAATAGAGAAATTCTCAGTACTAGTCACCTTGCATTCTAAAGCTTATTATTGTCATTTGCAATGAATGGCTGGATTATTTTAGCGAAGTCTATTTTCCCCACAATATGAGACCTGTGGTGGTGGTATTATTATTATGTCCAAGCATTTTCTACATTCCTTTGTGATTTCCTTTATCTGTGGGCTATTTAGGAGTTGATTGTTTACTTTCCAAATTTTTAAGACTTCCCTACTTAATGTTATAAATTTTTAGTTTTATTGTGAATAGAAAACATATGAAATTTTACTCTCTTGACATTTATTGAGGTTTGTTTTATTGCTCAATGTATAGTTTATCTTGGTGGATGTTCTATGCACACCTGAAAATTTATTCTCCATCTGTTGGGTGTTGCATTCCATGTGTCAATTACTTAAGATGATGTTGTTCAGAGATTTTTGGTCCTTGTTTTTTGTGTGTGTGTCTTATTCTATCGGTCACTGAGAGTAGAGTTTGATAGTCTTCAACTATGATTGTAGATTTGTCTGTTTCTCCTTTTAGTTCTGTGAGGGTTTGCTTCATATATTTTGGAACTCTGTTCATAGGCACATTCATATTTATGATTAGCATGTCTTCTTGATATTTTGAGCCTTTTTTTCCAATATTAAATGTCCTCGTTTTTTATTTTATCTCTTCCTGTTTCATGATGTGACTTCATGTGGATGCAAACCCCCCTGGGATCATCAATTGTGAAACCTTTTAATAACAGAGTTCTTGTTCTTAACCCTTGGTGATGGAATGGACTTAAATTATAAAGGGATTGGATAGCAGCTATTTTGTGTGGTTTTCTTTTATTACTGTTTCAAATTACTGACTTGTAACAGTCTTCCAAATTTGAGTTTAGAGATCATTCAAGACATTTCAAAAATAGAAATTCAAAATTACCATGTGTCCTTTGTAATGGACATCTTTTGGGAAATGGACATCTATAAAATATTGATGAAAGAAATTAAAGACACAAATAAATGGAAAGATAGTTCATGCTTGTGAAGAATCAATATTGTCAAGATGTTTATATTATCCAAAGCAATCTAGAGGTTCAATACAATCTCTATCAAAATTCCAAAGGCATTTAGGCATTTTTCACAGAAATAGAAAAAAAATCCTAAGTTTTGCATGAAAAGACAGAAGACCCCAGATAGGTAAATCAATCTTGAGCAAGAAGAAGAAAGCTAGAGGCATAACACTTCCTGATTTCAAATTATATTATAAAACTGTAATAATAAAAACAGTATAATACTGGCATAAAAACAGACCAATGGAATAGAATAGAAAGCCCAGAAGGAAACTGATGCATATAGGGTCAACTAATTTTTGACAAAGACTCCAACAACACACCAGAGGGAAAAGGTACTCTGTTCAATAAATGGTATTGGGAAAATTGGATATCCACGTGCAAAAACAAGTGAAATTGGGTCCTTATCTTATATCATACACAAAAATCAATTCAAAATGAATTAAGGATTTAAACATAAAACCTGAAACCATCAAACACCTAGAAGAAAACATAGGGAAATAAGATCCTCAACTTTGGTCTTCTTGGCAATGGTTTTTTAGCATATGATACCTAAAGCACAGGCAAAAAAAAAAAAAGGCAAAAATAAACAAGTAGGATTACAAAAAAACTGATGTTTTTGCACAGTAAAGGAAACAATAAACAAAATGAAAAGACAACCTTGAAATGGGAGGCAATACTTGCAAACTGTATATCAAATAAGAGGTTAACCTCAAAAATATATGAAGAACTCATACAATTAAATAGCAAAAAGACAAATAACCCAATTAAAAAGCGAGCAAAAGACCTGAATAGACATTGTCCTAAAGAAAGCTACAAATCTCCAACAGATATATTAACAGCACTAATTATGAGGGAAATGCCATTCAGAACTATAATGAGGTGTCATCACACATCTGTTAGGATGGCTATTATCAAATAGACAAGAGATAATAAATGTTGGCGAAGTTGTGGAGAAAAGAGAACCCTTGTACACTGTTGGTGGGGATGTAAATTGGTATAGCCCTTATGAAAAAGAGCATAGAGCTTCCTAAAGAAATTAAAAATGTAACTACCGTATGATCAAGCAATCTCACTTCTGAGTCCATATCCAAAGGAAATGAAATCAGTATGTCAAAGAGATATCTGTACCACCAAATTCATTGCAGCATTATTCACAATAGCCAAGATATGGAAACACCCTGTCAATGGATGAATGAATAAAGAAAATGTGATAGATATAGATAAACAATTGAATATTATTCAGCTTCAAAAAAAGAAAAGGAAATTCTTCTATTTGTAACAACATGGATGAACCTAGAGGACATTACGCTAAGCGAAATAAGCCAGACACAGAAAGACAACTACTGCATGATCTTACATACATAGATGTGAAATCTAAAAAAGTTGAACTCATCAAAGCAGAGATTAGAAAGTTGATTGCCAGGAGCTGTGGGGTTGGGGAAAATGGGGAGATGTTGGTCAAAGTGTACAAACTTATAAGATGAATAAATTCTGAAAACCTAATGTACAGGAAGTGAGTATAATTAGTAATGTATTGTATACTTGAAATTTGCAAAGAGCATAGCTCTTAAGCATTCTCACCCCTCCCCCAAAGGTAACTATGTGAGGTGATGGATATGTACATCAGCTTGCTCATGGGAATCTTTTCACAATAAATACATATATCAAAATATCACATCGTATGCTTTGAATATATACAATTATTATTTGTCAATTATAGCTCAATAAAGCTGAAAACAATTAAAGATCTAAATACCATGAGCGAGCACTGTTCCGCATTCCCTTTTTCTGGAAATTGTCCCAATCCTGAGCTGGGTGTCCATCCTCAGCCAGGGCCCTGCCACAGAAACCTTCTGTTTTGGGTTCAGAACCACCAGGCCCTTTCTCTCTCTCTCTCTCTCTCTCTCTCTCTCTCTCTCTCTCTCTCTCTCTCTCTCTCTCTCTGTGTGTGTGTGTGTGTGTGTGTGTGTGTGTGTTTTCAGATTCATATCTAGTATGCATTTCCTTAGAACCAGAATATTTTCTTTTCCCTTTTGGATAGAACTCATAAGTCTGGATAAGTCATTCCCATGGGGGCCTCCACAGCAAACATTTCCTTCCAGGCTTGCTTCTTTATGCCTCCCGGTGAGGCTGGGCTGCCTCTCTTGGCATCTCCTTGGAAAATGCAAACTCATTTGAACATTAGCCAGAACCATCATAATTAGGGAGTTAACTCTGCCAAAGGAAAATGAAACAGATCATTCTATAGCCAAGTCTGTGCCATCTTTGGATGATTCAGACCAATGCTTCTTTCCTTTCATCAGCCTTCGGAGTCTGCTAATTAGTGCTAAATAGCACCTTCCCTCTATGCCAGCAGCAGATTTAGTGCTGGAGATATAGACATAGAAAAGGCGTTTCACGTTTTTGGAGAATGACATTCTAGAATGATCACGTCAGGTCACTCCTCAGCTTGAACTCTGCAGTGTCTTCCATTGCACCTGAGAGAAAACCCAGGCCCTTTCACATGGTCTTCAGGCCCTTCCAGGATCTGGCTCCTGCTGTCTCTTCAACCTCATGTCCTTCTCCCCTCCTCCTTATACATTACATTCTAGCCACCCTGTCCTTTTCATGATAATGCAAATGGCTATCATTTATTAAGTGTGTGAAATGTGTCAGGTTTTGTGTTAAGGGCCTTAAAGCCTTTATTTTATTTAATCCTCAAAATCTCTGAGGTCTTTACTATTACTAGCCCTATTGTCCAGTTGAGGAAACTGAGAGAGGGCAATAGTTTGTCTCAATCTCAACAGCCAGCATGTCACAGAGCTGGCATTTATACCCAGATCATCTGACATCAGAACCCAAACCCTTGATTTCAGAGCTCAGCTCTTGCCAGCAGACTCCACAGGAGATATTGCTTCTCTTTCCTTCCTTGGCTTTTGCACTTGCCCTTCTCCCGTATTTCCCACGTGCTGTCAGAAGCCCATACATACTAATTCCTTCAGCCCTTACTACGTCCCTGCACACCTGTCTGATTTCCAACTAGTGGCAGCTGAACCTTCCTCTCTGAGGGCTTCTGCTGGCTGCCAGAACCCATGCTGCCTGTGCTTGTGGGGAACTGGAAGTGCAGGGAGCAGATGCTTAACCCGTCCCCTAGAGCCACTGCTGTTAGAGGCAGAAGGGGTCAGGATATGGTCACAGGTCAGGTCACTTGGAGTTAGGAAATTCTGTGGTCTCTTTCAGCCTCGGTCTAATCAGCTTTATAAGAGGGCTTAAAATGCCTGTCAAAGAAGGTCTGGTGATAATTGAAAGGGATAAGAGGTGTGAATACATTGCACTGTGCCCAGCACACAGTGGGCCCCTTGTAACTGCTGGATTCCCTCTCTGCCTTCCCAGCAGAACTAAGGATTTGAAAGACTAACATGAACACCTGTGAGTTAGGGCCCTTGCTACCTGGAAGCTTGAGGTGGACCTGGAGAACTGGGGACTTGGGGCGGGGCAGAGATAAATGATCACTTTTACTCCAGAGCCTGGACATACCTCAAGCCTTTTATTATTTATTTTTAATAAGCAGACATTTTCAGAAGGTAAAAGTTATTTGAGAGCCTCTTTCTGCTTATTTCTACCAATAAATGGATTCCATTTCAGGCCACAAGTTGTTCTCTTTCATGGGCTCTCCCTCAGTTTTCTGGGTCATGAGGAACTCTATATAATTTTGGGAGGAGTGAGGGAGGAAGGACCTTTGCTTTCCTTATATACATTTATTTACTATTAGGTTGGTGCAAAAGTAATTGCAAAAACAATAATTACTTTTGTGCCTACCTAATAACAGATGCTAGGGAAAACACTTGGTATTTTTGAGTGCCACCAGCTGAGCCTCCCTCCACAGATCCCAAGGTGATTAGTAAACTTGTAAAAAAAAAAAAAAAGGCTCAATTTTTGCCCTTTACTAATATGGTCTTTTGGTCAAATCTTCAAATATTTTGTCCTAGGGATTATTTCCCATACTTTATAAATAAGATTCTAATTATTTTCTATCAAAACTATTTTCTTCCAAAAAAGAAGAAAAATGACTACATTTGCTGACTCTGGAGAGAGCAAGGGAGCCAAATGCACAGCTGCCCAGCTCTCCCCAGGGCCTGTCCTGTGAACCTGGGTCTTGTGTCCTCCTGTGGCTAAGGTTTTAACTGCTAGAACAAGTGACATGATGTTGCTATGCTTCACAATTTGGCCTTTGTCACAATATCTTTGGTAAAACTCTCAATACTCTGTAAACTCTTTAAAAAGTATTCATTCTCATTTATTTAGTCACTTAATAATTTGTTCCACACATATTTACTGGATACCTACTAGGTTTATGTTTGGTGCAGGAGGAAGTAGACAGACACAATCCCCACCCTAGCAGAGCTTACAGGGCAGGACCGCTGTGAGCCCATACAATGCCTTATGCCAATTAGGAAGAGGCATCGCATCCTCCTGGCAGGTGCAACCCAAGGTACAGGGCAAAGTGAGAAGAGAAGAGGCCTTGCTCCTCTGCTGGGCACCCTTGGGCCCTGCACATCCTGAATAACTATTCTTGGCAGCCCTGATGGACAGCAATGGACATTAAACAAATAATTACAGAAATGGCCACTTAATTACAATCCTGTTATGCACTAGTATGAAAACTATATAATGCATAATAATGGTGTCTCTAGCATAGAGAAATCTGGGACAATTACTTCTGAAGGAAGAATGAGGTGAGAACAGGCCATGAGAAGTGAGAGCATTTCTGAGCGGAACACCCTCCAGTGCACTTGCCTGTCATCATGGCACATGTGCAGGAGAGGGAGGTGAGTTAACCTGTGGTGGAGAAGGAGCAGACCATGTAGAGCATTTTAACTTTAGAGTTTCTGGTCTAAATACCATGACCATTCATTTTAAAATTATTTTTCTGTATATTCGTAACCAGATATTATTGCGTGTCAAAAGAATGCCTTTTTAGGACTTTACCTGGGGCTAAAAATGATATATTTGCTTTTATAATCATTGTTCTACATAAATAAATTGAGTTACTTCGTATTTAAGTATGTTTCTATATTGATGAGAGTAGAATTATTTTCAGACAGACCTGAGTTTGACCTGGTTCCATGACTTAGTAATAATGCAATATTGGGCAAATTGCTTCACTTTTTGCCTCAGTTTATTGATTTCTAGAATGGGAGTTTCAGTCCTTACCTTTCAGGGTGTGAGGGAAGATTAAATGGGATAATGCAGTGCCATTCCCTATGGAACTGTGATTCTGGAGAAGTCAGAAACTGATCTCTGTCCCCAGATGATGGGAGAGCCAGCGACTGTCCTGACAGGTACCTACTGGAATGCACTTTTGTCTAATGCAACACTAGAGGAAGCTACAAATCCTTCAGTCCAGTTTATTTCCCCACTGAAAGGTACTTGTTCGATTATTGCATTCTTAATGATGTCCTCCATGGCATGTGTTTTGCTGTGAGGGGGGACATATATTTACTCAACACGTTCCTTTTGGAGTGGTTCTCATGTCTCCACTTATGGTATTAATTTGATTCTGAGTACAGATCCACCTGCTTCAGAAACTCCATGTCTTGTAGTTGTTCAAAGCAAAAATAAAAAATTGACTGTTTCTCTGGTCATGGCCTGCTGTGCATTCAAGAAGCATGAAGTGCCATTTAAGTCATTCTTTTTTTTTTTTGAGATGGAGTCTCGCACTGTTGCTGGGGCTGGAATGCAGTGGCACAGTCTCAGCTCACTGCAACCTTTGTCTCCTGGGTTCAAGCAATTCTCTTGCCTCAGCCTCCCGAGTAGCTGAGAGATTACAGGCGACCGCCACCATGCTCAGCTAATTTTTTGTATTTTTAGTAGAAATGGGATTTCACCATGTTGGCCAGGCTGGTCTCAAACTCCTGACCTCGTGATTCATTAAGTCATTCTTGAAAGTCAGTGTGTACTTCAAAGAGCCCTCCCTTGAGTTAGGCCTCTGGAGGTGGCCACATGTAATGAGCACAGCAAGGCGCTGTTGCCTGCTAGCCTCCAGCTTGGAGGTGAGGAAGACTGCTGGAGGTTCATTTCCAGGAATATTGGTTAGTGGTTGCACCCATACCGACAGAGGTCACCGAGGCAGGAACACCCAGGGTGAGGTCAGCCAGTGTGTCAGCCAGCATGGGCTCAGATGCAAATGACCAGAGTCATAGCCTGACTTTAAACAGTGGGGACAGAAGGTCATTACCTGCTGTTTTCTTCATTGTATTGTTTATTGGATGGTGGCTAAAGTGGAAGAACAGAATTAATAGTGAATCACATAATTTATGGAAGCAATTGTTAGAGACACAAAGGAAGCCTCTGGGTACAACTAGGATAGTTGTCCTAAAAAGTTAGAGGCAACCTGGGGACCACTGTTTCCTGGGTCTCCTCCAAAATGTTTATGAAAGATGGGATTTGGAATTGCACAGGCTTGGCCATGCATTCTCATTGCAGACGAGCTGGCTGCCTCCCCCAGAAAAGGTGCTATTAGAAGACTTTTGCCCCACATGTGTAAACCTCAGCAAAAAAGTGACTTTGTAAAAGTATGTTCAGTTCTTTTCTTGCACTCAGCCTACATTCTCAATTCCGCAGGCGCTGCTGAGTAATTACGTGGTAAAAGCTTTTTCATGCAGTAACAATCTCTAAACCCACTGCAGAGTGACTGTCGATGATGCTTCATTGTGGGCATTTGGATCAGTTAGACCCCTGATTGTGGGGCAAAAGATGGCGTCATCTTCCAAAATTATTCTGTGCATTTGCAACATGTAGTGGGATGAGGTTTGCTTCTCCCAGAGGCAGTTCGTGTCCTTTATTCTTGAGAGACAGAGACGCTGCTCCAAGAAATGTGTCATAGGGACCATGTGCATGTAGAAGGAGATTATGAAGAACGTGGTAATGTGTGTAGCCTGACACCCATCCCCAGGACGGTGGGTGAGTGTGGGTGTGGGTGGCAGGACTGGGCCACCTTGGTAGAGATGAGCAGTAGGGAAGGGTCACCAGGCTCTGCCAGCACTTGAGACCTGCCTGCCACAGCTAAGTGAGTAACATCACAGGGGATAGAGCCGGGGGTCCCAGGGACACCCAGGGGACTAGAGTCAGTGTCTTTAGCACAGGCACCTTTTCAGTCCTTCCTCCTCAAGCTGGCATTGTCTAGCGGGGGATGTTGCCTGTGGATGGTAGAGGCAGAGGAGGGACAGAGCCCAGGCACCTTGCAGCTGCCTGTCTCAGGGTTCCCTGCTGTTATGGTTGGCCTGTTACCCCTGATAGCTCCTATGGTGGGAAGAGCTGGAGCTTGTGAAGCCCTTGGTGCTCAGATGAGGGTGTAAGCATTACTAGCCTTTGGCATCAAGTCCAGATTGGCAGATGCTCAATGCAATTAAAAAAAAAACACACTCAGCTTGTCATTTGGCCCTGACTAATCTCTGCAGCCTTGTCCATGAGGGACAGAGGAGAGAACATTTCTGAAGGTGTAGATTTTTTGGGTGTTGTGAAATATACATAACAGAAAATTTACCATCTTAGCCATTTTTAAGTGTGCAGTGACGTTAAGTACATTCACAGCGTTGTGCAGCCATCACCACCATCTATCCACAGAACTCCTTTCATCTTGCAGAACTAAAACTCTGTACCCGTTAAACACTGACTCCCCATTCCCCTTCGCCAAGCCCCTGGCAACCACCACTCTGTTTTCCGCCTGTGATTTCAATAACTCTAGGTCCCTCATATAAATGGAATCATACCGTATTCGTCTTGTTGTGACTGTTTTCTTTCACTTAGCATACGTATCCTCAGGATGCATCCATGTTGTAGCATATCTCAGAATTTCCTCCCTTTTTAAGACTGAATATTATTCCACTTTATGTGTACGTGACATTTTGTTTGTCCATTCATCCAGCAGTGTACACTTGGGTTGCTCTCATGTTTTAGCTATTGCGAATAATGCTGCTACAGACACAGGGGTACAGATACCTCTTTGAGCCTCTGATTTCCATTCTTTCTGGGTATAAACCCAGAGGTGGAATTGCTGGATCATATGGTAATTCTGTTTTTAATGTTTTGAGGAACCACTATACTGCTTTCCACCGCAGCTGCATCATTTTACATTTCCACGAACAGTACATATCCAACGTCCTTGCCAATACTTGTTATTTTCGGTTTTAATTTTTTTTATAGTGGACTCCCTGAGATTTTGACAGAGCCCCTGGGGGGATGTGTCATCTTCTCTGCCTGGGAGACTAGAGTCAAAGTAAAATGAAGATGTAGTAACTGAGTTTCCACATTCTCTCGATCCTCCCAAAAGCAAGTTGCCCATTCCTGCTGCTAAGCTCCTCACTGCCCTTCCTGCCCCGCAACACAGAGCCCTGGTCAAGGCTCTCATTCAAGGCCCAGCTCACACCCCCACCTTCTAGGAAACTTCCCCTCCCATACACAGACTCTCCTGCTCCCCGGGCCTCACTCTTCCCTCTTCCACCTCCAGCCAGTGGAGGTTGGAGTGTGAGCCTGTCCTCCCTTCTAGACTACAAGCCCCCGGAAAGCAGGCCTGCCTGCTCATCTCCCCATCTCTTTGGGCCCAGCCCAGCACGTTGTATGTGTTATAGGTTTGGTGAACAGCACAGGCTGAGTTGTTGAACTTCCACAGAGAAAGAAACCAGAAAACCTAGGGAAACTTTTGAATCAGACTGGCAGGAGGGCCCATTGGTTTGAGGCTTTGTGTAGCCCATCTGAGCAGAGCCAGGGGACCAGAGTGTCAACCAGGGAATAGGATGATGCCCAGGCCATCTCCACTCAGACATTTGCTAGGGAAGTCTATGCCAGAAGAAGAGAAGGGTCATTGTCAGGGCCAGGGATTCTCCCTGAGCGTTTGGTTTTGGCTGAGGAGTGACATGTGCTTGGTTGATGGCGTCACTTCTGCTTTGAGAAGGCATTGCTGATCAGAGTTCTGGCACCATCTGTAGGTCTCTGAAGGTGAGGATCTTTATAGGGCTGCCAGTTTGCCTGCATGGCACTGTGGCAGACACAAGGAGGCAAACTGGAGAGCCAGCCACTTAGCCAGCACCTGCCATTGCCCAATTCCAAATCCATTTGCTCTTACCCTTTCCTGGTCCTTCAGGAAACTAAGTCCTGGGTGGAGGCCCAAGGCTTCCTCTTTATTTACGAAAGCAATTTAATAGGATAAGAATGATTTTTGTTTTTTTCCCATCTTTGTCTTTCTACTACATCATTGTGATTTTCAGGGCCAGAGATTTGGCCACACAAAGCCAAGGGACGAGTATGATATTCTGCCTTTACTCATGGACATTCTTTCCTTTCATTGCCCTGATAGTTTTTCTGGCCTCTGCTCACTTTTACCTTCTCATAGCAGGCCCAGAAAAGGGCTTTGGCTCTTTCTCCTTCTCTTTGTGTCCCTCCAGCATTTGGGAAGCTAGGGTGATGCTTCTGCCCTGGAAGGGAGGCTCAGAGACCTCACTTGTCCTCTTCTGCTGGTAACCCATGCTCAGCAGAAGTGGGGTCCTGAATGTTGTCTCGTCTCACTCTGCCCTGGAAGTGGCAATGCAGCTTAAAGGAAGGTTGGATAGGGGTTTGGCTGCCTTCCAGTTTTTTATTTAAATCTATAATGGTTAATATTGAGTGTCAACTTGATTGGGTTGAAGGATGCAAAGTATTGTTCCTGGGTTTATCTGTGAGGGTGTTGCCCAAGGAGATTCACATTTGAGTCAGTGGACTGGGAGAGGCAGACCCACCCTCAATCTGGGTGGGCACCATCTAATCAGCTGCCAGCGCGGCTAGAATAAAGCAGGCAGATGAACGTGGAAGGATTTGACTTGTTGAGTCTTCCAGCCTTTATCTTTCTCCTGTGCTAGATGCTTCCTGCCCTTGAACATTGGACTCCAAATTCTTCAGCTTTTGGAATCTTGGACTTAACCAATGGTTTGCCAGGGGCTCTCGGGCCTACAGCCACAGACTGAAGGCTGCACTGTGGGCTTCCCTATTTTTGAGGTTTTGGGACTTGGACGGCTTTCTTGCTCCTCAGCTTGCAGATGGCCTTTTGTGGGACATCACCTTGGGTTCGTGTGAGTCAATACTCCTTAGTAAAATCCCTTTCATATATACGTCTATCCTATTAGTCCTGTCCCTCTAGAGAACCCTGACTCACACAAACTCCTTCTTGAGAATGGAAAATGGACCTGCATTCTATACCTCCCCTGTCCCCCAACCTGCTATAGAGCCTTCCTGTTCAGTTCTCTCACACAGTGGCACCAGAAGTCCTCATCTCTTCTCTGTGGCACCAGCCTTGAAAACCTAGGGATCTGCATCACTCAGAATCACTCATCAATTCCTTTAATAACTCGCTGGGGAATTCTAACCTGGAGATTTTCCCAAAGCATGCTTGAACCAGTTTGCATTTTCTCTCCTACCCATTTGAGAAGAGCACATTCTCTCTCCTCCAGCATGTACTCTTCAAACCAGTCAGTCCCAAGTCCTCACAGTCCTTGCCCTGGTCTGTGGCTCCTGCTCCTTCCCCCAACGCAGTGCCCTCCTGGCTCTTCCCTATAGCCTACCCTGCCTGGCACAGTAGATGTTGAGAAAATGCATCCACATCCTGCCTACCCATCTGTCAGGTCTGGATTCATGTTTCCAAACTTCCTAGAAACCTTTGATTATCAAGATCCACATTTGCTTCTCCATATCATCTATCTTGTCTCCCTTGCAAAGTGGTTGTTAGGATAATGCTAGAGAATACATGAGAGAGTGTTTCCCACTGTAAACCTGAATGTAAAGAAGAATTAAAAGCACAGTTCTATGATTGTTTTCAGCACTGGATAATTTGTTATGTGTATTGATTCACAGGTGAAATGAATAATAGATGTTCACAGGTGTAGGTCTAACATGTATGTTCAATGTTTTACTAGAGTTCAGGGACCCTAGGTAGCATGTTCTTTTTTAAAAAATAGATGTTCCTGAAATAGTTGTCTTTTTTTTTAATCTTTAAGAATGATGAACATAGATAATGGAAATGAAAGTTATTTTTCTTCATTTTCTAAAATAAGGCATTCAATAAGAACAAGTCCTGAAATAAATGTTTAGTTAAACCCTAATATTTCTTGATTAAGAAGAAATAAATGCCTTTCAAAGAAAGGCATTTATTTCAAAGAAATCTCTAGAAATTAGAGGGCAAATCATAACCCTATGAGAACCTATTATTTAATAAAAAGAAATGGCATGATTTGATCAACACAGCATATTATAAACTTGCAAGCGATGCTTCCCATCCTCATTAATCACATTTTTGAAGTGGACGTTGAAAATTGTGTATGTGTTTTAAAAATTGATATTTTGGAGGAGAAACCCAGTAGGAGAATGATTGATTATTAATAAGTCAAGAAAGAGCTACATTCCTCTAGAGCTGCATTCATCAAAGTGTTGCTTTCCGTTGTTTCCATCAACAATAGTATTTTATTCAGTACAATGTGAAACTTCTTGACCCATGTGAAAAACTGAGAGACATCCCTTTTTATCATAGATTCCCTTTTTCCATCTGTATTTATCGCAGTTTCATGAGGCACCATACCTTTCCAAAGGTTGACTGCTCCAGTGTTGGTTATAGGACCTTCAATTGTTTGTTCATGAAAACGTCATGGTTTAGTTCATAGGCATTGGAATAGTGGGAAGTTCCTAGGCACTGGAACAGAGAGACATGAGTTGAATCCAAAATAGCTTTTGTGACTTTGATAATTGCTTAATTTCTCTAAGCTTTGATTTTCTATTTTTGAAATGGATATAATAATAGTTCATAATATTATTATGAGGGTTATATCATGAAACTTTCCAAATATGCTGATTTGTTTTAGTCACATGCTATTGAATTTCTTAAGAATAATGAACACATGTGGACCATGATGATTGGTGTTAGATTTGGGGAATTAATGTAGATGGCAATTGTTTAAAATTGCCAAACTTTTTTTTTAACTTTTAGATTTAGGGGTATATGTGTAGGTTTGCTATATAGGTAAATTGTGTGTTGTGGAGTTTTGGTGTACAAATTATTTGGTCACCCAGGTAATAAGCATAGTACTCAATAGGTGTTTTTTTGATCCTCACCCTCCTCCCACCCTTCACCCTCAAATAGGCCTCAGTTTTTGTCATTCTCGTCTTTGTGTTCATATATACTCAGTGTTTGGCTCCCAGTTATAAGTGAGAACAAATGGTACGTGGTTTTCTATTTCTGCATTAGTTTGCTTAGGATAAAGGTCTCCACCTCCATCTACGTTGCTGCAAAGGACATGATCTCATTCTTTTTCATGGCTGCATAGTATTCCATGCTGTGTATGTACCACATTTTCTTTATCCAGTCTACCACTGATGAACATTTAGGTTAATTTAATGACTTTGCTATTGTGAATAGTGCTGCGATGAACATACCCATGCTATGTCTTTATGGTAGAACAATTTATATTCCTGTGGGTATACATCCAATAATGGGATTGCTGGGTCAAATAGTAATTCTGTTTTAAGTTCTTTGAGAAATTGCCAAACTGCTTTCCACAATGGCTGAACTAATTTATATTCCCACTAGCAGTGTATAAGCATTCTGTTTCCACAACCTCGCCAACATCTGTTATTTTTTTACTTTTTAATAGTAACCACTCTGACTGTCATGAAATGGTATCTCTTGGTGGCTTTGATTTGCATTTCTCTAATCATTAGTGATGTTGAGCATTTTTTCATATGCTTTTTGGCAACATGAATGTCTTCTTTTCAAAAGTGTCTGTTCATGTCCTTTGCCCAACTTTTGATGGGGTTGTTTGGTTTTTGCTTATAAATTCGTTTAAGTTCCTTATGGATTATAGATATTAGACCTTTGTCAGATGCATAGTTTGTAAATATTTTCTCAAAATTCCAAAATTTTTAGATAAAGTACTTCTGATTCTAGACATGAGGGAGAAACTGGTACTGAACTTGCCATTATTATTATTATTATTATTGTTATTTAATATTAATGAAATCAATAAACTCCTAACAAGACTGATCCAGGGAAAATAGAGAACCCACACAAATTAGCAATATCAGGAAAGAAAGAAAAGCTATTAAATATTTCCAAAAATCCTAAATACTTAAAGAAAAGATAATCTTGTGAGCGGTTTCATGCCAACAAATTTAAAAACTAAGTAAAATGATTAATTTCCTTGTAAACCACTGCTAACCAAAATGGATACTAGATGAAGGCGAAATCTAATTTTTAATTTAAAACCTTTTCAGCAAGAAAGCTCCAGGCCCAGGTGGTTTCACTGGTGTCTTTAATCATACATTTAAGGAAGAACAAATGTTAACCTTACCTAAAACTTTCAAAAAAGCCAGAAGAACAGGGAACATTTCCCAACTGGCTCTGTAAGGCTATACAGATAAGGTAATAGGATAATCCTGATAACAAAATCTGATAAAGATATTGCAGAGAAGAAAACTATAGGCCAATATTCCTCATAAATGTAGATACAGAATTCTCAAATTATCAAGATAAGTCCAACAATACATAAAAAAGAATTTGAACTAATTCCAGAAATGCAGTTGATTTAAAAGTTGAAAATCAGCCATTGCAAGTAAGCACATTAACAAAATAAAGAAGAAAAATCATATAATCATCTCAATAGATGTGGAAAAAGCAACACTTATGCATGACAAAAAATCTGTCATTAACCTAGGAATAGAAAGAAACTTCCCAGTCTGATAAAGGGCATCTATGAAAAGCTTGATGCTAACTTCATACTTAGTGGTGAAAGATTGAATGCTTTTCCTGTTTGATTGCAGACATCATAAAGAGATGTCTATTTCTACTGTTTCTATTCACAATTTTAGTGGTGGTCCTAGTCAGTACAATTAGACAATAAAATAAAATAAAAGGCAAGGAAGAAGTAAAATTAGTTTTATTTGCAGATAACACGATTATTTGTTTATAAAGTCCTAAGATCTACAAAATGTATTAGAATAAGTGAATTTTGCAAGATCATAGGATACAAGGTCAATATAGAAAATCAATTGAATATTTATACAATGTCAATATGCAATTAGAAAATAGAGACTTTTAAAGTACCATTTATAGGTACTTAGGAATTAATAAACAAAAACTGTGAAACCTATATTTTTCAAACTGCAAAACATTGCTAAAAAGCTAAATAAGACTTAAATAAGTGGAAAGTATACCATATTCATGAGTTGAATTATCCAATATTGTTAAGATATTGATTATCCCTAAATTTAAGTATAGATTCAACAAAATCCTATTTAGATTCTGTATGTAGAACTTGGAAAGCTGATTATAAAATTTATATGAAAATCCAAAGGACCTAGGATAGCCGAACAATTTTCAGAAAGGGGGATACATTTGAAGTACTGACAGTACCCAATTTCAAGAGTTCTTATAAAGTTATAGTGATCAAGCCAATGTGGTTAAGGACAGATAAATAGATCAATAAAACAGAATAGAGTCAAGAAATTGACCCACACCTTTCAAAAAAGGTGTCAAGGTAATCTAGTGGCAAATGGAAAGATTAAAATCAATGATATTAGAAATTCTGAATAAAAGTGTGGGAAAAAAGTAAGCTTGACCCCTACCTCATGCTATATATAAAACTTATTTCAAAATTAATCACATACTAAAAAGTTCATCTATAAATCATATAGAAGATAATATAGAATAATATCTTTGGTACTTTGGGATAGACAAAGATTTCTTTAGGAGAAACACAACAGCACCAATAATAGAAAATAAAAGATAAATTGAACTCAAGCAAAATTAAAAATGTCTGCTTTTCAAAAGATATTCTAGAAATAAAATGGCAAGTCACAGGCTGAAAGAAAATATTTACAGTTCATATGTCTCAAAAGGACTTGTGCATTCATATCCACAATATATAAAGAGTATGTACAGATCAGCAATAAAAAAAGCCCAATACAAATGTAGGCAAAAGACTTGAACAGAGACTACATAAAGGGAACTGTATGTATGATCAGTAAGCACATGAAAAGGTGCTCCATTATTCCTCATTAGGGAAATACAAATTAAAATCACTTCATGACAATTAGAATAGCTAAATTCAAAAAGATCAGCAATGCCAAAATGTTGATGGGTATGGATTTAAGTGTAATTCTCAAATGTTGCTGGTGATGTATAAATTGTTACTGCCACTTTGTGAATTGGTTGTCAGTTTCTTATAAAGTAATCATATACTTATCCTACTACCTAGCAGATGCATTTCTAGGTATTTGCCCAAGAGAAATAAAAACATACATTCATAAAAGGTCTTGTACAAAATATTAATAGCAGTTTTATTCCTAATGATCCCAAACTAGAAACAACCCAAAGTTAATCAATAGGAGAATGGATAGCAATTAAAAGGAACAAACTACTAACAAATATTGCAACATGGATGAATCTAGAAAACATTATGTTGAGAAAAGGAAGTCAGACAGAAAAGAGTATAAGCTATAATATTCTGTTTATATGCAGTCCAAGCACAATCAAAACTAGTCTATGGTGTAGAAATTAGAGTAGTTGTCCTAAGTGGGGAGGTCATTGGCAAGGGAGGGAACTGGCTGGCAAGAGCTGTAACGGATTATTCTGAGGTGATGGAAATGTTCTCTATGTTTATTGAGGTCTTGCTTACATGAGTGTCTATGTTTTGGGGAACTTAAGACTTATGCACCTTGGACACTCCTTTTAATGCTCTTTGCATAAGTTGCTCCTTCTCATCTTTCAGGTTTATATAAAGTGGAGTCTCCTCTCCTGTCATCAACCATTCTGTTTTTCATAAGCCTATTTGTTGCTTTCCTAACTTTTTTTTACAATTTGTAATTATTTCTCTGTAAATTCCATAAGGCCAAAACCCAAGTGTGTCTTATTTGCCCCCCAGAACTGAGCATAATACCTGGCCAGACTTGTAGCAGGAACTGAGTAAATATCTGTTGAATTAGTAGCTTCCTTATAAAATGCTCAATTCTGTTGCCCCAGGTGGTGATAATGATGGTGATTGTGTTGTTAGTGGTGGTGGGGTGTGTGTGTGTGTGTGTGTGTGTGTGTGTGTGTGTGTGTGTGATGTTATGTTTTGTGAAGTCCACACATTTCTCTAAATCCTGGCAGGCCAGATTCTTATTCATTGAAAAAAGCTTGTATCACCAGAGAGAATAAGGCATCTTTCTCTAAACTCAGGTATTTGGCTGCCTATAGTGAGATGACCTTTCACTGAATCACAGCTTCTTTATCTAACGGATGAAACATTGAAGCCAAAATCAGGGTGGTATATCATCATCCCTCCAATGGGTAAAGTTGGAATCTGATTTGATTCTAATTCTTTTTGACATTATCCATTCTCATTCTATCACCATTGGCCATCAAAAAATAATGTCTTGGGAAGTCTCCAGAACTTTATTTGAATTCAATGTGCATATTTCCTGTGTTTCACATGCACATACTTTTGTGCTCATTCCCAGGAAAGCAATCTGGCTGGTGGGTGAGAAGCACCATTTTGACTGTCTTGACAAGCGGTTTGGCTGCTGCTTTTTTTGTTTGTTTTTTGTTTTAACTGAACTTTACTGAATCTATGACCTACTTTGGCCCTACAGAACACAAACTAACTTTCACCACTGAGCCTCATTTCTTGCAAGCTATAGACTTGTATCAGTGATTAGAGACAGGCATATAGGCTATGCTGATTTACACAACTCTTCAAAGAACTGAGTGACAAGACTGCAGTTGATGGAATTGATGCAGGAGAAGGCCTTTGGAGGATCCAAGAAAGCTGAGACTCTGCTGCTGACTGACACACCATAGGTAGCACTTCTGCTGTGCTTGAGAGGGGCATGGACATTAGAGTTCTCAACATTCGAGTTACTATTATCTGATTCTTCTGATTCTTTGTAGTTATGAGATTGCATGGGGAAGCCAAAAGCAGCATGATATGAAAGAAAATATGTAGTAATGAATTGAGCACTTCCAAGAGATGCTTTCAAACACCTATTTCGGCCAAATCCTGGTGGGAGCCTCTTACTCTTTCTCAGTTACCATTGGTTATTGGTCATTTTAATATGACAGTTGTCATGATGTGAATGTGTTCCCCAAAATTCATATGTTGAAAAGTAATCACCAATGTCATGGTTTTAGGGGCTGGGGCATTTGAGAGGTGATTAAGTCATAGGGCCTAATGATAGGTCATAGGGTCATAGGGTCCTTATGAATGGGATTAGTGCCCTCCTAAAAGAAGCTCCAGAAAGCTCTCTTGCCCCTTCCACCATGTGATGACACAGTAAGAAGGTACCACCTTTGAACCAGGAAACAGGCTTCACTAGACATCAAATCTGCCTTAATCATGGACTTCCAAGCCTCCAGAACTGGGAGAAATAAATTTTTGTTGTTTATAAAGTACCCAGTGTATGGTATTTGTTATAGCAGTCCCAATGGATTAAAACAACAAATAGCACAATGCAAATCACACCAATTTGATGGCAAAGTACATATCTTGAGAAAGAGGCAGGAGGCTTCCAAGCCTCAACTCTTGCCCTCTGCATACCCACAGACTTAACACCATGTGGAAGCTGCCAAGGCCTATAGCTTGCACCCTCTCAAGGAATAGCCTGAGCTATACCTTGGCCACTTTAAGCCATGGCTGGAGCTGGAGTGGCCATGAGGCTGAGTGCCATGTCCCCAGGTTACTCAGGGCAGTGAGGCCCTGGGCCTGGCCCACGAGAAACTATTCTTCTCTCCTAGGGATCTAGACCTTGATGTAGGAGCTGCCATGAAGGTCTCTAAAATGCCTTTGAGGCATTTTCCCCAAAGTCTTGGCTATTAACATTCAGCTCCCAGTATGCAAATTCTGTGGCTGGTTTGAATTCCTCTGCAGAAAATGTTTTTGTTTTTTGTTTCCTACCGCATAGTCAGGCTGCCAACTTTCTAAATTTTTATGTTCTGCTTTCCTTTTAAATATAAGTTTCAGTTTCAGATTATCTCTTTGCTCATGCATATGACCATATGCTGTTAGCAGCAGCCAGGTTACCCCTTGAATGTTTTGCTGCTTAGAAATTTCTTCTGCCAGATACTGTAAATGATCACTCTCAAGTTCAAAGTTCCGCAGATCCCTAGAGCAGGGGCACAAGTCTGCCAGTCTCTTTGCTAAAGCTTAGCAAGAGGACCTTTATTCTAATTTTCAAAAAGTTCCTCATCTCCGTCTGAGACCACCTCAGCCTGGACTTTATTATCCATATAACTATCAGCATTTTGGTCACAACAATTTAACAAGTCTCTAGGAAGTTCCAAACTCTCCATCATCTTCCTGTCTTTGGCTGAGCCCTCCAAACTGTTCCAACCTCTGCCTGTTACCCAGTTCCAAAGACACTTCCACATTTTCAGGTATCTTTATAGCAATGCCCCACTTCTCTGGTACCAATTTTCTGTCTTAGTTCATTCTCAAACTGCAGTAAAGAACTACCTGAGACTGGGTACTTTATAAAGAAAAGAGATCTAATTAGCTCACAGTTCTGCAGGCTGTACAGGGAGCATGACGGGGAGGTCTCAGGAAACTTACAATCATGGCAGAAGGTGAAGGGGAAGCAGGCATGTCTTACGTGGCTGGAGTAGGAGGAAGAGAGTGAAGGTGGAGGTGCTACCCGCTTTTAAACAACCAGACCTCATGGGAACTCACTATCATGAGAACAGCAAGGGGGAAATCTGCCCCCATGACCAAATCACCTCCCACCAGGCCCCTCCTCCAACATTGGGGATTACAGTTTGACATGAGATTTGGGTGGGAACACAAATCCAAACCATATCACCCTGCATACGTCCAGCAACCAGCTGGCTCTGTCTGCCACTTGGGACAGGTATCATATGTCTGCCTTACCTGCCCCAAACCCACGTTTGAGAAATTTTGGGAATGCTGATAATCTCCCAGTGGCTGTCAGATTACAGCGAGTGGCAAATGTGGGGGGTGGGGGTGGAAGAGAGTGGGGAAAATACAGGTAAAGGAGAATAAACTAAAAATACTGAAACCAAGCAGAACCTACATAGCAAAATACTTACTTTTACCTCTAGAAAGGAAAATGAAAAATATGGCTCCATGGTAGAACTTTTACTCCCAAAGCTAGACTGAAAAAAGATCGTGTTTGTCCTATGGTTGGTCTGCATAATGTACAAGCTTACAAATGGTAGGCTGTCCCCAACTGGCTTTTTTCTAGTGTTTAAATCACATTTTGTATTTTCCTTGCATTGTGCCTGGGCCATGTGAGACAGTTTAGATAAAAAGGACTTTATTTGGTACCACAGTTTTCAGTCTTTCACCCAACTCATCTGGAAAGACTGAACAGAAATGAGACCGGGGTCTCTGAAGAGGTCAGCATCCATACTTTTTAGTTTAGTTGTTCGGTCAGCTACTGAAACTCCAAAATAGCTCTCTGCTGCTCAGCCTGTTTTGCTTCTAAACTGTGGCCTTGGCAAACACCTTACTGTATCAACACACACTGGGTGCAGAGACAGAAAGAGCACGGGTCTGCCTGGCGTAGTGCCTGCCTGTTTGAATGAATGAATGCATGAATGAATGTAATTTCAAGTCTTGTATCTATCACCTGCCAGCCTTGACCTTCAGCAGGTTTCTTTGCATCTCATTCATTCACCCAACAGATATTTATTGATTGCCTCCTGGGTGCCAGGCACAAAATTAAGTTATGAGGATCACAAGGTGAAAAAGACAGCATCTGTTCTTAAGAAATTCCAGTCTGGTAAGGAGGGATCCTTCCAAGAGAGTAACTGGCTCTGTATACTGAGGAGCAAATTATAGGTGTGCTCACTCCCTTTATCTCTTGTTTTCTCAGACTGGTGGCTTGTGGCTTGCAGGACTGCCCCCCTCTGCTTTCTGTCTTAGCTAAAGTGGTAAGGCCTGTTAGATCACACACTCCATTCTGTGACTATTGCCAGAGACCTGTATCAAAAGCTTTGGTCTTTACCTTCTGGAATTCCAAGTTTTACTTTAAATGTATATGTATGTGTATTTTAACAAATCAGGATATTTTCCTGTTGTCAGGCTTCTGGTAGCTTTCCTGCTGTTCACGTGTTGCAAAGACTCCTGGAAGTAACTTTTGATCACACTGGGGAGAGTCTCTTAGTGCCCTGGGGGGTAATTCTTCTAGTCCTGTATTTTTTGTCTCTCTTAAAGCTGACAGGTGGCTTACATTGTTCTTGATTTTTCTGATGTTTGTTCTCCTTTGTCATGTTAGAAATCACAGCGGGAGTGGAACAGTTATGTTTAACTTAAACTATTTCTGGCCCACATGTCTGTTTGTGAATGCAGGGAGTGTTCAGATTTCTTGGGCAGTAGGCCACATGGTGTGGACAAGAGTATAAAATTCAAGTTTGTCATTCATGATAGAAGAAATGCAGAAAAAAGTCCAGTCTCCTGTTGAGTGTAGTAAACTAAGCGTAGAGGCTTTCTGCTAACTATAGTTCCAAAATACAGCTAGCATTTATTGAGTACTTACTGGATGCTAGGCATGCACCAAATGTTCTACAAGGGCTGTTTTACTTAGTCCTTAGGAAAACCCTATAAGATGGATATTCGTATTGATCCCATTTGCAGGTGAGAAGCAGAGAGTTAAGTATCTTGCTTGAGGTCACACAGCAAGTAGTGAAGCTAAGATTCAAACCTCGGCACTAGATGTTACTTTGTATCCACATCTACCTATCTTATATTTAGGTTGGTGCAAAAGTTATTGCAGATTTTGCAATTTTAATGGCAAAAACCACAATTACTTTTGCACCAACCTAATACTTAGGTTAAGATGTTGCAGTCAGTGAAGAGATCTCCAACTGATGATTCATGCGGCTGTTTTCCTCCTCAAAACTTTGTAACAAAAGTATTTTATTTCATTCTAATGTTTGTGGGGCATGTTTCATTGCTAATAATTCTCAAGGAAAATAAATAATCCAAGTCCTGGCTTAGCATTTTTCTGAGCCTGTGGGAATCATGCTGACCATCGTAACAAATGGCCAGTCTCAGGTGTGTGTTGTAATGAACAGGAAAAATAGGAATGAAATCTGACTTTTCACCCTCAAGAAATAGCTGCATTAGAAAAATAAAATAGCAATGAAGCTTGAAATATGTTTTGGTGTAAGATCTGTAACAGGTAACCTGGCCAGTTTCATTTATTCTGAATTTATTCCCATTACAAGCCTTGAATGCTCCCTGGGCTCTCTCTTGCTAAATCGATGTTTTCAGAATTCTCAGTGGCTTGAATTTTGTAATCTGAGAAATCAATCAAGTGCCTCCGGAGAATGCCATGTCTTATTCTACTCTGAACCTCCAAACGCCTCTTGTAATTAAGTATTAGTTGGAGTTCATTGCACTTGAATAATGAGGTGATGTTTGGGTAGGTTTCCTTTGTTGTTTTTTTCTTGAGGAGCACAGCTTCTGTTTTTCTGGTTAGCTGAATCACAGTTGTCACAAAAAAATGCTATGTAAAGCCTCCCTAATTATAATAGTTAGCATCTCCAAAAACCAAATTCAATACTTTATGGTCATTAGTGTGTTGCTGCAGTCGGCATGCATAGCCCTGGCATGTGTAGCGTATGCCCTGTGATTATGGAATTTTACAATTAAGCTTTGACAATGAGAAAAGGGCTGAAGGAGTTGAATTTGTTCCTTTTTAAAATGGTCTGACTTGCCTGATGACCAAATGAATGGCTGCATAACTCTTGTTATAGAGCAAACAGTGTGGTCACTAGCTCTTTCTGCATTTGCTCTGCACTATATAATTTTCTTGCCATACCACAGTTGTTTAACAGGGATAATTGGTTAACAGTGAAATGTATGTACAAAATCATATAGAAAAATAATCATTGGCTTAAATATTATATTTACTATTAAATAATAATATTAATAAATATTAAGTAATAATAAAAAAACAGACCTCCATGTACCCAGCACTTGGTTTAAGAGGTTGAATTTAACTATACCCTTAGAAATCCTACATTACCCTCCTGGTGGCTGATCCTTCTCTCTCTTACTGTGGCCATTATCTTGAGATTTTCAAAATTATTTCTTTGCTTTTCTAGATAGTTTTACATGTGCACACATACACATGTATACATTCCTAAGCAAATTATTGCTTAGTTTTTCCTGTTTTTGAACTTTACATAAAGGGAGTCACACAGCATATGTTTTGTGATTTGCTAATTTTGCTCATTATTATTTTTTGAGATTCTTCTATTTATTGATGTATGTAGCAGGAGTTTATTCATTTTCTTTTCTTTCTTTCTTTTTTTTTTTTTTTGAGACGGAATTTTGCTCTGTCACTCAGACTGGAGTGCAGTGGTACAATCTCAGGTCACTGCGACCTGCAACCTCCACCTCCCAGGTTCAAGCTATTCTCCTGCCTGAGCCTCCTGAGTAGCTGGGATTACAGGTGCCCACCACCACACCTGGCCAATGTTTGTATTTTTAGTAAAGACGAGGTTGCACCATGTTGGCCAGGCTGGTCTCGAAGTCCTCACCTTAAAGTGATCCGCCCACCTTGGCCTCCCAAAGTGCTGGGATTATAGGTGTGAGCCACCACGCCCAGGCTAAGTTTATTCACTTTCATTTTTATCTGCCACTTTAAGCCATGACTATACCTCAATTTAAAAAAAATCATTCTAATGCTCATGGACATTTGAGTCATCTCTAGTATGGACCTATTATAAAGTGTCAGCATGAATTCTTTTTGTGCTTCTTCCAAATATAACTCTCAGATAAATTACTTGCAGTAAAATTTTTGGGTCATTTGCTTATCTTCAGCTTTAATAACTAATGACAAACTGTTTTTACACTCTCACCAGCAAGTTATGAAAATTCCCATTGCCCCACAGTCTTGTCGGCACCTAACATGGTCAGAATTTAGTTTTTGCTTGTCTGAAAGATGTATTGGTAGCTCCTGGTAGTTGTGATATGTATTTTCCTGATGACTACTGAGCTAGATCATTCATTAGTTTAATGGATCTTAGCTTTTCTCTTATATAACATACCTGTTCATGCCTTTTGACCATTTTTTTCAATTAGGTTGTCACTTTTTTCTCATTAATTATTAGGGTTTTAAAAATATTATGGATATTAGTTCTTTGTTGGTCATACTTGTGGCAAATATCTCCCTTTCCTTGCTTGTCTTTTCATGTTCATTTTTTTTTTTGCCTTCCACAAAAAAGGGAGATGTTTGTGTATTTATTATTTATTTTTCTTTCGTGGATTTATTAATTCTTTTATTTTATAATCCTTATTAAAGAAAGAGTACATACACATTGTAGAAAGTTAAAATATACAGAGAAGCAAACTTTTTAAAAAGAACTTTACATTCCTACTGCCCTGAAGTCACCAGAATTAGCATCTTATGCAGGATTTCATATTCTGAATTTCATACCTGTATGTGTATGTATGTACAGTTGACCCTTGAACAACACAGGTTTGAACTGTGAGGGTGCACTTATATGTGGATTTTTTTTTTCAATGAATATATTGAAAATTTTGGGGGGATTTGTGAAAATTTGAAAAAACTCATAGAGGAATCACAAAGCCTAGAAATCTAAAAGAAAAATTTAAAAAGCTATGTCATGAATGCATAAAATATATGTAGATACTACATCTACATGTATCATTTACTATCATAAAATATACACAAATCTATTATGAAAAGTTAAAATTTATCAGACCTTACACATACAAACATAGGTGGTACGTGGCATCATTCGCAGTCAATAAACTTGAAGCTGCAGTATTAAATCACAGCTGCGTAAGATTAACTGTAGAATGCGCTGCACTTCTGTGGTAATTTTATAGCCACCTCCCATTGCTATTGTGTGAGCTCAAGTGTTTTGAATATCTACCTAAAACACCGTGTGGCGCTGATCACCTTCACGTGAGCAGTTCGTGTCTCCACGAAATTGGCGGTGGGCCACAGTGAAAGTGATTTCTCACAGTTGTCGCATATTTCCCATTGTGTTTGGTGCAATGTTGTAAACCTTGAATAACACCATGGGACTTATGAAGTGTCACTAGTGATGCTGGAAGTGCTCCCGAGAAGTGGAGAAAAGTCATGACATTACAAGGAAAAGTCAAACTGTACTGACTATGCACTATAGGTTGAGGTCTGTAACTGTGGTTGCCCACCATTTCAAGATGAATGAATCGAGCCTAAGGACCATTGCAAAAAAAAAAAAAAAGAAAGAAAAAAATCATTTGTGAAGCTGTCACTGCAGCTGCACCAGCAGATGTGAACACCTTATACATTTTCTGAAATATTAGGTTAGTGCAAAATAAGTTGTGGTTTTTGACATTAAAAATAATGGCAGACTGGGCGCAGTGGCTCACGCCTGTAATCCCAGCACTTTGGGAGGCCGAGGCAGGCACATCACCTAAAGTCAGGAGTTTGAGACCAGACTGGCCAACATAGTGAAACCCCATCTCTCCTAAAAATACAAAAATTAGCTGGATACCGTGGTGTGCACCTGTAATCCCAGCTACTCAGGAGGCTGAGGCAGGAGAATCATTTGAACCCATGAGGCAGAGGTTGCAGTGAGCTGAGATTGCACCACTGCACTCCAACCTGGGTGGCGGAGTGAGACTCTGTCTCAAAAAAACAAAAATAAAAAAATAGTGGTATTAATTTTAATGGTAAAAACTGAAATTATTTTTGCACCAACCTGTACAAAATATGGGTTAATTGACCATTTGTGTTATCAGCAAGCCTTCTGGTCAACAAGTAGGCTAGTAGTAAAATTTTGGGGGGAGTCGAAAGTTATACTCAGATTTTCAATTGCATGGGGTGTCGGTGCCCCTATCCCCCACATTATTCAAGGGTCAACTGTATATGTAATCAAAACAAATTTTCAGTCACCAACCTCCAAGTTTTCATTTGAGTAGATTTCCTCTCACCATATAGGTAAACCATCTTCAAATTTTCCCAGTTGACCAGCAGTCCTTTAGCGCTTTGGTCAAACAAGTATCCAGTCTAGGACTTATTATGTATTTGGATGAACCAAGTTCTCAATGTTAAAGTCAGTTTTATCAGTCCTTTGCTTTGTGATTAGTATTTTTTATATCTTTTTAAACACATGTCTTTCAATCCCAAGACTGTATTATCTTCTAACAGTCCTATAGTTTTGCTTTCTCCTCTAAATTCATAATCCAGAATTGATTTCTGGGTATAGTAGCAGTCCAATTTTTTTTCCATATGGATACCGGCACCATTTATTGATATTCACTGACCTACAACATATCATGACCCCTGCCATATTTCATGTTCATGTAAGGATGGGTCTTTTTCTTGGCTTTTAAAATTCTGATTCATGGGTCTGTTTGCTTATTCCTATACCAATGCTGCAGTGTCCTAATCATTTTACCTTTATAATATGTCTTGACATAATAAATTTTATAATAAGGTTTAAATAAGACAAATCTCCTTGGATAGATTAGGATAGGTTGGGCTGTCTTTGGGTACAAATTTCAGTGGCTTAAAACTCAAAGGGCTTCTTTCTTGCTCATGCTATGCATACAGTTGTGGTCATTCAGGGTCCCAGGCAAACAGAGGCTGTGTTACTATCTCAATATGTTCTTCCACATGAGAGAAGAGAGCATGGAGAATCACTTGTCAACTTGTAATGCTTTCTCCCAGAAGTGACACATGCCAGTTATATTTACATTTCATTGGCAGAGCTACTCCCATGACCACACCTGATTTCAAGGGTGCAAGGGAGTGTAATCCTTGCATAACTGGAAGCAGAGGATTCTACCACATCTCTCCCATTGCTTTTCTTCGGAAGTGTCTTAGCTATTCTCAGCCTTGAGACCCATTTTGTCAAGTTCCATGAAAACCCTTACTAAGATTTTGATTGGGATTTTAGTAAATCTAGGGTTCAATTTGGGGAGAAGTGATATCTTCCTTTCTAAGCATATGGTATATTTGTCTATTTATTTAGGTCTTAATGTCTTTTAGTGGTTTTATCCTTCTCTCTTTAAAGGATTTGCACATCATTTATAAGACTAATTCTTTGGTGTTTTATATTCTTATTGCTATTATAAATTTTATTTTTTAAATTACATTTCCTAGCTAATTATTTTCTGGTGTCCAGAAATGCTGGTGACTTTGGTATATTAATTTTATTAATGCAGAAATTTTGAAAAACTCTCCTAGTAATTCTAATTACTTATCCATAAATTATTTTGAGTTTTCTACATAGAAAATCATACCACCTGCAAATAAGTACAGTTTCATTTTTTTCGTTTCTAATTCCTAACCCTTTTTATTGAGTTCTCTTGTCTTCTCTAACTAGGGCTTCTTGTGCAATGTTCTAGAAGTGGGGATAGCAAACATTTGTGTCTTGTTACTGATCTTAAGGGAATGCTTTAAACGTCTGACCAATAAGTAGGACTTTTTTGCTAGATATTCTTTATCAGGTTCCTTCCATTTCTAGTTTGCTAAGAATGAACTTCGAATTTTGTACATCAAAAAAAAGTGATACTTTCCCTTTGATGTGTTAATGCGGTCATTTATAGTAATCAATTTAAAAAATTTTAAACCTGCTTTAATTCCTGGAATTAACCTACCTTGGCTAAGATGTATTCCCCTTTTACTCAATGCTAGATTTGGTTGATAATATTCTGTTTAAGACTTTTGTAAATATGTTTTGAGTAATATTGGTTGGTAATTCTCATTTCTTGTACCATACCTGTATGGTTTTGGAATCACTGTTACTAAAATAAGACAGATGTACAAAATAGAAATATGAGACCTACAAAATCCATGAAAATTGTTTAAGATATAAATATACATTTCAGGCTGGGCATGGTGACTCACGCCTGTAATCCTAGCAGTTTGGGAAGCCAAGGCGGGTGGATCACCTGAGGTCAGGAGTTTGAGACCAGCCTGGCCAAATGGAGAAACCCCACTTCTACTAAAAATACAAAAATTAGCCAGGCATGTTGGCAGATACCTATAATCCCAGCTAGTTGAGAGGCTGAGTCAGGAGAATCGCTTGAAGCCAGGAGGCAGAGGTCGCGGTGTGCGGAGATCGCGCCACTGCACTCCAGCCTGGGTAACAAGAGCGAAACCCCATCTCAAAAACCAAACCAAACAAACAAACAAACAAAAAAGATGTAAAGATACATTTCAGTGAATGATAGATCAAACATAAATTGGAAAATATATAAGACTTGAATATCATAGTTAACAAGCTTCATAGAATAAATATCCCCTCATTTTTAATTCTTTGTAAAGAGTCTATGTGAGTTGATTTATTTTTTGGAGGGATGCCTGGAAAATATGTCCATGAAAATGTGGTCCTAGATTTCAAAATATAGAATCAGTTTACCTAGAGTTATAAAAATCTTGAATTTTAGGCCGGGCGCGGTGGCTCACGCCTGTAATCCCAGCACTTTGGGAGGCCGAGGCGGGTGGATCATGAGGTCAGGAGATCGAGACCATCCTGGCTAACAAGGTGAAACCCCGTCTCTACTAAAAATACAAAAAATTAGCCGGGCGCGGTGGCGGGCGCCTGTAGTCCCAGCTACTCGGGAGGCTGAGGCAGGAGAATGGCGTGAACCCAGGAAGCGGAGCTTGCAGTGAGCCGAGATTGCGCCACTGCAGTCCGCAGTCCGGCCTGGGCGACAGAGCGAGACTCCGTCTCAAAAAAAAAAAAAAAAAAAAAAAAAAAAAAATCTTGAATTTTAAAATATTTTTGTCTTGAGATATTTTAGTAATTTTTATTTGTTTTTAGAACTTAGTCATTTCAATTTATTTCATTGGTCTTTTCAAAGAACTGGTATTTTTGCTTTGAGCCTCTTTACTGTATGTTTGTTTTGCTTTTCATTATTTTCTTTATTATTTTTCTCTTTCAATTTTGAATGTATTCTGCTGTTCTTTTAAACTTATTGTTAATTTAAATGCAGTGCAATAATGCTCATCTTGTTTTTCTAACAAAAACAATTTAGCTATAAATTTTCCTTTAAATGTTGCATTAGCTATATTCTATAAGTTTTAATACATATTATTTTCATTAATTTTAATTCTGGATATTTCTAATTTTCATTGTTTTCTTCTGTGACCCACAGTTGTTTAGTAGAGCTTTAAAAAAAATCCCAAAAGTAAGATATTTTTCTTGTTATATCTTCAAAATAGTTTATAATTCAATTGCATTATGGTCAGATAGAGATCTATACAGATAACCAGTCCTTAGATCTTTGATTAGCTTTGAGAATTAGCATAAGGTCAGTTTTTATAAATATTCTATATGACTTTAAAAGAACGTGAATTTTAAAATTGTTGGACACAAAGTTGTTATATGTCTATTAGAACAAGATTGTTAATTTGGTGTTCAGATCTTATATGTCCTATCTAATATTTCTGTTTTCTGTTTATTCTTAATTTGTCAATAGCAAAGATGTGAATTAAAATTTTCCACTATTATGGCAAATGTTGTAGTTCTAGGGTATTTGTAATTTCATCAATTTTTGATTCATATATTTGGAGTGATGTGTAAACAGTTTAGAATTGTAATACTTCCTATTATACCTTCTACTACCTGTGTAAGTCATGATCATCTTTATCTCTAATATTGCTTCTTACCATAAAGACAATCAAACATTAATATTTATACAGAATTGTATTCATTAATATTTGTCTCATTTTTCTTTCTTTTTTGTGTGTGCCCTATATTTTATGTATGTATTTAAAAAATTTTTAAATAGGGAGCAAATTTCTATTCTATTTCTTATAATTACTCACATATTTAAAGCCTTATTCGTATATTCTTTATATACTTCTTTGTCCTTTCTTATACTGTTTTTATGTCTGAATTCATTATTTTCCTCTTTTAGTTTGAAAGTTCTATCAAACCTCTAGTTTAACACACATAGTTAACGAAGTCTCAAGTTAATACCTTTTCTTCCTTCTGAGCAATGTAAGAACATTAAATGCTTTAACTCTGATCGATAATATGTTCTAACCTATTTGACAATGTTATCTGGTATTTTAATTCTAGCTTGATTCTTTCTCCTTCCTCCCAACAAACCACCAACCTCTGCATACTTTAACCCACAGATATGCCAGTATCTTTGCTTAGCATTCCCTCGTGTATCAGCCTTACAACTTTCTGCCTAAAACATATCCCTTACATTTCCTTTGATTTGTTTGTGTGGTGTGTGTGTGTGTGTGTGTGTGTGTGTGTGTGTGTGTGTGTGTGTGCTGTATGCTCTGTGTTTTTGAATTTCCTAAATTGTCTTTGATTTCATTCTTGGAAGATGGCCTTATTCAATATGGAATTCTAGTTTGACAGTTACTCTTTCTTTCTGAACTTTGATGATATTATTTCACTGGCTTCTAGCTTTGATTTTTTGGATCTTTTGAAGTCATCTGTGAGTCTTAAACTGCTGCTCCTTTGTAGGTATTCTTTTCTTCCTTTCTGCATGTCTTTAACAACTTGCTTCTCTTTTTGTGTTGTAAAGTTTTATTAATACTGTGTCTAGGTGTGGAGTTCCTTTTATGTATCTTGTTTGGGATTCATTGGGCTTTATAAATCTCAAGTTTGTGTCTTTCAATATCCTGAGATACCCTCTGCCATTATCTACTTGAATATTTCTTCTTCTCCATTTTCTCTATTACTTCCTCCTCTAATTTAGAATTTCACTTAGATATTTGTTAAGGCCTTCTCACCACATCATCCATGTCACTTATCTTTCCTTCATTATTTTTCATATGTCTTTTTAAATTTTTAACTACATTCTGGATAAAATTTGAATCTATCTTTCAATTTGCTAATTCTCTACTTAGGTTTGTTTTACTTGCTATTTAATCCGTCTACTGAGTTTTAAAGTTTAATTACTATATTTTTCATTTATAGAAATTCTATTTGGTCTTTTTAAAACTCTATTTTATTATTCTTTTATAATGTTTGTTTTCTGTCCTTAGTTTTAAGCTTCTCTCAAATTTCTTCAAGCATATTGCAAATAGTTATTTTATATTCATGTCTTGTAACTATACTATCTAAACTTGTTATTAGCCAGTTTTTCTTATAGGTTCTCATTTATGATGTCCTAAATCTTTGTGTTTCAGTTTTCTTACTCTGGGCTTTTAATTTTTCCTAGAAGTTTATTTTTTGGAAATACTTTGATGTCTGGGTTGAAGTTGAATTCCTCTAGAGAGATATTTTGCCAATTGCCTGACAGCACTAACTACCCCAGGACCACTCAAAATTAACTCCCCACTTAAGGTTTTTTGGAGACCATATGAGAAGCATGAATTGGATAGCAAAAACCTACGAGAGTTGGCTTGTAGTTCTAAAATCTCTCCACATAGCACAAAGATGGAGACAGGCAGGTGTCCTTGCCGTTTCCTTCTGAAGGGCAGACTTCTTTTCCTACTTATTCTTTTTTTTTTTTTTTGTCAGACGGAGTCTCACCCTGTCACCCAGGCTGGAGTGCAATGGTGCAGTCTCAGCCCACTGTAACCTCCACCTCCACCTCCACCTCCCGAGTTCAAGCAATTATCCCACCTCAGCCTCCTGAGTAGCTAGGATTACAGGTGCCTGCCACCACGCCCGGCTAATTTTTGTATTTTTAGTAGAGATGGGGTTTCACTATGTTAGCCAGGCTGGTCCCGAACTCCTGACCTCAGGTGATCCACCTGCCCCAGCCTCCCAAAGTGCTGGGATTACAGGCGTGAGCCACGGCACCTGGCCTTTTCCTACTTAAGCAGGTTATTTAGTCTTTGGGGTGCAAGATTTACTCAGGGATCTTCTGTGACATTTTCCACCACAGGTAGTCCTGAGACTTTGTTTCTTCGTCCTCAAACTGGAAGCTCAAGGTCTGCAGTTCCCCACAGACATGCTCGGGGCCAAGTGTGGATCTCTGGCTTTCCTGTGTCCTTGCACCCTAGGTTTTTTCTCTCCCTTCATTTTTGGGAACCTTGTTTTTATTAATTTTTCTCTGTGTCAACATAGCGGCATGTTTAAAAGATTGTTTTAATATTTCGTCTAACATTTAATTATTTCAAACAAAATATATAGTCTGCTACACTGCTAGAAATAGAAGCCCTAGGTTTGGGAATTATTAGGTATTCTTGTATTTGAAAAGGGGAACTAAACTTTGGCTAAGAAATAGACATGTCTGGGTGTGAGACCAGATTCTGTATTCAATATTTCCAGATATTTGTTTCCTCAGCTTTTCTGATAATAACACCTTTTATTTGTATGTTGAATTTCTGTTTACAAAGTCCTTTCACACATATCAAGTCTTTGGAGAGTTGGCTGAAGCAGATGTTGTTATGCCTGTTGAGTGAATAGATGAGATTGTTGAGGGGGACACCACACTGATTTGGAACCCAAGTCTTAATACCTAGAAGAGTTCTATTTTTGTTTCAATGCCATCTTGGATTAAATTATTTCAAAGAAGTTAGCAAGTGGATCTCAATTTGTTGTCTGGGGCAAGTCACTGCTTGGACACTATCTTGAGGGAGATCCGGAGCCCAAAGCTGGGTTTTCTTCATGTTGTTGCTGTTTGTTTGTTTGTTTTTTTGATAAAGAGTTCATTGATCCAGTTAGCAGTGTCTGCAAAAGTTACAAGAGATGAAAAATGCAACTTATTTGCTTTCCCAGATTTAAAATGGCCTTCCTGACTTTAAAAAATTCACAGTTCTCATATAAACATAAAATATATCTTTCTAAATTCAGATGGCATAAGTAATGGAAAGACAGACTTTGCTTATTTCAAATAATGAGGCTACTAGTTCTATTTATGGTCAGCTTCCTTTGTGGTGTGTGAGATGAGCATGGAATGGTCTTTCATGATAGGGAATTTATTGCAAGAAAAACTAGAACATGAGGAAATCTTGGAAAGCCACCTCATCATTGATACAATCACTTGGGGCTTCTCATACGGTTGTGCTACAATCTTCTTGAGTTACAAAAATAAGGACCTGGCTTAGCTCGGGACAGTAGCTTGAAGTCAATCTGCTTGCCTTTTTCCACTCATACAATATTTAATATCTGATTGGGCCATGTGGCCAGCACCCATCACAGACTGTCCCTATTGGTCAGCATTTAAGCCAAACATTTCAGGGGTAACAGATCTTCTTAATGCAAAGGCCATTTATATTCCCTTCCTGTGCTGGCTGAGACCCTCATGCAAGGCTGCCAGCAGCAGGTTAGAAGGGTTCTTCTTCTCTAGCAAACCCTGAGACAGGTTGTATGACATCTCGTAAAAGGCAGGAGGAGTTGAGGCTACTCGTTTAGAAGAGAGCAAGGCAGTAACAATCATTACAACCTAAGGGCTTCTCCTGAAGTCCATGCACCCCAATTAGAGGATGATCAGATGAGCACACTGGGCAAATCAATGACTACTCCTTGTTGGTGGTTTCTTAAATGTGCATTACTATTCAAATATCTTCATCAAATTTATGCTCTGTTAAGTCCTTTGAAGGTAAACTAAAAAATCATTTCTCATTAAAATATCATCTTTATTTCAAACCTGCTCATGCTCATATCAGCTCCTCTAATGTCATTATGGAAAAAGGCAATTTCTTTCTTTTGATGGCTTATTTTTATATTTATGTTTCAGATCATTGTGGCATATAATCAAAGGAAAAGTTATCCTGGGGATTTAGACCTTCTGTAGATTAAGATGCTCAGATATGCAAAACCACTTCCCATCCTTGTGACTGTCAGTAGTTTTCTCCAGTGCAAGGAGTAACATTTATGAGTTTTCATAAGCATTTTTCATCAAGGAGTGTGGGGTGGACAGTGGAGCCAAAGCACCTTCTGTCATTCAAAAATCCTTAATCCCCAACCAGGTGCGGTGGCTCACGACTGTAATCCTAGCACTTTGGGAGGCCAAGGTGGGTGGATCACTTGAGGTCAGGAGTTCAAGACCAGCCTAGCCAACATGGTGAAACCCCAACTCTGCCAAAAATACAAAAACTAGCTGGGCGTGGTGATGGGCACCTGCAATCCCAGCTACTCAGGAGGCTGAGGCAGGAGAATCACTTGAATCCGGGAGGCGGAGGTTGTAGTGAGCTGAGATCACACCACTGCACTGCAGCCTGGGGTAAAGAGTGAGACTCCATCTCAAAAAAAAAAAAAAATTCTTAATCCTCCTCTGCTGCTACTTTCCCTCCTTGTATCTGCCCATTCCCAGGATCAGTGCCTCCAGCCAGTTGACAAAAGGACAGCCACCTTCCTCCCGCTATCATTTTTCTTCCCACCACTGTTCTTCCTCTGCACTTCTTGTGCGTTGAGCCTGAGTTGATTCTTTTTCTCAGAACAAAATCTTCTTTGAAAATGCAACATGAGGTAAGAAAAGGAGTTTATAGTCTGCTTTTTTCTGTTTGCATTTCCTGCCTCTGACATTTGCTTTCAGACTAATTAGGAGTTTTGGAGTTCCTTTTCCTTTTCCCCATTGCTCATTTTCAAACAAGACTGTGCAACCCTTTCCATCATGAGATGAAAATCTCACATGGCTCAGGTAGCTCAGGTATCACCCTGCCTAGAAACAGGGGATAAAGGACATGACCTTTCATGTCTTTCTGTCCCCAAGGACCTTGGCCTCTTGCCAGAATCCTTAATAGGGTCCAGGTATATTTGTAAAATGAATACATGGTCTCTACCATTTATATTTTCATTTGGGCATTACATATCGGGTGCCTCCTATTGTCAGGCAGTGTGTTCGGTCCTAGAGCTTCAACAGTGACCCTGATGGGCATGTCCCTAATTGGGGGTGTGAAAACAAACAGGCAGTTAGCATTGCTCTAACTGCAATAATGCTAAGAACATCTGTGATTTTTGCTCTATTTAAAGAGAACACATAGTTTCTAAAGAGCTGCATCACACCTATATAAATGATTTGTACTTTCTGAGCCTCCATTTCTCATTCATAGAATGGCCTAATGACTACATCATTGTGTTGTTCTGGGGATGAAATGAGGCAACCTAATGAAAAGCTTCCAGCACAGTGCCTGGCCCATGGGAGGTACTCAACCTCTGATCACCTGGCTGTCCTTCTGATGGAATGCTCCTCTGCCTGCTCTGCTTGGCATGGTTTCCTCCTGCTGATGAGGGTGGGCAGGCATTGACCAGGCAGGCTTGTTTCCCACATCCTTTTTTTCAAATGGTCTTCTGGAGATGCACTTATATCCTCTGCAAAACACCCTTCCACACTAAGGTTTATTAAACTACCCAACGTTGCCTTTCTCCCTCAGAGAAGATCATACCAACTCTCTGAACATCCCAAAATGGAAAGTTTGTATAGATTGACTCATCAGAGCACAATTGTGTGTTCAGTGCCAGAAATTATCAGCTTGTGTGGAAAAATATAATTAGCAAAAGTAAAAAAATACAACATAAAAAGCAGGACCTGTCTTCCTGATTCTTATCTCATTTGTTTTTTAAGAGTTTTCTTTTTTGGTGCCAGTTTTGTGTTTCTTGTAATCAGTAGGGTCCAAAGATTTTCCGCTTGGTTTAAGAGTCAACTGGGGATGAAGTTAAACTATAACATTGCACCTAAGCTAGTGCAATGACTAGACCTTTCTTTACAAAGGGAGAGTTTTGAACTCATCTGGGTTGCTGGAGAGAAGAATTAGTGATTCCTTTTCAGTGTCACCAGGCAGGCAGATAGCCCTGTTCATGGGATGGACCTGGTGTTACCGCCTATGTCAGCTCCTTTTATTGTAATGCTTTGCCTATCTACCCTCATTCGTAACAGCCAGTGAGCATCACCAAGTGTCAGAAACAGGGTGAAAAGTCATTATCTTTCGTCTTCTTCCTAGTTTAGACCATCTTTCCTACTCACAGACAGATCAACACATAAATATTAACAATCAGCTGCTACAAATAAAGAAAACCTACTACAAGGCTTTGAAAGCGAGGGACATATGCTCTTCCCACAGGTCACTATGCTTACTTCCTTCCCATCAGTAGTAAAGGGGCGTGTGTGTGTGTGTGTGTGTGTGTGTGTGTGTGTGTGTGGTCTGTGTGTCTCCAACTCTGGAGAGCAAATGAACAAGTTTGTCCAGGACAAGTAGACTCTGAATATCCTCTCATCCCACTGGCTCAGGAGTTTTCTACTTATATTTCTGTTGTTGGTAATGTTAGCAGGATATGAGCACATTTGTCCTGTCTTATAATCCCCATGTTTAAAAATGTTTAATGCCCTAAGTCTTTGAATGCTCTTGTCTCAGTTTTAGTTCTTAATCAAGCAGAAAGCTAGGACTGTGCTTAAAGGGAGGATGGAGGTAGGGTGGGGGACAGACACTCACTTGGAATGCAGGTCATTTAACTTGTTCCATGCTAGCACCCTCCCCCTCCTCACAGTGTGTAAAATGCTTGTTTTCTTTGAGAAGAGAGTAGCAAGTCCTATGGCTAGAGTCAGAAAACATGTCTTGGACAGCCTTCCTGGTTTTTTGTTGTTGTTGTTTTTTCCTCCCAGTTGAACTTGAATCTGAGCCTTGATGATTTAGAGTCCTAGGATTTCAGAGTTGGGTGGGAGATGGCTCATGGGAGAGATTGCACCTTGATCCCAAACCCCTTAGCTGCCAGGAAGAGTGTCAGAAAAATTATGAAATCATACTAATTCAGTATGGGTTGGTAGAGTCTCATTCTTCCTCAGGTAGTTACTGGAAAAACAGGAGTGCAGAGAACCAAGGCTTCCCATAGCTCAGACATGCCCTTGGGCCAGAGGGAATGGCCTCAAAAGTCCTTTGTCAAAGGATATTATGTTAGTTCAATAACAGTATAAATATCAGTAAGAAAGTGACAAGCATAAGGTTTAGCATGAAATTGGAGCCTCATTGTGTAACTTAGGAAAGTAAGGGCACACAGTGAAGTTTAAAAAAAATATTCAAAGGCCCAGTAGCGTGTGGGCAGGAAGACTGGCTGCTGCTGGGTGCCCACAGGATCTAGGCCCTTGCACATTGCCTATAAAGATGACTTGGAATTCATCCTCTTTTTCAAAGAGGCAGAGGCTTCAACATTTTGGAGGGGTCACAGTGGTGGTCCTGGCTCCCGCCGTGTGGGAGAGAATACATTTTACCTACCCTTCAAAGAATGAGTTAGAGCCTGGGGTGCCAATGCTGGCCAAATACAAGTTCCTGAGACAGAGAAATCAGGCGGATGCTGAGGATCTCACCTCGAACCATTTGCCCAACAGTGGAGGGTTTCCACAGCCCTTCCCCTTCTCCATGCCCTGGATGTGCCCGGAGGTGCTGTAGGCAGTATTGGTTGCTTGGGCTGATGACTTATATGTCTTAAAGTCTCCAAGTCATTTTTTATGGGGACACATAAAAATTCCTGCTCAACAGCTGCCCTATGTTCATTGATTTGTTTGTTTGTTTGTTTCCCTAAGAGATGCCAGTTTGGCAACACCCAAGGCTGCCTCTCCCCTGATTCAGATCTTGGAGACTTTCATCCAAAACCATACAAAGCCCCAGGGCAGTTTTTTTTGTGTTTCCCTGCATTTAGTGTAATTAGGTGGATAAACTTGCAAAGCCACCTGATTTGAATAAAGTCCATTATTCCTCCTGAAGGAGCTCAGGATGGGATCAATACCAATGGGATCCAACTCTCCAGCCTCCTCTCCCACTGGAATACCTCAAGGAAGAATGTAAATGAATAGAAGGAACAGAGCAAAGGGGATGAGGATAGAATTTAAGAAGTCGTTGTGCTTGCTACGTTGGTGGCCAGATAGGGCCACTTTGGAACATCATGTAAACCACTTAATAACCTCCCACCACAGTATCTAGAGCAGGGCTGGGCCATGCAGTTTCTTCTCACATATTTTTACTTTAAGCAGAATACTTAATATCTATTGGCACGGCTCTGATGTTATTCATCAGACCTAACTCTGAAATCCTAGGACTCTAAATCATCAAGGCTCAGGTTCAAGTTCAACGGGGAGGAGAAAAAACAACAACAAAAAACCAGGAAGGCTGTCCAAGACATGTTTTCTGACTCTAGCCATAGAACTTGCTACTCTCTTCTCAAAGAAAACAAGCATTTTACACACTGTGAGGAGGGGGAGGGTGCTAATCATTACGCAGAAGTGTTTCAATGCACACACCACTCACATTTAGATTTACTTTCTTTTGCTGCATCTTTATACCTACGATAAACCTGGTTTAATATTCCATTAAAATTTTTTTTTAAACCACTGTAACTTTGTTTAATTTGGTTGCTGAAAAAAGTTCTACTTTGGTATAATCTTGTGTTTGTAACCGAGATCGCTTTTAAGAAGGCACATTCTTATCAGAGATAATTTGGAAAAGCTGCAGGTTGTTCACTGTTTGGTACTATAGTAATGATTATCTTGAACTTACAGTTTAGGGTCCTACTTGTTTCACTTAGCATGCATCCTAAGTATTGTCTATATTGTTACATAATCATGTGGTTTTCATGGTTGCATCATAGTCCATTACAAGGAAATGTCACAGCTTGGTTATCTATTCTTCTGTACTGATCATTTTCAGTTTTTCAATATTTATCAATAACTTTGAGCAGAAAATCTTCTAGATTTCCCTTACATTTTATATTATTTTCTTAAGATGGACTTTCCAAGGTCTCTTATAAAGACAATGAATGTATTTTAGGCCAAGGCTTCTCCAAGTGCAGTGTGTGCACAGATCGCTGGTGGATGTTGTGAAATACAGATTCTAACTCAGCAGGTGTGGGTTGGACCTGAGGATCTGCATTTGTCACAAATGCCTGCATGATGCCCAGACCGTGGCTCAGGGCTTTGGGCAGTCTCTTAAAGTTGCTGGTGTATTGGCATTGAGAGTATTTATAATACTCGTTTTGCCAAGTCACTGTGTGGGCTGGTTACCTAGGAGCTCCATCCCCTCAGAAGTACTTTCTAATCAAGAAGAAAGTTTGGATTAGACTGGTGTCCAGAGGGATGGGGAGCTGTAACACCTGCCTTCAATAAAAGCCTCTAAGCTTAGTTGTGGCCACCATTAGAATCATCTGGGGAGTACACACACACACACACACACACACACACACACACACACACTCTCTCTCTCTCTCTCTCTCTCTCTCTCTCTCTCTCTCTCTCTCTCTCTCTCTCAGCTCCCTCCAGACCACTACAAACAGAATGGCTGGCAATGGAACCTGGGTATCAGTATTTTTTAAAGCTTCCCAGGTATTAGAGGTGACTCTGTATAGCCAGGGTTGAGGACCATTGTTGTAAGCGCTTCCCAACTTAAATCTCACTGAGCTCCCAACTATGTTTTATACCTGCTTGGATGTAAAGCTTGGGGCTTATACATGCTACACTCAGACCTCTACACTTTCGACAATGGATTTAGCACAGCCATGAGTTGTCTTTGCAATTCAGAAAAAACAATAACCATTATTTCGGACAGAAAACAAGGTATTTGTCATCGCTGACTTCTCCATCAAACTCACTCTTTTGTAGCATTTGCTGGTCCCATCTTACTGAATGCCACCATTGTACACTCAGTCTCCCAAGCCAAAAACCTGGGGCTGATCCTAGCCCCTTTACTTTCCCATGCCCTTCAGATCTAAGCAGTTCTCACAGTCCTTTGCTCTGTATGTACTTGTTTCTTATAGAATGTATCACATTATATTAAAATTATCTCTTAGCATGGTATGTCCTTCAACTAGACCATGAGCCTCTTGACTCCAGAGATAGTATCTGATGCATCTTTTTATTCCCCACATCTAGTGCAGTGCCTGTCTAGCACAGAGTGGAGACTCCTGAAGTAACTATTGAATGAATGGATGAAATAAAATAGGTTTTGATCACATATAACCCTGGAAGATTATTCTTATGGTTGAAAGTTTCATAGCAGCATGGTGCTAGCAGGAGCACAGATTGCCTAGATAGTGCCTGGTGCCAACATGGCCTTGGCCTTGGGGGTGTGCAAGACGGCAGACGGAATGCCCAGCACGCACTGAGTCCCTGCCACTCACCACCTGCTAGAGTAACACCTGCTGTTTCTGTTTGGCAGTTGCCTTTTCGGGCCTTGGCTTCACGACGTTCTACTTGGCGGGCAAGCTGCACTGCTTCACCGAGAGTGGGCGGGGAAAGAGCTGGCGGCTCTGTGCTGCCATCCTGCCCTTGTACTGCGCCATGATGATTGCCCTGTCCCGCATGTGCGACTACAAGCATCACTGGCAAGGTGAGTCCCTGCCCAGGGCCTGACTAGTCCTCACTGTGGTTGCCCCTCTCCTCCAGGGATGGGTGTAGAAATGCACCAATTGTGGGGAGCTAAGTGCCCATTGTCCAAAACCAGAGGAGGCTGAAATGACAGAGCGGATAAAATTTTGAAGCAAATATGCTGGTTCAAGTGAGGTCTGGCCTTCCTGGGGAAAGAATTGGAGCTCTTCTTCCTCCTTCATGCTCCAGGAGACTGCTTGAGTCCTGCCAGAATGTCAGGCCCTTTGGTTTAGTGTCACCCTTGGCCTGAGACCCAAATGTGATTTTCCTGCTGGATCACTTGCCTCAGTCCTCAGAGTTGGTGCCAAGTGGTTTTTGGCTTCCTTTGCTTATCAAATCCAGCCTACAAGGACGTATTTGTCACCATGGATGCTCTTCCGAAAGGTATATCTAGCCAGGGATTCATTCCAGTAATGCTCCAAGCAGCAGCTGCAAGCCTGGGGTGAGGTTTGCCTATATATATACATATATCAGTCCTGGGGTATTTGTTAAAAATCAAAATAACACAAAACAAGGGAGGGGCTTGTTCCTGAAATATAACTAAACCATGCCATGTCCTTCTGCAGACAAACTGCAGCTCACAGTCTGTCTGAAAGACAACCACCACCTGCCAGAGCACACAGAGAGCTGAGACGGAGGTGATGTCCATGGGAGGTGTGGCCTCCAGGAAGCATGGGGTCTAGGGAAGGGTTTCCCAAGGGCAATCCTTGGATCACCTTGATCAAGCTGCCCTGAGCTAGAAATTGGACTCTCTAGGGGTGCATCTGGAGCAGTGGCCTAGAATCTTCCTGGATAATAAGCAAGCCTGTCATTGCTGATGAAGTCTAAGAAACACTGGTAAAGAGCTCCACCATATGTGTCAATTTTAACCAAACAAAGGAAAGAAAGTGTGCCTGAATCCAGCTTCTTTGAATGAATGGGCTTCCATGATAGGTCTGTGACCCAAACCTCCTCTCCCTTTCTTGTTTTCCGACTGTTGCTGGGCATTGTTCACCTCCTTCCTCTCTCTGTCTTTGCAGCCAGCTGCCTTGCAGGACTGCCCTCTTCCTACCTTTTCCGGGGGTTTGTTGCAGTGGTAATGAGGCAATGGATGGGGACAGGGTTGAGGGGAACTCCTAGCTGAGAGCCCCTCCTTCCTCATCTTCTCTGGAGACCTTGTGCTCCTTCTAGCACTACACAGCTTCTCCTGTTCCTTCCTGGTCTCATCCCTACCCCGTATCCTCCTGGAGCTCATGCTCTGGGTGTCCTGTGACCCCAGCAGGAGCTTTGGGCTGGAGGATGAAGGGTATAGGGAAAGAGATGCTGACATGGTTTGGACAGGTGGATGCAGCAAGCATCAAGTGCTACTAAGGTCTGAGGCCCTCCTGATGGGGGAGGTCAGAAGAGGGTCACAGGTCTGAACCTGCCCTTGTTCTGTTTTTATCAATGACTTGGATGAAATTCTGGATGATAAGAAGCCGCATCATGAGATGGAAGGATGGACAGAGTCACTGGGCCAACAAAAACAGAGGCACAGCCCCCCATTGGAACTGGGAATATGTTCCCGCAGAATTGTTTCCCACCTATGTGAGTTAGGGCATTTCCCCATGAAGAATATTACGGGCCAAATGGCCTTTTATGGACTGCTTCTCATTGATCCCTTGTGAGCCAGTTTCCTCTTTGAGCACAGGAACTATCCCTAATATTTCACAGAGCTTTTCATAGATTGAATGAAATAATGGATCCAAATGTTCTTTGTAAATGGAAATTTACTACACACATGCAAAGTGGTATCATTGTTGCTTAGTACATTTTTTCTAAGGAAGGATGCATTGTGTTTCCCAAACAACTGACTTGGAGACAGACTTTTTTTTTGGAACATGATTTATTTGTAAGCTATGAATGCCAGGTTTTCACTTTTATTCAACCACTTTGGATTCGGGGAATGATTGGGGGTTTCAGAATTGAATCAATTTTTCCTTTATCTTGGAGTCAATAAGAGCCTTTGCATAGTACTAACAACCTAGGATGTGAGGCTGGCCTGTCTTCAGCACTCTCTGGCCCTACCCTGTTTTGTTCCTCATTTCCTAGCTGTGGTAGTGTAACATGGCCAGAGTAAAGGAATGTGGAATCACAGCTCTTGTCTTTAGGGAATGGTGAATTTATGCTGCAGCTGGTGTACCCAAGGCCTGTTGGCAACTGGGGCTTTGAAACCGTACTATCCAACAGGCACAGAAAGGAACTATGAGCAGTCAAGGGAGAATATTCATCCTGTGTGGGCTGTTGGGAAAGCAAAGCAAGAGAATTTATGTTCAGTGATGGTTAGAACCATATTTGGGAATCAAACAAAAACTGCGTCATGGTAGACTTCTGCAGCCCAAACTGAATGTGCATCTCTTGGTACAGGTTATTGATATAGCCTAAGGACCAGTTCAGCTCTGCCATTATGTGTTCAACTTATACCCTTGGAGTCAGCCAGGAGAGGAACACAACTTCCCTTGGATGCTCTAAAGGGCTCTGAGTCAGGCTCATTTTACCTGAGTTCCCCTTCATGAGGCTATCTGCCGCTGTCCACACCAGTTGTTTTCAATCTCTCAGGGGACATTTAGCAATGTCTCTAGACATCTTCTTGGTTGTCACAACTTTGAGGGGTAGGTGCTACTACTGCCATCCAATGGGTGGAGGGTTAGAGACTAGGGATGCTACTAAATGTCCTACAATCACAAGACCCCTCGCCCACTAACAAGGAGTTATGCAGCCCCAAATGTCAATACTGCCCAGGTTGAGAACCCCTGTTCTACATCATACCCCAGCTCCATATTTCTTTTCCATGTTACACGTTAAGAAGCAGCAATGTTCTGGGAGTGGGAAGTTTTGTTCATTCAATACTCAATTATTAAGGGAGAAATCAAGGAGACCTCAAAGGTTTCCCACTGGGAGGAGGGATGCAGAGTGAGGTCTTCAACTGCAGTGTAGGTGGATGTTTCAGGCAGGATGCCTGATTAAGATAAATAACTTGTTTTCCTTTGGTGAACTGAGCTGCCCAGTGACTGTGGGCGGGGGCCATCCATCATGGTGAGAATTCACATGGAGCCCCATTAGCATCAGCAAAACTCAAGTCCCCCTCATTATAGACTTTAGTTAACAGCATTCATGTTGTGAGATTTTATGACTCCATTTCAATTTTGATTTAAGCAACTGTGCCTAATGTGGAAATACATCCAATTACTCGATTACACATTCATATCCAATAAATAGTCTATAATCTCTAATGACTCTCTCTCTCCATTATCATGGTTATTTTCTGCTATTGACACTCCCTGGTCTTTTCTGCCTCCCCAGCCCACTCCAAATATACAAATCTATTGTTTTATTAAGTGACGAAAATACAGAGGCACAGGCCATGGCATAGGGAAGGAGACATGAAACATTTAGCAGAACTTCCCCAGACACAAAACCGGTGGGATCAATACTAAATCTCTGTGTGGCTGATGTGGCCTGTGTCCTTGTGACATTCTGGCTTGCAGGTCAACTGGAAGCTGGAGAGTTTCACAGATGATGCTAACTACAAAGCCCAGTGCCCTCTCAAACAGGCTTATCTTTGTGATTAACAATGTGTTTAGCAGCGCTCAAACTTGTGGAATCCCCATACTAGAGAAAATAAATGCAGAGAAAGAGCAGAGCATGTCATTAAACTGACTCCTGCCTCTATTCACGCTCTTATGTGATTACGATTTCTTGTCAATGGAGGGTTACAACTACTAGTGGCAGGAATGTGGTGTTTGCTCCATCACTGGACTTAATAATGAGCTCCCCTGACCCCTCAAGTCCCTGCACCTGAAACCAGCCTCTCCTCTTGTGACTTTAGGTTTGGAGGTAACATTTTAAACACTTGTTCCTCTAATCATAGGTCATTTTAAGCAGCCCTGGGTGCCTGCGTGGTGTTTCATTATAAGAAAGAACATCCCCCTCTGGATGTAATCTAGGGAAACAGGTCTCAAAGAATGAAACATTCATTTGTTCCCACCCAGACTAAGGTTGGAAAGCGTCTCGGTCATTCACAGACACAGTTGTCTAACCGGGCTGAAGTTTTCAAGATGGCCATTATTGCGTTCGCCTGCTTTCCCAGACTGGGCTGTGAAGGGTCTGTGATTTGAAATGAACTAAATATAGTTACCAAGCTTCAGGAGATTACTGACCCTGCAAATGCAGGTGTTTTGGTAGTTGGATATTGTGCTGGACTATTTCATGTGCCACAAAATACTTCTGGCCTCAAGAAGCCCAGGCAGAAGCTATTCCCTTTGGAGAAACCCTTTTTTCAAAGCCTGATGGCATTCTACAACTCACAGGACTCTCTTGAGTTCTCCTTCCTTTTGTTACTGATAAACCCAGTAGTCCCAAAGATGGGATCCTTCCCTGTTCCATGTGACAGAGCCATTACATGAAATCAAAAGTGAGCATCAAGCAGAGTAAGCTTTATTCCATGGCCAAAGAATGGAGAAGTTGGGGCCGGGCGCGGTGGCTCATGCCTGTAATCCCAGCACTTTGGGAGGCCGAGGCGGGCAGATCACGAGGTCAGGAGATAGAGACCATCCTGGCTAACATGGTGAAACCCCGTCTCTACTAAAAAAAAAAAAAAAAATACAAAAAAATTAGCCAGACTTGGTGATGGGCACCTGTAGTCCCAGCTACTCGGGAGGCTGAGGCAGGAGAATGGCGTGAACCTGGGAGGCAGAGCTTGCAGCGAGCCGAGATCATGCCACTGCACTCCAGCCTGCGCGACAGAGCGAGACTCTCAAAAAAAAAAAAAAAAAAAAAAAAGGAAAGAAAGAATGGAGAAGTGGGAACACAGCTCTCAGATGAACTTCTCAGCTAGTGAGCAGTGAAGGGATTAAAATATAGGGTTTCTCTAATGAAGAGGTCAGGTAGTAAAATCTAGGGGAGGAATAATCGGATCTTTTTCTGGAAATGGATGGTGAACTCCTGGGAACCAGAGTGCTGCCTTCCTTTTATGGCTTCTTCCAATTGTTGTCATGGCAATTGTCAACTGTCATGGTGCTAGTGAGAGTGTCATTTAGCATGGAAATTAGATGATAATGAAGCCTGAGGTCTTCTTGAAGTTGTTCTGTCAGCTGTCTTGGTTTTAACCAGTTTCAGGTAGTCCAGTTACAAAGGGAACTTTTTACCACAGGGGTCTCATTTCTTAAAGATAAACAGGGAGGGGTGTAAATCCAGCTATGTCATGTAAGCCTTACGCTGAGTAACACCTTCCCCTTCCCTCCCCTCTGTCTCTGTCTCCATCTCTCTGTCTGCCTCTGTCTCTTACACACACACACACACACACACACACACACACACACACGGCTGAGGGACATACACTGTTATAAGCAGGCCTCCCTTGTGCTGTCAGAAGCAATCTGTAGATTTTCTAAATGAAGTGACTTGAAAAAGATCCCTTGGAACAATATGATTGTTTCTGCCAAAAACCTGCCAGCCCTGGGTAGAACAAAAACACTGAAATTCTCCCTCTAATATCCTCAGCCCAAGTGAATTGATGTCACCTCATTTTCCCTCCACAGTTGGCTGCTGTGTATGGCAGGGCCCACAGTCACATTTACCATCGGCTGCCAACCCCCGCCTCTGTCTGGGAACCTCTGAACCTTGACTGCCCATCTAAGTCCACCCGCCTCTGTGTTGGTGCCTAGGAGAGCGTAAGAAGCCTCAGCCCCTGGCTCACCCCTCCCTCCGGTCAAAGTCCACTGCATATCCTGCTTTCAGCCTCAAGAGAGGCATTCTCAGTCAGGACTTCTGCCCTCTTCCTGCCTCCAGGATAGCCCTGGTGTTTCCCCGTGATGTAATTCCCAGGGAAGATGGACGTTGATTGCTCCCAAGTCTCACTGGCATCCTTCCTTTGTTTTACTCAAGGGAACCTGTCTCTTCTCAGCTTTCTGTGGTGTTCTGTGGTTCCTCCTGCTCAGCATATTTATAGACTCCAACTTTTCCTTCCCACTCTGGTCTAGTGATCCTCAGTTGTTGCCTGAATCATTGCAGAAGCCTCTCAGCCTGGCTCCCTCCTTCCTTCTTTGGCCCTCAACTGCATTTGGAATGTGCCTTTAGAGCCTGCGTTAGCACATGTCACTTTTGCAAAAATCCTCCAGTGATTCTCATTTCACTCAGCATCACAGCCTGTGTCCTGCCATGGTCCATAAGATCTGCTCCCTCCGTACTTCTTTGATGCTATGTTCAAGCTACTTGTCCTCCTCGTTCACATGATTGCATCGCTTGAGCTTCTTGCTACTCCTTGAACAGGCCCGTCCCATCCCACCTCAGAGCCTTTCCACAGGCTCCACCTTGTGCCTGGAATGCTCTTCTTCAGATGTGGGCGTGGCTTGTTCTCCTCTCCCTCCTAAACTGGGCTCAAGTGTCACCTTCTCCGTCTCGTGATGCCCACTCCACTTGAATTGCAGCCCCTTCCCCACATGCCATGTCCCTCTCCCCTTGCGCATTTACCACCTTCTGACAAATGAAGTCATTTATTATGTATTGATTATTATCTGTCTCTAACCACCAGAACAGGGGTTGGCAAACTTTGTAAAGGGTCAGATATCAATATCTTAGGCTGTATGTGGCCATGAGATCTTTGTTGCACCTATTCAGTTTGGCCGTAGTGCACAGAAGTGGCTATAGACAATATGTAAAGGAACGTGTTCACTTAGTTTGCTGGCGTCTGCACTAGAATATAATATCCACGTGAGCAGGGATTTAGGTCTCTGTTGTTGGCATGGCACATAGTAGGTACTTGTATCAGGGTCCTACGGCTGCCATAGCAAAGTACCAAAAACTGGGTGGCTTAGAACAACAGAAAGATATTGTCTCACCGTTCTGGAGGCTGGAAGTCTGAAATCAAAGTGTTGGCAAAGCCACCCTCTCTCTGAAATCAGTAAGGGGAGGATCCTTCTCTGCCTCTTCCAGCTTCTAGTAGCCCCAGATGTGCCTTTGCTGATGGCAGCATAATTCCAGTCTCTGCCTCTCTCTTCCCATGGTGTTTTCTCTGTGTGTCCTCACATCAGCTTCCCTCTTTGGGTGTCTGTCTCTGTGTCCAAATTTCCCCTCTTTATAAGGACACCAGTCATATTGCATTAGGGCCCACCCTGATTATCATATTTTAACTTGATTACTCCTGTAAAACCCTATTTCTAAATAAGGTCACATTCTGAGGTCCTAGGGACTAGGACTTCAGCATATCTTTCAAAAGGACACAATTAAATTTATAACAGTCTTCAATACATATGTGCTGAATAAATAAATGAGTTTGACTTAATCATGTTCCTTTCTTACTAATATCATTTTTTCTTTGGGCTGGTTTTACTAGTAACTTATTCTCTACAAGTTCTTTCCTTTTAAAAATAAACAAAAGGTTATACTGTAAATATTCCCTCCCTCCCTCCCTCCCTTCCTCCCTCCCTCCCTCCCTCCCTCCCTCCCTTCCTTCCTTCCTTCCTTCTCTCCTTTCTTCTTGTCATTGTGTCTGTGTACCCGGCGTGTTCTCCACTGGGCTCAGTACTGAGTAAGATGGACATAGCTGCTGTCCTCTCAGCTTATACTGTACCAGGGCTATTTTGCATACTTCCTGCTAGGTAAGCTCTTTTGTAGAAACTCAAAGTCACAGAAACATGAAGCTTCACAAGTAGCAGAATCACTGGAAAGAATAAAAAGAACAACAAAAAAATCACATGCACTTGTTGAGTTTGCCAGAGCTGACTTTTGCCCTAGTACCTTGGGTCATGGAGCCCAAGGCATACAAGGTCCCAAGTCAAGCTAGCTTAGTGATGTTGGAGGCTGCCTTGGTGACAGAAGGGATGATCTTCTGGAGGACCTGACAGCACATCTTCAGAAGCCTTTCTGCTTGTTTGTGCCACAACAGATGAGGGCAGCCTGGCACCTCAGTATGGCAGAACTCATAAGGTCCTTCCTGTCCTTTGACCTCATGGCAAGAGGGCAGGGTTTTGCCAATGTTATAGGTAAGGATTCAGATCCAGGCTGCCTGATTGAAAGTCACTCTTTCCACTACCATTGGAGTTTATCTGGCTCATCTGGTGTCAATTCTCTCCTCTCTTTTTAAAGAACAGCTTTCTTTATAATTCTCAATTATAAAATTCTCCCTTTTAAAGTACAGAAACATTTTTATATATCCAGAGTTGTGCAACCATTACCACTATCTAATTCTAGAACATTTTCATCACCCCAAAGAAACCCTTATCTCTCAGCAATCGCTTCTCATTTCTCTGTGCCTCAGGCTCTGGCAACCACTGATCTACTTTTTATCTCTATGGGTTTGCCTATTCTGCACATTGCATATAAATAGAACCATACAATGTGTGGCCATTTGTGGCTGGTGATGTTGATTCTTTAGTGCCTCTTGTAGATGTTGTTCAGCTCATGTCAGTTCCCCATTTACTGAATAAAAGTCGGCTGAGCTCTGGGAAATAAATAGGAATGAAACATCCCAGAGTCCTAGGTAATGACATGTAGTTGGGGAGATAGATTCAGAAACAGGAAACACCACTGGTGGTAGGTGTGAGGCCACAGAGTGCATAGATGGCAGGCCAGAGAGAGAGCAGGTCCCCTGGTCCATGCTGAGGGCTCCACAGAGCCACAAAGGGACATGGAAAACATTCTGCTCCAGCCCATACCAGATGACTGGTCAATTTGTGTCCTGTAGTCTTACAAAGACACTACCCCTTTCTTAAAAGATGGGTCTATCTTCAGTTTCTCAGATTTACCAAGCCTCCTTTGTCATCAGCACCTTCTCACATACCCTTCTCTCTGCCTGGAAAACCACCAGTGCCCTCTTTTCCTCTACTTCTCAACCTCTCCCGGTTAACTCTTGCTCATCCTTCAGGTCTTAGCCTGAGGGTCATGTCCTCAGCAAAACCTCTGCTCCAGAATAGCCCAGATCTCTGTGCTGGGCGAGCTCACAGACCCTCACACGTTTCCTTCATGGTGCTTACCATAGCTGCAAATTGCTGATACGGCTGTCATTGTTTAGTGTCTGTCTTGCCCCTTTGCTGGAAACTCTGGGACAGCAGGGACATGTCCCATTCGTTCAGCCTGTGTCCTAGGCTTGGCCATCATGCCCGACCCCTGATACGTATGCAGTGCATGTGTATGAATGAATGGCATCAGTGCTACGTAAGGAGACAGAAGTATTTTGTATTCCAAAGACACTGAGATCCATTTATTTCCCTTTTGAGACTTCTAGTTGATTTGGGGCAAAGTTAATCCCAAGTGTTTTTCCCCCAATAAGGGCTTTCTTGTCCCCTGCTTGCCTGTCTATCAAGAGGATACAAATGTGATTTTATCAAAATAGCAATAGCCCACTTGAGGCAATTGATGACAAGCTCCTTCATAAAGTAAGTTATTGTTTGGATCTTGTTCGCCACCTTTGTAATAAACACAGCCCCAAAATGACTTTGCTGAGAAGCAGCTTGGATAGACCTTTCATTGCCCTTGTTACTTCTCATAGACTCCCATAGCACCTGTGATATCACTTTTCACTCATTCCATTAAATGGGAAACAGAATTGGCAGGAATTGTCATTTCCATGCATGCTGCTATGTCAGTAAATCTGGGAAACATTCTTGGAATGGTTTGATGTCTTTTGGTCAATGATCCACCTAATGAAATGCTGCTTCAGAAAATAGAATGTTGAATGGTGTTATTTGTAGGTTTTGCTCTTTGGTCTGTTTAGTCAGTGGCTCAACTGCAGATGTTGTGGATCGTTTTAGATGCTAATAGAAATACCTCATGGGACTGTTTCCTGGGGTTAGAGGAAAAACAAAACAATAGTGCAACTCTAAGACCTTGAACTAGTAAAAGGCCTGACACATTTTATAGGCTGGTGGCCATAAGCTAGTGAAGAGATTCTTCATTTAAGCAACTTCATTTAATCACGTTAATTACACCCTGTGGCCCTGCTCCAGAATTCACGGTACATATTGCTTTACAATTTCTTGGGTGACAAACGTGTTTTTAAGTTCCTTAGAAGTTTATTTACGATGCTATGAAAATGTAGCCATGCCAGAGAGGTGAGATCTGTAAGCTTCTGAGTTGCTGTGTGAGGAGAAGGATGGGGCAGAATGAGAAAGCCTCCGGCAGCTCTGAAGTGGAATGTGAGAGGAATGGCAAAAGGATAACAAGGATGGATACTATTTTTATGTCCTATTTTGGCATGCTCCATGAAATAATCATTAGAAGTAATATATTATTAAATTATCATCACAACTTAATGAGGCGGATACTGAGATCCACATTTGAGAGAGAAGGAAACTCAGAGAGGCAAAGCAACTTGCCCTGGTAGGGCCTGCAATGTCTTAGCCTTAGGATTTCTCAGCGTGGAAGATTCTTGGATCGGGGGTGAGGATAAGTGGTGGTTACCTTACTGCAGCCCCAGGAGCCTCCAAATGGCCAACAGTTCTTCTCTTGGGAATGGATCTGCTGCCTCCTTTTCTTCTTCATTCTTGGGAATGCCTCTTGCTTTCCCTGCTGTCCTCCAATCCCCCCGCTACCCTGATGGCTGCTCACCAAGTCTGAGCAGACACGAACCTGTATTCCTTGCCTTTCTCCCAGACAGCTACTGCTCAGTCACACTGTATTCATCAGTTGTTGAAGTTTGAACTCGTATGGGGAGAAAGCAGTGACAATTATTTGGTCTCTCCCATTGACTAGTTAGAATGACTTTTGTTTCTAACTGATATTTTATCTGAACCAAAGAGAAGATATGACCTATTTTTTTCTCTTTTCTTTTTCTTTTTTTCTTTTTTTTTTTTTTAAAGAGATGGAGACTTGCTCTGTTGCCTGGGCTGGAGCGCAGTGGTACGATCTTGGCTCACTGCAACCTCCACCTCCCGGGTTCAAGCAATTCTCCTTCCTCAGCCTCCAGAGTAGCTGAGATTAAGGCACATGCCAACACACCTGGCTATTTTTTTTTTTTTTTTGTAGTTTTAGTAGAGACAGGGTTTCACCGTGTTGCCCAGGCTGGTCTCAAACTCCTGAGCTCAGTCAGTTCGCCCTCCTTGGTCTCACAAAGTGCTAGGGGATATGACCTATTTTCTAAATGCACCTTGGTAGAGTCTCCAAATAATCTCAATGTGTGGCCTCAGTAGGCTGACTCAGGATCACATTCCTGGAACACTTACATAACAAGGCCTCTTAGCCACCTTGTACTTGTGGTTCCATGCTAATATGTTACTGATGAGGTCATCAGGAGGACCAGAATGGGAAAGGGGCATGCCCAAAAACACACAGGACAGCAACCCGACCTAACCCTGAGTTACTATGTATCCATTTCCCTCAACAAACATAATTATGCTGTGAGCAAGATGTTGGCCAAGGTGCTGAAGGAATCAACAGCCAACCCTAATAGAGTTTTGAGTCCAGCATTAAACATTAAACAATCGCACAATTTGTCATTGTTCGCCACTCTAATTGCACAGGGAGTGGGGAGGGACTATTAACATGTGTAACTGGGAGACTTGGTCTAGTCTGGAGGTCAGATGAGGCTATGTTGCACAATGATGTTGAGCTCTGAAATATGAATAGAAATGACATTGAGCTCAGAAATATGAATAGAAATGACATTGAGCTCTGAAATATGAATAGAAATGACATTGAGCCCTGAAATATGACTAGAAATGATATCGAGCCCTGAAATATTAATAGAAATTGATTAGGGGAAGGCATGAGGAGAAGGGATTCCTGGGAATCCAGGATCGGAACAGCACATGTGGAGCCCCAAGAGGAGAAGCAGCACATGTATTTGAGGAACTAAAGGGAAGACCATGGCTTCGGTAGGAGGAGTGAAGGGGAAATGGCTGGGATGGTTGGCAGGGCCAGGGATGCAGCCTTGAATGACACAGGGGCTTGGCTGTTCTGTTACAGCAGTGGGAAGGAGTCAGCCAAGCAGGAGAATGGCTGCGCCTATTTGCTCTTGAGAGAACATCACCAGCTGCTGTGTCCCAAGTCCAGTTCCAGAGCAGCGTACTGGGCCCCTGGTCTACATGCACTGAAACTTATGCTGCCATCACGGACATGTCTAAAATAAAAGAGCTTTTCTTTTATTTGTACTTCTTTTCCTGCTTTGCTATTGTGGATTAATAAAATTACATGCATGAAATTACTAAATTTGTTTTAAAGAAGATAAAGCTATTCATTATAGAACTTTTCATGTTTAACTATTAGCTTCATAGAAACTGAAAGTAGAAGCAATTCTATGAAAGATACTGAAATATGAAAATATTGTCCCCGTCCTCAAAAATTATCCCGTTAGATCTAGATAGAACCAGGATACCTATAACAGGATCACAAAAAGACTGATAGGTGCAATGCACGTTTCTAAGCATTGAGCAGCTTGTTTTCTTGAAAGATACATTTCTTTAATGACCACTCAAAATGTCACCTACAGGAGATGCAGGGACATTAGTTTGTGACTTAAACTGAAGTCTTTATATAGTGCGTTGCTTACTGGGAAGCGTTGGGAAACTTGCCACCCTGAGCACTGATCCTTCAGGAAAACCATTGCCTCCTACCTGAATGCAGATGGACATACCCTTCAGCCCGTGGGGCCTGCTGCATCCTGAAGGCTGGGACCTCAGACAGTCATGTGGTTATCAAGCCTGGAATGAACCCGCCAGGGTGTGGACACAGCATCACGGACCAGTGCAACTGCAGGATCAGGACTCCAGGGTTCAAGCCCAATTCTTTTGGGGAAAATGGGGCTGATCCTGCCTGCCTATGGGAAGTCTGTACGGTTCAACAAGAGTTTCAAATTTTTTTGTTAGGGGAGATTTTCCACTGGACTAGAATCTTTTCAGCAAAAATAACCCATAGACAGTTAAAGTGAACACACACACAGATACTAAGCGAGAGTTGTTTATGTGAGCTGCTTTTATGAGGTCTCTATTGAGAACTACCTGAATGTTCTCTTTGGCAGGGGGCTGCCCTTGGGGCGGAGGGCTGGTATTCCCTGCAGATGCACCCCCCTGCCTCACCTGCTCCCCTCTTGCCTCCCAGCTGGTAAGATCTGTATCTGTTAGAGAATTGAGTCCTTCCCGCCAGAGGTCTGCTGAGTTTGCCAACACAGGCATATCTTAAAATGTTTTATTCACTTTGTCTGTGACTCAGAAGGTTCATTTCATCCCTGGGAAACCACTTACCATGAGGCAGAGACCCTGGCATCTGCTGGCTTTTCTGCAGCACACCAGCAATACTACAGGACTCTGATGGGAACTTACTAAAGAAAAAAAAAATTACAGCTCCCAAGATATTTAGATCCTACAGAGATGGCTTGAATTCTTCTTCCAGAATTTAGAATTGATTTCAAAAATCAGAAATACAAATCTGAGTTTATGCAATGCTCAGGTGTGAGTTAAAGAAATACAGGGAAGGGCTGGGTGTGGAGGCTCATGCCTGTAATCCCAGCGCTTTGGGAGGCCGAGGTGTGCAGATCACATGAGGTCAGGAGTTCGAGACCAGCCTGGCCAACAGGGTGAAACCCTGCCTCTACTAAAAATACAAAAATTAGCTGAGAGTGGTGGCATGTGCCTGTAATCCCAGCTACTTGGGAGGCTGAGGCAGGAGAATCACTTGAACCAGGGAGGCAGAGGCTGCAGTGAGGCGAGATTGCAGCACTGCACTCCAGCCTGGGCAACAGAGCAAGATTCCATCAAAAACAACAACAACAACCCAAAACAAAACAAAAAACCGGGAAGAAAGAATCAAGTACTCATTTTTAAGTATTTCAGTACCAGAAATGCTGGCAGTTTGCAGAGGCCACCACTGTGGTTTCTTTCCTTTAGTCTTTCAGGGGGTCCTGTAAGCAAACCAGGTCCTAGAACAGGAAGGAAAAGTGCTTTCTGGAAAATATAATTGGCCACATTTGAACAAATGGTAACCCATTTTTCCTGCTCTGCTGTTTCCTGCCTAGATTCCTTTGTGGGTGGAGTCATCGGCCTCATTTTTGCATACATTTGCTACAGACAGCACTATCCTCCTCTGGCCAACACAGCTTGCCATAAACCCTACGTTAGTCTGCGAGTCCCAGCCTCACTGAAGAAAGAGGAGAGGCCCACAGCTGACAGCGCACCCAGCTTGCCTCTGGAGGGGATCACCGAAGGCCCGGTATGACCAGTGTCCTGGGAGGATGGACACTAAGCCCTGGGCACATCTGCCACCCTGACATCATAACACAATAGAAATGGTTTTCTGTAGTGTATTTTTCATCAGTTGTTTCTCAAAGTCATCGTACTTCTGCTTCTGTTTCACTGATGGTGTTCCTGCTACTTTAAATGTCTACTTCCAACATCCTTGAATTTGCAAGTGAAGGACAACAATCTCTGAGAGACGTGTGGAAGAGGCTGTGAAGGTGGGGTTTGGGGAGCTTGGCCGATTCGTCTATCTGAAATGTTTGCTGTAACAGCCACCTTCCTATGTTTTCATGGTTGTAAAACATAATAAAACCTCCCACGTGGAAGACTTGGTGTTGGCCACCCAGCGCAACAAGTCATTTGGAGATGCAGCAGGTTTCTCAGAGACCCAAAGCCAGCTCTGTCTGTAGGTCATTCCAGGTGCTGAGCTTGGAAGCAAAGGCTCAGAACCTTTCTGAGCCATCAGCTTCTCATAGCCCACGTCTCTAAAATAGATTTGAAACTTGGAGTGACAGCTTGAGCATTTCCAGGGCTTTTGAATCATTGAATCTGGAAGCAAATAAAATTAATAACTTCATGCACAGACTTCCACCAAACACAATGAGCATGAAGATGCATGAGTGCATGTGTGGGGGATGAGGTCACAGCAGTTGCCTGAGGGTTCATGGGCACAATATCCTTCCCATCTTCCAGTCTAAGTTTATGGAGCCACTTCTGTAGCTCTGCCTCATACAGTGAATTTTTGGGGCACGGGGGCTTTACTTGGCTCTTCTGCAAGAAGTGATGTGACCGATCTCACAGATCAGAAACCGCATGCCTGGGGCTCATCTCAAGGGAGTGGCTGAGTGGCCATTGGGGATAAGAAGCAACTTCAGGCTGAGAATTTTTCCCCTTTAGGATCTGAGTTTTGCAGAGCTCTGCTCTAAGGATTCTCCAAGTGGTGGTGTGTTCCTGTTCCTATCTAGCTGGCAATATTTCAGCATGATAGGACTCTGGTAGAAGGTACAAGAACAGAATCAGGAATGTGCTGTGTCTCTCGCTCAGCTCTTTGCATTGTTGAATACAGCCAGTCAATATGAACCTTTTTCAGTCTGAGTATAGAGCACGCTGCTCCTTGGCCAGCTAGTTTTTTCAAGGCAAGGAGCATCCCCTTCATCCAATTCTGATTGGATGTACCATGTGGTTGTTCAGATTCCTGGGCCTGGGTGCTACGAGGTGATGCATCTTTGCTATCCAGAGTGTCACTTTTTTTTTTTTTTTTTTGAGATGGAGTCTCGCTGTGTCGAGACTGCACTGGAGTGCAGTGGCGTGATCTTGGCTCACTGCAACCTTTGCCTCTGGGTTCAAGCTATTCTCGTGCCTCAGCCTCCCAAGTAGCTAGGACTACAGGTGCCCGCCACCACACCTGGCTAATTTTTGTATTTTTAGTAGACACGGGGTTTCACCACGTTGGCCAGGCTGGTCTCGGACTCCTAGCCTCAAGTGATCTGCCCACCTCGGCCTCCCAAAGTGCTGGGATTATAAGCGTGAGCCACTGCACCTGGCCAAGAGTGTTGCTTTTGGGCAGTTAGCATAACAGACTGCATTTTGAGAGACTCAGGTGGCTGCCTAAATGGTCAGCTTATCAGCCCTGGGCTGCGTGTGCAAGTTAGAAGCATCAGAATATCTTTGATCAGCCATTTCTGTTAAGCTCCATGGGCTTAAGCTTGGAGTGCATGTACCACTGACTATGCTCCATGAGCCCCAGTGCAGCCCTCTCCAGCCCTGGTCCTTCCAAACTGGCTTTGGCACGGTCATGTGATTGTCCCCTGGATGGAGTGGGAGAGGGGGAGGCTTGAATTGACTTTCATCCAAAGTCAAGCCATTGATTTTTTAAAAATTATAGCAGTTACATTGGCAAGCAACTTTGAAGATGAATGTGAGATATTTTAAGAGATAAATCATAGCAATTGAAAAGACATAATTTTAAATTCTGAGCTAAAATTCATTTAAAATTAGAAAATTAAACAATACTCTAATTTAACTAAAAACTCTATAATTTTCAAAAATAAAGCCCAAAATAGAAATGTAGGAAAAAGATCCTTTGCTACTGTTAAAAAAAAAAACCCCATCCTGATGTGGCCCACATTCTTATTTGATTCTAGTTTTATCTGAGCAAGAGGAAAGGAAAAGGGTTGTACTTCAGTTAATAAAGACTTAAAATTCTGGACCATCAAGTGTAAATTTAATATAAATAATTTTATTTAAAGATAAATGGCCAGGAAGTACTCTGCAAAGTAACAACAGAGTATTACTAATGCTGATAATTACATGGAAAATCCTAATACTGGCCATGTAAAAGCTTTGATTAAAATATAATTCAAATTACAGATGATGTAATAACATGAAGCTGGTGGTAGGATCCTCAGGAGCCATAATGAACAGTGTAAGCCAGTTCACAAAAGGCAGGCATTTTTACAGATCCTTATGTTTCAATTTCATGCTCTATTCACGTGAAGTAAATATAACATCACAGTGTACCAATTAAATGGCCATAATGAGAACGTTTATTCCTCAACCCCTGATTTTTTTTTGGATGTGGGGTTCCTAATTCAGTCTCTTTGGAAAAGCAGGTTACACACAGTGTGAAGAGTCCGAGCCCACCCTGGGAGCTGTGGGATGTCGGAATTTCTTCCTCTTTGAGTAAACTTACTCAGAGTCCATGTTAGAGATCGGCAGCCACAAGCTCAGATACCTTGAGGTACTAGGAAGAGAATACAGTGAATGAGGCAAGTGGGGTCATTAAGGAATAGTGGAGACTGTGGAAGACTAAAAGCACACACCCCAGGGAAGTGGTGCTGGAGTGCAGTGGCGCGATCCCTGCTCACTGCAAGCTCGGCCTCCTGGGTTCACGCCATTCTCCTGCCTCAGCCTCCTGAGTAGCTGGGACTACAGGCACCCACTGCCATGCCCGGCTAATTTTTTGTATTTTTTAGTAGAGACAGGGTTTCACTGTGTTAGCCAGGATGGTCTTGATCTCCTGACCTCATGATCCGCCTGCCTCGGCCTCCCAAAGTGCCTGGATTACAGGTGTGAGCCACAGCGCCCAGCCCAAACACATATTCCCCCAAGAGAAGTCAAGAATCTTCATTTTATATGAGATTGTTTGATTTTACCTTGGGCAACTGTTTCCATTGAGATACATTAGAATGCAACCAACAATACACCCCAGTGAAAGAAGCTTAATCAGTAGGGGTTTATTAAGATTAAAAATAATAAGAAATTGAGAGGTTGGTGGTCTCAAAGCCCCCAGGCTTTCCCATGCTCTTGCTCCACCATCTTCAGTATGCCAGTGATTCTCCCTCATGATCACAAGGTGGCTGCAGCATCTCCAAGAATCACATCCTCATCCCATCATGCTCAAACGAAGAAAGAAAGGAGCCCAGTCATGTGACAAGATAACTCTACTTGTCGGTCTGTTTATCAGGGAAGAAAATGTTTCCCAGCACCCCTGAGAAATATCCCCTTTACTTGCATTGGCTAGAATGATGTTGGATGGCCACCCCCAGAAGTCATGGGGGCTTGGAAGAGTGAATATCCAGCATTTTCAGTCTCTTTGCAGGAGAAAGATTCTACCTGCTTGGGAAAAGGGTTAAACAATGGCCATTGGGTTGACAATGAACAGCATCTGTGACAGCACCAAACTTGTTTAATTAAAACACAAAAATGGCACATCAGTCACATAAAAATGTAGAGCAGGCTGTTTGCAGTCTCCTTTAGGGCTCACATGTCTTCTTAGTGGGTTAGAATTTGAGCAGAAGAGCCAGCTCTTTAGTCAATCTATTTAGCCCTATTGAATTGCCCTTCTCCTAAAGAGCTTTTCTAGCTAAAGCCATGGTCCTTGTTGTCTGGGCATACTCCATCTTCCTGAAGCTTCTGGCACGTTCCCCTCAGCTTTACCATTTTGAAGATACTGTTCTTTTCCTTAAACTCACCGTTTTCTCACCTCCCATGACTTATCACTTAAGATATGTCCCATTCTTTCCGGTTCAGAACAAATGGGGGTCACATTCATAGTTATCTGCTTCCTCTTCACATCTGGAGTTGACCCCACTTGGGAAGGTTCTTCTTTCCTTAGAAAAAATCCTCACACACAGGACTAGGGTTCCAGAAATGATGACTGGCAAACTTCCCTTCCCCCTCCCCACTCAAAAGGGAGACCCCCAGCCTAGGTGAGCCAATCTCATCTCACTCCTAGGAGCTAGAACAGAGCTGAGCCACCTTAATGGCAGCCTCTTAGAGAAGAAAAACATAAGCCCCTACTTCCAGATGCCCCAGAGTGCCCCATTTCCTGCCTGCCTGAAATGGTTGCTCAGCTCTTCTTTCAGTACTGTGAGCCACCCAGAGCCTGCCAATGCAAGCATTTTTTCCCCCAACTAGAGCTGCTTTCTGTTTCTTACAACTGAAACATCTTCTAAAGAAGAGCTTTAATTTCATCTGTCCCAGCTCTCCATATGTGGAAGAGTTATTTCCAAGAGGTGTGCAGAGCACTGCGTTGATGACACCGGGCTTCAAAATTCCACTCCCACCTGTCAAAACCGAACTTTCCAAAGGTTGGTTCATCCACCGTGCAACCCCAGGTGGAAATTTCAGAGAATGCCTGGCAGGTAGTTAATCTAAACTGGCATGTTCCCCAAGTCTTCAGCATTTAGTGATTCCAAACTCTGGCACTCTGGCACACACACGAAACATCCAGCTACAGTAGCATTTCGAGGGAAGCCTGACACAGTGCTTGGATCTTTCTGTCTGTCCCCACTTCAAAACAAATAAAAGCAAAACAACAACAGTAACAACAACAAAGCAAAACCATTTTCCTAAGTTTTAAAAAGTAAAATGCCAATTTCAGTGTAAAATTTACCATGAATTTTAAAGATGTGTGCTTCTTTGGGGAGTATTTTTTCCCTTGCACGTGTGTTTGTGTTTATGCCTTTAGAACTTTGATGGGCATGTCCTATCTCTTCTCAGCACGTCACGTGCTTGGGGACATGTGTACCTGCTTTGGTCAAGAAGAACTGTTAATATATTAGAAAATGGCTTTGATAGCCCCTGGCTATAACCATCCCAGGCCAAAGGAGTTCAGTGTCAATTAGGATAAATACTTTAATGTAATTTGCACCATTGCTGCTGTCTGGGAGTAGAGGAAATGAAGAACTAGAAATCTAGAAGCAGTTTTTGTTTGTGTGAAGGCAGAGGAAAAGAAGAGATGGCCTCACACCAGTGTTTCTCAAAGGGAATTTCACAGAACTGGTCCAGCTTTGTGAAAATACAATACAATACAGATGTGATTAATAGATTCTAAATTATCCTCTTACAGATCCAAATTTAAAATAGCATATTAAAGGCTCTGAAAAGTACTGCCGTGAAGAAACATGCCCCTTTTTATTCTTTTTTTTTTTTTTTTTTTTTTTGAGACAGAGTCTCACTCTGTCACCAAGGCTGGAGTGCAGTGGTGCGATCTCGGCTCACTGCAAGCTCCACCTCCCGGGTTCACCCCATTCTCCTGCCTCAATCTCCTGAGTAGCTGGGACTACAGGTGCCCGCCACCACACCCGACTAATTTTTTTGTATTTTTGGTAGAGACGGGGTTTCACCGTGTTAGCCAGGATGATCTCAATCTCCTGACCTTGTGATCCTCCCAAAGTGCTAGGATTACAGGCGTGAGCCACTGCACCCGGTGCCCCTTTTTATTCTTTGATGACATCTTTTCATCCCAGTGCTTGCAGTGGTGCTGCCATGACTGCTTGCCAGTGGATTCTGTAAATGATCAGGAATAATAATGCTCTCAGTGACAGACAATGAGAGTAACATCTTAACACAAAATATGCTGTGTGATGGGTGGCGTCTCTTCTTGCTATGTGGTGTCTCTTCTTTTTTTGCCCTGGAAAGATCCCCAGACTGACATAGAACACAGTCACAGATGCCCTGGGGACATCATACACTGTGATGCTAAACACCTGCTTTCATCCACATACAGAGTGCTCTTCAAGGATAGCACGGAGGAAAGAACCACTTAGAATGGGGCCAGGCAGCCCTGCCAACATCTCTGCCACTTAACCTTGAGCAAACTGCTTCACACTCGTGAGCCTCAGTGTCTGCATCTGCAAAACAGGAATAACACCAACCTTATAGGACCTTTTACAATGGTTTAGTGATTTAGAATGTATTAGGTTGGTGCAAAAGTAATTGTAGTTTTGCCATTAAAAGTAATGATCAAAACAGCAAGTACCTTTGCGACAACATAATAAGATATCAGACCATGATAGTTGTGATTATTGCAGAGCTCCTGGGGTATCTGAGACATGAATAAAGTAAGCACCTGGCACTAAAACTCTCTTGTCTTAGTCTGTTCAGGCTGCTACAATAGACTATCATAGACTGGTGGCTTATAAACAACAAAAACTTATTTCTTACATTTCTGGAGACTGGGAAGTCCAAAACCAAGGCACCTGCTGATTTAGTGTCTGGTGAGGGTGTGCTTCAGGGTTCATAGACCCCTGTCTTTTTACTGTGTCCTCACATGGTGGCAGGGGCAAGGGAACTCTTTGGGGTCCCTCATATACGAATACTAATCCCATTAATTAGAGTCCTACCCTTATGACCTAATGCCCTCCCAAAGGCCCCCACCTCTTAATACCATAACATTGGAAGTTGGGATTTTGACATATGAATTTGGGAGGAGACATAAACACTCAGTCTGTAGCATCTCTGAAGAGTAAATAGCAATTCTGATACAAGCAGGAGAATTTCACTGGCAACACTGTTATGGTAATCAGGTATTAAAACCCTAATTGAATTATAATCCCTCTAATCGCTGCTGCCACCAGTAGGTAATGATACAATTTATCCTCTTAGGGAACCAGATTCCCCCTATAAGAAGGTTGAATTAATAATACAGCAAAATTCACTATGTTGATTTTTAGAAACATTAATATGTCTGAGGGGTATTCAACCTAAGTCAGATGTTGCTCCAGGCACCAGCTATTTGGGAGAAAAAGGCCCATCTGAGCCAAAGCCAGGACAAGACAAGCAGCTTTAGGGGTGCTAAGGAGTGAGAAGCCTCCATACACCAGGGCTCACTCCTTAGGAGGCCTCCTGAAAGAAGGGGAGCAGGAGAGGGGCAGGGAGAACCTGCATCTATCCAAGGAAGGGGGTGAGCTAAGCTGATGGATACTTGAATTATTGGAGAAAAGTGTGAAATTAGAAAAACCCATGAAAAGACCCAGAGGCTTGTGAGCCTCTTAGGGATTGCAGAATGTTTTCGTTCACATGGAAACCAATTGCACAAAAAGTGCTCATACCTGTATTCCAGGAGCCAGCAAGGATAGTGTGTATGCAAAGAGAGCTTCAGTGAAAGGGGAGTTTCAGGAAATGATGGACCCAGCCTTCCTTAAAAAGAGGAGTCAGATACCTCCTTGCACGCATGTGCACACATGTGTGTACACACATGCAGACACACACACAATAGAGATTGTCTAAAGGTGGGTAGTTTATATAGCTCTCCCTGGATCATATAAACTGTGTTTCACTTGGACTTGCCATTGACTGAAGCAGACTTTGCAGAACATTCCAATCTTCAGCTGGTTATCCTGGACTCCCAGTCAGCCCCATATCTACACCCTGGAGCTCTAGAAAGATCCCTTCCTGGCACAGTGGTTCACATTGTAATCCTAGCACTTTAGGAGGTGGAGGCACGAGGATCACTTGAGGCCAGGAGTTCAAGACCAGCCTGGACAACATAGTGAGGCCCCATCTCTACAACAAATTTAAAAAAAAAATAGCTGAGCATGGTGGTGCACACCTGTAATCCCAGCTACCTCTGAGGATCACTTGAGATCAGAAGCTTGAGGCTGCAGTGAGCTATGATCATGTCACCACACTTGAGCCCTAGGCGACAGAGAGGGACCCTGTCTCTAAAAACAAATAGAAAAGAATGATCTTTGAAGTCACACTCACTGCTGATAACTTGAGGGTGAACCCCCAAGGCAAAGCAGGGGCTGCCTTTTGGGGTTGATCTGATGAATATCATCAAAATAGAGTGATTTTCCACCCTCATAATGGACAAGAGCAAACTCAGCCATGCTTGGGATCAAATCCAGCTCAGATACTTTCTTGAGCAAATTACGAACCTTTCAAAGATTCAGTGTCCTCATGTGTAAGATGGGTTTTTTTGTGAGGATTAAATGAAGAAAGCATGTATAGAAAGTGCTTAGTACAGGGCTTGGTACACGGTAAGTGCTCAATAAATGTTAGCTCTTGTGATTGGTCAATGTGAGCTGTCACTGTGTTGTGAGGCACGGGCTGTTCTACATGAATGCATTTCCCAGAAGAGTCGTGTCTTGAGCCTCTCTCACATGCTGACCATTTTGTTTAAAATATTTGATAGATGAATTCTACACTCCCTGGCCTTCCTTGTCCAGAGGCTTCTTCCTAAGAACTCAGTGCCAGGATTTTGAGTAGCACTGGATATTCTGTGCAATGGGTTCGTTCATCCAATTTCCACCACTTTACAGATGAACTGGGGATCAGAGAAGGCAAGCCACCTCCCCAAGGTCACACAGCTTGTGAGAGCAAGACAACAGCATCGAGGCCTATGTAATAGCAGAGCCATTGCTTCTTTGGCTCTGCGGAAGCTTGTATTGTGGTATATCTGTGGTGTAGCTTTGCTGTCTCCTGTGTCAATGTCAGGAGGACAGGCTGAGCTCCTGGGACCAGAACCCCTCAGATTCCAGGAGGAGCAGAGAAAGCACAGATGGCCTGGAGAGTCCCAGGGGTGAGGCCAGCAAGTACTTTCTTCCCCCAGGTGCTCAGAGCATCCTCTGAGTTGCCAAACAGACTCCCAGAGGGGTCAACTGTGGGCCCTAAACCAGACAGCAGCTGGGAAGCAGGCTCTCAGGGGAACTGGGGTCTCACCAGCTCAGGAGCAGGCCAGGACTCCTCAGCACAGAAGCTGGGAATCTTGAGTGTCCAGATCAGCCTGAAAATCTGGACTTGGGAAAAGCCATCTGGCTGGGGCCACCTGCATGCCGCTGTGACTGGGGCATCCTGCTGCTCTCCTCTCTCACAAGGTGGTGCCATCTGCCTTGTCACTGCTCCTCAGGACAAGCCTGACTGCTCTCCCTGCACCTCTGGCCATTGAGAATCCGGCTGCTCCATCGTGGTGGAAAATCTTCCATGCTCAGAGGGACACCTTCCGACACTGGGGTTCTGGAGAGCCTGGTGCCACGAGACAAGGAGCCATGTGACAAGAGGGGGAGGGGTAGGAGTGGGAGACACAAGTGTGGTTTGGGACAAAATAGGGCCTGAGGCTCACGTGTTATAAAACCCCCTTTGCTCTGCCTGTCTCCTTGAATTGTGGCCAGTTTCACATGGGAAGCAACGTCGAGGGACAGGGAGACTGCAGGTGAGGCCTCAGGGCTCTGCATTCCCATCCCCAAAAGTCACCAGCGTGTGGCCTTGTGGGTGTCACTCCCCTCTGTGGAGTCAACTTTGTGCAGTGACATGCAGAGGCTGGACTGCTGCCACCTCATGCCCCTCCTGGCATGATGGTCGCATGAGGCTGAGTGATTTGCAGGTCTATGGGGAAACCCGCCTCAGAGATGTGGAGGAGAAGCCAGGCAGAGCGCTGTTCATTCCATTTCTTTCTTTTTTTAATCTAAAGGAGGGAAAGAGCTTTATTAACTCAAACAAAGGGATGCCATACAACTTCCCAACGATACTGTGCAGTGATGGTATTAGCTTCCACCTGTTCTTCCATTCTGGGGGCAGGGTGTGAGGACTGGCTGCTCTGGGAGACGCTCTGAGCTGAGAGAGAAGAAATAGCTATGCTAATAGCTGCCCCTTACTGAGTGCTCACTCTGTGTCCGGGGCTACACCGAGTGCTTGCAGCGGGTTCTCAGGCGCACTTAGAACAGCACTGTGAGAAAGGCACTTTTGCTGCCCCTTGTGTACAGATGAGGACAAAGAGGGACAGAGAGGTTTAGAACCTTGACCTATATCACACAGCCAGTGAGCAGACGACCGGAATTTGAATCCTGCAATCTCTCTGCAGAGCCTGCGCATTTAATACCACACACAGTTCTGGCCTGCAGTGAATTTGGTTGTTCTTCCTGCCTGGGGTGGTCAGTTTCCAAGCCTTTCCAGATGGACTTCTGCAGCCCAAAGCTGCGTGCTCCCCGTGCAGGCCCTTGTCAGAGCAGAGAAAGATGGCTGAAGTTGTTGTCCATCTAGATTTTTATCTTCAAAACATTGCTGAAATCAATCTCTCTTCTACCGTCTCCGATTTCCTTTGTCCTTATGGGTGGTCTACAACTTTACTATCATTTTAGTGGATGCAAGAGGAGTGGAGATAAACACGTGTTCAGCCTGCTGTGAATCTCTGCAGTGGCTATGTTGTTTCTTAAACAGATGTAATGAGGCATCTATTCCCTGTGTGCCATGTGCCCCTTGAGTAGGGGACATCTGTTTTGTGTTGTCTGTGTCTCCAGCATTAGAATGGAACCTGGCACACAATAGAGGCTCAATTAGTATTTGTTGAATAAATGAACATTAAGAAACAGAAAAGAGCCTTGTTCCTTCCTTGTGTCTCCTTCTTCATGTTTTGTAGTCTGTTGGAATCTCATTACTAGATTATTGTTCCAGAAACATGTTCCAAGGACAGGCATGTGCAGGCAGAATGGAACTGGGAACGTAAACGGGAAGCTTGAACCTGGAAAGTCACAAGGGGGATGGAGATTTGGGGAGAAGTGGGAGCTGGGAGAGCAGCAGCCCAAGCTGAAGATCTAAGCTGGGGGTCAGGAGAGCCAGCTGAGAGCTTTCTAGGCTGCAGCTGAGCACCCTGTCTATGGGCCTCCCAGCCTCCAGGTCACCAACCTTGTGGGGAGGTGGGAGCAGGTGGGAGCATAGGTGCTGGGCCCTAGTGGACATCGAGGTGCACAGGTGGCCAGTGAATGTGGGATCCATGGGGGCAGAGGGAAGCCCTAGGATGCTGCAGAAGCCTGAGGCCAGCCCGAGGCCGGCTCTGGGAAGAGGGGGAGGCAGCTGCCATAGGTGAAGGCTCAGGAGGGCACTCAGAGATGGAGACTGAAGGCCGGCTTGCTTCTGCTTCCTCTGCCCAGAACCCCTGAATTTCAGGAAACAGAGAGGATGGAAGGACTTAGGGACTCTGGATGATGAGAGTTTCTGCAGTCCGGGACTTGCAGCATGCGTTTCCTCTGTGAGCCTGCTGTGCAGCCAGCTCCCTTCTCCCCCTGCTCTGTGCTGGTGCCCACAGAGGTGGCACTCCCTCCCAACCCCAGCACAACTGCCATCTCAGCAGTCCCCCAAGGAAGAGGCTGAGATCCTGCCTCGGGGCACCCTGAGGGGTCCACTTCACTCTCCTGACCACCCTGCCAGCCTGGACTCCCCAACCCCATTTCCAACCTCTGCACACTCCCAGCCTAGAGTGGGATTTTCTGGGAGCCTGAAGTATAGGCTGGACTGGGAGGGCTTGGCTGCAGCCTCAGCTCAGGACCACCCCCTGGTGGCCCCCTTGGGTGGGAGCCCATCTCTTGATGGATAGGTGAGCCTGTGTCCTCAGCAGTGACCTGAGCTGCTAGTTGGGGGAAGTGACTCAGCAAACTAGGCCGCTGCCAAGTGGCATCAGGATCCAAAGCATCCCCACCCAGTGGCTTCAGGTTGTTAAATTACATTTAGCCTAAAGCTGCCTCCATACATATTTTAAGTTCAGCCTAAAAGTTTCTACATGCATAGTGAACTGTAACCTAACTGAATGCGTAAGCAGACTATCACCTGCTCTTTTGCCAATCAGAGTTCAGCCAATCACAGGCAGCCAACTGTTCAAACCACGTTCAAATAAGGCAAACACCGAGAGCTGTAACTAATCGGCTGTTTCTGTACCCCACTTCCCTTTTCTGGACGTCACTTTCGTATTTTTGTCCATAAGTCTTCTACCATCACGTGGCTGCGTTAGAGCGTCTGTGCATCTGCTGTGATTCTTGGGGCTGCCTGATTCACAAATCATTCTTTGCTCGGTTAAACTCTGTTAAATTGAATTTGTCTAAGGTTTTTTCTCTATACAAGGTTAAGACATAACCTGTGTCTGACCCAGGGCCAACTGTGGGCTGTGTGTGGCGGGTGGCAGGGGCGTGTTATTCCCTTTCTTCCAGAGGCTGTGTTCTCAAAGTTGAGTTCTCAGGTTGCTCGCGCACAGGTGCCATGGTGTCCTCATTCATGGGATTATCGAGACCCAGATACCACCCCAGAGCTACTGAGTTAGACTCTGGGGATCAGAACTGGGACTCTGTAATGAGCACTCACCCACATGGATCTCAGGCTCACCTGGTGTGGGAGCTTCTGCCCTCTGTTCTGCCTGCTGGACACAATGTAGAAGAGACAGTTTTACCAGGCTGTTCTTGGGGTATGCTCTATCCTGGAAAGAGGGATCTCGGGAAATGATGACATTTCTTTATGTTTGGTTGGTATTTCACAGTGTATTGTGCATTCTGGGACCACTATCAACTCACCTGCTTAAACCTCAACCCTAGGGACCTGCCTTGATTGGTCCTTTTCTTGATTCTCTTCTTCTAATCCATCAGCAACCCCTCTGGCTCCTACCTTCAAAGTGGACTCCACACCTAACCACACCCCCCAGCTCACTGTGGCCACCGTAGTCCACCCCTGTTGTCACCCCTGCTCACCTGAGCTGCTGGGATGTCTCCCACCCATCAGTGCCACATTCACTTCCCCCAAATCCATTTTCCACTGCAGCCCAAGTGTGTATGTGTGTGTTCCTTTTTTATTAAGGCACTGTTTTCAGAGAACAGTTTTCACTTGTTTTAAGTGTACGGTGTTTGAATTGTGATCCTTGTACATAATAACTATGTAACCACCAAGACCGAAGGCAGTTCCCTCATCCTCAAAGCTGCCTTTTGCTCCTTTGCTCTCCATCCCTGGACCCAGGCAGCCCTAGATCTGTTTTCTGCTGTCTGATTTTTGCCTTTTCTAGGATGACATATGCGATGGTTAATACTGAGTGCCAACTTGATTGGATTGAAGGATGCAAAGTATTGATCCTGGGCGTGTCTATGAGGGTGTTGCCAAAGGAGTTTAACATTTGAGTCAGTTGGCTGGGAAAGGCAGACCCACCCTTAATCTGGGTGGGCAGCATCTAATCAGCTGCCAGCAAATATAAAGCAGGCAGAAAAACATGAAAAGGCAAGACTGGCCTAGCCTCCCAGCCTGCATCTTTCTCCTGTGCTGGGTGCCTCCTGCCCTCGAACATCAGACTCCAGGTTCTTCAGTTTTGGGACTTGGATTGGTTTTCCTTGCCCCTCAGCTTCTGTCCCTCTAAAGAACGCTGACTAATACATAACTGTGTAACCACCAAGATAGAAGGCACTTCCCTCATCCTCAAAGCTGCTTTTGCTTCTTTGCTCTTCATCCCTGGCCCCAGGCAGCCCTAGGTCTGCTTTCTGCTGTCTGATTTTTGCCTTTTCTAGGATGTCATATAAATACAATCATACAAGATGTTGTCCTTGGGTTTGGATTTTTTTCTCATTTAAGATTCATCCATCCACATCACTGTATATTTTCATCTGGACTCTCTCTCTTTTGCACATCAAACTGTTGCTAAACTGCCGGGTTCACCAGCCCACTGTGCAGCAATAGGCCAATACTCAGACAGCAGGGTTTGCGGCAGAGAAAGAGTTTAATAATTGCAAGGCCGCTGAACAAGAAAACGGGAGGAATTCCCAGCTTCAAATCTGTTTGCTGAGGAGTTCTGGGCAAGAGTTTTTAAGGGGATTGTGGAGGATGAGGGGCTGGAAAATACGGGGTAAATACGGGGTCATCGATTGGTCCGGTAAAGGAGTGAAATTATCAGGATGTGGAAACTGTGTCTTCCAGGAGTCAGCTGCTTAGTGGGCCCTTCAGAGGAGGGGGATGGATAGTTTTGTCAGTTTGCAGAATCTAAAGGGGAAACGCTTAGATTTTATCCGTAGAACAAAGAGCCTTGTGAGGAGGGCTACCTTATTCTGGGGTTGTGAGCAGCGACCGGCTACAAGGAAGTGGGCCAAAGGGCAAGCTGGCTTAGTGATTTCTGCTGATTGTGTTGCTAGTCTAGTTGAATTTTTTCTTTTTTCCTTTAATCAGTTTTATAAAGTTTTTTGGGGAACGGTTTCAAAACCAGCTGAGCGGTTTCTGACCATGCTGCTGTGCCTCTGCCTGGATGGCTCTCCCTCACCTAGTTCTTTCTCCTCCTTCAGGCCTCAGCCTCAATGCCACCTCCTGAGCCCTGCCGTCACTGTGACGGCTCCCCCCTCCCCCAACACACACAATTAGTTTTTATTGTATTTTCCTAAGTTCCTTCATGTCACAGTTATATTATTCATATATTCTTATGGGTCAAATTGTCCCTGTCCCAAAAATTTGTATGTTGAAGTCCTAACCTTCAGTACCTCAGAATGCGACCTTATTTGGAGACAAGGCCTTTACAGAGGTAATCAAGTGAACATGAGGTCATTAGGGCAGGCCCTCACCCAACATGACTGGCATCATTATTCAGAAGAGGAGGTTTAGACACAGATCTGCACAGAAGCATGGCGATGTGAAGACAGCCATCTACAAGCCAAGGAGTGAGACCTGGGACAGATTCATTCTCCTCACAGCCCTCAGAAGGAACCAACCCTGCTAACACCTTGATCTTGAACTTCCAGCTCCAGAATGGCAAGACAGTACTTTTCTGTTGTTTAAGCCACCTAGTTTTTGGCACTTTGTTACGGCAGCCCTACTGTACTAATACATATATATATATTTCCTTTCTGCCCTCTCTAGAGTGCAGGCTTCTTGGGAGCAGGGATCCCCTCTGTCTCATTCATAGCCCTGTCCCCAGAGGGGGCCTTCAATATATTAATATTTCCGCATTAATGAATGGGTACATCATGTTATTTTGTTGTTGCCATTATCCCTATAAGGTTGGCTTGCCAAGTTTAGGCTCCTTACCCAAGTTGATGGCTAAAAGAGAGAACTCTTGATACCTGGGGCCGCATCATTCCAATTATGCTACAGTTCCCTGAGGGCCTTCTTATGTTAGATAAAATCTGGAAACAAATTCTACTGTCTTTTCCTTCTTATAGGATACAGAAGACTTGTTCTTCTAAAAGTGTTTCAGGAAGTTCAAAGCTGTCTCATTTGGGCTGTGGGGAGAGAAGCAAAAACAACAACAACAAATCAACCAAACCCAGATACCTTGAATGACATTTTTCCAGTAAACAAAGCAAACCAACAAACCAAACAAAAACCTTCTTTATTTTTTTTAACCTAAGTATTGGCTATCATACTCATTTATAAAGCAGACACCCCAATCCATTCTCATATGATTATTTACTCCAATGTGATTTGCAAAGATCTTTCAAGAAGCTGTCAGTTGCACACTTGGAGCTGTAGGCCCATTGATTAAAACACACTTGCAAACTAAGAGACATTTGCCAGAATGGCCAGAAAAAAAGAGGCCATGGCAGCTTTTAAACCAACACCAGACAGGTTCTGAGAGACCAAATGCATGCAGAGGGGTGTTTGGGGATGGAGGGTGGGCAACAGATAGTAAATATATTACTGCTTTGAGTGGCCAGATACCTACCTGGAAGCAGGTTTGCAATATGATAGCCCACTCAATTAATTTTTTTTTCCCCAAGGGGCCTAAGTAGTATAGCTATTCTTTAATTTGAAATGAGTTAAGTTTGGGGAATGATAGCATATTTAATGTACAGCTGGGCACTGGTGCATTCTAACTCTGGCTATGTTCTCTTTTGTGGTTTTGCCTTGGTCTCTATGTCCTTGGGGTGTCTTTTCTCTGTCTCTATACATCACAGTGTGTTTCTGACTTCTCTGCTCATTCTTCTACCAGCACCTCTCTGCCTCTCTGTTTGTCTGTCACTGTTGTCTCTCTCTGTCGTCCTGTCATATTATCAGGCTGCCTGTTTGGCTACAGTAAAACTTCATCAGCCTCCCCTACACTGAGAGCAGAGCTTTTTTGTGGAACACAATAGCATTCAGAAGAGAGAAAAATCTCTTTAAGTGTGCAAATGCTGTCTCATTATCCTGAGACTGGAGGGAGGAACCTCTCAAGCTTTGTCATTTCAGTAAGAAACAAAAACCTTTGAAATTTTTACAATTATCTTCACACTCATATCTCCTTGTCCCCTACACCAGCTAAAAGATGAGTGAATAGCGCTGAGTGCTCGTTGGCTGGTCCATGGAGGGAAGGATCATTTATTGAGATATTAATTCAGGTTCTATCTTTGCTGCTGAAAGAGAATCAAAAAGAATGAGAAGCTTTGCTGTCCTGTGCTCTGGGTCTCTCCCTCCCCCAGGCCCTCAGCTGGGCAAGGAGGCAGGGAGGGCCTATTATACATGCTTTTATACACACACACACACACACACACACACACACACACACACACACAGAAATACATAAGCTTAATCTCTTCTTTTGGTTGAAAAAGTATAGCTGAGTGGGTGAGAGTAATAGCTCCAGAATTATGCAAATCATAGCTCAAACACAGGTTCATACCCACAGATTTACATCCCAGCTGTACTATGTGGCTTTGGGTGAGTTACCTAGATTCTCTTACCTTCAGTTTGTTCATCTGTAACATGGTGATAATGAGGAAGTTACTATGAAAATGAAATGAATCAATTCATTTAAAATATCTAGAAAAAGTGCTTGGCCCCTGGCAAGTACCTGAGAAGCTGGCTCTTATTTTCACTATTACTTACTGACTAATCTTGGAGAAGGAAATTGTTAGTGATTACCCACCGTAAAGCTTTGAACTGGATGACTTCTGAAGTTCTATACTTCTCTAAACACCATGGACACGGGTTTCTCATAAGGCCTTATACTCTTCTCTACTTTTGACTAACAATGGGTAAAAGCCATGATTAGAAATTGGACTGAAAATACAGTGGCTTAACACTTTAAAAAGAAAGATCTAGGGCTCACAGAAGACCAACCAATGATCTGAGTCATGTGGCAAAGAGCACGTAGGGCAGGGTTTGGGTTAGGTATACCGTAGCATTATTAGCACAGTTCACAAACTCTTCTTCCTTTGGGACACTAGTGGCCCCAGGAGGGAATGCAATTTACCTCCGAGAGAGTGACTAACTGGACAAATAAACAAGAGAAGAAAAAAGTGAAGACATTGAAACAAAAAAATTGGCTTATCTGATTTATAAAATAATCTGCTAGAGGGTGGCTGATGTCTTCACAAAGCCTTTCACTTGCATGAACTCCGGGCTGCTGTTGGGAGGAGCATGTTCAAGGGCTCCCTGGCTACTATATCTTTTGACTCTTTGGGAGAGAGAAGAGGCAAGGGCTTCAAATCAGCCTAGAGTTTGAGACTGAGCTATTTGAAATAGTGAGAGGAAAGAACAGTAGCTGTCCTGAACATGCAGAAAGTCTTGACTGATCAGTATCTGCAGGGCAGATTTTCAATCCTTTTAATCCCTTTGAGATGGATTCCACAGGCTCTACTGGGTAGTGGATCCAAGATGGCTGTGTGATCCTGGACAAGCCTCATCTGTAAAATGGCAGCAATACCTGCCCTATCTAACTCATAGAGTGGCTGTCAGACTCAGAGAAGACAACAAGTGAATGCTTGGGGACCTGACCAGTTGTAATGGCACAAGTGGGAAAATGCTTCCCATTCTCGTTCTTTTTCTCTCTCATTCACTTATGTCCCCATATCTGTAGTCAGGCATTTGTGGTATAAATAGCTTGGTTAGGAGTAGAGTGGGTAGCCATGAGCAGGGTGTGGAAGTTAAAATGGCACCTTTGCCAATTCCAGCCAAGCCTATGGCCAACAGCCAGGCCTGGCCTCTTCCACTTGACACTGGCCTGCTGGTGAGACTCACAAGACCTCCTTGCTTTGTAAACATCATCCAAAATTCTTCCATCAGTTGACATCACCATCTAGTGGGGTCTTCTCTCATGGGAACTTCTGCTCAGAGAGCGAATTGCTATGAGTCAGTAGGAATGACTAACAGAGATTCCAGAGAGAAGACACTGCCAGTTCATGGCCTCTTAAAGAAATGAATACATCAGTTAAAAGGCTCTTGTCTGCTGTCTATGACTTTCAGAACAACTTCTCCCAGTTGTCTGACATTGAGAGTAATGGAACCCTTGGGAGAAGTATCAACGTAATTAACAAACTTAGACATAATGATCCCTGATACTTTTAACAAAACATAAAATAACCAAGAAATGTCTACCACTTTATAAGTTCACATTGGAAACACACCTGATATAAATAATGAGTCAGAACAGTGGTTTCACTATTAAAAGTCAGCAGGTTTCATTATTAAAAGTCAGCCAAGAAAACGTGAAAACTTACAGGCTGAAAGAATAATTAAAGGCGATCACTATAGATTTTAAGCATTATTAGTTCTCAAAACTTCTGACTGGCTGATGATGAAGACAAATTCATTCTAATTGTCCTTGATAATTTCATGCTTTTAAAATCTCATGGCAAGACCAACTTGGGAGCCATAGTCCTCAACAGTGGGCATGGTCAGAATGATGGCTGGTAAGAGCAGAGCCCTAATCCATGACAGAATCTGTTAGCCTGCATGGATACAAGTGGGATGATGACTAATGAAGCCACTATTTAGCATTGTATCTAGGATTTCCTTGCCATCTGTAAACCGTGACCCCTCCCTTCAGGCAGTTTTTTAACCTGAGGTGGTTACCTGTTTTTGTTTGCTGTCCTACACTCCTGGCCCCTTGATAGAATTCAACTCTTCTTTGATAACGATTCAGTCTTCCCCTGTTCAAGTGATCAATGTGGGGCTGACCCCACCTCAGCTTCAGAGATGAGCATGTGACCCTGCCTGGCCAATGAGAATACCATATCTCTCTGACCATAGTGATTGGTTAAGGGATGAACATGTGGCCCACAGCTGACCAATCAGAGCTACTGAGACTCAGTTCTATGGTTTCAATGGAAACCACTGAAAAAGAGAAACTCTCTTTTGGCTAGAGTTGCTGTGAGGATGGAATGGGGAACCTGGACAGCTCCAGCAATCTTACTGCAGAAGGTGCTTCTGGGTGGATCCCAGGCAGAGGAATCAGAGGCAAAACATGGAGGGAGTGAACTCCTGAAATCACTTGGGTTCTGAATCCAGCCAAGCCCGAAACCAGCCCTGCCCTGGGCTTTTCAGGTACTTGAGCCAATGCATTCTCTTTTCCTCTTCATCAAGGTTTGTTTAGAGTTTGCATCCCACGTGACTGAACAGAATGGACATTGCTCTTAGCAAGGGACAGTAACCATGAGTCCAAGTCCTGAAACAGAGATGGGGTCCCCTTCCTCCCTTCTCACTGGTTTCCTTCCTCCTGAGTGGGGTCTATCTGAGCCTGGCATTTCCTTCGTGACAGTTTCATTTGCTCCTGGACGGTTCCCTTGCTCACCATCAGCCCTCGGGCCAGCTCTAACACTCAGTTTGTCCAGATAATGTTAGGAACCTGTAAAGAGGAACTCTATGTTGTTCAACTTTTTCTCTCATTAGCACACTGTTTTTCTGTCCCGGGTGATGCAGGCTGAATGCAAAGCAGCAAGATGTGCTGGTTTGAATTCCGTGGCCTTCCTTCATCAGCCTGAGTGTTTGTGTACACACAGCTGGGCTGCAACGTCAGTTTCTGTCTGATGGCTCAGAGCCACAATTTTACCCTGTTATTGATGCCCATTATGTCATTTTAGAAAATGTAGGGATGTGGCTGTCCAACTTATCTGAATATCTGTATATAAATAAATAAATGTACATTTAAATCCATCCTAACTTTGACGTGATCTGAGGGAAAAATGAGGTCTTTGTGTTTTCCCATAGAAATAAGAAGAAAGTAGGTTAATAAACCATCAGTATCACAAGCAATAATGCAACACATGAAATATCATTTGCAAATTATTTTTGCAATTACAATGTTGGTTTTCCATGAAGAGTTGTAGCAGCTGCCTCCTCTCTCAAATAACATATTCACCTGTGGACAGATGGGGAATTGCTAAGATCCCAGCTTATGTTTGTGAAAAGAGAAGCACCACAGTTTAGTGAGCAAGGAGGTTACTAAGCTTGGTGTGCACTCAAAGGCCATGTCTGCACTGTGTGTGATGAAGTGGAGGCTTTGGATACCCATCAGCAAGTTTTATGTTAATAAAATATTTTTTCTTCTATCAAATGCTAAGACCAAAAAGTTTGTCATCTGAATGTAATCGCGTAATTGTCTTGACTCTCAGCTCCATTTTGTGCTCAGAAGAAAGCAGTTGTGTCACGAAATGGAAAGATGAGGTCTAGGTTCAGTAGACCAGTATTGGCATTCTGGGAAAAATAAGACCCCAAAGATAACTTTTTACCATGATTTCACAGACAAATAGGACCTGAGATTTTCTTTTTATGGAGCAAGAAAGCAATGCTTATGAGGACCAGATCTGGGTCTAGTACTACCAAAGAGACTGCAGAGACTTGTGGAGGCATGTGATGGTGTTTCTGAACAATGTTTTTAAATTGTATATGTTTTGTAACAGGAAGAGAGAGATAGGGAAAGGGAGGCGGGAGGAAGGAAAGAAGAAAATAAGAGGAAGGAAGGAAGAATGGAGGAAAATTTCTCTTAATCAGAGAAATAATGAGAGCAAAAAAGAAAAAGAAACCCAGAGAGTCAGAATTCTATTGCAGCATCGTTGGCTAGAGAAAAGGACACTCGGGATTTGACAGGTCGTTGGGAGTGGCTGCTGGGTTTGAGCAGAGTATAACACATCAAGAGCTATGATATACGAAACTGAGTAGGCTTATTTCTTGCATGGCAGAGGAAGGATTAGAACCAATGAGTAGGAAAGAGACTTTGGTTCAGTTTTAAGAACTTTCTTAATAGAGAAATGGGCTTGCCAGTGAGTAGTGAGTTTCTTGTCTGGAGACTTTCCAGCAGAGACCAAACACATATAGGGTACGTTGACAAGGGAATTTAAACATTGAGGAAAATGTTAGACTAACTACTGAGATTCTATGTTTCACATTCGACTCTTGGAAATTAAGCAGTCATCTTAATAGAATACCTGGAAGAATCTGAAGCCACTGGGAACAAATAACCCTTAGACTCATGCAGAGTTCAGAGGAGGAAAAAGCTATGGCAGCAAGAACAAAGCACAAACCAAGTTAACACTTTGCAGCAATGAGGCAATTACTTCCCTCCAAAAACTCCACAGGGAACAATAGTAGGTAGAAGTTAAATCACAAACACTTCCCCTCATTATCTAGGAAATAACTTGAGCTGCCCTTCTAATTAGCATCTGTAAGCAGCCCTGTGCTGTCAGTTCTGGATAACTCTCAGAACCTAGTAAGATGATTATACAAGATGCTCAATCCCATGGTCATTGTTGGCCAGAACACTGCCACCCACACAATGACATGAGTAAGAGGCACTGCAGAAGCCACTTAAACTCCTGGACATATGGGCATAATAACATTTGGAGCTATTGTATAGTTCTGCAATTCAGTGAGCTTCAGCATATTCTGAGAATGAACAAGCTTCCTTCTTATGGTTAGAGTTGCTTTGGCACCTAACTCTCCATGTAAAGAGCCTTGTGTGCAGGGGCAGAGATGATTACATTTAAAATAAAGGCTTACATTTGCATTAATCACATTTATTAGGAAGCTAAGCAAAATCTAAGCTACTGTTTAAAGGTTCTGATGGAAAACATTTTCTCCTTCCACCTGTTCTTGGGGCAATATATTCTATGGACATGGTGACGGCCACTTTCTTCAGGTTGTCCTAGGTAGCTATTTATAAAATCATAGTTATAGAATGTTGGGTCACTTTTTAATGTGCTTATTAAAGCCAAGGAAATAATTTGGCATAACTCCCCAGGCATACTAGAGAAAACCAAGGCATGATCCAAGTAAGAGTCTCAATTTTGCATTTCTCTACTTTCTTCTGGGAGCTTGTCAATATTTGCTATTTGGTTTTCTTACTTTTTTACTTTGAAATCACTATAGGTGTGGGTTGGGGAAGTGAGGATGAGATACACTTTCAAAAAGTTCATACGGGCTGGAAAGGAGATGGGCACCTTAAGTCCCTGGGAGGAATTCATCAAGTATTAGTTATTTTCATGTGTCATGGGTGAGAAGCTTTTCTCCTCTCATCCAAGCAAGCCCAGCCTTTGGTTTTTCCAAGGCAGAGACCGTCTACTGGTCTCTAAGGACTTTCTGTAAACATCTTGTTAATTAGCTGTTAAGCACATTAAGTGAGAAATAAACATGAGTGACTTCATATTTATAGAGTTTGACAGGGGTAAAATCAATTGCTAATTGAGAAGAAGAATTTGAAAAAGAGACAAAAATATACCTAAGGATTTTGGTTTTGAGTCTCTGTTTCTATAGCCTAATTTTTCTCCTGGTTGTATAGACTATCATTTCTTGTTTCTTGGCCTGTACAGTAATTTTTATCTGGGTGCTGAACACTGTAAATTTTACTTTGTTGAGTATTTGGATTTTGTTGTCATCCTTTAAAGAGAGTTAGACTTTGCTCTGGCAGAAAGTTGTTATTTGAGCATCAAATTGTTTTTGTTTTGTTTTGTTTTTGAGGTTTGTTTTTAAGCTTTATTAGAGTGGTCCTAAAGTAGTCTGTAGGGCTAGTACAATGGCATGGCCCTCATGAAGTCTCTACTAAATGCTCTGGGATTTTAACCAGGTCTCTCTACTCTGGCTGGTTGGAGCTAAACTATCTTGCATCCCTGCGTGAGCTCTGGGAATTGCTCAGCTCACAGCTTACAGGTAGCAGTTCTTTGACCAGTTCTATGGAGTTTTACTCTGAAAATACACAGCTCAGTTTTCAGTCAGAGACCCATAGAGACACCCATGCAGATTTCTGGAGCTTTTTCTTTGTACGTTTTTTTCCTCTCCAGTATACTACCTCACAAAGCTGCCTCAGTCTCTCTAAACTATGATCCCTGTCTTGTCAATTCACAAAGACTGCTGTGTTCTCCTTGGCATCGCTTTGGGCACTGAGGTCTGGAAGGTGCCTCCAGGCAGAAATCTGGAGTGGTTGTGGGGCTCACCTTGTTATTTATCTTCTCTCAGGGACTATGTTCTTAATGCTACCTGTTGTCCAATGCCTGAAAGCAGTTTTATATATTCTATTTAGTTTTCTAGTAATTTATGATGGGAAAATATATCAGCTTCCAGCTACTCTGTCATGGCCAGAAATGGAAGTTCTTCATTTCCTAGTCTTTGCATACACATGTTGCACTGTTTCTGCTGCCAACAATTCATCAAACATTACATAGTTGAATAGAAACAGGACCTGGAGGTTGGGGTTGGAGAGGAGATTGTAACTCAGTGGCAAGACATTCATATAAATAAGTCCACCATGGGGAAGAATAATAGAGACGTGTAGTCTGGGCATGGCCTGGCTTTCCCTGTCTAGGACTCTCACACCGATAACCCTCTAAGCTGGGCTTAAACACTTCTTCCCTTTCCCATTATCAATACTGACTCATCCTTGACCCAGACTTACTTTTGTTTATTTGTTGTTTTGAAGCAGTCTTTTATTCTTTTTTATTTTAAACTTTTATTTTAAGTTCAGGCTACACGTGCAGGTTTGTTATATAGGTAAACTTGTGTCGTGGAGGTTTGTTGGACAGGTTGTTTCATCACCCAGGTATTAAGCCTAGTACCCATTAGTTATTTTTCCTGACCCTCTCCCTCCTCCTTTTTTTGAGGGATGACGACAGTTGCTAATCTTGATCTAGTAAATGAATATGGACTGTGTAATTTCCTCCCAAGATCCTGGATCCTTAGCCTAGACATGATTCAAATGAATAATGATATCTTTATGCAGCAGGGAAGGACAATAGGAATGACTGGTGTTAGATGAGACTTGTCAAATTATGCCAAGCAAGCAATTGTCTATGGCTAGTGAACACCCTCAACCCTAGCTCCATTGCTTTTCTTAGCTAACTCCTTCCCCAGTCCCCCATTCAGGAAGATCCTACTTGACTTCTCCATCAGCTTTTTTAGCCTTCAAGCTCAGCTCCAGCCTATCTCCCCTCTAGGCTTGTTATATCATGTGTGCCAGGATGCTTACTTGGATGTATGGCTTCTTGCCAGCATATATTTTGTTCTTGAGGCTTATTCTTAAGTGGGTGGGCCACTGAAGTGTCATTCTCTCTATGTAAGCTGGGGCAGGAACTTGAAAATTGTTTGATGGAGGAGAATAAAGGGAAGTTTGCTGAAAGGATTAAAACAAGCCTGAGGAAAAGTCATGAAGCAGTAAAAGTAATAAATATTAATTACAGTCAAATGGAATTGTATGATGACTATTAGTTGTTTGCAGTTTCAGCTACAAATGCTGGATTCCTTTGATCTTTCTGAGGAAGGTAAGTCCTGGTTCCATCTCTAGGTTGTATTTGCAATTCTCAAGGCTGATTAAAGAACGTTATAGCATCTTCACATTAAGAAAGCTTGCCAAAGCTTTTCCCTGTTCATGGGGATAATGCCTGTATTTTCACAAGGTCTGATACTCAGCTAATGTGGTTCAAAAATATAACTGTCCTGAGTTTGAAACCACAGAAGAAACAGAAAAGATCCCAGAATTTTGCTTAATATTTTGTATTCCACCCAGAAAGAAACCTTATGAAGATAACATCTGTAGCAGTTAATTTGATTTTAGCAATTCTGACTTTCAGAATTTTGATTTAATAAGCCTCATAGGGTCCACCCAAATGCTGTATCTACATGTTTGCTCTTGACTAAAGACATCATAGAGATACCAGGAGAATGTCTGAACCTGAACTCTTGAAGGAAAACTAGACGCAGGTTAACTGGCTATGAAGGCTCTGCGTGATTCTAATTTCTGACTCCAGATTTTCCATCCTAAGAAGTTGGTTAAAATGCACATGCACACATTCACACACATGTCACACACCACCACCACCACCAACAACAACAACAACAAAATTCTCAACTTTTGTAGCTAAAGGAATAGTTTGGTCTTGCTGGACTCTTCTTTTTCCCCAGAACAATGGAGACACCTGTATGCCCCTAATCCATCATCAGCCATCCACACTGCCTCTGTGAAATACCCACTTTGTTTCTCAGGGCCCTTGTGACTGAGGGTTGAGATGTTGCCTTTGCACTTACTCTATTGCTCAAAGTATATCCTCTAACACCATGAGTTTTCAGTCACTTTATTTCTTTGAAAGATGTTGCCCTGTTCTAATATGCCCTGCAGGATGCTAGCTGCTTGCTGGAAGGGGCTGGCTGAGGCTGCTGGGGCTGTATGCTTTTTCAGCATGACTCATTTGCATCTGTCTTTTCTTTGGCAGTTATATTCTTGCTCTAGGCTGTCCCAATGGGAGGAGAATTTATTAAATCAACTTTATTGAAGTATAATTTATACCAATGAAATGCACAGATTTTAAGTATACAATTTGATGAGTCTTGACAAATATATACAGCTGTCTAACTGCTACTCCAACATAGAACATTTTTATCTCTTCAGAAAGTCACATGCACTCCTTCAGAGTTAATCTGTGTCCCACAGCCAACCAATGATCCAATTTCTATCACCATCATAAGTTTTGCTGGTTCTAGAATTTCATATAAATACAATTAAAGGCATACATTCTTTTATGTGTGACTTCTTTTGCTCAACATGTCTACTAGGATGATCTTGGTTGTTGTGTATATTATCAGTTATTTTATTGCTATTACTTTTTATGGTTGAGTGTATTCCATTGTATGAATATATAAACAGTTCTCCTTCGCCTGTTTGTGGACATTGAGAAGTTTCTAGGTTTTGGCTACTATAAATGAAGCTACTATGAATGTTTGTTTTTAAGATTTTTGTTGAAGTATGTTTTTATTTCTCTTTGAAAAATAGAGTAGAATTGTTGGTCATAGCAGAAGTATAGTGTTGGCCTTATAAAAAGGAAAAAACTTCCAAACAGTTTGCAAACTGTATCATTTCACATTCCTACTAGCAACGTATGAGAATTCAAGTTGCCGCACATCCTTAGCAACACTTTATCTTGACAGTCTTTTTAAATTTTAGTTCTCCTAGTGGGTAGGTATTGGTATATCATTGTGTTGTTAATTTGTACTTCCCCGATGACCAGTTATATTGACTGTATTCTCATATGTCTACTGGCCATTCTTCTGTGTGTGGGTGTTTTCAATATTTTACCAGTTTTTAGTTGTGTTGTTTCTTTTCTTATTATTGAATTGTAGGAGTTCTCTATATATTTTGGTTACATGTCCTATTTCATAAATAGGTATTGCAAATACTCTTTCCCAGTCTGTCATTTGACTTTTCATTTTCTTAACAGTTTCCTTCAAAAAACAGACATTTTTAATTTTGATAAAGTGCAGCTTTTCATTTTTTTGTCCTTTATGGTTAGTGTTTTTTGTGTTTTGTCAAAAAAAAATTGTCTTTCCTAACATACTCTTTATTATATGTTGTTTTTCCTTAGAAGTTTTGGTTTTTGCTTTTGCATTTAAATATATGGCCCATTTTAAGTTGCTTTGTGTATAGATATATATTATATATTGTGTATAAACATATATATTGTGGCTTTATGACATAGGAGAAATGATAAAACAACAATACTGGAATTGGGGTATAAGAATACACAGTTCTTAGGTTATACTTGAAGTAGTGTAATGTTGAGCATCCTGTGATGAGTTAAAGACATATATTATACATCTTAGAGCAATCACCTTAGAAAAGGGCTAAAGATAATAAACTAATAGAGGAGGTAAAATGAAATGCTAAAAATACTCAATCCAAAAGTGGGTAGAAAAAAGGACAAAAAAGAAAAACAAGATGGTATATTTAAACCCAACCATGTCAATAATTACATTAAATGTAAATGGCCTAAATATTCCAACTAAAAGGCAGAGATTGTCAGAGTGGATGAAAATATAAAACTCAACTATATGCTGCCTTTAAGAAATTCACTTTAAATATAAAGGCAGATAGGTTAATAATAAGGTCTGTAAAATATATATGTAAATATTAATCATGAGAAAACCGAAGTGGTCATGTTAAATAGACCAATGATGAAAGAGTTAATTCACTAGAAAGACATGCCAATCTTAAATATATATGCACCTAACAACAAGTTTAAAACACATTAAGCAAAGGCGATAGAACTGAATGGAGAAATAGAGCCACAACTATAACTGGAGATTTTAACACTCCTCTTTAAATAATTTATAGAACAAATTGACCGAAAACAAAATTAGGTATGAATATTGGATAAAGGAGATTTGAATAACACTGTCAATCAACTGACTCAATTGACATTTATAAAATACTCAACCCAACAATAGTATAATACACATCCTTTTCAAGTGCACATGGGACATTTGCCAAGATAGACTATATGCTGGGCCATAAAAGAAATCTTAATAAGTCTAAAATAATCAAAATCATGGAGTATGTTCTCTGACCAAAATATAATTAACTTAGAGATTACTAATAAAACATATCTAAACATTTTTCAAATATTTGCAAATTTAGAAATACACCTCTACATAACCCATGAGTCACAGAAGAAATCATAAGAAAAATAGAAACACTTTAAAATGAATGAAAGTAAAAACACATCATATCAAAATTTTTAGTAGAAAGCTAAAGCAATATTTAGAGGGAAATTTATAGTTTTAAATATTTACATTTAAAAAGAAGAAAGATATAAAATCAATTATTTGTTTTCAACTTAAGATACAGAACCAAGAGCCAAAAATAAGTAGAAGAAATGTAATGATAAGGATAAAATACTAACTTATTAGTAAGATTTTAAATAATTTTTAAAGGTTCATCTATGTCTATAAGGCCTTGCACATACTAGGTGCCTTGTAAGTATTTTTTTCCAGTTGGAATAAAGCCTTCTACTTTCTAATATAGGGTTAAAACAGTGTGGCTTAGTAGAATGAACATAAGTTAAAGAGTATGGGCAGTCTAGAGTTTAAATATCAGCTCCCTCATTTAATAATTGCATGACCTTGGACAAGCCATTTAATTTCTCTGAGCTATAACAATAGCTACATTTATTGAGTACTTATTGATGGTATGCACCTTATATGTATTAACTCATTTAATTCTTATAACAACTCCATGAGGTAGGTACATTTAACATCCTCCTTTTAAAGGAAATAGTATCTCATATGGTTTAGAAGCCCCTCTGAGATCACAGAGCTAGCAGATGGTAGCATTGAGATTCAAAGACAGGCTCATCTGACAGTAATCTTATGTACTATTCCTGAAGATCCAGAAAACTTCAGTTTCTTCATTTGTAAAAATAAGGTTATTGATGCAAGATTGACTGAAGGGGAACAACAGGAATGGAGAACAACAATACACAGGGTCTGGCTGTGTACAGGGAGAGAGGGAGTGGAATGTCCCCCAAGTGCTATTCAACAGAGCAGTTCCAAGATGCATTTCAGCACTAGGGCCTGCAGGGAGAGAGGTCAGGAACATATTGTATTGCCCATTGGTGCCATCTACTTTGCTGTGTCTGGCTTGCCAGGCCCAAGCAGGTCATGTAAATGAGTACAGTGGTAGGTAAGGTGGGCCGTGACAATGAGTGATGAATCTTCTAAAGCGTCAGCAGCCCCTTGCCTCAGACTCCCTGAGGCCACACTGAAATGTGCACCCAGCATCACCAGAGCTTCTGAGTTTTCAAGAGATGCCAGTAATCTGGCTTTTAAGTACTCTCAATTCTTAGGTATTGACTCTTAAACTTTTTAAGGAAACACTGTAGGGGCTAAATAAAATACATTTGATGGCTGGCTTTAGCTCATGATGGGCAGTCCATAGTCTTGGGTTTACACTTAGTGTGTTTTAAAGGATATTCCAATAACCAGAACGAAAGTGTTTTTCTTATCTTCTAAGTTCTTTTGAGTAATAATTCCAAAGTACTATATGGACATCAATAGGTTGGGATTAATATTTATGTTGGAATGAAAAAAGAAAACTGTGTGTGTGTGTATGTGTGTGTGTGTGAGAGAGAGAGAATTTCTTAAAAGACTTCAAAGCAGAAAACTATGTGGCTAATCTTATTAGTGGAAAAAAAAAAAGACTTAGCATCTCTGGGAGATACTCCTTTACTCCTTTGGTTGGAGTCACCCTTGTCAGGCGAGAAAGGAAAGGTGATAGCACAGTTTTCCTCTTAGCTACAAGGGGGGAATAGAGAACTTAGCAGATGAATGATGACCAACTGAAGAAGGCTCAGGGTAACATCACAAATCCACAATGCATAATGTTGCTGGGAAGAATATGTGACTAATTGCCACCTGTATTTAAAGCAGTGGGGAGAGAGGTGTTTCCCTTTCTTTGAAAGAAACACCAAAGAAGGAAGGAAAGAAAGAACAGATTACATCTGTGCTTCTCTAAATTTCATGTGCACACAGATCCCCCGGGGAATCTCATTAAAATGCAGATTCTGAATCAGTAGCTGGAGGGTAGGGTAGGGCCTGGGAATCTGTATTTCTTACAAGTTCCCAGGTGATGCTGATGCTGCTGGGTCCAGGGCCACATTCTAAATGACAAGAAACTAGCTGTTCTATTAAAGTGAGTGCAAAAGTAATTGTGATTTTCCCATTGTTGGAATTTGCTGTTTGATATTGGAATACATTCTTAAATCAATGTGGTTAAGTTATACATCATTTTAATGGGCATTTCTCTATTTTTTTTTGCTAATGACTTATTACTTGCTGTTTATTTTAAACTATGGAAATGATGTTAGACAAAAAGCAAATTCAAGCAATTTTCTTATTTGAGTTCAAAATGGGTTGTAAAGCAGCAGAGACAACTTGGAACAACAACAATGCATTTGGCTCAGGAACTGCTAATGAACGTACAGTGCAGTGGTGGTTCAAGAAGTTTTGCCAAGGAGACAAGAGCCTTGAAGATGAGGAGCACAGTAGCTTGCCATTGGAAGTTGACAATGACCAATTGAGAGCAATCATCGAAGCTGATCATCCTTACAACTACACAAGAAGTTGCTGAAGAAGTCAACGTTGACCCTTCTATGGTCATTTGGCATTTGAAACAAATTGCAAAGATGAAAAGGTTCCATAAGTGAGTGCCTCATGAGCTGAGCAAAAATTTAAAAAAAAAAATCATTGTTTTGAAGCGTCGTCTTCTCTTATTCTACACAATAACGAACCGTTTCTCAATTGAATTGTTACGTGTGACAAAAAGTGGATTTTAAATGACAACTGGCAATGACCAGCTCAACGATCGGACTGAGAAAAAGCTCCAAAGCACTTCCCAAAGCCAAACTTGCACCCAAAAAAAAGGTCATGGTCACTATTTGGTGGTCTGTTGCTGGTCTGATCCATACAGCTTTTTGGATCCCAGCGGAACCATTACATCTGAGAAGTATGTTCAGCAAATCCACGAGATGCACTGAAAACTGCAATGCCTGCAGCCAGCATTGGTCAACAGAAAGGGCCCAGTTCTTCTCCAAGGCAATGCCCGAACACACATAGCACAACCAACACTTCAAAAGTTGAACGAATTGGGCTATGAAGTTTCGCCTCATCTGCCATATTCACCTGACCTCTCGCCAACCAAATATCACTTCTTAAAGCATCTCTACAACTTTTTTCTAGGGAAAATGCTTCATGGTCAGCAGGATGCACAAAATGCTTTCCAAGAGTCTGTCAAATCCCAAAGCAAGATTTTTTACACTACAGGAATAAACAAGCTTATTTCTCATTGGCAAAAATGTGTTGATTGTAATGGTTTCTATTTTGATTAATAAAAATGTGTTTGAGCCTAGTTACAATGATTTAAAAATTCATGGTCTGAAACAGCAATTACTTTTGCACCAACCTAATAAATTCTGAACTCTAGTGATAGAAGAACATTTAGAGATCATCAAGGATGTCCAAACTGAACTAAAGAGTTCCTTCCATCCTCTGCTCCCCTTCCTCCCAGGAGCTCCTTGTTTCTGTGATGGCGCAAACCCCAGGCCTCTCTGGTTGAAACCTGGGACCTGTTTAGGCTCTTGCTTGTCTCTCACTCCCAGCCCTAGCCCCTTCACATGGCAGCCCAAGTTTAACCCCTTACCTCATTTGTCAGTTCTACTTCCATAGGGTCACTCTATCCACCCTTATCCTCCCCTGCCTTCCCTCGACTCCTGCCTCTAACCTGGGTTTTGTGTTTCCTAAATGGCCTCTTTGCTGCCTGTATCCTCCCTATACTGTTTATTCTATGCAGAGCTTCCCACATGCCCTTCCTGAGTGCTGCTCACTGCACTCTCTTGCTCAGGAGTAATCAATGCCCACCTTCTCCTCTGTCTCTTCTACCTCTGCCTTGCACAAACCTGCACCCATCTCCTCCCAAACCCCCTTGATGAACCTACTATCTTTGCCCAAGCTTTTTTTTTTTCCTCTAGAGCACACTCTACCCTCTCAGCTGTCAAAATCACACCTCAAGGACTAGCTCAATATTGATGAGAACTGAGAAATACATTTTGTACCCTTTTTTCGTAGTTTTAAGTTTCTGCTGAATATGCCTTAAGCCTGTGGTGTTTTCTTCATGCTGAACCATTACCTAGAAATTTCTCTGTGACCTATTGTTACTGCCAGCCCCAGGAGATGGGCAGGTGCCCATTTTGATAGCTAGAGGCATGCTGCTTAGAAAATTCATCCTTCCCTGGGCCTCTCCTTTCCACTTCCTCCCCAGAGCCTGTTCGTTTGATCACCCAGCAGGAAGTGATAGGTACACCCCCTTTATAATTATAGCCTTTCTCCTTCTATCCCCTAAAATAATAGTTTCCTCATTTCCATCCTTGTCTGAAACACAGAGCAACAGCCCTCCATTCATCTTCCAAAATAGCAATACTTGTTTTGTTTTTTTAAAACTTGTCCTCCCCCATGTCTTCCTCAGCCTACTCTTTCTCTCTCTTCTCCTCCCATCTCCTCTTCTAAATACAGCCAATAGACTCTTCAGTTTTTCTTCCAAATGTCTTCAGTCCCTATTTCTCAGAAGAGGAGCCACTGTGTCCCTCTGGAATGCCTCCTTCTAAAGGAGCTTATGTCACTTCTTATCTCCCCTGTAACTAGTCATTAACCTCAGTGTTCAACCAACTTCTGATAGCAGCTCCTGCTAATAACCTGAACTTCATTAATACCCACTATGTGCCACGTGCTCTGCAAGCATCTCTCATTTTGTTTTCATAACCTCACAAAATAAATATTATTACTATCCCCATTGTACAGAACAGAACATTGAAAACTCACCTGTCTAAGGTGTACAAATAGAAGATGGCAGAGGTACAATTCAAATCCAAATCCAGGTTACTCTGATGTCAAAGCCAGCATTCAATGCCACTCCCCAAACCATGTCACCAGTTAGCCTGCGTATTTATTTTCTTTGGCTGCCATAACAAATTTCCACAAACTGGGCAACTTAAAATAATAGGAACTTATTGTCTCAAAGTCTTGGAGGCCAGAAGTCCAAAGTCAAAGTGTCAGTAGGACTGGTTCTAAGGGAAAATCTGTTCCATGCCCCTCTCCTAGCTTCTGGTGGCTGCTGGCAATCCTTGGTATTCCTTGCCTTGTCCACTCATCACTCAAACTTCTAGCTCTGTCTTCACATCATCCTCTCCTCTGTTTTTTTTTTTTTCTCCAATTCTCTTCTGTATTGAGTATGGTTTCCCCATACTGTTCTCGTGGTGGTGAATAAGTCTCACGAGATCTGATGGTTTCATAAGGGATTTCCCCTTTCACTTGGCTCTCCTTCTCTCCTGCCTGCCACCATGTAAGATGTACCTTTCAGCTTCTGCCATGATTCTGAGGCCTCCCCAGCCACATGGAACTGTGAGTCCATTAAACCTCTTTTTCTTTGTAAATTACCCAGTCTCAGGTATGTGTTTATCAGCAGCATGAAACTGGACTAGTATACTTGTCATTGGATTTAGGACTCATCCTAATCTGAGATAATCTTATCTCCAAATCCTTAACTTAATCACTCTTGAAAGACCCTTCCCCCAAATAAGGCCACAGTCATTGGATCCAGATAGACATGTCCTTTGAAGAAAGGAGCGTTTATCTCACTACACCATGTAAAGAAAAATCAGCATGAGAAATCAACTCTGATGGAGATGTACAAGGAGATTAATGTTTTCATGCCTGTTAACACAGCATCCATTCTATAGCCTGTGGATCAAGGAGTTATTTTTATTTTCAAGTCCTATTATTTAAGAAAGACATTTTGTAAGGCTGTAGCTTTCAGTGGATAGTGATTATTCTGTTAGATCCAGGCAAAGTAAATTGAAAGCCTCTGGAAATGATTCACCATTGTAGGTGCCATTAAGAAGATTCATGATTCATGCAAGGAGGTAAAAATATCAACATGAACAGGAGTTTGGGAAAAGTTGATTCCAACACTCATGGATGACTTTGAGGGGCCCAAGCCTTCAGTGGAGGAAGTCACTGCAGATATGGTAGAAATAGCAAGAGAACCGGAATTAGAAGTGGGGCCTGAAGATGTGACTGAATTGTTGCAATCTCACGAGAAAACTTTAATGGGGTATGGAGTTGCTTCTTATGGAGGAGCAAAGAACATGGTTTATTGAAATGCAGTCTACTCCTAGTGAAGAGGCTATGGACTGTTGAAATAACAACAAAGGATTTAGAGTAATACATCTACTTAGTTAATAAAGCAGTGGCACGGTTTGAGAGGACTGACTCCAATTTCTAATAGAATTTCTAATACTATAGGTAAAATGCTATCAAACAGCATTGCATCTGCAGAGAAATCTTTCATGAAAAGAGGAATCAATTGATATAGCAAACTTCACTGTTGTATTATTTTAAGAAATTGACAGGGCCACCCAAACCTTCAGCAACCAGAACCCTCATCAGTCAGCAGCCATCAACATTAAGGCAAGATCATCCACCTGCAAAAAGATTATGACTCACTGAAGGCTCAGATGATTGTTAGCATCTTTTAACAATAAAATATTTTTAAATTAAGGCATGCAGATTGTTTTCTTCAGATACAATACTATTGCACACTTAATAGACTATAGTGTAAACGTAACTTTAATATGCACTAGGAAACCAAAAAAAATGTGTGACTTTCTTTATTGCAATATTTGCTGTATTGCAGCTGTCTGGAACTGGATCTGCAATCATTCCAAGGTGTATCTGTATTTTTCCATGCCACTGTTACTGCAGCTCCAATGACTAATTTCCAAATCCCTGCATGGAAGTCACAGCCAGAGTGTACCCTGGCTGTCTGTGCTGTTGACAGAATGCTCTCTGCCACATGCCATGGCAGCCAGAGGAGGGTTGTGGCCCACTGGGGATGTTGTAGGAAATATATCCCTCCCCAGCTGCGTGCTGCTGCTGGATTGATTCTTCCAGTTTAACTATAGCTGGAGTCAGTGCCTTATAGATTGCTATGAAGTCAGGCCCTACAGAAACGTCTAAGTTCGGTGGCAGAACAGAGAGGGACTCAGCGGCCTGGGCTGCATAGTGAAGCTGTTCCCTTAAAGGTGTCATGGCTGTGTTCTGTGGGAAGGAAAATTGCAAGTGGATATTGTTATAGGGTTATCTCTAGACCCTTCGTCACCTCCTGAGGAGGGCAGCTCTACTCCTGAAGGCTACAGGAGTCTGAGTTTGCAGGAGCCAAACTGTACTCCCAAGAAGGAGAGAAAGATTTGGGACTGACAATCCATTGGTAAGACCCTACCAGGGTTAGAACACTGAATACTCCTGTACCAGTGGGATGCCAGTAAACAGTCCCCAGAACTCACCGCCTGCATATCATTCAGCCACTAGTGGCTGGACCTCTGACCCAGTAGGGGTCCTTGGGGACCCTGATCATGTGTTCTGGAGGGCACCTGTTAGACTAGTTGGTGCTCTGTAGTTGCTTCCTAAATATTTTAATATCACCCTCGAGGAACAAGAGAAACAGGAACCAATGAAACTTGAGGTTCCCTGGGCAGGAGGCAAGAAGGAGAATTACCACGGGGTTCCAGCATAGAGCTGTGGGGAGGAACAACATGTTGATGGCGGTTTCTGAGCTTGCGTGCCATTTGATACAGCTTCTGTTAAACCCATCCTGCTTGAACAAGATTCTTGCTGGGAGCTGTGAGAGGGCTGAGCCCTTGGCCAAGGCAAAGTCAACCTGCAGGAGCAAGGAGAACAGTGTGCATTTGTGATAGATGTCTGTGTGCTGAGGTGCCAGGATGTCACTGGGCTCACAGCCCCACAGCCCTGCTTGTCCTGGGAAGGGATGTGTTCCTGCTGGTGAGTCCAGGGGTCAGTGGGTACAGCCGGACACACCAGGGCAGAGAGTGGCAAAATACAACTTGTGCTTATCTCCTTTGCTGTGTGGCTCATCGGGAAGAGGGCAGGTGTCGTATTAGCCATGCTTTCTTATAAAGAGGCAAATTCTCTGACGGTCGCAGGGACTGAAGCAGTAGCTATTTGGAATGCTCTCTCCACTGAACAGCCTACCCTTTCCATAAGGAGGACTTCCTGTTTCTGCCTGTCTCTGGTTTCCACAGTCAACAATGTTTTGCCCAGGATTGGATTTTTCTTTGCTTCTGCTTTGAGCACAAGCTCAGAGACTATAAAGGTGAATTAGACACTGCCTGTGGCTATCCCAGCCTAGTTGTGGGCATCAGCAGGTTCTTCAGGGACAACCCCTATGTGGCTGAGGGCATTCTGTTCCTCATGCTCAGTTTCTCTTCCATACGAGGGGTTTATCTCATCTCTGTTTTGTACCTGTCTATACACTGGGCTGGACTTCCTTCCCCAACTCACAGAAGAGCCCCTCTCCCAAATGTGACTTAGAATGTGTTCCCTGTTTAGTGGTCAAGCTCTCCTTGAAGTGTAATAAATTCTCCCTTTCCATCCCAAGTTTTCTGTCTACATTAGATGTTGAACCCCTCATAGTTACATTTCCAGAGTTCCTTGGACCTCCATTTTCTAATCTGTAAAACAGAAGGAATGAGGCTAGATGAATTTCAGATATTCTAGACATTTTATCACATTTTACACTTTGTTAATAAGTGCTAGTCCACAAAGCACATTTATGCAAGTTTTAATTAAAAGCATCTTCCTCCAAGACAGAGACTATTCCAGGACCATGGCTTGGTGAGCAGAGCAATGGCTAGATTCAGCCTCTCCTTACGCTTTTGGCCAGGTACCCTTGTGTAGTGAATAACCTGCACAACCATACTGTATGAGTCTGTTCTCAAGCTGCTAATAAAGACATACCCGAGACTGGATGACTTATAAAGGAAAGAGGTTTAATTTATTCACAGTTCAGCATGCCTGGGGAGGCCTCAGGAAACTTACAATCATGGCAGAAGGGGAAGCAAATACGTCCTTCTTCACATGGTGGCAGCAAGGATAAGCGCAGAGCAAAGGGGGATATGCCCCTTATAAAACCATCAGATCTCATGAGAACTCACTCACTATCATGAGAACAGCATGAAAGTAACCACCCCGATGATTAAATTACCTCCCAACGGGTCCCTCCCACAACACGTGGGGATTATAGGAACTACAATTCAAGATGGGCTTTGGATGGGGACACAGCCAAACCATGTCACATATACATCAGCCTTGTTTTCCAAGTATCAGGAGGATATACAATTGCTAAAAACAAGTAGACAATAGTCATAGTCTATATTCAGAACAGTGGTTCTCAAGCAGGGGTGATTTTGGCCCCTTTCTCCAGGGGACATTTGGCAAACTCTGAAGACATTTTTGGTTGAGAAAATGAAGGGATGGGGTGGCAGGGGTGCTAATGGCACCTAGTGGTTAGAGCCGCTGCTAAACATTCTGTAATGCACAGCACAGCCCCACCTAAAAATAAATAATTTTCCAACCCTAAATATCAACAGTGCCGAGGTTTAAAAACCCTGGATGAAAGTACTAGCCATGATAATAATTAGACATTGCACAAACAAAAATAAAAACTTAAGCGGGAAGTAGGAGGAAAAGTTTAAATTCGGAGCAACTTTAACAGATATTTCTGAATAATGGTTTTGAATCTGTCTCTTTTTATGCCTGTTTGAACTACATGTCTGCTTACTGCAGTAGCTCCACCTTTGGCAAGAATACTGAATTCTCATTTGAGAAATAAAGAAAAAGCCTGAAGCTTATAGCCCCTAAGGGTGGTTCCTTCAGTACTTTGTTGTACCTTTCCAAGCTTATAGAAACCCCTTGCTAAATTGCAGGTTCGAATTACAAAGAAAAATTTAAATTTTCATGCAGTGAACTTAACTATAAATTAATCTACAACTGAGTCTACAATTTGAATGTTTATTCTACACAAAAGTACTAGGTAAAATGTTATTTAAAATCTTTATTATGTCTTTAGCTTTAAACAGTGATGCAAAAGTTATTGACCTTCAGAAGATACTAAAGAGGCAGTATGTGGTATTTTATTATTGAAATTACATATTTACATAAACAGAAATATATATTAAATAGAAATTCCAATTGTAAAATGGAAAGCAGGTTAACTGCACACTAGTTTTGCTGCTGTTGGTCTTAACTTGAAAGAAAATTAAGAATCAGTTTTCGTTTAGGATGTGGAAACCTACATATAACAATGAGAAAAAGGCAGAAAAATCTATAGCAATTGTTAAGTTTTCTTGAGCCCATCAGAGGGCTGAAATCCAGGCAATCAAACAAACCAAATTCCTAAGAGGGACAGGCTCTATTAAGGGCTGAGGAGACATAAAAACATTCACCTTACACAGAACATGGGAGAGAGAGGTGGCTGCCATACAGATGTGTAAAAAGAAATCAGTTAAAAGATGTTAAAACTATTAAAGGCTATAAAAGAAAATACAATTTCAGGGCTCTCTAAATTTATTATGCCAAGGGGGGATGTTAAGCTCTGGAGACTGAGTCACATAGCATGTTTGCTATTCTTCTTCTTAGATTATGGACTATTTCTCTTCCTCATTGTTCTTGTTCTGTAAATGACTAGGAGAAACCAGAGGACAGACCCCTCACCTCCTAATCATCTATCTTTGTTAAAGATTCACTGCCTGCTTTTTTTGTCCTTACCCAACTCAGACCAGATGGGGCAAAAGACTCCAGGACTGTTAGATCTTTGGTGTGGAATGTCAAATATACCTTTTCTTAAAGAAAAAAATCACCTTGACTGATTAGATCATAACTATGCATTAAGCCTTACATAGAATGATGTTGAAATTCTGTTAAGCTTTCCTAAACTTTGTTTATGTAAATGATCCCAAACTTCTACATTTTGGAACACTGACTTCCATTCTTTGGAATCTCTGCTTTGTAGCTGGCTGTCCTTAAACTTTGTGCTTGTGTAAACTCTCTTTAAACTAGATTATGACCCTTTTGATTATTTTAGGTTGACAAAGCCACATGTGGGCTAGAATGTCAGTTTGGAATAACTGGGGGCCCAGACACAAAGGAAGTCAGAGACACATGCTCTTCTCCACATGGCTCCACCAGTTACTGAGAGAAAGATGTAGGGCAGGAGCCTGGAGCAAGCCCCCCTTGGTGGGGTAGGTGTTGGGGAGCTCTCTGTAGTTGTAGGGAGAATAAACACGATCCTCTCCCCAACCCTTCCCTCCTAGGAGAGAAGCCTTGAACTGTCGGGGGAGAGGCAGCAGACTGTCTTTCCCCAAAGGCACAGGCAAAAGACTGGTGTGCTAGGGAGGGTCAAAGAAAAATCTCCAACCCCCAGTGAAAGGGCAGGAAGCTGTGCTGGGCCCAGGATATCTTACTGCCAGGGAGGGGCAGGAAACTCTGGCCCAAGTCCAAGCTCAGATCCAAAGCAGTGTTTGGCTGCCATGGGGAGGAGGGATGAGAATGCTGAGAAAGCCTCACCCCCAGGCCCAGGCACATGGTGCCTGCCTAAGACTAAGGCTAAACCAAAAGAACTGAGAACCACCTCTCTTCCCTTGCCCCTGTATCCCAAAATAGGCCCAGCACTGAATAATAGGCCAGAGTCATCTGCCACTGGGATAGGGGAGCTAAAAGCGTGGACAGAGGATTCTCTGTGGCATGTGTAAGCCAGGCTGGCTGTGTTGGGGCTCAGAGAATGATACCCTAAAGTACGATTCTTTGGCATGCTGAGTACTTTTTCATTAAAGGGAATTGGAAGGTCTTAGAATCTGCCTCAGAACCAAAGACCTTCTAACCTTCTCCTGTTTCTTCCCTCCACCCTGAAACCCCAAGCACAGTAAGGGACATTCTCTAGAAGTTTCCTCATCTGAATGAGAAAAAATTATTCCAAAAGAAATGCAATTGTCTTAAAACTCCCCCCCTAGAAATCTCATCAAATCACCAGGAAAGATGAACTACTAGAGAAGAGAAAAGACTAAAAGTCATCACCACATCCAGGCAGATTTTTCATCTATTCTTCTGAGGGCAGCTCTGAGATATTACCTGGAAGATGTTATCTGCATAATAAGACAACCTTTGTTCACAGGGAAGTCCCACCCCTCAATTTCCCAATACGTGTTGCCACCTTCCCCACAGCTCAGAGGAACTTTGTCCCAGGCCATTGTCTATTCTTTGCGCTCGTTGGTTTTCCCTAAAAATAATTCACTACCCCTCAAAATTGCCTACATTCCCCCATCTTCCTCCCCCTATGAAGATGACAGTATTTAAGCTTCAGCCATCTGGCCTGTCCTTGAATCTCATATTTTGTATGGCTCCCATGCATACTTGCATATTAATGAATTTGTATGCCTTGTCTCCTGTTAATCTGTCTATTGATAGTTCATTTCAACATTCTTGACCCTTCAGAGAGGGAGGAAAAATTCTCTTCCCCTCTACAACAGAAAGCTGAGGGGCAAGCAGGAAACCTGGGAAAGAGTCTAGCACCTTGGCCCTCACACTAAGCACAAGATAACACGATTCCCACCTCTAGAGGAATTTGAAGCCTGTGGTCTATTGAAGGTAACAGTGGCAACAATAAAACCCATACCCACCTCAACTACTGACTAGATAACCTCAAACTCTGACACTAATGCTCTCACAGAACAAGATATTGGGATGATTTATAGAATAAATAATATTTACCTTCATCTCTGCTGTCCTATACAGTCACAAATTATGAGATATACAAAAAAGCAAGGGAAAAAATTGTAAAGAGACAAAGGCGATCAACAGAAACAGACTCAGGGATGACTCAGATGTTGAGACTTTGAGATAGAGACCATAAGAATTATGATTAATAAGTTAAAAGAGTAATAGAAAAGGTAGATATCATGCATGAACAGATGGAGAATTTCAGCAGAGGGATGAAAAATGATAGAGTTAAATGGAAGTGCTAGAAAAAAACACATGATATCAAAAATGAAGAGAGTCAATAAGTTTTTTTAATCCATGGGGACATCTGCATATAGATTCTTTAAGGGAATTGGAGCTTCACTGAAATAGTCTTATGACATAAGGATAATTATATATATATTAGAGTCTTAGAGTTCAGCTGACAACAAATAATTTTGTATCTCCAAAGGATTTGAGATATTAAAAGTAATTATAGTTCTAAATAAGCCTTGTAATTAGAACTAAGATTCTATTGTAGCAATGGGAGGGAACTTTCATAACCTGAATGGACACTAATGAGAGTGGAGATCTCTGAGGCATAACACTCAGGACAGTCAGAATCCGATAGAATCACAAATGGAATTGAATTGGCTCCATAATTTTATAGGAAGAAAGAACCAACTTTTAATATATGTGTAAACCAAAAATAAAATTCTAAGCCCTTCAACCAACTGATGGACCCTCTCCTTGGCCCAGGGCATTCTAAAGTTAACCTGAAAAGCTAATTCAGGCCATGATGAGAAGTGGGGGTTGAACATTCTTCATTATACCTTCCTCCCTTTGGAATTCAGGCACAGTTGACCAGTATTAACATTAAAATAGAGATCTTAAGACTAGCAAAACGACTTTTTTTGTAGCAATAAGATACCAAATTCCAGCCTGACTCTAGTATAGCATTACATCACAGATAGCAGGCCCTGAAAATAAATCAAACTATTTTACCCCAAATTATATTCTTTGACATATTTTGAAATGGCCTTGCAAAGATGACTCTTGTGGGGGAAAATCTACATTCTGTAGAGAATCCCCATTTCTTTCCAGGTCATTTCCCTGATCCAAGAGGGAATTAACTAAGACTCTGGCCCCTTTTTAGGTCTGAAAAGAGCTCTGAAGCCTACTACCTGAAGGCTCCATCTATATGATAAAACCTTAGTCTCTGAAACCCCTAATTTTTTTTTTTTTTTTTTTTTTGACAAACTCTGGTTCTACTCTCCAGGCTGGAATGCAGTGGCACAATCTCTGCTCACTGCAACCTCCACCTCCTGGGCTCAAGCCATCCTCCCTACTCAGCCTCCTAAGTAGCTGGAACTACAGGTGCACACCACCATGCCCAGCTAATTTTTGAATTTTTTGTAAAGGTGGGTTTTGCTATGTTGTCTAGGCTGGTCTTGAACTACTGAGCTCGAGCGATCCACCTGCTTCAGCCATCCAACGTGCTGGGATTACAGGCATGAGCCACCATACCTGGCCCAAAACCCCTTATCTTAACCCAGACACTCCTTTATATTGATTATAGGTCTTTATATAATAATTCTTTCAAACAACTGCCAATCAGAAAATCTGTGACTCCACCTATGACCCGGAAGCCCCCACTTCCAGTTGTTCTGCCTTTCTGGAACAAACCAATGTACATCTTCTGGGTATTGATTGATGTCTTTTGTCTCCCTAAAATATATAAAACTGAGCTGTAGCTTAATCACCTTGGGCATATGTTTTCAGGATATCCTGGGACTGTGTCACAGGCCATTGGTCACTCATATTTGGCTTAGAATAAATATCTTAAAATATTTTACAGGCTTTGACTATTTTTGTCAACATACGCACACCCAACTTAAAAATAAGCAATTATTTCTACAAAATTGTAGAAATATTCATTCATTTTTGTGAAAAACAAATGATTTCAAATATAGACAGAGGTGATCATTGATAGGTTTGGGACACCTCCAACTTATACATTCAAAAAAGAAAAAGAGAGATAGAAAAGTGTAACCTGTGGTCCCAGTCATTAAGCCAGTTGTCCAGAAAAGGGTATAAAATTTCCTTTGATTTTGCTTTAACTTTTTATTAACCTATAATTTACATACATACACATAGGATATGTATCTGTAACCTATACTTTACATACACATATCCTAAGTGTGCAGCTTACATAACTTTCAAACTGAAAACACTTTTGCAACAAGTTCCAAAATCAAGGAATATAACACCAGCTTCTTTGAATTCTCCCTCATATTCCCTTGAAGTCTCTATCTTCTTCCAAAGCTAGCCATTATCCCTATATTAATTAGCATAGATTACTTTTGCCGTTTTGCTCATATGAAAATGGAATCATACATTGGTACTATTTTCTGTCTGGCTTTTTTTCCTCAGCATGTTTGTGGGGTTCATTCATATTGCTGTGTGTGGTTATAGTTTATTTGTGCTCATTATTGGTATAGTACTGTATTTTCTTGTTGACAGGCATTTGGGTTGTTTCCAGCTTAGGGTTATCATGAATAAACTATGAATAGCCTTTTACCAGGCATTGTGTAGGCAAATTTTTTTTTCCCCTTAGATTAATACCTATGGGTTGAATTGCTGAGTCATAAGGTATATGGATGCTGCCAAAGTGTTTATAAAAGTGGTCATAACAATTTACATCCCACTAGCAGTGTGTGAGAGTTTGCTGCTCCACTAGGGATATGAAATTTTAAGCAGCAGCAAAAACCACAAGCAAATGTAAAATTCGTATTGTTGCACACAGACTGTGAGAACCATAACTGTTCAGAAAGAATAAGAATTGGTGAGAGCAGGAGTGTGGGAGAAGTTCTTCCTGGACAGAGGATGGGATGGATGGGCTGAGGGGCACCTGTGAGACACCCTTTGGTTCAAGGCCAGGTTCCATAACTGACCAGCTGCATGACCTTGGGAAAGTTACTGGATCAATCCGAGCCTCCGTTTTATCATCCGCAAAAAGGGGAAAATAAGAAACCTGCTCTTAGGCTGAAATGACAATTGTGCATGGAGGACACTGAGTATAGTGGCTAACACATAGAAACTTGCTATTTTATTACTATTATAAATAACAAAGTGGACAAGAATTGGGCTTTGCAGGATGGCTGGGACTGGCTCAGTGGATGGGCAGAAGAGCTCTTTGGAAAGGGGAGAACAGGAAAGAACGAAGCAGAGGATTAGCTTGGTATCTTCACAAGCTTAACAGAGGCAGGCCAAACACACAGGGACAATCCCTTCTCCTGCCTGTTTGTGTTTGTGTTTAGCACAGGGTGGCTTACTCCTGGAAGCCTCTGTGAAGTCTCCCACCTCCCAGCATCCATTCATAGGGGACTCATTTGAGTTAGCACCCAGAGGGTACTTCTCTGGTTGTACTTAACTATCTTAACTGAAACTGCTGGCTTATTGGCCTCTCTTTGTCCAGGAAAGGGTTGACCTCCATGAGGACAAGGCTTGGTGACTCACTGAAAACCATGGGCCTCCGTCCCTGGAAGAGGAATATTGTTTCATTCCAACAAAGGATTATTAAAACACTTACCATATGCCAGTCATTATGCTAAGTGACCTACAGTGTCGATGAGGAGACCTGTTGCAGTGTTTAGAGGTCAGCAAGAAGAAATTCAGTGTTTGTATCCAATAACTGACCGAGCACAGGAACTTGTTTCTCCCATGAAGTCATGAAAACTTGCATTAAAAGAACATAAAGAACTGAACCAAATCAAGAAGAAAAGTTTCAATGACATGAGTGATGAATGATAACAAAGCGCAATTTATACCTTTTTGCAGCCATGATCCAGGTTAAAGTCCACCCAAAATAATAATTTCTAAGTAAAAATTAAGGTAATAAGCATGGGTCAGATTAGATACTCTGGCTTTGTAATACAATTTATACTTCTGTTGTATGTTCTTCTTTAGCCACCTTAGGGTAGAACAAATGGAATCATCTCCCCACCCACAGTATTCATTTGACTCCACTTTTCATTCCTGGACTGTACTTCGGAACAGTTGCACTGCCTGAGGGTGAGGAGGAAGGTGTGATTTGAAGGGAAGGAATGGATTTAGAAATGATGCACTCCCACACATTTGAAAATAAAATATTCGGTAACATCACAAAACACCTGATATTTAACTTTCCCAGGGAACACCCTCAAGGAATCCAGAAAACTCCTGTAGATCTTTAGGTCACCTTGGGAATCAGGACATTTTTCTTAGAAGCTTAAAACAACCTTGGAATAGTCAGAAAGCACCAAAGAATTTCAAAGAAGGAGGAGAAAAGGGGTTATTGAAGTCAGAGAAGGAGGCGAGACTAGTACAGGCAGAAATGAGCAACTGCAGGACAGGGCCGGAGGCCAGCCAGATGCCAGCAACTCAGAGGCACCTGCCTTGGCCTGCATTTCTTAGGAGGCCAACCTGGAGGAAGATGTCTTTGTTGTGTAAAAAGTAGCCTTTTCTCTGCCAGGCACGGTGGCTCACGCCTGTAATCCCAGCACTCTGGGAGGCCGAGGCGGGCGGATCACCTGAGGTCAGGAGTTCAAGACCAGCCTGATCAACATGGTGAAACCCTGTCTCTACTAAAAATACAAAAAATTAGCCAGACGTGGTGGCGTGCGCCTGTAATCCCAGCTACTCTGGAGGCTGAGGCAGGAGAATTGCTTGAACCCGGGAGACAAAGGTTGCAGTGAGCCAAGATCACACCATTGCACTCCAGCCTGGGAGACAGAGGAGTTTTTTTGAAACTCCGTCACACACACGTACACACGAAAATATAAAAAGTAGCCTTTTCTTTTACTAAAGAACTGACCTCTTGATTTATAAAGCATGACACCAAAATATTCCTTAGAATTGAATGTCTTCCCACAGAATATTTTGCCAGGTATTCTAGTTGGTAATTATGACGGCCTTGACAGTGCTCCTCTCAGATCCCCAATTTCTAGGAGCATAGCTGGTGCCGGTCTCAGCTGAGGCCCATCCCTCCATTAGCATCACGCTCCACACGCTGCTCACTGCCAATGACTGGGCTTGGTAGGAATTCTAAGGAAAGTTCATTCGGGAGAAACAAGAATCCTCCGAAAACAGACTTGGGCTCGAGGGCGCCCCCTGGGCTTTGCCAATGTCTTAGAAGGACTCTGCCCTCTAAGGCTCTCCCCAGCCTGCCTCGGTCCTTCCCTGCATCCTCCACTCAAACCAGACCTGCATCTGATCCCTCAGCTCTGCTAGACTCCTCCGGCTTCCCGCCTCCGCCTCCCATTTCCCCCGCAATAAATCTCTTCCACATCCATCCTATGTTGATACCTGCTCCTCGGAGGACCTGAATTAACACAACAATGAACTTTCTGAAAGTATCTTTGTTTGCATTTGATTGTGCATGAGGTTCTTTATGAGGGAGGCTGGTGATGTGAGATGGAAAAAGCTTCATTAGGAGCTGGGGCTTGGCTCTGGCTCCTCCCAGCTACGTGGTCTTGACATTTAGCCTTGCTCCCTAGTTAGACCTCAGCTTCTTTATCAGAAAAATGGGGATAATAAATTACCTGCATCATAAAGTTATTGTGGAGATTAAGAAGATAGTGAATTCAAGATCTCAGTGCACATAACAATAGCTGCTATTTACTGAGTGCTTTCCATGTGCTTTTGATATAACTCACTTAATCCTAGCAATTTCCATATGAGATATGTACTTCACTCGCAAGAAAACCAAGGCATAGAGTGGCTAAGAGGTAGAGCTAGAATTTGAACCCTTCAGAGCCCAGAGCTTCAGAGCTCAGGCTCTTTAACTACCACCCTATGATTTTCCCCAAATAGCACATGCTCGGGAAATGACTGTTGGGATTCCATCAATAAATCCAATATGTTTTTTTCCACTTTCTACCCCTGTGACTGTGGCAAGGGTCTTCAACTGAAGACAATCTTGTCATTTTGTGAAGGTGAAGTGAGGAAAGGGATGTAAAACAGCTGTGGTTGGTGCTTAGTAGCTGTTCACCTGAATTTCAGCTAGGATTAAAATTACAATTATTATTAGCTTTGAAATGCTGATTCCTCTTTCTTTGTATACTTAATGGGTACAGTAAAGGAGCAATGGGTTGTTTGTTCCCAGCTTTCAGATGTGATGTCTAAATGAGAATTGAAATAAACCATGAAGGAACTGAGTTGCAAACACTTCTCTGATGACTACAGCAGGTGAATAATCAGCTCTGATATTTGATCACACCCTTTACAAGCCTGAACCCCTTTGTAGGTCCTTTGCCATATCCTCTACTTGTTTCTCTGTAGCTCAACCTACTGCCTGCCCAGGGCCATCAATAATAAATGTCCACAGACAGCTGAAGGACATTAAAGACAGATGGTGATGGATCAGAGCACTCATCAGCCACTGGGTGTAGACTGTATAAAAAGCTGAGCCCAGAGGCCACCATGATCAACCTGCAACCTGGCAAGAAATGGACTCAACTCCACAGACAGCAGTTGTCAGGGAGCCCAGGTGAGTGCACGGCTGCTTCATCTTTATGTACTTGTTATAGCACAAATGAGTCTATTTCCTTCCTTCCTGAAATAGCAAGGAGAAAATAGGAAATGCATGGTGCATAGTTTCTTTTTTTTTTCTCTTCTCTCCGTCTGTGTCATACTTTATTAACAAGGTCAAACCAAAATCATACAGATGTTCTGGGACATCTCAGGTGAAACTGTTAACAGGCTAACTTTGTTCTTGCCATTGTCATCCTCCACTCCCCTTGTCATTTCCTGCCCCCCAATCCATACCTGTCAATACCCTCTTTCTGAAGAATGTGTCTCAATTCTTACTTCCCTGCTTTGCTTACATCAATAGTCACCTGGGTTTTATGACTCACCCTTTCAGGGTTCCATTTGATTAATACTTAATATGTTAATCTTACTCATACAATTTCATTGTGCAAACATATGAACACCTGTAGTGCTAGACATATTGAAGGACACAAAGAAATAAAATGTGGTCCTTGCCTTGCAGAGACTAATGCTGCAGACCAGTGATTCTCACTAAGTGTACATCTGAATTACCTGGAGGATTTGTTCAAACACAAACTCTTGGACTCCACAGTTTTTGATTCAATTGACAGGGAGTCAGGTCTGATCATTTGCATTTCTAACAACTCCCCAGGTGATGCTGATGCTGCTGATCTAGGAACCAGATTTTGAGAACACTGAGCTAGCCTGAGACACACATGTCCATAGGTATTGAGATAATTGGTACAATAGTGGTTGTGTTGCTATGTTGGTGGAGGCCAGTTTCTTAATGGGTCATCCCAGAGAAGATGGAATCATTGATTGCTCACAGGTAACTTCTAGGCATGCAACAATGGAGAGAAGTGGTTTTCATGAGGCACATCGAGGCACTGTGGCAAATCAAGGAAGAGGGGTCTGGGGATGGGTAGCAACTTTGGCATCCCTGAGAACCACTTGTTGACTGACCCCATGACCTTAGCTGGTACTTGCCCTGACTCAGGGCAAGAGAGGGATGTTTACACCAGAAAATGCTTGGTCTCCTCATGTTAGGGAATAATTCATTTTGTTTCTTTTTTAAGTGAATGTTTCAAAGACATTTGTGCCATTTGACAGATCTTTCAATAAATAATGACAACACCAAGGTGAAGACACTCATGTTCACACAACCAACACATAACAAGTCATTGTCCAGAGGAGGTGTGAAGAACAAGGGGAAGAGATGGTCCTTGCACTCTGGAGCTCTCATCAGCCTCATTGAGGGGCCTCTAAGGAGCCCTAGGATCCACGACACAAGGAAGCAGCTGAGCCATGCCTCATTTATTCATTTGTTTCTTCATTTCCTCTATAAACAAGCATTGTATTATTATTTTAGGAACATTATTGAGCCCCTGACAGAGGAATTGGGAATAAAAATGAATGAGACTCATTCCTCTTATACTGTAATTCAGATTAAGCTTCTGGGTAAATTTGGTGAGTTTTTAACATGCATCTATGACTATTCCCTCTTGAAACAACACTAAAATGACAGAAAAGGGATATTTTGAAAATATAAACCCTCAAGGACAGGGAGGATGAGAGAGATGAAAATAGCAATAACAATTTGGAAGCTGGGAAGCAGACAGACAAGGGTAAAAACACTAATCTGGATCCTAAACCTGCAATGGAAAGGCTGAAGCCAACTTGCTTTCCAGAATACCCTAAAGGACCTGGAATTACTGCAATGGTATATCTGTAAGTGGACGTTAAGGGAAGGAACTAAAATAAGAACGAGGAAAAAGTGGCATCAGAAGTGATTGGTTCCCAGGTTTCTCCTCTCCCTTCTGGAAGACTAGTTTTCCCTCCCTCTGGAGAGGATAAAACAGGATTTCACGAATGGTTTGGCACAGGAGTGCCATACCCAAAATAGAAAAAATAAGCACTGAATGCTGAATGCCAAGCGTCCAGCCCTCTTCCCCAAGTTGACCTCACAATGCTGGTGATTAGGAACCTGCCTCCCCGCAATCCTCACAACAAAGCAGAAAATGAGGAGAGACCTAAATATCCGTTCATCAGACATTCTACAAATAAAAGATCCCACCAGTTCACAGCTTTGAAGTCTGCAATCAACCAGCTCCACACACATGCTCAGAGGCTCCAGTCCCCCACTTTTAAATATAAACAGACAACTAGGGATGGCCAGGCAGCTGAGGAAATCCTCTAACATGGAAGATGGAATTACAAACAAAACAAACTTTGAAGAAACAAGCTACGAAGGGAAAAGGAAATTTCAGAAAATCTGTACTAGGTATCCTCAGAGATACAAAAGAAGACATTGTAACAGTGAAATAAGAACAAGATGTCATTAGAAGGAATATTCTGTCAACAATAACAGTGCAACAACAAAACCATTAGATATTTAAAACGTAAGAAAAATAAAATGTACTATAACACGTGGAAGATGAAAACCTCAGAAAGTAGAGTGTAAAAAGACAAACAAAAATAAGGAAGAAGGGATAAGACCCCAAGGACCAACCTAGAGGTGCAACATCTCAATAACAGGTCTAGGAAGAGAAAAGGAAGAAAACAGGAGGCAACCATCTTTTTATGAAATTATTCAAGAAAATGTAGCAGAACCTGAAGGGGCCCACTGAGTGCTCAGCACCATGGATGAAAATAGACACTCACTACTGTACATAATGGTAAACATTTCAGAAAAGTAGGAACAAAAAGATCTTACAACTTCCAGAGAGTAAAGGCCGTTCATATGTGAAGGGTCAGGAACCAGAAGGGCTCTAGCCTCTCTAAAGCATCACTCAAAGTTAGAAAGTAATGGAAGGACCTTTAACAATCCCATAGGGAAATGGTCTCCCTAATAGATGCTGTCAGTGTCCACTTGTATTCCCAATACTCCCTGAATCTGTGCACGATGACTTGATGGCTTCCAGGACAAGCATCTATAACTCTGGGCTGAGGACTTTCTTGGGACACTCTGAAGGAAAGTGAATGCCCCAGGAGCAGGAGTAGCCACAGTCTTCAACTGAGGATGGGCTCTCTTGCCCTTCAGGTGAGGCATCTCTGAGGTGTGCTCTATGCAGTCTCCCAGAGTTCCCCAGCAAGACTGAGGCCCAGTTGCCCACAATGGTAACCTGTTCCTTCCTGTCCCTGTCTCAATTCCTCATTCTCCTCTTGATGCTCCCAGGATCACCTCCCAAATACAATAATTACCCTAACTTCCTTGTCTTGGGATCTGTTCCTGAGGAAACCCAAATTAAAACACCTGCTGAACTATCAAGTGTCAGGTTAGAACAAAGACATATCCAAACATGCAAAGTTTCGAAGTTTACATTCCAGACACCCTTTCTGGGAAAATATCAGAGAATGTGCTATACAAAAATGGGGCCATAAATCATGGCTATAGGAAGAAGTATCCACTGCAGGACAGAGGTGAGGGGATTCATGAAAATGATGGTAAAAGGAGACGCCAGGGCGACAGCTGGGTACTGGGTGCACAGGGCCACTGGTCCAGCCTGGAGCACAGCTGAAGGTTCTGGGAAAGAGCTTCCTCAGGAAGATGAACTTGAAAGAGTACCAAATGCATCTAAACTTTTTGTGAGGATATTCAGACAATTGTTTATGAGTTTGATCTTAGATTACTAATAAGAACATAGTGTACTATGCAAATTTTTAAAAAGCAACTCCAGGGAATAAACAACTTAGTTATGTTACGATGTCATAATATTGTAAACGCTGAATATTGATCCAATTAAAATAACAATATGGCTCTACTGGGAGAATGGGAAGTAGAAGGACGCACATGGGCAGGGACTAAAGTCCTATCTTCCCTAGTGTAAAATCAATTAAAAATGCCTTAAACTGGTTGGGCACGGTGGCTCATGCCTGTAATCCCAGCACTTTGGGAGGCTGAGGTAGGGCAGATCACCTGAGGTCGGGAGTTTGAGACCAGCCTGACCAACATGGAGAAACCCCGTCTCTACAAAAAATACAAAATTAGTTGGATGTGGTGGCTCATGCCTGTAATCCCAGCTACTCGGGAGGCTGAGGCAGGAGAATCGCTTGAACCCGGGAGGCGGACGTTGCGGTGAGCCGAGATCGCACCATTGCACTCCAGCCTGGGCAACAAGAGCAAAACTCCATCTCAAAAATTCCTTAAACTGAAAAAAAAGAGGTTAATTCAAATCTGCTATATAAAGACATGAAGATGAAAATGAAAACACTGAGCAGAAGGGGGTCAACGTGGCTTGCCCAGATGAACAAGAAATAGTAGAAAAACAGGGATGAAAGGCTTTCTACAACAAATCTTGAACAGTTTGGCTCTTTACACTGTGCGTTTGCCTCCATGCAAACAACCCAAACCTACAATACAATACAGAAGAGAACCTCAGCTGAAGAACCAGCTTTCAGGAAGCTCTGCTTCCAGAGTCTGACTTACATGCTATTTTCTTGTGCCTGCCCCGTGTGAGGGACATTGAAAGTGTAAAGCTCATCTTGGGTTTTCTGGTTGGTTTCTCCAGTTAGATTCTAAGCTCCTTGAACTCAGGGACCCAGGGACTTGGCCAATGCAGCTCCATGTGCCGAGTGCCCACAGTCCCAGGGCCTGGCACACAAGGGGTGCTGCACTGATGTTCATTGAATGCAGTAAAGGAAAGAAGGGAAGATGTCCAACTAGAGAGCCGCACAGGCAGCGGTGATGCAGGGAGCAAGGGCTCAGATCAACCTGAGGGCAGTCTGGTGGTTTTGCAGGAGGACTGGGTGAACTGGTAAGGTGGGGAGGGGCACACCCAGGCAGGTAGAGTAGCTGTGTAAGTGTGAAAAGGCGCTGTGTGCAAGCGTGTGTATGTGTGTGTGTGTGAGCACATGCGTATGCTTAGAGAGTGGAGTAGTCTGAAATGAGACTGTGCTTGTGAGCTGAGGTCAACAGAGACTCTTTGGCCACTCCGTGGGTCTTAGAGGCCAGTTGGCCTCTTCACGCCTAAAGGGATTCCTTAAGCTGATTCCTCATCAGAATCACCAGGGGAGCCTTTTTAACATAGTCTCGAGCCTCAGTCTGAGAGATCATGAGCCGTAGGTCTGTGACTGGATCCAGGAAACTGTATTTGTCAGAAGACTCCCCAGACCTGCGCAGACGAGCCAGCCTTTGGGACAGGCTTGGAAAGAGGGGAAGGTGATGAGGGAGGGAGTGCGCAAGGGCCAAATCTGGGCTTTCGAGTCCAGAGTCACATTGGACTGTTCCTGAAATCCAAAGTGAATGCATTTTAACCTATTTGAATAAGAACAGAATAAATAATGCCTTTGTGTTGATTTGAAAACAAATACTGCAAAAGAGTTACTCTGTGAGCCTTTTATTGCCAAATCCATGGACTTATTGCTGAAATGAAGTGCATTAAATATGAAAAGTTAAGATCGATTTCCAGATGGCCTACTTTCATTACTAGAATTTAATAGGTTCTCTAATTTTCTTTCTTCTGTTTATTAGTAACAGTGAAGTAAGTCCTAAGGTGAGCTAATGTATTTCACACCTAATATGTGACATTGGTACCATTCAAAATATACAATTTTAATGAGGGAGAATGCTTTAAAAATACTCCAAGGAAATGCCATTCCCTAATATGCATAGTGTGATTCCTGTCATGATGTTCATTTATTTCAGTCTTATCTTACTTCAGAATCAACCGATATCCACTGAGTTCTTCCTGTCTGCAAGGCCTGGGTTGGGGAACAGGAAGCTGAACTGCTGTAGGGAATATAAGAAAACATGAGCCATGAGCCCTGTTCAAAAGAAATTTACCAGCTGGCTGAGGAGATAAGACTAAAACACATGAAAAAATTAATAAGGACTTCAGGCTATGATCAAGTGAGAGGTATAAGCAACACAAGCTATAGGAATTCAGATGGGGGGCAGGGAGAGCTATGGGCTCAACTGGTCAGGGAAAGCTTCATGGAGAAGGTGTGATCTGGGCTGGGCTTGAAGGCTGGGTGAGATTTTACTAGACAGAGTTGAGAAGAGACACTCCTGGGGCAGGGGGTAGGAGAGAACCTAAGTCCTGATGGGGGAGGATGTAAGCCACATTCAAGAAGAAGGCTAGATAGAGGTAAAGTCCTTATCTTTGAATTATTCAAGGTGAAACTGTATAAAATGATTAGGGGGTGAACTTGGGAGACCCTGGATGCCAAGATTAAGACCAGTAGGCAGTAGGGAGTGGTTGATGATTTTTGATTTGGTTAGAGAAGAGGCAGATGAACATAGAATTTTGGGAATGCTAATTTGGAGAAGTGTTCAATGAATTAGAAAAGCAATGAGACCAGTTATGAGGCTGATGTAACAGGTAAGTCCAAGGGAATGAGATTCTGAATTAGACCATGGGATTGGCATTGGTTTTTTGTTTCTTTTTTTAAAGGAAGGTAGCCGGAAACGTTGCAATGAACAACTAAGCAGGCTCTATAGCAAGCTATGGTTGGCAGAAGGAAGAGGTTTTGCATGGGAGCCATTGGAGGAGTGATGGTGTTGCTGGTAAAAATAGGAAGGTCTGGTGGGGATGCTGGTCTAAAGAGAAAGAAGACTTCTGTTGTGAGCATGTTGGTGTAAGCAGGCAGCAGAGGAAAATGAAAACAGGCAACTGGAGATGGAATTTTATTTTGGAGAAGATTTGCAACTAGTTATCCCCATGGAGACAAGCTGAAGTTGAAGAGTGAAGAAGATTCATTCATTTATTCATTCACATATTATTTAGCAAATATCTATTGTGCGCCAGCCACTTCCAAAAGTGCTGGGGATCCTGCAAAGCAGATGAATCTCTTGTGGAGCTTGTATTTTGCTGTGGGAAGCTGACCATAGGCAATTTTACAAAGGTTTTGCTACGATTCAAGTATCTGTCCCCTCCAAAACTCATGTGGATGTTTAATCCTCAATGTGACAGTATTGAGAGATGGGGCCTTTAAGAGGTGATTGGGTCATGAAGATTTTGCCCTCATGAATGGATTAGTCCATTTGTGGATTCATGCATGGATCAATGGGTTAATGGATTAATGTGTTATTATGGAAAAGGGACTGTTGGTTTTATAAGAAAAGGAAGAGAGATCAGAGCTAGCAGGCTCAGCCCCTTCATTCTGTGATGCCCTGCACCAATTCAGGACTCTACAGGCAGACCCCACTAGCAAGAAGCTTCTCGCCTCGTGCAGCCCCTTGACCTTGGACTTCTCAGCCTCCATAACAGTATGAAATAAGTTCTTTTTCTTTATAAATTGCCCAGTTTGAGGCATTCTGTTTTTAAGCAGCAGAAAATGGACTAAGAGGACTGGAGGAAGAAAACTGCAAGAGTGAGTGAGCAAGCAAAGGAGCTTCTTTCTTTAGGGTGTGGGAAAAGAAAGCAGAAGCATGATGCAAGCCAGAATGATTCTGAACTTTAAAACAGAGAAGAGGAATCAAGAGCAATCTAAACTGTTGCCTGCCCGGGACCTCTCTGGGGCCCTGCCTGGTTGTCCAATGTACTTTTAGGCACAGACCATGTAGTTTCAGAGGCAGCTGCCAGCCCACTTATTTTGAGGCAGTTCCAACCTTAGATTGTGAATTAACCAAGGAATCTGCATGACAGCTCTCCATGCACGCCTCCTCAAAGGAGCTGGAAAATAAAATCACTGAAGGGCAAGCAGTCGATGTTACCCTCGTGCATTTAAGGGAACCAGTTGGAAAAATAAATCAGTTAGTGGTGTTCTCACATTAATTCCCCATGGGGTCCAGTGATTTCTTTAGAATGCCTGTGGATGCTTCACGATGAGAGCCAAGCTCATGTTCCCATTAGCTAAATGAGGCCTCTCATTACATAGTTCCTGTTGGAGGGGGAATGAGTGATGTTGATGTGACTGATACATATGCATTGGCTGATCAATAATAATGGCAGTGAGCTGAGGTCCTTGTATGAATTTTGCATGAACTCATAACAATGTGAGGAATCAGTGATGGATTGCAACTCTCCCCTTAGTTGGCCAACCCTTACCAAGCTCATTGGGCACACTGTGTAGCAGAAGAGAAGGGATTCTTGGGGGCTTCCAGAGTTTCCCTCTCTGCAGCCTGTGTGTCAGTTCTTCCCCCTACATCTCTCATATGGTACGTGGCCCACAGTAATACAATGATTACTTTCCTGGCTTCCCTCCTGGTATTGGAGTTCTTGAGGACAGAGACTGTTTTTATCAAACTCTATGTCCTCAGTACTTAGTACAGTACATAGCACAGAGCACAGGTGTTCACCGAATGTCTGTGGCATGTGGAGCTCATCTGGATGTCCCTCATGAAGGGGAGGGGTGTGGAGCAGCTATAGGTACTGTTAAGTGGTCAAACCCACCAAAGGAATCCTGGAGAATAAAGAACCAGTTCTTCTTTTTAAATTCAAGAATTACATTCCAGCCCACCTGGAGGAATAGGTGAAAGAGAATGTGCACACATGTCTAGGAAAATCTCAAATGCTCTGCAGACCTGAGATAACTCAGCCTGCAAAGTCCTGTCTGGAAAGGAGTAGAAAGACCAGTGAGTGAATAGGTTCAGCCATGCATGGAATAGGTTCAGCCTGCTGGGCATAGCAGGACCAAGCACCACATACAATGCAGTGACACCAGGGATGGTGCAGGAGACTGCAGGATCCTCTAACTGCCCTCTTGTTTGATACTCTAACTCCCTTCCCTAACACAAAAATAGCCTTGCATGAACTGTGTGCTTCCCCCACCCTCAACAGGCTCCTGAGTTGCAGGAGATTAATGAGGATGGTGAGAAGTAAAAACAATGGAGACCTTGTGGATAGAAGGCAGCAGCTCATTCTTGGCACCAGCTAGAGAAAAGCAAGAGGACAGTAGGGGAGAGCCCTGGGGACTGGGGGAAGGCCCGCCTAGGGAGTGATAGCAGGACTGCTTAGGTTACCAAGGAGATTTCACAGGTTGAGGTATAGAATCATGTTTTTTATTTTCTGTATTTTGTGTTGCTTTAACATCTTGGGGCCTTGCAGACCTGAGGAGGGACTGCCCCTCCCAGGGTTAGCTAATTCCTAGAGATAACAAATGACTTACCTGTGAGCACATCTTTGTTATGAAAATCAACCAATCTAGAGCTCAAACCCCCAACCAGCTCCTTTATCTAACTCACACACAAAGCTGATATTCCCATGGCCCTAAATCACCCTAGAGCCTGGTACTGGATAACTAGAGACCACCCCTATATCCCTGAGCCTGCCAACATTATTCAAATTGGACAAACCTGAGTTGTTTACCCCACCTTGGTTTTCCACGGAAACCACAATAAAAGCCATGCTTATACCATTTTGTTCCTTCTGCCTCCAGACACACCCTGGTGCCTCCCTACATGGCCTGTATGGTACGGGATGCCCCTGTTTCTAGGGATCCGTGAGAATAAAAACTTTTTTCACAATTGTCATTTCCATGTCTGCATATCTTACTATACCTGATTAAGGATTTGTACATTTTAAAGCATGTGGCAAAACACAAAGTTTCCTGTTAGGGATTTAGCAGAAAAGAAAAAGAATCACATGCTCTTTCTCCCAAAGTATCTTCCACTTTGTGTCTTGGGCTCAGTAAAGATGCAGGCCAATTTACTGTGCCTTCTGTATTCACTTTGAGGCACCCCAGATTTTCTCATTAAGTAATATATTGACATATTCAGAGTATTGTATGTAACGAAGCCGATATGTGGATGCTAAAGGTTTTAGAAATTATTTTTAATGGTTGATAGTTAAAAACGAAACAATGGATTCCTGTGTAACGATATGATGCATAGTTTGGATTATTTGCTTCTAAGTTAAAAAAAAAATTAAATAATATGAAAGAAGGAATGGGTTAGGAGCTTCTATACTTCTATACACTGGAAGGAGGGCATTGAAGGACAGTGGAACAAACAGCCTTCAGAGGGACAAAGGGCATAGCTCAAGGGTCTGGGAGTAGGAATCCAGGGGTGGTCTTTTGAGGGTCTGTTCATCAGAATGACTCAGCCCCAACTGCTGTCCTCCTTGTGGGGTTTTGCCCCAAAGTCAGGACAGAGCTGGTGGCTTGGCTTAGGTTGGATGTCCCTCTCTTTGCCCATGGAAGAGGCCATTGTGGTTGACAGTTCCCTGGGCCCATGTCAGGAAGCCGTCCTCCCAATGGAGAGCCCGGAGGAAGTGTGAGGGTGTGTGTTGCAAGGCGGGGGAGCTATGGTCCTATTGCCCTGGGTGCAAAACCTAGATCTGCACTGGGTGGCTATGGGTATGTGGTTTTTGTCTTCCTGTGAGATGAAAATGCTAGCCATCCCACAGGGTAACAATAGGATATATAGTTTGTAATCTTTGCTTATATGTAAGAGAAACCAATTTAAATAAATTAACATGAAAGAAGAAATGGGCTAGGAGTTCCTAGCCCATGGCCACCCTGAGGGTTAGTGTGAAAATTACGTGAAGACCATGCATGTAAAATGCCTGCTCTAGTTCCTGGCATAAAACAGACATTCGAAAATGAAAGCTTTTAATCATAAGATAAAAATCATCCACTGAGTTTGGCCTCAATTAGGCCGAACTCCTCATTCCATATGATTTCTGGCCAATCAGGAATTTTTACTTTTCTAGCTTGTTTTAATTTTTAGAGTTTAATTGTAGCTTCCAAGCACACTCAGGGCCACAAATAAAGCATTTTAAGATTCTTCTAAGTCAAAATGTTTAAGGTAATAAAAAGGCAAATTGTACTCTCCTAGTCAGAGCTTGGTCTGTTTTTCTGGCCACTCTCCTGAGCCCTAACCCTCAGGGTGGCTCTTGCCACTCTCCTGCTGGTGACTTCAGGCACATCACTCCCTTCCCTGGGTTTCAGTTTCTTTGTCTGTAAAGTGAGGGGTGTTAACTGTATAGCTCCAAATAATGACCAACATCTTTACGCTATTTTGAGATTGCAAAGTTCTTTGATATCTATTATGATATTTATTTAATTCTTCAAGTGTAATGTTCAGTCGCTGTGTAAACGTGATAGACATCTTTGCAACCCACCATTGATCAGTGGAAACAGCTGCGCAGCTGCAGTCTTGCTGTTCTGATAGTCCATATGGATTAGTGCTGTTCTTCTCCATAGATCTGCAGATACAACAGCCTCATCTCAATCTCTTAGAAGAGTAGCTGAGGCAAAAAGAAGCCAAGCATGAAGTCCTAGAGAATGGATCTGAACTAATTAGCTTTCCACGCATGCCTTCATCAGGAAACAAGGCACAGTTGTAATATCTTAGGAGCAAGCCTCTTCCCTCTGCCCCCATAAAAAGTAATATTAATGGATTCATTCACAGTAGGATCTGGTTCATTCTCTGGGGTGGAGGGCATGTAGCACCTCACTTCTTGTTCTCCACCAAAGTTAGACTGACCTAGTAGCTTTGTATGTTCCTAAATTGGCTTAATTGTACTGGTGGTGAATGGTAGTGTGAACTTGCCCTTGGAGACCATCAATATCGGATTCGCACAGCTCATAGAATGCCATAGTGGACAAATATTTCCTCCTTTGTGATCCCTGGTGTCTGAGTGCTTCATTCAGTTCTTCATATTAATTGATTTTGGTTTTACCTATCATTATTGTTTGAAGACATTTCTCATTCTCCTACTTAATTTGGTGTGTTTTGTTGGGGGCTGGGGGCTGCAAGTGATTTTAGAGATAATCCACTGTTTTATTGACACAAGTTAGTTGAATCCCAGAGAGGTTAAATGAATGACTGAAGGTTGCAGGGCTCTGAATTCAGATTTCTGACACTCATCCAGAGCCCTTTACACTTCACCAGTCTGCCCAGAAGAAAGACTGCAGGAACATTCTTTTATTACCTCAGGTGTCATTATTGTGAACAAATAGTGACAAAGAGCCAGAGATGCAAGAGTGGAACAGTGGTGGGAGGGAGTGGGAAGGAGGGTAACATTACAAAACTAGATGCAGGTTATAAATGATAGTAGGGAAGTCGACAGTACTCTACATGAAGGCTTACTTTGTAAAACTGAGTTCCCTAAACAGCAGCACGGGATAAAAAGAACTTCAGCCTCAGGTTTCTTAAATTTCATCAATGCCTTTCTATCTGCTTCTGGATCCCAACAAGACATTTTTAGGCACATATGCCGTTTAAAACTAGCTAGCAAGACACTAGGCTGAGTTTGTGTGAGCTGCTTTCCTGACATCCTCATAGAGATGTATTTCTCTCCTGAGCTAGCATGCGGGTTTATCACACAGCATGCAGGAAAGCTCCAGCAGTCTCTGTGCTAGTCCTTCAAAAAAAAGAGACAGACAAAGAAGAGATGGGGCTGGAATGTCTTTCTCTACGCAGGCCTGTCTGAGTGCTCTAGCTCAGTGGGGACATGCTTTGGGGAGGAAGGCAAAGGAAGAAAACGAGAACAAGTCCTCAGCCGGGCATGGCAGCTCACGCCTGTAATCCCAGCACTTTGGGAGGCTGAGGCAGGAGCATGACTTGAGGTCAGCAGTTCGAGACCAGCCTGACCAACATGGTGAAACCCCGTCTCTACTAAAAATGCAAAAATTAGCCGGGCGTGTTGGCAGGCGCCTGTAATCCCAACTACTCAGGAGGCTGAGGCAGGAGAATGGCTTGAACCCAGGAGGCGGAGGTTGCAGTAAGCCAAGATTGCACCATTGCACTTCAGCCTGGGTGACAGAGCGAGACTCCATCTCAAAAAAAAAAAAAAAAAAAAAAAGAACAAGTCCTCCGTTTTGTGCCCAAGAATAGCAGGGTGTTGCACATGGGAAAGGTCCTGAATGGGGCTCTGATACCTTCACTATGAGAGAAATCTCGCCACCCAGGCAAGGTCTCATTCCCATTCCTTCCTGAATCTGCTAAAGCCCCTGGGGAGTTTAGTGATCCTGGGCACCTGAAATCAATCTTGGCACCACTATTTATGATGCATTGTTTTACAGTGACTACCTGTATTTTACTCGACTTCTATTTTGTTATACAGCATAGAAAATTAACCTGATGTGAAACTTCAAAGATTTTGTGTCTCTGAAGAACATGCCACTGACAACCAGACCATATGTGGTACAGATAGTGACACAGATAGTGCCCCAAACGTTGGTCCCAAACTCAAAACAAAAGAAACCTCCTTCACCTCCCCTATGCCCCAGAAAAAGCGCTTCTGGGCTGCTCTCCCTGAGCCCACCCAAGGCAGAGAGATGGTTTAAGATGGGTTCCAGAGCAAGCTTTTGCCAGAGGATTTGGGCCTGTCCACCTGCCTGCAGCTAATGGTTTACTGTTCTTCTCAATGACTGCCCATAAAAACAGATGTGATTATGGTGAAGAAATGCCTGGTGATGAGGTGAGAAGCTGCACACCCTTCAGTTGACTGTGGTCCCTCGGATCTCTAAACTGGCCACAGAAGGTTGGAGGGAGGAAGAGGAAGGGAGGTGAGCCAGCCCCTTGGAAGGTGGGATTCCCTAGGCAGTAAAGGAGCAGGAAATCTGAGGCGCTCCCATTACCCTCTGCTGGCTTAGGGGCAGCATGACTTTCTCTCTGGGGCAGGTGCTGGAAGTCCTCCTTTAAGAGCTGTGGTGTGACCACATCTGGTCACCCCAATGTGGCTTCTTTCTGTGGGGCTTTTTTTCCTTTTAGGAAATGCAGAGGAACCCAGGCTTAAAAAAGAAATAAATTACTTTTACTTTTCACAAAGTATAACCTTCTACAACCAACACAAATGCTTAAAGACTGAAATCATCAAGAAGCGCTGAAAATGAAACTCTTTACACTTGAATACTAGATTCCTGCCTGGACACCATTTGAAACCTCCCTTTAAATAAAGCCATTTGTTTAGGGTGATCCAGCCTGCTGATAGGGAGGCAGGCAAGATTTAGGAGAGGCCACTCCTACCCAGCAAGGCCCTTTCCATTATTGGCCGTTTTTCATTATTATTATATTCCATTAATGGAAATAATATTCCATTATTTCCAATATTCCTTTCTAGCCATGGACATCCTCTACCCAGAGGTGTCTACACAGGGGGCACAATTGACATCAGGATACCTTTTCTTCTTCCCACCCTCTCAACCACAGCCAGTGCAATGTGGTCCACTCCAGGTGGCAGTGTGGCCTGCTAGAGGGATCATCAGATTTGGAGTTCCATATTCTCTACTCACTGCCTGTGGAACCTCAGGCAAGTCACCAGCTCTCCTTGAACCTCAGTTTCTTCCTCTACAAAGTAGGAGCAACATATGTGCCTTGCAGTGTTGTGAAAATTAAATGTGGGCCGGGTGCGGTGGCTCACGCCTGTAATCCCAGCACTTTGGGAGGCCGAGGCGGGTGGATCATGAGGTCAGGAGATCGAGACCATCCTGGCTAACAAGGTGAAACCCCGTCTCTACTAAAAATACAAAAAATTAGCCGGGCGCGGTGGCGGGCGCCTGTAGTCCCAGCTACTCGGGAGGCTGAGGCAGGAGAATGGCGTGAACCCGGGAAGCGGAGCTTGCAGTGAGCCGAGATTGCGCCACTGCAGTCCGCAGTCCGGCCTGGGCGACAGAGCGAGACTCCGTCTCAAAAAAAAAAAAGAAAATTAAATGTGATCATGGATATATGGATATTAAGGCAGGCACAAAGTCCCTGCTCAATGATTGGTAATTCCAATTGTAATTGAAAGATCAGGGACTGGTAAGCTTTTTCTGAAAAAGGCCGGATAGTAAACGTTTTAGACTTTGCAGATTATACCACCTTTGTCATGACCACTCAACTCTCCCTTGTAGAGAAGGCAGCCACAGACAATATGCAAACAGGTGGGTGTGGCTGTGTTCCACTTAAACATTATTCACAAAAAGAGGCAGCCAGAGGATTTGGCTCCCATAGGCCACCCCTGACCTGGAAGACGAGAGTCTAGGAAGGGAGAAGACTAGGAAGGGAATGTCGGATTATCAGTGGCATGTTCTTTAGAGACACAAAACCTTCGAAGTTTCACATCAGGTTAATTTTCTATGCTGTATAACAAAATAGAAGTCAAGTAAAATAGAGTTAGTCATTGTAAAAGAATGCATAGTAAATAGTGGTGCCAAGATTGATTTCTGGTGCCCAGCTAGTCCTCAGCCCCGTGCAGGAGGCCACCCCAGGTCATCCTCCAGGCAATACCACATGACACAGGTCATCCCTATCATACCTGCTCAAGTTCCTCACCCACAGAATCATGAGTAACGGTATGAGTGTTTGGGGCATTACTTGTGTGTTTGTTTAACCATGCAATAGATAACTGACTCCATTTATTGATTGAAAAAATTTACCTAAAAATCCAAATTTCCAGCTTCTGTTGAAAATTCAGATGCTTTGGCCAAATGAACCACTATTTCCACAGGGCTACAATTTCCTGGACCCAAGTATCACTGGTCATCTGTAGATGAGGTCTACAGTCTCCAGGTGGTCTAGCCCCACCCTGTGGTCTCCTTGGTGTCACGTGTTGCCTGTCCTCACACTTACAGAGCTGTTCTCCTTTCTCTTGGCCTGCCTCATTCATTTATGCAAACTGATTGGTTCTTAAAGGCATTTGAGTGTGCTACCCCTAGCTTAGATGGATGGCTTTTTGGGGGCCATGGGTCCCCTTGATCTTTTTGATTGCCACCTGATCTGCTCCTGCATGCCTGGCCTTGGGCTAAGCACTGTGGCAAAGACAACTAGCTGTCGTCAAAAATGTACACTCCTCTCTCCATCCTGGGAGGCAGCTGACCTGGAATGCATTTCCCAGCCTTTCTTACATGCAGGTGTGCTCATGAGCTCAGTCTCGTCAATACAATGAGCTGGGTCTTATGTGCCACTTCCAGGACCAGGGTTTTAAGTGAGTGTTCCTGGCCCACTATTTCTTTCTCCTTACAAGGTTTAAGTACCGACTCCCTAGCTCCTAAGGAATGGCAGGATCATAGCTCAGAAAGAGACTGGGAACTTCATTGTCACCTGGAGCAATGCCGCCTACTGACCACACACTCCCACATCGGGGTGATGTGTGAGCCATAAACTTTCGCTCTTTGGACAGTAACATGTTGGAGTTTGTTTGTTACGGCACCTCATGTTAACACTTCATGCATGCTATCACACTTAGTCTTCACAATAAGCCTTTTTCTAGGAAGGTGTTTCCTCCCCATTTTACAGATAAGATGACGAAGTGGGAAAGCAACTTGCCTGAGTCCCTAGTGAGAGGCAGAGAGGCAGAAGCAGGGTTTGAATGTAGGCAAAAGTGAATTCACCATGAAACTAGTGAAGCTTCAGCTTCAGGGTCCCTTGCTTATACTACTTCCAAAACTCTGGACCATGTTAATGTGGTCATACATTTTTGTAAAATTTGCACAAGTAAAGTATCTTGTCTGCAATCAGTTAAGATTACTGTCTCTTTCCACTCCAGGTTCCCCTCCATCTGCTTCACTCTTTCTTACTGGTTTGACTTTGCAGTGGCTGTTGGTATGTCTGGGGTCTAACTAAGGGGATGATGAATTGGGTAGCATTTGGTTTAGTTAGTGGAAGATTTGTTCATGGTTTGCAACCACTTCTGTATCAGGTTATTGTTTGTTCTCGAGATGTAAGCATGACTTCCAGGAACATTCCTACCACTAACTGTGCCAACTCACCTCAAATCAGGACAGGTTATATCTGGTATTTTACACCAGGAATAAAGAAGAGAAGAAATGAAGCTTTACCTGTATGAAGCTATGAGGTCGATCTGTGGAGAATTCTTCCAAAAGTTACATCTCAAATACAAAAAGAATATGATGGACTTTTCCCAAATTTAACAACAATCCTAAAACTTGTATGGCATTACCGATGACAAGTTGTGAACACAAATGTTTCTAAGTTATCAACAAATATAAAACAAATATTGGTCAATCATGTTAGAGGAAAGGCTCAATTAGCTTCCTATTTTACTTCATCCAAAAATGTTAAAAAGGAAATCAGAGAGTAAGTAAACAAAAAAATTATAGAAAAAATATAGAAACCAGACAGTGATTAATAAAATTATCGTATTATTTTATGGAGATCTTGACTGCAATATTTGTCAAATTTATAAAATTTGAAATTTACTGTAGCTCCTTTTTGCATTCTAAATAAGCTTTATAGTCACATTTTTTGTTCTTTTTTTCTTGAAGGAATCTCAAAGATTATATGAGCTTTTGACCCCATGAAACTTGTACTGCTTGTAATCTAGGAACTCTGAATATAAAGTACATATTGTTGATAGCAGGGCTGTGCCACACCAGAGCTGATCACAGTTGTGGAGACTGCCCCTGGAAAAAACACACTTGCTAACACTCACCTGCAATTCTCCATTTGATTTCATATTTACAGACAAGCCTCTGTCTCTGAGGCTAATTCAAACACTGCTGGCTGAGTTGACTGCACACTCTGTTCCTACGTTTCCAAATAGTGCATTACAAGATTATTAATTTTTTAACACAACTTTGTTTACTATCTCCAGAATTTATGAGGTGCTCGCTAGAAGAAATTTGCTCTTCATGAAGGGGATTGCCTTGCACTGTCTGGAATTTGTGCAATCTCAGGGCTGTTCAGGCAGACTCACCAGCAGCAAGGAGGCCTCTGGGAACTTCCTACTTTCTGCATTTCCTATGCCTCGAGCCTACCTGGAACCCCCAGGTTCTGCTGTCGCTGGTCATCTCAATTGCAAAGGAGGGTGCGGCAGAGGAGGTGTTAGGCATGTGGGCCCAAGCTAGCTTTCCCATCGTTTATATTTTTTCTTTTCAAATTTATGATTACTGAAGTATTTTTTGTGTGTTTGGTCATAATTTTGTCATCTTTCATTCTAGCTTTCGGGGTTATTTTTCGATGGGGAGAGATTCTGTTTGGTTTTACTTCCTTGCTATGACCTTGGTTTTCTCATTTCCAGCATGAATATCATGGTGGTTTGTTTGCCTTCATTTTCTAGGGCAAATGAAAGTTATAAACCTGATTTTAGGTATTTTTAAAGAATATTGAAACTACAATTTCTGTAATTATCAAAGTCAAGAGTGAAATCGTGCCTTCTGACTTAATCTAATATAAAAGAAAAATTAAAGATGCATTTTCTCACTCCATTTAGGTTTTGGGAATATAGCGTAGAGATTAAAACTCCTGTTTTGAAGGATATTTGTATTCAAACTTCTCACATTCATTCTTTGAGAAAAGTTGTTTTCATAATTACTTGAGCCACTTGTCTGAGTTTTCCAGAGTTCATCATCTTTGCTTCTATCTAAGGGCCTGAGATAAAGCACTTTTAAAATCTAGGTTTCTAGAAATCTCTTTCTCAGCTCCAAGAACTCGGTGGCATCATAATCAGGATTGTCATTTTCTGTATTCATCCTGTAGCTGTATGTTCGTGGTCTCCCCCAGGGAAATGGGTATTGTCCTGCTTTTTAAAGGACTCTTTAAAAAGTATAGTCACAATAAATGTGGCACTTAAAGTTTTGGGATCCAACTTACGTGAGTATTTAGAGTAGTCAAATTCATAGAGACATAAAGTAGAATGGGGGTGCCAGAAGCTGGGGGAGAAGAGAAGGGGAGTTGTTTAATGGGTGCAATTTAGCAAGATGCAAAGAGTTATGTGCATGGATAGTGGTGATGATAGCACAATAATGTGAATATACTTAATACCACTGAACTGTATACTCAGAAATGGTTAAAATGGTACATTATATGTTATGTCTATTTTACTACAATTAAAATTATTTTAAAATCTTTATAGGATCAAATATCTAGAGATAATACTTATTGAATTTGTGTTAGATTTTTTTTTTTACCTCATTTTTCCCCCCCACCAAGTCTATTGGTGACTTTTATCAGAGTTGGATCCAGTAGGTCTAGAGCGGAGTCTGGGCATCTGTGGATTTTTAAAAGTGATTTGGGTAATTCTGACTCTCTTCATTGATATCTCTGTTCTATTATCCGATTGCAAATGGTACCTTTCACTGACTTTGTCTCTTACCCAATGGTCAACTCTTTGAGAACAGATAAATATTCTGCTCACCCCTGCCCTCCCTACAGCATCTAGCAAAGCTCTTGTAAACAGAAGATGTTCAATAAATAGCTGTTTATTGAGATGAGAGGAAAACCTAAAGTATAAATATTCCATGCACGGTGGTGTTACCCATTGACTTATCAAAGGCTACCATCCTCTCTAAGCTCTAGAAAGGGTTACCTGCTTCTGATTTCCTGTAAGACACTAGGGAACTGTGCTCTGTGACCAGACTTCCTTGGACTCTCAGCATGAGTTCTAATTGACCCAATCATCAGATGCTCTTCTTAAGTGTGCAAACTAACATGAAAGAATAGTTTTTGTTCTATAAAAGTTTAGAAAAGGTAAAAGAAAAGAAGAGTCTTCTCCTCTTATCAGGTTCTTCAGTACCTTGGTTCTCTCTAGTCTAAACAAGAAAGGTAAGTGCCATATGATGAAGGTGTCAGATAAGCACAACTCCTACTGAGGTGTCCTATGCTGTGTGAGACAACCAAGGGCCCTGGATGCCTGGGGACAATGATGAAACCAGCAGCATAAAGCCAGATTTATGGACAAGTAAATTGTTTATATCAGGATTTCCCCTGTTCGTTGTAGAGAAGATATTTTCCAAAAATAAACCAGGACTTATCAGTTCAAAAAATGCTCCTTTATTAGTCTGTATTCCCAATTTTTCTGTGATAAACATGTTATACTTAGAAACAGAAATAATCATTATTTACAAATCAGGATCCCTGATTTCAAACCTATAAGACATTTGTTATGAGTTGGAAGGTTGCCCATCTTTTAATGCCCAACTGCGAATAACCAACAGGATTCTTTAAAAATTATTAGGGCCATTGACTTTGATTTGACCATATAAGAAGTAATAAAGATCAAAACCTTACCTGACTAGGGACTAGTTCATCTATTAATTCATTCAGCTAATAATTATTGCATGCCTACTGTGTGCCAGACACTAGATGAGATGCTGCACATCTTTCAGTGAACAAGATTACCCCAATCCCTAAAGACCTTATGTTTCTGAGAGAGAGAGACGCTAAATAATTTTTAATAAACAGCCTCATTGAGACATAACTGACATATAATAAGTTGCACATATTTAAGGTGCTCATTGTGATGAAATTTGACAGGAAGATACACTTGTGACACCATCACCACAATTAAGATAGTGAACATATCCATCACCTCCAAAGGCTTCCTCTTGTCCGTTTGTAATCTTTTCCACCCACTTGTCTCCACTTCCCCATTCTCAGGTAACCACTGATCCACTTTTGGTCACTATAGACTAGTTTGCATTTTTAAGGATTTTCTGTAAATAGAATCAGAGAATATGCCCTCCTGTTGTCTGGCTTCTTTTACTCAGCATAGTTATTTTGAGCTTCACCACTGTTGTTGAATATATCAAAAATTCATTCCTTTTAATTGCTGAGTAGTATTTCATTGTATGGGTATACTACAGATTTTTGTTCCTTCACCTTGATGGACATGTAGATTGTCTTTAGTTTTTGGCTATTTTAATTAAAGCTTCCATGAATATTCATGTGCAAATCTTTATATAAATATATTCTTCCATTTTTCTTGGGTAAATGCCTAGGAGTAGAATGGCTGGATTACATTATATATGTATGTTTAACTTTTTAAGAAATTGTTTTTCAAGGTGCTTTTTACTGTTTTGCACCCCCAAAAGCAGTGGATGAGTGTTCCAGTTTTTCCACATCCTTGTCACTAATTGGTATGGTCAGTCTATTTAATTTTAGCCATTCTAATAGCATGTCATGGTATTTCATTATGATTTAATTTGCATTCTAGTGGCTGATAAACATGACTAATATTACAAATATTATGAGTTTGTGTAAGTGGGAAGCAAAATCTCAACTACGTGAGTGCCTTTTCTCGAGAATACTGATTATTATACAATTCCCAAAGCCTAATACATATCTTTCCAGTGGATCTAGTTTTTGTGTGAATCTGACAGTCACTTGAGTAATAATCTGATATTTGGCTACTCTCTGCCTCTTCTGTAGGCTAATAATCTCTGTTTGGATATGGATATGCCTGAATATTTCCCTGAACTGGGCCATTTTCAGCTCAGTGAATTTATGGGTGTTTAATAAATGCCTAATCTTTCCCAGCCCCAATCCTACCCCTCACATTCCACTTGTGCCAACCTTTCCCAAGGAATGAGTTCCTCTACAAGTGAAATGTTCAGAGCCTTTTTCTTTAGCTTGCACAAAGATAAAGGTGAAATCTTGCTTTTGTGTCATTTGCTGTGTGGTTACATAACAAGATCGCTGGCCCCAAGACAGAGCTGAAGGGAGTGAGGAATAGAATACTTGAGTCCTAAGTCAGGGAAAAAGAAAACGGATGCAGATATGGCTCATCCTGCCAGAAGCCTCCAGGCCCACACTGCTGTCTTGCAAAGTGGCTCAGCAACTCCGTGGTGTAGGGCCTTGGCTGCTTATGAGAGGGAGCAGGGTGGGATGACTTTGCTTTTTGAGTCTGAAACAAGGAACCAGATTGCTTGGCACCCTGGGTGTTCCTTTGCTCCAATATGAGTTTCTACAACTAAGAAAGAGAAAAAACAAAATATAGCAGAAAGCACACTCTTTAGTTTACTGGTTTTATGTTTCTACTTAATCTTCATAGTTGATTATTCCTTGGTCAAAATGAAAATTCCTTTTCTCATTTCCTCAAATATTTAAAATAATGCCTTAGTTGTGGCCAAACAGATTAAAAGAAAAATAAACATTAAGTGAATGTCCCTTGGTGATATTTGCAGGAAAAGTGAAGACATTGAATATTGCCAAGAGCCATTCCCAGCTACCTCATGAAGCTAAGCAAAGGTTCTCAGCAATCAGGGAAATTAAAACACTTCTCTGCAGAATTATCAGCCCTCACCTTTTCTTTGTACCAGGCAGTTTAGTCTTGACAATCCCTTGCGTTGTACCTTCTCTGCTCCCCCTAGCCCTATATTGTCTTATCTCTTGTACCACCTGAATGTCAATGACAACACTGATTTTATTGGCTTTCTATATTTAGGACCCTTTATCACTGATTTAATGTTGCAATCTCTTTGTCATCCCTAAGAATATTCTACTGCAAGTACTTGTTAAAGTTAGAAGTCTAAATTAATTTTATTTGGAACTTACTGATACGTGTTGTGAGATGGCTTGAGACAATATCGCATCCAGTCATGAGACAAATTTTTCCTAAAAAGAGGATCAGGTTGGCCTAGTGTGGGCTTGGGGTCTGTCACTAGTCTCATTGAGTAGCCAGGAGGAGCAGGGAGGTGTGGCACAAATATGACCACAGGGACCACCTTTGCATGTCCTCGAAGAAAGGGGAAGAGCACATAGTGGACACTCCAAACCTGTCTGCTATGTGGAGAAAAAGAGCAATGGATCCTAGCTCCACTTTCCAAATAAGACTAGCTCACCTACTGACTTGCATTCAACACTATTCTGTGACAGCAGTGTGTACCACTGGCATCATCCTGGTTACCATAAATGTTTATTGAGTGACAGGCCTGGTGCTAAGTATCTATGAGCATTATTTTTTTCAATTCTCATGCAACCCTAAGAGACAGATGCTATCATTATCCAAATATCATGGATGAGGTTAAGTTACTTGCCCAACATGATACAACTGGTTAGAGGCAGAACAATTCTATCCAAGTCCATCTTGCTCCAAAGCACAGTCTTGAAGCATCATGCCAGGGTACCTCTCATAGTTTTCTGATGATTCCTTTATAGATCTGTTACATCCTAATAAGCCAAATGTCTCTCTCCAGCTGGCTATGATAATCATTCACGGCAAATTTATTACACGTGGCTTCAACTGGCTTCTCTAGTTCTTGCTTCTCTGCCCTAAGCACTGATTTTCTAAGGACCGTAATTCTCCTAGAAAGATTTTGCAAATCACATGATAGTCTTTTCCCAAGGTTCAAAGAAGTAAACAAAAAGAAAAGAAATACCCAAAGCTGCTTTCTAAGACTCTGACAATAATCTGCAGGAGATGTAAATTCTAAGTGACTACCATCTTCAGCAATTTCTAGCACAGTCTCTGGGTGTTTAGCCAATTCAAAATATTATAGTGTCCTCACTATGTTATAATTTTTTCAAAATAATATCAAATGCCAAAGCTTTCCTTTCCATCTTGATTTGTGTTGTAAATAGCTCTATTTAATTGTTTGCCATTATCTTTACTGATATCGCTTTTAAAATTTTAGTATCATTTTAGGGACACAGCTTGGTATTGGCTATAACACAATATGTTCTCTCTCTGAAGAGAGACCACAATTATTTGAGATGTGTTCAGGCGTCTCCCCTCATTTTACATTATGAGGAATATTCATGAGTATGCTATCAATATTCAAACAGGACACATTAAATTTTGCTCCTGGGGAAAAGCTGTGTAACGGTCAAACATAAAATTAAGATCTTGCCTGCTCTTTAGAAGAATGATGTTTATCTCCCCCCTGCAAGAAAGACTCCAGATGGTAACCAAGATTTGCAAAAGATGAAACTGCTCCCCAATTCATTTCTTCCAGGCTGATGTTCAGCTCTCATTAAGTCCTAAAATGTTAAAAAAGATGCTTGTTTTGATTCCTTAAAGACTTATGATACTACTGGCTGATGTCCACCTTCCCCTCCCCCAAATCTGAGAGAAGTAAGTGAATATTTTCTCTGCTGAAGCATTTAGAATGGGTAATTGCTTTCATGCCAGACATTTTTGTGAAATCAAATAGTAAACAGGGTTTTAAATTCTGTTTCCCTCAAGTTGCATGAGCTTAAAAAAATTTCTGTGGAGAATTTTATTTCTTGTGCTGCAACTTTAATAACTCCATTAAGGCTCCTGCTTTCTTTCTGATCCCCAGCTGTGTATATTTGGGTGTGGAATGTAATTTTCTCTGGCTACAGCTAGAAGGAAGCTTCTTAAAATGTTCAATTTCTTCTAAAATGTGAAACACAATCAAGTTTCTCCTGGGAAAATAATGAGCATTTATTGACTAATTCAAGAGTCTGCAGACTTTTTCTGTAAAGGGCCAGATAGTAAATATTTTAGGTTTTACAGATTATATGGTCTCTGTTGTAAGTCTCTTCTCTACCTGTGTAGTGTGAAAGCAGGTATATAATACTAACTGAGGATGGCTGTGTTCCAAAAAATACTTTACTTATGGACGTTGACATTTGAATTTCAAATAACTTGTACATGTCATTAGTATTATTTTGCTTTTTTTTAATCAACCATACGAAAATATAGCAACCATGTTTTGCTCAGGAATGACACAAAAAACAGACAGCAAGTCAGATTTGGCCCATGGGTCCATTTGCTGACTCATGTACTAATTCATTAGGCCAATTTTTTTTTTGAACATCTACTATGTACAGTGAGAAAAACAGACATAATACTTGCCCTTACATTGCTTATGGAAGAGAAAACTATTTGGAAATATTGAAAACAAGGACATTTTCAAGTTTGGGAGAAAGGACAGCTTGCATTTACTTAATCATGTCCCAGGCAATGCCTCCAAAAATCTTGACCATAGGCAGTTCTGTACAGTTATGTCTGAGTATCGCTAAAAGCTGAGGAATATTTGTCTCGAGTTGGCTTATAGCCCCATGTGGCAGGAACAGAAGCCATTTCTCAGTCTGTGAAATGCAGGGACTTAATTTCCCTCAATAAATTCACACTAAAGATGGTAAGCTCCTTGAGAGTAGAACATTGTACTTGATCTGTATCTCTGCTGTGAGCACAGGTCAGCCCAGTGGAAAAAGGTTATGTGTAAAAGCACTCAGAGTTCCTTAGAACTGCACTGTCTAATATGGTAGCCACTTCTTGTGGTGTCTATTTAAATTTAGATTTAAATTAAATGTAATTGCGTTTAAAATTTATTTTCTTTTTGCATTAGCCACATTCAAGTACGCAATAACTGCATGCATTGGACAGTGCAGATGCATGTTTCCACTATCATAGATTGTTCCCTTGGGCAGAGATGCTTTAGAACATAGGGATACTTTTCTTCCCTCTGCTGTTGCACCCAAGCAAATTCATTGTGAAACTATGAGTTCTGTAATCTCATCCTCCCTTGGCAAATGGTGAAGAGGTATTTTGGAGTACAAGAATGAAGGTGGTTGTACTATCGGATGGCAGCAGCATTGTGTGATAGTCATTGAACCTCCCTGAATTCCCACATAAAAAGAGATAAAAGTAACTCAACAATAATTGAGAAACTCATAGTCAATATTTACAAAAACATTAAATGATTAGGTATCCCTCACAAAATCCAAGATACAAATAGGTGGGGACAAACCTCCAACAGCCAGGGAACCTCTATGTGGAAAGAAGTGGAGGGAAGTAATGGGGCATTAGAAGCCATGAATGAGGAACCCAAATACCCAGAAGATATTCACAGCAAAACAATCTTACTAATTTTTGAACAATGAATAAAACTGGGAGTAAGTGAATGGAAGAATTCCTTAGCGAGTTCTGAAAGGGGATGAGGCAGTCCACATAAATTTGAATTTGAAACTAACTGGCCAGGGCTCCTTTCTGGGACAGAAATTCATACCAAGGACAAATATCTCAGAATGGAATCATTCTCAGCTAAAGTAAGGTAGGAAACAACACCAGAAAAAATTTAGAGAGTGAGCTATCATATTTTTGCACACTTGAAAACAACAACAAGAACAGCATCAACAAAAGCCCAGAAGAGGAAACTCTGAGGAGCTAGAAAAGTTATTCTGAACATTGCCTCCTTCAGGATAAAATAAACTCATATAAAAATAAGCAGCAAATCTAATTCCAGGTCAGAGTTATAATAAGAAAAAAATGAGAATAAAGAGATGAATAATATCCATAAGACAGTGAAAGCATGCTGAAAAACCAAGCCCAGAAAACTAACCTACTTTCAAAATGAACAAAAAGACATTTGAAAAATGATACCTAACATGAAGAAACAATATAAATTAAAATCACAAAAACTCAGAGTGGATACACCAAACTCCATAAAGAATTAGAAGTAAAATTTTAAAATATACTTTAAAAATGAAGACTAAACTTTTTAACCCATCGATGGCTAGTGTTCCTGTTGGAACGCTAAGTTTGTAGTAGTTATTTATATCCTACTGCTCAAGGTCATCGCCAAGTTCTGATTTTTCACACAAAAAATTTGCAACCTCCAGCATAAATGGGTTAAGGAATACAAAACTGAGTGGTTTTTAAAACCAAAAAGAAACAAAGAAAGAAATCAAGAGAATTCAAGTGAAGGTCGCAGATATTGAAGATGGGCAAAGAATATCCAATATGCAGACAACAGGCTGCTTAGAAAAGAAAGCAAGAGAGCAAAACAAATAGCAAACAAAATTTGGAAATCATTTACTGAATTAAATATCTAAAGCTACATAGTTTTGTAAAACCCCACCTATGTGATAATATCAACACAGAATGATCAGTGTCAAAGTATACAATAATGAAATGACTAGACTTTTAAGAAAAAAATAAAACTTTGGGCATCTAGACAAAATGAATAAGTGATTTAGAGAGAAAAATGAATAAGTAATTTAGAGAAAGAAAATGAAGTGATTATCATACTTTTGACAGCAATGCTTTATGTCAGAAGAAAATGGACAATATGCTCAAAGAAAATGTGAGCCAGGTGTTATATCCAGCAAAACTGACTTCAAAGTATGAAACGTGCAATGTATTATCAACAAGAAAGAATTCAGTTTATGTGATTCTTCCTGAAAAATATAAAGTAGAATGTGAACTTCAGACCAACATATTGGTATCTGCATATTGGATATTCTTTGCCCATCTTCAATATTTGTTACCTTCATTTGAATTCCCTTGATTTCCCTCCTTGTCTGTTTTTGGTTTTTAAAATCACTCAGTTTTGTATTTCTTAATAATTTTAGTCTTCATTTTAAAAATAGATTTTTAAATTTTACTTCCAATCATTTACCGAAGACTGGTGGTGAGCAGTAAGTATATAGTAGTTTGTGGAACTATAAAACTACATAAAGTTAAAAAAGAGAGAGTATAGTGTGCATAGCTATCTGTATCTGTACATATATAAAGTGTTTGTGTGTATATATATATATATATATATATATGCTATGGCAATGTAGATATGATACAACTATTTTTTAAAGGGAGAGAATAAAGAGAGCATATGTAGGAAATTCTTTAATAATTTTAATAAACATATTACAGTTGTAATATTTGTATTATCATTGTTATTCTGAAGCTATTAGGCAATATATTGTAAAATGAAGCAAATAAGTCATCCCTTGGTTTTGAGAATTTCATCAGGATTCTCAAGGGTGGAAAAGAAGAGATACAGATGTGATATACAAAAGGACCCTATAGCCCTGCATTTAAATTAAAAATATCTTATTAACTCATGAGATTTGTATTAATAAAACTTAAATACATACATATAAGCAGGAACATAGAAATATACGCATACATATATCCCAGCTCTTTGCACTTAAAAGCCTAGAAACAATGTCCTATCTGCTGATAGTTTTAAAATACCATTTTCTATCAAAAGAAATCATGGCTGATCCCAGGTCTGGGGTAGAAAAAGGGCAATGTCCTGGAACTTATTGACACAGCAGATGGCAAGAAAGTTATCGAAGACCACTAGCATCATATCAAAAGTCAACTTGACTGGGTTCCCACTTGCTAGAGATAGTACAGTTATTACTCCAATGAGGATAATAATTGCAATGGATTAAAACTCATTAAATATTTGAGTTCATAAGTTTATAATAATAGTTTTAAAAAAACTAATTGGTTCACTTCACAGATTTTCATTATCTTGCAAATTGAAAAATAAAGGGAAAGAATGGTGCTTTTTTTTTTTTCTGTAAGAACCATACTACTGGGTAACCAAATAGTAGGTGAGGGAAAGCATCTCTGTATAAAAACACTCCAATTAAAAGAAAAAAAAAGATGAAATTAGAAAAACACCATTTAAAAATCCCCACTCAACAGATCTAGGCATTATGAATTAATAGCCACTAACATCACAAAAAGAGACAACTAGATATTGTTTGCCTCCCAATGACAGAACACAACATACCTTTAGTCTTATCAATGGGATCAAACTTGAGTCTGATCAAGCCTTTGGATCCCGCTGCAGTTTGACTGAAATATTTAGGAAAGAGGGACATATGGCACTGCACAACGAGTATTCAGTCAACAAGATTTAGGCTGCTGGAAACTATAGGTTACGTGGCCTGTGTTTTTCAACACATAAATGTAAGGAAAAGAAAGGGATGGGGGTAATCCTGGATATTAAAAGACATTTAAATGACAAATAATTTTTTAAATGGGAAGATGAAACTAGTGTCTAGGGATACACACTGGGGTGAAAAATCTAAAAAGAAACCCAAGGAAGTGACTACTATAAAAGTCAGAATGGAGGGAGGTATAATTGGGAAGGGGCTCAAGGAGGAGCTCTGGGATAGCTGACCAAGTTTGATTTCTTGACTTGGCGGTTACAGGATACTCACCATAGAAAAATGCATTGATTCTAGACCCAGCAATCCCATTACTGGGTATATGCCCAAAGGATTATAAATCATTCTACTGTAAAGACACATGCACACCTATGTTTACCGCAGCACTGTTTACAATAGCAAAGACTTGGAACCAACCCAAATGCCCATTAATGATAGACTGGATAAAGAAAATGTGGCACATACCCACCATGGAATACTATGCAGCCATAACAAAGAATGAGTCCATGTCCTTTGCAGGGACATGGATGAAGCTGGAAGCCGTCATTCTCAGCAAACTGTCACAGGAACAGAAAACCAAATACCGCATGTTCTCACTCAAAAGTAGGAGTTGTTAAACAATGAGAACACATGGATACATGGAGGGGAACGTCACACACCAGGGCCTGTCAGGAAGTGGGAGGCAAGGGGAAGGAGAGCATTAGGACAAATACCTAATGCATGCACGGTCTAAAATCTAGCTGATGGATTGATAGGTGCAGCAAACCACCGTGGCACATGTATACCTGTTACATGGCACATGTATATCTGTGTAACAAATCTGCACATTCTGCACATGTATCTCAGAGCTTAAGTAAAATTTTAAAAAGAAAAGATCATAAGGAAGAAAAAAGAAAAACTCATTGAATTGCATATTTGTTTTATGTATTTTTCTGTATCTGTTTTGATTTTTTTAAGGTGTTGACAGAATTTAGTTCAGAGAGGCTGGTTTAGCTGATGTCAGGACAGGGTACACTGTCTTATTTAGTCCCAGTTAAAACAGACACTAGGGGAGGCGCTCAGGTTTACTATGTCTTAAAAGATCCCCCAAAGATTCTAATGCACAGTCCTTGTTAAGAAGCACTAGCCACATGGTAGTTCTTGAAGCATTGGACCAGCAGCTTCAAAATCAGCTGGGACGACTGTAAAAAAATGTATTTTCCTTACCTGAGAACTTGCTAGAAATGTAAATTCTCACACTCCACTTTGTCTACTGAATCAGAAACTCTGGGGCCCAACCATTTGTATTTCAGCAAACCCTCCCAGTGATGCTGAGGCAAGCTCTAGTTTGAAACCCTCTGCACTACCCCAAACAGAGCCACTTTCTCCAGTTTGTCAAAGGCTCAAACCCGTGTGCGGATGAAAAGAGCAAAGGCTCTAGAAAGTGCTAGGAGTGGCCATAATTTTAGACTGAATTCATCTATACAGAGAGGGCCCCTCATCTTCTTTCCCTGGACAGTAACTACCAGAGGAAATGCAAATTCATGTTTGGACTATTTTTCAAATTTTGACAGTCTGATAGGTCCTCTCAGCTCTGGTAATGCAATATACGGAGATCACGATTATTACTTTAGAGCAGGCATATCTTCAACTGTAAGCTGGTTCCATTGTCAAACCTTAACAAATCTTGATGGTAACACTGCTGAACTCTCTGTGTAAATTTAATATGCAGAAATTATCCTTTTAGAGCCACTCAACAATAGCAGCAACAAGAAAGAAAAAAAAAAACCATGAATCTGTGTGTGTTTATTTGAGTTCTTAGAGCACAGCCATCTCTCGGCCTGTCAGGAGGTAAGCACAGTGGAAATACATTCCCCACAAGCTTAGGGACTCATCCAAGAAAGCCATTTCTTTCTTATTTGTAAATTCTGGGGCAGGTTTTCTGCAACCTTCATCTGAGCAATATGTTAAAAGTCTAAAAATTGCTGTTCTCAAAGTACCTTTTGGAAGACATACATGGCTCTAAAACTGGGAAACTTCATTCTATATGATTATTTGCAAAGGGAGATATTTTAGAAGTGATGTCAGGGGAAAAGTAGAATTATTCCTCCTGGATGGCCTTGGCTCTCGGTAGTGGTTCACTAGTGACGATTAGACATGCTCTGTTGACCGTGCACCAGGCGGGCACAGGTTTATGCTGTTTCTCCAGGACAGAGAGAGATTTACATTCATCCATCAGGAGGCAAGAACTCTTCTGAGTTGCAGCTCTCTTTCCCTAGCTGTAGCCTGAGTCAGAGCACACCCAGGCTGCAGGTTCCAAAGCTCCATTTGGTGCCAGTGACTTCTTAACAGCACCTAAAGGCCCTGGGTGCCCATTCCAGAAAGGATCATAAACAAAATCTGGGAGAAAAGTGACTTTCTTCAGAAACACCCACACTTTTGTTTTTTGATCCCTGATACAGGGACACAATGGCCTGGAGTGCTAAGATTCCACTAGCATCTGTGAATATAAAGATAGACAGAGACGGTTTGTGGCCACAGGTATCTTGCAGTCTAGGGAATAGACAGACAGATGGTGAACAAGGACAGTACAGAGTGATGAGTAGTCAGTGGTGACGCATGCCTTAGCTCAGAAAGAATGTAGGAGAAGGATCCTTTCTCTGAGGAACCAGAGCAGGCTTCACAGAGAAATTAGACTTTGAGTTGAAGTGTGAAGAATGAGGGATTTTTTTGGAGGGGGAGGGGAACAGGCAGACAGCTAGTGGGAAGTTGCTCCAAACAGAAGGGTCAGGCTTGGCAAAGGTTTGGAGACGTGGAGCCGCATATAACCCGCTGGCTGTGTATTCTCCATTGTCACTGTAAGGTGGAGACCAGTAAAGACAATGGCTGAGCAGGTCTGGAGCTGAGTCGGAGTTAAGGTTTAATCCAGCTTGCGAGGAGAGAGCCTTTGAAAAATTCTGATCGAGAGAAGAGCGTAGAATTAATAGTTATCTCAGCGTTATTATTACTATTTACATCTAGTGTGTGCTAAACACTGTACTCAGGGATTCCGTTGAATCTTAAAATAACTATGAAATAAACATTGGTCTCTTCATTCTACACATGAGGAAATAATTTCAGAAAAGGGAAGCAGCTGGCCTAGGATCACACAGTAGGAAGTAGCCAGCTCCTGACTGAGACTGAGGTGGGTCTGACTCCTGGAGGCTGAGCTCAGAAACTCTTTGGAAGTTTGGATTATAGATGGAGGGGGAGAGGCTGCAGGAACTGCTCCAGAGGGGGATATGGTAGAACTGAAGATGCCTGAATATAGCATTTTTCAATAAAAAGTACATGTGTCTGTGTTCCTATTTTGTTTGAGTTTTGGTCTTTAATTGCCTCTTTAGGATCAAAACAATTCTGTAGATGAAATCTACCCATGATTACATTGGATATTTGCTATAGCAATGTTCCAGCAACCCTGGAACAAACTCAAAATTTAGATTCATATTCATTTCAAACTCTGCCAATTTGGAATTTTCTTTCTTTCTGCCTAGACGCTGATGAGCGGCATCTAAACTTCTCCATAGCCAACTCCGATACCAGAGCCTTGAAAATATGGATCAATCTTCATTCTAGGCTTTATAAGGTGGCCCCTTATAAATAAATTTAACCCAGAGAGAGCTACTTGCTGCCAAAATTATAATTTAGTAGTGAAAAGGGGATTCAAAAGGCCTGGGGCTTTTGCAGTCCTGTATCTGCAAGCAAATTTGAAACTCTTTGAGCTTGTTTTTTTTTTTTTTTTTACCTTCAAAATGGAGATGAGGGCCCTTGTGAAGGTCAGGTAAAGTCACATTCATGGACATATTTCTTGGTCTTCTACAGCTGTGCCAGGTCACCTAATTCTTATACATTATCAGTGCCTTGCTTTGTCCACTTCCACAGAGAAGGGAAGATTCCCAGATGGCCTGCCCTCATTTATCCATGGAGTGAGTAGCCCATAGCCTACATCACAGATGTGAATTTATAGCCTCTGCAAAGACAATGGAAACTGGCAACCAAATGCCTAATTGAAAAAAACAAGACAAAAACCCAAACAATAGCCCATGAAGTAAAAGAACAGGGTAAACAGCAGTCAGGAAGGAAAAAGGAATGAATTTGAGGTTATTAGACTGGCTGTTTTTCCCAGATCACAGAAAACAATTATGCCATGTTAAACTATGCAGAAATTACATCTATACTGCTCATTTATTCATTCATTTATTCATCTAACCATCTAATCTACCATATGCCAGGCACTGTGCTAGTGCTGGAGACTCAGTATGAAGAATAATCTAATGGAGGATTCAATTGTTGATCCAGTAATTACACAAATAAGGTTTATATAAGTAACCATGAATTGTACTGTCATGTCAAGTTTTTCTGAGCTTTAAGTGCATGTGAGGAAAGTGGGAGGAATTCAATCTAGACCAGGAGGACTGAGAAAGATCTAAAGAGTGGGAAGTAGCTGAAAGGTGGCTTGGTCAGGTGGAGAGAGAAGGATGTTCCTTGCAGGTGGAACCATGTGTGCCAGTGCCCTGTGATGAGAGGGCTAACAGTAATTGAGAAACGTAAAGAAAGCTTGAATGCAAGGACAGAGATAGGGAAGACTGGGATGGGAGAGGAGTCTGGAAGGCAGGTGGGGGTTATTCTATGAGGGTCTTGTAACCATGTAAGAATCTGGGTCTTTGGATTAAAGCATTATTCTCAACCTAGGTGCACATTGGTGTCACCTCGCAAGCTTTAAAAATCCTGAGTCCTGGGCCCTGCCCCCAGAGATTCTGATTTTAATTGGTGTGGGAGCTGCCTGGGTATCAGGATTTTAAAAGATGCTCAGGTGATTCCAATGTAAAGATGGATGGATAAATGAATGAGTGAATGAATCAGTGAATGAGTAGCATGGATGTAATTTCTGCATAGTTTAACATGGCATAATATTTTTGAAAAATGCTGTTTGTGAATCTTCAGTTCTAATTCAGTTCTGCCATACCCTCTATGAGGCAGTACCTGCAGTTCTCTAGCCTCTCCCGCTCCATCTATAACCCAAACTGCCAAAGGGTTTATGAGCTCAGCCTCTGGGAGTCAGACCCACCTGGGTCTCAGTCAGGAATTGGCTACTCCCTAGCTGTGTGATCAATGGCTTGAGAGCCACTGGATTAAAACGTTTTACATGCATATATATCAACTGATTTCCACTTTGAAAGATCAGTCTGGCTGTGGTGTGGAGAATGGATAGACAGGGCAGGGTAGATGGGACGGGACTCTAGTGAGCAGAGTAGTGCAGTGTCCTCAGCCCCTGGTTTACCAGGCTCTGCAAGGGCGTTTCATTGTCTATCATGGCAGCCATCAGTTTGTCTAGAACTGTTAGACACTCCAAAGAGGTAATTTTGCTTTTTTTTTTTCTTTTTCTCCTTTTATTTTAAAAATAAGCCCAATCTGGTTTCTTAAAACGGAAACAAATTGGTCTAATTTCTGCTCCTTGGGACAAGGCAGAATGAGTTTTCTCCCCTTTCTACATGGCAGCCTATCAATAATGGAAGATGATGATTGTGGTGCCCTAAAGATATCTTTTTTTTTTTTTTTTTTAGACAGAGTCTTTCTCTGTCACCCAGGCTGGAGTGCAGTGGTGCGATCTCAGCTCACTGCAACCTCCGCCTCCCAGGTTCAAGCAATTCTCCTGCCTCAGCCTCCCGAGTAGCTGGGATTACAGGCATGTGCCACCACACCTGGCTAATTTTTTTGTATTTTTAGTAGAGATGGGGCTTCACCGTATTGGCCAGGCTGGTCTCGAACTCCTGACGTTGTGATCTGCCCACGTCGGCCTCCCAAAGTGCTGGGATTACAGGTGTGAGCCACCGTGCCTGGCCAAGATACCTTTCTTTAATACTAGATGCGTGGACTTATAAACTATTTCTTATGCCATGAATTCTAGATCTCTCTGCTGAGTATATCCTAATTTGTCATTAACATGTCCTCTTAAAAATCTGTTACTTTTTTGCTAAATATGGCTTCTCTATTTTCTTTTATTAAGTCATTTTGATTATTACAGAAAATGCTAACAGAAAATACTGTGCCAAAAGCAAAGCTTTGATTTATAAAAAGTGTCCATTTGTCTTCTAAAACAAATGATATTTAAATGACATATAAAAAAGCACTTAAAGTTTTACTCTCGGGCTTGGAAACAGTTGAAGTCAGCATTTGAAATTCAAACTTTCTTATTTGTTCTGTTGGTTTAATGGATATAACTTCTTTTTAGGAAAAAAGTAGAAGCTACAGAGGACTTTCCCTTTTATGTTTCTCAAAAATTTTAAATTTTTCCATTGAAGAATTTGAGAATTTGACTTAGCACATAAACAATCTTTCTTCTGTCTCTAAGTGTTGAAAAGTAAGATGAATCAGCATCACTACCATTTATTAAGTGGTTTCTACAGCTGGTATGGAGCTCATCAGTTTGCATGTTGGGCATCTCATTTAATCCACATCACAATTCAAGAGAGAGGTATGATCGTTATCTCTGTTCTGTAGATGAAGGATGAGGAGTTAAGAGCTGGTCCAAATCATACCAGTAGCACCCCTGATTTCTGCCTCTACAGCACAGCATGGCACCCTTTTGACTCCCACATTCAAAAGCAAGTTTATGCCTTGACTAAAGAGTAACGGCCGGGGGAGGGGCCAAGAATGGCTGACTAGAAACAGCTGTGGTCAGAGGCTCCCACTAAGAAGAATGAAAATAGTGAGTGAATCCTGCACCAGCAACTGAGGTATCCAGGTTCTCTCATTTGGACTAACTAGGCAGTTGGTGCAACCCAAGAAAAGCAAGGAAAATCAGGGTGGTGATGGCCCGCCTGGGAGCCACAGGGAGCAAGGGGAGCTCCCATCCCCCAGCCAAGGGAGGCAGTGTGTGATTGTGCTACCCTGCCTGGGAAACCATGCTTTTCCCACAGATCTGTGCAACCCGTGGGTCAGGAGAACCCCCTCATGAGCCCATGCCACCAGGGCCTTGGGTCCCAAGCACAGGCCTATGCAGATTCTCAGCAGCCACTTGGCTGGAGACTGCTTAAGACTACCCAGTTCTTATCCAGTGATGGAGGGTCAACCTCCATCACTGAGGTTGCCTGCTGCCTAAGACAACCAAGCTCCCAGGGAGAGGGGCAGCAGCCATCACTGCAACTGCAATCTGCCATTTTTTCCCTGCTGGTGCCAGGGAGATTGGATGGTTTGGACCCAGGAGGAATTCCCCACAGCGCAGCACAGTGGCTGTGGCAGATGGTGGCCAAACTGCCTCTTTAGTCCAGAGCCTGACCAATCCCACCTCACTGGGTGGGGCCTCCCTGCAGGAATTTCAGCAACTCCAGCCAGGGATTTAGGGACAGAACTTTGATCTCCCTGGGACTGAGCCCCTGGAGGGAGGGGTGGATTCAGTCTCCATAGATAGCAGACTTAGTTTTTCCTCCTGCGGGCTCTGAGGAATCTCAGCAGTCTGGATGAGTGGGATTCCCTCTAGTACAACACACTCCCTCCACCAAGGGGAAGCCAGAGTGCTCCATTAAGTGGGTCCTGGATCCCATGCCCCCTGACTGGGTGAGACCCCCCAATAGGGGTTGCCAGGCACCTTATACAGGAGCATTCCTGCTGGCATCAGGTTGGTGCCCCTCTGGGACAGAGATCCCAGAGGAAGGAGCAAGCAGTGATCTTTGCTGTTCTTTAGCCTCTACTGGTGACACTTCCAGGTGCAGGAGGGACTCAGGAAACTAGGGTCTGGAATGGACCCACAGCCAACCGCAGCAGCCCTATGGAAGAAGGGCCTGACTGTTAAAAGAAAAACAAACAGAAAGCAACAACAACAGCATCAACAAAAACGTCCCCACAAAAATCCCATCCAAAGGTCAGCAGCCTCAAAGATTGAAGCTACATAAACTCATGAAGATGAGAAAGAATCAACAACAAAAACACTGAAAACTCAAAAAGCCAGAGTGCCTCTTCTCCTCTAGATAGTTGCAACACCTCTCCAGCAAGGACACAAAACTGGGTGGAGGCTGAGATGGATGAATTGACAGAAGTAGGCTTCAGAAGGTGAGTAACAATGACCTTCACTGAGCTAAAGGAGCAGGTTCTAACCCAATGCAAAGAAGCTAAGAACTGCTATAGAGCAATACGGGAGCTGTTTACCAATATAGCCAGTTTAGAGAGAAACATAAATTATCTGATGGAGCTGAAAAACACAACCCAAGAACTTTACAATGCAATCACAATTATCAATAACCAAATAGACCAAGCAGAGAAAGAATTTCAGAGCTTGAAGTTTATTTTGCTGAAATAAGACAGGCAGACAAGGTTAGAGAAAAAATAATGAAAAGGAATGAACAAAACCTCCAAGAACTATGGGATTATGTAAAAAGACTGAACTTATGACTGATTGGGGTAACCGAAAGAGATGGGGAGAATGAAACCAAGCTGGAAAACATACTTCAGGATGTCATCCAGGAGAACTTCCCCAACCTAACAAGACAGGCCAACATTCAAATTCAGGAAATCCAGAGAACCCCAGTAAGATACTCCATGAGAAGATCAACCCCAAGACACATAATCATCAGATTCTCCAAGGTCAAAAAGAGGAAAAAATGTTAAGGGTGGCCAGTCAGCAAGAAAGGCCGGATCACCTACAAAGCAAAGTCCATGAGACTAACAGCAGACCTCTCAATAGAAACCCTACAAGCCAGAAAAGACTGGGGGCCAATATTCAACATTCATAAAGAAAAGAGTTTCCAACCCAGAATTTCATATCCAGCCAAACTAAGCTTCATAAGTGAAGGAGAAGTAAAATCCTTTTCAACAGGCAAATGCTGAGGGAATTTGTCACCACCGGGCCTGCTTTTCAAGAGCTCCTGAAGGAAGCACTAAATATGGAAAGGAAAAACCAATACCAGCCACTGCAAAAACACACTGAAGTACAAAGACCAATGACAGTATGAAATGGCTACATCAACAAATCTGCAAAATAACCAGATAGCATAATAATGCCAGGATCAAATTCACACATAACAATATTGACCTTAAATGTAAATGGACTAAATGGCCCAATTAAAAGACACAGAATAGCAAGCTTGATACAGAGTCAAAACCCATCAGTGTGCTATAGTCAAGAGACCTATCTCATGTGCAAAGACATGCATAGGCTCACAATAAAGAGATGGAGGAAAATTTACCAAACAAATGGAAAGCAGAAAAAAAGCAGAGATGCAATCCTAGTTTCTGACAAAACAGACTTTAAGCCAACAAAGATCAAAAAAAGACAAAGAAGGGCATTATAAAATGGTAAAGGGATCAATTCAACAAGAAGACCTAACTATCCTAAACATATACTCCAATACAGTAGTACCCATATTCATAAAACAAGTTCTTAGAACCTACAAAGAGACTTAGACACCCACAAAATAATAGTGGGAAACTAATGCTCCACTGTCAATATTAGACAGATCATTGAGACAGAAAATTAACAAGGATATTCAAGACTTGAACTCACCTCCAGATCAAGTGGAACTGATAGATATCTACAGAATTCTCCACTAACAAGCAACAGAATATACATTCTTCTCAGCACCACATGGCACTTACTCTAAAACTGATCACATAATTGGAAGTAAAACACTCCTCAGTAATGCAGTACAACTGAAATAACAATAAGTATCTCTCAGACCACAGCACAATCAAATTAGAACTCAAGATTAAGAAACTGACTCAAAACCACACAACTGCATGGAAATTGAACAACCTGCTACTGAATGACTTATGGGTAAATAATGAATTTAAGACAGAAATCAAGAAGTTCTTTGAAAGCAATGAGAACAAAGAGACAACAGACCAGAATCTCTGGGATGCAACTAAAGCAGTGTTAAGAGGGAAATTTATAGCACTAAAATGCCCGCATCAAAAAGCTAGAAAGATCTAAAATCAACACCTTAACATCACAACTAAAATAACTAGAGAACCAAGAGCAAACAAACCCCAAAGCTAACAGAAGACAAGAAATAACCAAGATCAGTGTGGAACTGAAGGAGGTAGAGACTCAAAAAACCCTTCAAAAAATAAATGAATCCAGGAGCTGGTTTCTTGAAAATATTAATAAAGTAGACCACTAGCTAGACTAACAAATAAAAAAAGATGAAAGAATCCAATAGGCACAGTAAAAAATGATAATGGGGATATTACCACTGATGTCACAGAAATACAAACAACCATCAAGAATACTATAAACACCTCTATGCAAATAAACTAGAAAATCTAGAAAAAATGGATAAATTCCTGGACGCATACACCCTCCTAAGACTGAACCAGGAAGACCTTGAATCCCCAAATAGACCAATAACAAGTTCTGAAATTGAGGAAGTAATAAATAGCCTACCAACAACAACAACAAAAAAGCCCAGGACCGGACAGATTTATAGCCAAATTCTACCAGAGGTACAAAGAGGAGCTGGTGCCATTTCTTCCAAAACTATTTCAAACAGTTAAAAAGAAGGAACTTCTCCCTAGCTCACTTTATGAGGCCAGCATTATCCTGATACCAAAACCTGGCAGAGATACCACAAAAAGAGAAAACTTCAGACCAATATCCCTGATGAACTTTGATGCAAAAATTCTCAATAAAATACTGGCAAACAAAAACCAGCAACATATCAAAAAGCTTATCCACCATGATCAAGTCACCTTCATCCCCAGGATGCAAGGCTGGTTCAACATATCCAAATCAATAAATGTAATTCATCACATAAACAGAACTAAAGACAAAAACCACATGATTATCTCAATAGACACAGTAAAGACCTTTGATAAAATTCAACATCCCTTCATGTTAAAAACGCTCAATAAATTACAAGCATTCCCCTTGAAAATTGGCACAAGACGAGGATGCCCTCTCCCATGACTCCTATTCAACATAGTATTGGAAGTTCTGGCCAGGGCAATCAGGCAAGAGAAAGAAATAACGAGTATTCAAATAGGAAGAGAGGAAGTCAAATTGTCTCTGTTTGCAGATGACATAATTGTATATTTGGAAAACCCCATCGTCTCAGCCCCAAAACTCCTTAAGCTGATAAGCAGCTTCAGCAAAGTCTCAGGATACAAAATTAATGCAAAAATCACAGGCATTCCTATACACCAACAATAGACAAGCAGAGAGCCAAATCATGAATGAACTCCCATTCACAATTGCTGCAAAGAGAATAATACCTACAAATACAGCTAACAAGGGAAGTAAAGGATATCTTCAAGGAGAACTACAAACCATGGCAGAAGGAAATAAGAGAAGATACCAATAAATAGAAAAACATTCTATGCTCATGGATAGCAAGAATCAATATCATGAAAATGTCCATACTACCAAAAGTCCCAAAGTTATTTATAGATTCAATACTATTTCCATTAAACTACCATTGACATTCTTCACAGAATTAGAAAAAACTATTTCAAAATTCATATGGAACCAAAAAAGAGCCTGTATAGTCAAGACAATCTTAAGCAAAAAGAACAAAGCTAGAGGCATCACGCTACCCGACTTCAAACTATACCACAAGGCTACAGTAACCAAAACAGCATGCTACTGGTACAAAAACAGACACATAGACCAATGGAACAGAATAGAGATCTCAGAAATAAGACTACACATCTACAACCATCTGATCTTTGACAAACCTAAGAAACACAAGCAATAGGGAAAGGATTCTCTATGTAATAAGTGGCTCTGGGAAAACTGGCTAGCTATATGCAGAAAATTGAAACTGGACCCCTTTCTTACACCTTATACAAAAATTAAAGATGGATTAAAGACTTAAACATAAAACCCAAAACTATAAAAACCCTAGAAGAAAATCTAGGCAATACCATTTAGGACATAGGCATGGGCAAAGATTTTATGACAAAAACATGAAAAGCAATTGCAACAAAAGAAAAATTGACAAATGAGATCTAATTAAATAAAAAAGAGCTTCTGCACAGCAAAAGGAACTATCGTCAGAGTGAACAGACAACCTACAGAATGAGATAAAAGTTTTGCAATCTATCTATCTGACAAAAGTCTAATATCCAGAATCTACAAGGAACTTAAATTTACAAGAAAAAAAAACTCATTAAAAAGTCGGCAAAGGACATGAACAGGCACTTCTCAAAAGAAGACATTTATGCAGCCAACAGACATGAAAAAAAGTTCAACGTCACTGCTCATTAGAGAAATGCAAACCAAAACCACAGTGAGATACCATGTCATGCCCATCAGAATGGCAATTGTTAAAAAGTCAAGAAACAACAGATGCTGGTGAGGCTGTGGAGAAATAGGAACACTTTCATATTGTTGTTGGGAATGTAATTAGTTCAACTATTGTGGAGGATAGTGTGGTGATTCCTCAAAGACCTAGAACCAGAAATACCATTTGACCTAGCAATCCCATTACTGAGTATATATGCCCAGAGGAATAAAAAATCATTCTATTATAAACATACATGCACACATATGTTCATTGCAGCACTATTCACAATAGCAAAAATATGGAATCAACTCAAATGGCCATCAATAATAGACTGAATAAAGAAAATGTGGTACATATACACCATGAAATACTATGCAGCCATAAAAAGGAACGAGATTATGTCCTTTGCAGGGACATGGATGGAGCTGGAAGCCATCATCCTCAGCAAACTAACACAGGAACAGAAAACCGAACACTGCATGTTCTCACTTACAAGTGGGAGCCAAACAATGAGAACACATGGACACAAGGAGGGGAACAACACATAGTGGGGCATGTCATGGGGACATTGGGAGAAAGCATCAGGATAAAAAGCTAATGCATGTGGGGCTTAATACCTAGGTGATGGGTTGATAGGTCCAGCAAACTGCCAAGGCACACATTTACGTATGTGACAAACCTGCATGTCCTGCATGTGTATCCTGAAACTTAAAATTAAATTAAATTAAATTTCAAAAAAAGAGTAAGGGCTAGCTTGCATCCATATTCTTTCTAGGAACTTTTCTCAATGCTCCAGCCTGAGTGACCATGCCCTTCTCTAGATTTCATAACACCTGTCTATATTAGAGGAGGCAATTATGATGGGCCTACGATTTCCAACATTACTCGTAGTTATTAACCACTAAATTATTATTTAACTTCTTATCTCTGTGTGGATTTTTTGTCTCTCCACATAGACTCTAAGTTTCTTGGGGAAGGATTGTCTATTACGAGTCTTTGCTTTCCCATAGTGCCTAGCATATTGCTTTGTCCATATGCAAGGCAACCAATTTACTTGAGTTAATGAATAAATAAACTAATAAAGACCCACCAGTTATTTTGGAAAATGCAAGGTATAAATATCTTTTAAAACCCTGAAAAGCTCAGAGCAAGGAGGAGAAGGGCCTAAGTGCATAGGCACAGGAGATGCACACTTCTGGGCTCATGTTCCAGCTCTGCCACTGGCCAGCTCTGTGACCTCAGGCAATGTCAGTCACCTCATCTGTAAAATATGGATAATAACTTAATACCCAGACTAGAGGATTGTCGTGAGTGTCAAATGAGATGATATGTGTAAATCCTTTAACCTAATTCGTGGCCTATTTGCATAAATCGTAGCTATTATAGTCAGACTAGCTCTTATTATTGAATCATGCTTTATTATGTATCAAGAGCCTTTCTGTACATTGTCTTGTGTAATTATTGACAGATGTTTACTGAACACTATGATGTGGTGGGTACACAGTAGCAAATACATAGGCATAGTCCCTGACCCCATAGAGCCTTTGTCACATAAACAGTGAAATACATAAGACAGCTATATTTCTCCCCATTCTACCAATGAGAAAGAAGGACTGAGGAGCATGACTCAGGCTTGCCATTTGGTGACCTGATATTCAAGCTGTGCTGTTTCTGCCTGCTATGGTTCGAATGTGTCCCCTAAAAGTTAATGTGTTGGAAACAGTCTGCAATGCAACAGCTTTGGGAGGCCTAATGCAAGGTGTCATTATTGCGAGAGTAAGTTAGTCATCACGAGAGTGCGTTGTTATGAAGCAAGTGTGACCCCTAATGTCTCTCTCTTTTGCATGTGCTCTCTTGCCCTCCCACCCTTCCACCATGGGATGATGAGCAAGAAGGCCCTCCACAGATGCAGCTGCTCAGTCTTGGACTGTCCAGCCTCCAGAACCATGAGCTAAATAAACCTCTATTCTTTATAGATTACTCAGTTCATGGTATTCTGTTATAGCAACAGAAAACAGACTAGGATACTGCCTCACAAGACGTTCTTGCCATGACAACCAGGTGGATTGTGAGAGGAATATTCTGTGAGCAGGGCTGTTTCCAAACCAGGGAGATGGTGTTCATTTTAAATATGTTCATGTGTATGGATGTTAATTTAGCTATAGCTATTAGCTTTGATTTGTTTGATGTTAAATAAACCTGAACAGACATGATACAGTATAAAATTAAGTACTGTTTGATTCCTCAGTATATTTGCTATTAATGAGTAATTATGAATATAATTCATAAGGACTGCAAATGTATAATTTGTATGTACATGTGTATGTCAGGATTGGTAGAAAATGTGAAATATTAAATTACACTGCTTAAGATAGCCTACTACAAGCCTACTTATGAGGTCATTTAGTGTTAATTGCCTTTAAGAAGAATCTCACTACCAACTTCATCTCCCCATCACCATCTGCCCATAAGATATGCCAAGTATCTATTTGAATCCTTTCTTTTTAAAATTCTTATTTTAATAATGAATCAAAGGTGTCTGTGTTCCTATTTGGTTTAGGTTTTGATCCTTAATAGCCTCTTTATGATCTATACAATTCTGTAGATGAAATCTACCCATGATTACATTGGATATTTGCTATAGCAATGTTCCAGCAACCCTGGAACAAACTCAAAATTTAGATTCATATTCATTTAAAACTCTGCCAATTTGGAATTTTCTTTCTTTCAGCCTGGACTCTGATGAGAAGCATTTATAACTTCTCCATAGCCAACTCTGATACCACGGCCTTGAAAATATGGATCAATCTTGAGTGAACATTCATTCTAGGATTTATAAGGTGGCCCCTTATAAATAAATTTAACCCAGAAATAGCTACTTGTTGCCAAAAATATAATTTAATAGTGGAAAGGGGATTGAGAAGACCTCCAGCTCTGGCCCTGGCCCTGTCCTTTACCCGTCCTGTAACTGCAAGCAAATTTGAGCTTGGTTTCTTTGCCTTCAAAATGGAGATGATGTCCCACAGGGCCCTTGTAAGAGTCAGATAGAGCCACATTCAGAGGAATATTTCTTGGTGTTCTACAGCTGTGCTGGATTACCTAGTTCTTACACACTACCAATGCCTTGCTTTGTCCACTTCCATAGAGAAGGGAATATTCCCAGACGGCCTGCTCTCATTTATCCAAGGAGCAAGTAGCCCACAGTCTACATCATGAATGTGGATTTATAATCTCTGTAAAGACAATGGAAACTGGCAACCAAATCTCAATTAAAAAAAAAAAAAAAAAAAAACACCAGGCCAGGCATGGTGGCTCATCCTATAATCCCAGCACTTTGGGAGGCTGAGGTGGGTGGATCACCTGAGGTCAGGAGTTCGAGACCAGCCCGGTCAACATGGTGAAACCCCATCTCTACTGAAAATACAAAAATTTGTTGGATGTGGTGGCGCATGCCTGTAATTCCAGCTACTCGGGAGGCTGAGGCAGAAGAATTGCTTGAACCGGGGAAGCAGAGGCTGCAGTGAGCTGAGATTGTGCCATTGCACTCCAGTCTGGGCAAAAAGAGCAAAACTCTGTCTCAAAAAAAAAAAAAAAAAACCAAACCAACAATAGTCCATGAAGTAAAAGAACAGGGTAAACAGCAGTCAGGAAGGAAAAGAGAATGAATTTGGAATTATTTACCTGGCTCTTTTCCCAAATCACAGAAAACAATTGGGAAAGACCCTGAGAATCGAAATACCCTCCTCCTTCCCAACTCTCTCCTGTGTGTGGTGAGATTTATGGATTTAAAGGCTGTGTAATAGAACATACACGGTCAAGTCTTCATGGGCAAACCGTGGCTTCACTTCATGACAGCAGTAGGGTTGGCAGTGAAGTGAAAACATCAGCAAAACATTTCCCTTAAAATCTATTCATGGGGACACTAACAGGGCCATTCCACATAGCACATTCTTCTATGTGTGGGGCAAAGGCCACAGATTGTGAGGCCACAGCGTGAGCATGGCTGAGACCCTGGCAAGAAAGAGTGTGCACAGGTCAGAGGATTCAGGCATCCTTGATCATCAAAGACCAATGACGTTTGTCTGGGGTTAACCCAGAGTGAGGCTAGCACTGGCCACGTGGAGCATCCTGAGCCGTTTTGTGGCTCTCAGGCTGTGGCCTAGTTTGTTATATGTCTCAAAATAAGCACCTTGACCTCTTCTCCCTGTGGTGTTTTATTTTGATATGGTAGTTTAACAGTTATTAATATGAAAGTATAATATATGGAGGAAAATTTTAAAACTATAGAAAAGTAAAAAAAAAAATTATTTGCATTACATTATAAGCCTTTCAGCATTTTGTTCTCTTTTCTATTTAGCCTTTAAAATATGCAGAGATTTTAAAATAAAACTGGACTCAGTTTGCATTTTTGGTTTTCTGTTTTGATTTTTTACTTATCATTATGTCATGGACATTTTTCTAAGTCATTAAACATTTTTAAGAAATAACATTTTTAATGTATCATAGGCTGTCCCATGGTTGGCTGCCAGTGTGGATTATGAAAGCATTGTTCTTAGGACAAGACTATTTCCAAACCAGGGAAACGATGTCCATTTTACGCATGTTCATACGCACAGATGTTAATGAAACTGTGGCCATTAGCTTTGACTTGTTTGATGCATAGTATGAGTCGGATATCCCTTACCTGAAATGCTTATGAACAGAAGTATTTGAAATTTTGGATTTTTTTATTTTGGAATATTTGCATTATATTTACTGGGTCAACATCCCTAACTGAAAAATCCAAAACGGCCTCTGGAGCATTACGTCAGTGCTCAAAAAGTTTCAGATTTTTAAGCATGTCACAATTTTGAATTTTCAGATTTGGGATGCTCAGCCTATAGTCCATTGCATAACTATACTGTATTTTTATTAATCATTTCTCTCTATCATTAGTTGCTTAGATTCCTTCATCTGTTTCTGTACAAATAAACACTGCTATGTTTTATTTAATATTATAAATAAAAATGAAACAGATTAGTTATTGTTATTTCTAACAGTGGCACATATTTTAAATATGAAAAGTAGTAACAGTGTGACTTGATGCAAAAATAAGCCAACAGAGTAAGGAAACAGAAAAGACAGCCAAGGAAAAGATCCTAATATATACCATGTATTGAATGATAAAAAAAAAATGTATCACATCAAGGTTAAGAGTTAAAGCCAGTAAAATTTTTAAAAAATCACAAATCAGTGGGGGAGTGATTATTGAACAAACATTGCTGGGAAAGCCTAACCTCATACTACATCAGCAGAATAAATTCTACATGGAATAATGAGTTAGATCTTAAAATTGAAATCATGAAAATACTGGAATAGAACCTTAGTGACTAATTGTTCTTAGAGTTTAAAAAGATTATTAAAGCAATGAAAGAAATGAGGGAAAAGTGATACATTTGCCTCCATAAAAATATGTAACTTAGGCCAGGCGCAGTGGCTCACGCCTATAGTCCTAGCACTTTGGGAGGCCGAGTGGGAGGATCACCTGAGGTCAGGAGTTCAAGACCAGCCTGGCCAACATGGTGAAACCCCATCTCTACTAAAAACACAGAAATAAGCTGGATCTGGTGGCATGTGCCTGCAATCCCAGCTACCTGGTAGGCTGAGGCAATAGAATCACTGGAACTCGAAAGGCAGAGGCTGCAGTGAGCCGAGATTGCACCACTGCACTTCAGCCTAGGTGACAGAGCGAGACTCTGTCTCAAAAACAAAAAAAAAAAAAGTAAGTTAAAAGAAACAAATGCGTATATATTTTTTGCTTCTGTATGTATGGTGGATGAGCAGTAGATAAAACAAATTCACTCTTCTAAAGGAGCTCACATTCGAATGGAGGAAGGTAGGCAAAAATAAATATATTCAGAAAAATAAAATAGGGTACTGGAAGAGAGAATGAGCATGCTTATTTTTCTTTCTCAGCTGTAATCATCTGACAGGTATACATCCTGACTTTAATTGTCTTTGTAGCTACCATCAAGTTTTTTCAGACTTTCTTTAAGTTATGGTCCTGTAATGATCAAAGGCAAAAATGAAGCACTACCTTTTGTTTCCTTTTTGCTACACTTATTCCTTCTCTCTATTGTCCTCTGTTAATATAAGTTGTGATTGTGTACATAGATTCCATTATAAAATTATTGTTTTATCTTTCCTTCCAGTAAATATATTTGAAAATTTTATTTTTGTAATCAGATTTTCTTTTGAATTTAACTTTTAAGCTAATTTTAGGATTTACTATAGACACATTTATACCAGGATTTTCCCATTTTAAGTACTTAGCTTTTATTCTTATCATGCTTAAAATTGATGTACATATTCAAGTGTTCTTTTTTCACCAAATAAGTAAAGATATATTTTTTTCTGAATTCTTGTCTTTGTGGTAATGTCTTTCTTCTAGTTTTTCACATAACCAGCAACTTGGCCTTGGAAAATCCCTGGGAACCAGTCCTTTGTCCTCGTGTCTCCTTAGCTGTTACTTCTTTGTGTTTTAGTCTTTAGCATTATAGAGGGAAAAAAATCATACCAGTTTTTAATCACTTATAGATAATCTATTTTTCTTTTTGCTTTTATTTCTAATTTGATTTGTTTTCTTGTTTTAAACACTTGTACAATTTTACATTTGTTCTTGCAATTCAATAAAGGGCCAGGGTATTTTTAGACATGAGTCTAATTTTATTAACATTACCTGTTACATGGCAAATCTTCTGTATATAAGTATATATTGTCTTGCACCTCAGGAAAGTTTATTTCTTTTTATGTCTTTATTATTTTAGTTTTAGGTTTTTTTTCTTCCTTTGGAAAACCTGTAACACTTTAGTTCAGTCTTCTTCGTTATCTTCTGCATCTTGTATCTTTCCTTTTATTATTTTGGTGTCTTTGCCTTTTCCTATGCTTTCTGGAAGAGCAACTCACTTTCTTCCTGAATATCCTTGATTTAGTTTTTATGTAAATTTTGTTCTTTCTTGCCTCCAGTTCAGGTTTTAATTAGACCCTTCCATTTCCTTCTTAGTTTATCTGATTCCCTTGCCTCCTGCGCTTATCCTTCCCTGCGGCATTCTATTTCTGTTTCAAAAGGCCAAGTAATTTTATAAATCATTAAATATGTCTGATAAATTTCTAAAAAGGTGTTTTGATATCTGGAGTGAATCAGAGTGATGCATTTCCTTTGGGCTTTCAGAATGATTTTTCTTCTTACTCATTTTATAGCTTAAAAAAATTGTTGGGTCTTACTGCGTTTCTTAATTTTTCCTAAAACAGAGAGCTATATAGGGCTGGTGTTCTACAGACAAGGCCTGTCCTGTCTTGTCTACTCACCTGGTATCCCCCGCACAGTACATGGCCTGACACATAGTAGGCACACAACGATTATCCATTGAATGAATGATTGGCTAGGGAAAGCAATTCAACTAGTTTTCATCTTAGACATATGTTTTAAAAACCTTGTATAACAGAATCAAAATAAAGAAAGGGAGTTTTATTGCTTGGGTTGGAAGGAATTTATCCCTCAGCTGATGGCTCAGTGAACACAGCAAACCGGGTGAGCTTTCACCATCATCTTGCTCAGATGTATTTTTCTATACTTTCCCCTGCCAGTTGCCAAGAGACATTAATGAATCTTACAAAAGTCTGGACCATATATATCTTCAGAAGTGTCTGCCCTGCTCAGCCTGTGGACAATTATTCAAGTCATTGGAGATAGCTGGCCCAGTCAGGAAGGCCGTCTTCCTCACAACCAAGGCTTGGGTTTGACACCTTGTACATCCTGCATAAACAAACTCTGTTTGATTCAGGCCCCAAGGCAGACACAAAACAAGCGTTACCCACAAAGTGCAGCTGGGAGGAAGCTTGTCTGTTATCTGGGAGGAGGACAGAAGCTCAAGCTACGCACAAAACTTGCTTGGCTCATTTTATTAGATAACCCCTGCCCCCCGCCCCCCGCCCCACTTCCTGACTCTCTCTCTCTCTCTCTCTCTCTCTCTCTGTCTCACACACACACACACACACACACACACACACACACACACACACACACATTCCTCATCTGAGCCCAGCCCAGGAAGGTCCAGAAGGAGGCATACACATGCCTAGTGGGCCTTGTATTGTAGTGACCATTACAAAGAAATGTTTTAAAGGAAAGTAAAGGATTTTGCAGAATCCCATTTGCAGGGAAAGACCTGTTCTGTGCTGGCACCTGCTCCTATGTTTCTTCTAGCCACATTTGAAGGAGTCTCTAGAGCCCATGAAGAAGGCACATCCGATGTGTGGGAGGAATCAGAGTGCAAGAGGATGCAGAGGTCTGGGAGGAGCCTCCAGAGGGAAAAGCAACCTGCATCCTAGCTCCACAGATGCGCAGTCTCCCCTGCCCCAAATCCTGGAGCTGGCTTGGCATTTTGTCTGATGAATAACGCAGGGTTCTCCAAAATAGTTTTGCTCTAAAGATCGATTTCCTCAGATATCAAAACAGAAACCATGAGCAGCCCTCTCTCCAACTAAAGATAAGACATTTCAGAATACGAGAGGGCACACGACCCCCAAGACTGAAAGAGAGAGACTTGTTGATGCCACATGGGAGTATACTTCATTTGGCAATTATCCTCTCCCATTTTTACCCTCAATGGATCTGGAAATGGAGTCTGCAGACACTCTGGCTGATTTCCTAATGGGATCAAAGGAGTAATCCTGCAGAGCTCCCTGTGGACGCCACAGCAGGAGCGGGAGGGTCTCCTGGCAATGTTTGTAACACCTCCTTTGGATGTTGATTCTGCCCTAAGGTGCATGATGTTCTGCAGTGGAAATGGGTTGGCTCCCAGTTCTGCTCAGACTTTCAGACATTAATCTCTCAGACAGTTCAGAAGCTACAGTCAAGTCAGAATGGGAGGGAATGTGTCTGGGTGCCAGGTCCAGCCGTTAGGGCCCTTCTCAGCATGACTCCACACTTCCTTCTGGCCTTAACTCCCAATGTTCCTTTATACATCGCCTTAAACTACAGTAAAACTCAGCAGCTAAGCACAACCTTACTTTTCAACTTCCGTTTTGAGTAGGGTGGAGAGACACCTTCACTTGTTGTCTTGGCCTAGAATACCCTCTACCTCTTCCCTGCCCACACATCAAAATATTTTCTTTCCACCATTACAAACTTTAGTAAATAGCCTGGGTTTTCCCAGAACAGTCTAACCTGCATACAGATAAGGGCTTGTTTTCCTCATTATTGGTTTCCTTTGGGAAAGGCTTAATACAGAATTTTAAATTCTGTTCTGCTCATATTTTACACGCAGTGGTGTGTCCATCCTTGTCATTTTCACCCTCTCAATACAAACCTTATGTACTTAGAGACTTAATTAATAGCAAGCTACATCTAAAAATAAGAGAAATTAAAGCTCAATATTAGAAGACTTTAGGAATAAGATGACCCTTTTAATAGCATATTGCTGAGCTTTTACTAAACACCTATTATTGTGTTATTATTTGTGTTATTTTTCTAGGTAGGATTCATAAAAATGCTGTTATCTGTCCTGACAAGAGCAGAGGGAAGAGTGTATGTTTGAACCATCTTTATATTAACAGCACAATAAAATTCACGGCTTATAGTTTCCAAAATATTGCCATGCTCATTCTATGAACTGATTCCATAAACAAGTCTGTTGCTACCTACTTCCTCATACCTCTAGCTCCACCGCTGGCTCTTCCCCTCCTTTCCTAGGCCAGGCCCATTTCTCTCCAACTGTTCTTACAGTTGTGACCTCCTTCCCCAACTCCATCCATTTTCTCATTGCAGCCAGGGTGACTTCCCAACATGCAATAACTCTGTCTCCTGTATGGCCCGCCTCGTGTTAATACAGCTCTCTACTACAATACAGTGAATCAGTTTTTTCTGTGCGGCAGGCAGGAAGAACCTGTTGGGCAATTACAGTGCCAGGTACACAGTTGGTGCTTAATATATACTTATTGAACAAAAGGGTGCATGAATTAATATATAAATATGTCAAAAATAGCTTCCTGGCTGGGCATGGTGGCTCACGCCTGTAATCCCTGCACTTTGGGAGGCTGAGGTGGGCAGATCACCTGAGGTCAGGAATTTGAGACCAGCCTGGCTAATATAGTGAAACCCCATCTCTACTAAAAATACAAAAATTAGCTGGGCATGGTGGTGGGTGCCTGTAATCCTAGCTACTCAGGAGGATGAGGCAGGAGAATTGCTTGAACCCAGGAGGCAGAGGTTGCAGTGAACCGAGGTCACGCCACTACACTCCAGCTTGGGCAACAAAGCAAGACTCTATCTCCAAAAAAAAACAAAAAACAAAAAAAAGCTTCCTGAGGTGGGCAAAGAAAATGCTATGATTTCTAGTCTACTAACCCACAACCAGCAGACCAGGGGTTTTGCTGAATGTCACGCAACTTCTATGAACAGGAGAAGCCTTAGAACCCAAGATTTAAACCTCTTAAGATTGGTGAGTTTCCTTCCACATCTTCTTAGATCAGAGCAACATTTACTTCCACTTTTCTACCTTGGATGTATGTTTCTCCCAGAGTGAAAGAAGGACACTGGAAATAATTCTACCCTCTCCTGTGGAGACAGCATCAAAGTTGTCAGGAGACCAAATTCATGTAACATGTGATCAGTCAATGAGTTATCTCTACTGTTTAGGGACAGCATCAACAATGACACACTCATTCCAATGCATCATTTTTGTATGTCTGCAATGCAGTGTACCAAGTCTGTGCTTTAAAATCATGTTTTTAAAAGTTGTCACTCTTTTCTTTCTTAAAGTTGTCATTCTTGTCTCACTTGTAAGACTTTTGCAAGTGTCGTTTCTTCTGCTTGAAATTCAGCCTCCCTATTGTATATTTTGGCTTTTGAGTATTTTTACATCTTATCACATCAGTGTCAATGTCTTAACAAAGCACATCAGCCAGAGGGTGAGTAGTTGAGCATCTATTCAGAGTCAATGCCATGCCCACTGTTGCAAAGAATGTGAGAAATACTGAGATAGCTTTACCATCAAATATTGGACTGCCCAGGAGTGGAAGCTAACTAATTTCTAAGTAATTTCTCAACCAGAGATCTATAAGAAAAAGAAAAAAATGACCAATTATTGAACACATTTGCAAAGGTCTTACAAGTGAGACAAGAATGACAACTTTTAAAAACATGATTTTTAAGCACAGACTTGGTACACTGCATTGCAGACACACAAAAATGATGCATTGGAATGAGTGCCTCATTGTTGATGCTCTTCCTAAGCAGTAGAGGTAACTCATTGACTAATCACATGGTACGTGAATTTGGTCTCCTGACAACTTTGATGCTGTTTTCACAGGACAGGGCAGAATGACCAGTTAGAATTCCCTTTCATTGGCTTGGCATGGTGGCTCATGCCTGTAATCCCAGTACTTTGGGAGGCTGAGGCAGGCAGACCACTTGAGGTCAGGAGTTCAAGACCAGCCTGGCCAACATGGTGAAACCCTGTCTCTACTAAAAATATAAAAATTAGCCAGGCGTGGTGGCATATGCTTGTAATCCCAGCTACTCAGGAGGCTGAGGCAGGAGAATCACTTGAATCCAGGAGGTAGAGGTTGCAGTGAGCCAAGATCGTGCCACTGCACTCCAGCCTGGGTGACAGAGTGAGACTCCTCTGTCTCAAAAAAAAAAAAGAAAAGAAAAGAAAAAAAGAATATCCTTCCACCACAACCACCACTATAGACTTGATGTGACGAGGGCCCTTCCCAGTGATGAGAGGAGGACTCAGGTCTATAAGAGAAATGGGTTTCACAGGAGGCACAGCAGGACTTGGTGATGAGCTGCAGGTGCAGAGCTGAAGGACAGGGAAGGTCTCCGTTGTCTGTCAGGCTGCAAGCTCTGTGACAGCAGGAACTGAGTCATTTCTACTGACCATTGCATTCCCAGTACCTGGCCCAGGCCCACTGCATAAGGGGCACTCAATATATATTTTCCAATGAAGAAGTGATTAAGTAGAGATTATGGATGAGAGGGGTCCCAGAGGGCTCTTATGTTCTAAATATGTGTAATGGGAAAAATGGTGGTGCTATTTACTGGGAAGTAGAATCTGGGACTGGAATTGAAATGGAGCTGGCTTTGGAGGAGAAATGACAAGGTACACGTAAGACTTAATCTGGTGATGTCAGTTTATCTGTGTAACCAGGACTTCTAGTCTCCAAACAAGGTAGACAAGAGGGAGATAACAAGTGAAAGAATAGAATAATCAGAGTAACACTTGAATGAAAGTCAGGAAACCCAAGTTTCATTTCTGTCTTAGCCACCAATTTACTTCACTTTTCTGGATGTTTGCTCATCTATACAATAAGAAGGTTATATCAAACAGGTGCTAAGGACCACTTTAGGACTAGAATTCTAGATTGTAGAGGATTCTATGCTAGGCCGGGCTATGGTGAGTGATGCTCAAGATGAACCTTCAGAAGTAGGTGATGGATGAGTTAGACAGGTGAGTGTAATGGTGACCAATAGCAAGCTCAAACTCACACATGGTGGGACCATGGACAGTTCCCTCCCCTGGCTGTTTCTTCTAGGCAGAGAGCATCATGGAAGCCCTGAAGGCTACAGATCATCTAGGCCAGGATTTTTCCATAAAGTATGTTCTAGAGGTGAGGTGTTAATGGATGTTTATACACACTTAAATGAGGTTCTATGCTCAAATACATTGAAAAACACTATGTTAAAAGGCTTCTTTTTACTGGACTTTAAAAATAGCCCTTAATATGCTCATTTTCCCTCTAGGATGCTGATATACTGGATACACTTCCTTTAAAAAAATGAAAGATATTGTAATCAGGCAAATCTCAGCATGCAGGATGGGGCAGCTGACTCCCCGCAGGCTTGCTGAGAGCCCTTGATGACTCTTGTCAGTGCAGTGAGATGGCTCTTGGTGGAGTCACTGAGGATGAAGATCAGGAGAGAAAACCACATACTGTCTCCTGGAGACCAAGCTCCTCTCAAAGGCTAAAGGAAGCTTCCGTCATTCTGGTGTGCACATCTGCCCCTGTATCCCAAGAAGAGATCTGAGCACGTGGGTGTTCCGGCTTCCAAACATACTGGGCTCCCACTGGTGAGATGATATTAGCTACTTACTTATATTCACCTCCACACCCATGTCCTTCTCACTGCCAAACTGCCTCTTTGCTCATTTCTGGTTCTGTGGGCATTTGTATTTTTGTAGCATGAAGTAATGAGGACTCTGAGGACTTCCACTTTCCAGAGCCAGGATTAATTTAAAAGTTTTGTCAGCAGGCAGCAAATTCCAAAGGTTACTGTCCACTTGCATTCAGCTGGAGGCATGCTCAGAAAGCATTCTTTTGTGCCTTTAGCATGTGTGGCAGGGGCGCTGGTTGAGGCTGGACATTTACTTGCTGTTTGATTGCTGACTGTGTCACTGGTTCCTGATGATTTTTGGCATGGGATAAATGCTGTTAGTCAGAAGCAAAACTTCCTCTGTGAGAGCTATTTGTTAAATCCAATCAACAAGCATTGGTCAGGCACTTATTGAAGTGGATCCCTGCTAATTTGTCCCTCTCCCACTGTATGCAATTCCAATAGCTACTTATCATAATTCCCATAGAACTCTGAGAGGGGAGAAAGCCTATGGATACAAGATTTTCTCTCTGAAAGTGAAAATTGCATTTTTAGAGACAAGCAGCTGTGACATCCTGGGTGGGACACAGAGGGTGGGTGGAGGACTGAGAGAGGAAATGATATGCATGCCCTGAAATGGTGTCTGATGTTGCTCCCGAATAGTGAGAGGATTTGTATTAGACATGGCTCCTACTCACAAACTGTGGTCTCCCTGACATGATAGCATTGTCTGGTTCATCTGTGTCCCCTAGCCCCACCACATAGTAGGTCAATCATTTTTTTTTTTTTTTTTTTTTTTTTGAGACAGAATCTTACTCTGTTGCCCAGGCTGGAGTACAGTGGCGCCATCTGGGCTCACTGCAAGCTCCACTTCCCAGGTTCACGCCATTCTCCTGCCTCAACCTCCCGAGTAGCTGGGACTACAGGCACCCGCCACCACGCCAGGCTAATTTTTTTTTTTTTTTTTTTGTATTTTTAGTAGAGATGGGGTTTCACCGTGTTAGCCAGGATGGTCTTGATCTCCTGACCTCGTGATCCGCCCACCTCGGCCTCCCAAAGTGCTGGGATTACGGGCGTGAGCCACTGCGCCTGGCCTGGAGGTCAACAAATATTTAAAGCACCTATAGCTAAACCAACAGTTAGTAATTACCACTCCTCACATAGTCTATGCCAGGCCCAGTGCTGATGATGTGCATATTAAGCACACCTCCTCCTTGATTTTCATCATGACCCTAAGCAGTAGATATTGGCATCATTCTTTCTGTGATACAAGTTAGGAAAGAAGGGCCAAGAGACCTGATGTCACCTGCTGGGGATGCAACAGCTGTAGACTTCGTGATCCGCCCGCCTCGGCCTCCCAAAGTGCTGGGATTACAGAGCCTGAGCAGAGCCCAGGTGTCTGAGCACAGCCCAGGTCTCTGAGCACAAGGTATGTGCTCTGGACCACAGGCTTTAGGGAGGGAAGGGGAGCAGGAAATGTCGACACATAGGGTTGGGGGCAGGGGTAAGTCTCTCCCTCAACCTAGGTTAGAGGTCACTAGCAGGAACACAATGGCCAGTGGGAATTTCTGTCATGAGGCATACATCTGACTGAGTCCCTGTCCTCAGCCTGCCTTCCTGCCCCTTTGCAGACTGTCTGCTCATCCTGGGTCCCTTGGGCATGCTGCACACCTTTCCCCACGTGATATTCGTGCTTAGGCAGCCGAGGCTGTGAGACACAGTGTAGTGTTACACTCTGCCTTGATTTGTCACAGGAGATAGTGTCCCTTCTGGAGCTCAGGGGCAAGATCTTCCCAGAAGGAAAGCTATCAACCACATGCCTGTTGGAAATACTGATGAATGTGTTCATTCAACTTTGATGTAGTATTTTTAAAAGTCAATTATTTTCAGCAGTGAATATCAAAGCAAAATTTAACAAAGCTAAGATTGCTACATTCAGCTTTAATACTTGTCAGCTGGCGAATATCTCTTTAATTACACAAGCACAAATCCAGCAACTCATTTTACTCTGCTGAAAATACAATAATGACAATCAAAAAATTCTCACTTCCATTTTCACTGAGTTTATATGAGGGTATGAGGTCATTCAAACTTTGCCAAAAGATGTACGTACTGTCGATGGGTCCCCCTGCCTTTGAGAAATGTCCTCCCAATTGTCTTTCAGTTATTATTTTCACTAAAACTTTTAGTTTCACTTTTAGTTTCATCAAACAAAATAATCTTAAATAAAAAGTTTTATTTTAGTTCTATTAAAACTTTAGTTCATTAGAACTTTTAATTAAGGAATTCCCTTCCACAGGGGAAAAAGTAGTCAAAAATGATAACTAAAGCCCAAAAGATGTAACAATAAAATGATTACCTGGAACGATCCTCTTGTAGGTAAGTCTAAGATATAATGTGGATTTTTCTTCTCTTTTAGAAGGAGTTGGCCACAGCATACCAATGTGAAGTGTTGAGTTTTTCTTAAGTTTTATTTAAATTTTAATTCATAAATAACAATCGTACATATTTATGTGGGTACAATGTGATGTTTCAATACATGTGTACATTTTGTAATGATCAATCTGGGTAATTAACATATTTGTCCCCTCAAACATTTATCATTGCTTTGTGGCAAGAATGTTCAAAGTCCTCTTTTCTAGCTCTTTTGAATTATACACTATATTATCATTAACTGTAGTCCCTTTACTGTGCAATAGAACACTAGAATTCTTCCTCCCATCCAACTGTAACTTTGTATCTGTTAACTAACATCTTCCTTCTCTCCCTCCACCTCCATCTCCATCCTCTGGTAAGCACCATTGTACTCCTCTCTTTCTACAAGATCAACTTTTTTAGATTCCATGTTTAAGTGAGATCATGTGGTATTTGTCTCTCTGTGCCTAGTTTATGTCACTTAACATAATGTCCTCTAGGTTCATTCAAGTTTTAGCAAGTTACAGGATTTTATTCATTTTTGTGACTGAGTAGTATTCCATTGTGTTTATATACCAGATTTTTAAATCCGTTCATCCTTTGTTTCCTAAGTGTCCATCAACAGATGAATAGATCAAAAATGGTTGAATCTTGGCTATTGTTAATAATGCATTAGAGTGCAGACATCTCTTATGCAGAATGATTTCAATTCCTTTGCATGTATACCCAGAAGAGTGATTGCTGGATCACATGGTAATTCTATTTTTAGTATTTTAAGAACTCCCCATACTATTTTCCAAAATCTCCTAAGAATTTATTTATTTATTTGTTTATTTAGAGACAGAGTCTCGCTCTGTCACCCAGGCTGGAGTGCAGTGGCGCGATATCGGCTCACTGCAAGCTCCGCCTCCCGGGTTCACGCCATTCTCCCGCCTCAGGCTCCCAAGTAGCTGGGACTACAGGCGCCCGCCGCCGCACCCGGCTAATTTTTTGTATTTTTAGTACAAACGGGGTTTTACCGTGTTAGCCAGGATGGTCTCGATCTCCTGACCTCATGGTCCGCCCGCCTCGGCCTCCCAAAGTGCTGGGATTACAGGCGTGAACCACCGTGCCCGGCCTGAATTTATAAGAAAACCAACAATGTGTAAGTGTCTCCTTTTCTTCACATTCTCAACACTTGTTATCTTTCATCTTTTTGATAATAGCCAATCTAACAGATATTATGTAAAATCTTATTATGGTTTTAATTTGCAATTCTCTTATGATAAATGATGTTGAGCATTTTTTTTTGTATATCTGTTGTCCATTCTTTTGAGAAATGTCTACTCAAGTCCTTTGCTCATTAAAAAAATTTACATTTGAGGGTACATGTACAGATTTGTTACATGAATATATTGCATAATGCTGGAGTTTGAGAGTTAGTCAATGCAGAGCCTAACAGGTAGTTTTCCAACTCTTTCCCCACCCTTTTGGAGTCCCCAGTGTTTATTGTTTCCATTTTTATGTCCGTGTGTGCCCATTGTTTAGCTCCCACTTGTAAGTAAGAATAAGTGATATTTGATTTTCTGTTTCTGCATTAATTCACTTGAAATAATGGCCACCAGCTGCATCCATGGTGCTGCATAGAACATGATTTTATTCTTTCTATGGCTGTATGGTATTCCGTGGTACATATGTACCACATTTTCTTTATCTAATCTACTGTTGATGGGCATCTAGTTTTGTTTTCTTGTTATTGAGTAGTTTAAGTTCCTTGTACATTTCAGGTATTAGCTTCTTGTCCAGAGAATAATTTGCAAATACCTTCTCCCATTCTGTGGATTGTCTCTTCACTCTGTTGATTGTATCCTTTTCTGTGCAGAAGCTTTTTAGTTTGTTGTATCCCCATTTGTCTATTTTTGGTTTTGTTGCCTGTGCTTTCGAGGTCTTACCCAAAAAGTCTTTGCCCAGACCTATGTCATGGAGATTTTTCCCTGTTTTCTTCTAGAAGTTTCATAGTTTAGTATCTTACATTTAACTCCTTAATTAATAGAGTAAAATATAAGGGTCTGATTTCATTCTTCTACATGTGGATATCCAATATTTCCATTACAATTTATCAAAAACTTTCCTTTCTCTGTTGTGTGTTCTTGGCACCTTTGTCAAAAATCAGTTGGCTGTAGATGCATAGGTTTATTTCTGGGTCTTCTATTCAAGTCCATTGGTCTATTTGTCTGTTTAAATGCCACTACCATGCTATTTGGATTACTATAGCTTTGTAGTATATTTTGAAGTCAAGTAGTTTGATGCCTACAGTTTTGTTCTTTCAAAATTTCTTTGACTTTGACTTTTCAGGACATTTTGAGGTTCCACAAAGTTTTGGATTATTTTTTCTATTTCTGTGAAGAAAGTTATTGGTATTTTAATAGGAATTGCATTGAATCTGGAGGTTTTGGGGAGCACCATGGATATTTTAACAATATTGACTTACCTAATCTGTAAACTTGACACATCTTTCCATTTATTTGTCTTCTTCACTTTCTTTCTTCAATGTTTAATAGTTTTGAGTGTAGAGATCTTTCACCTCGTTGGATAAACTTATTCCTAAGCATTTTTTGGTAGCTATTATAAATAAAATTGCTTTCTTGATTTCTTTTTTAGATTGTATGCTATTAGTGTATAGAAATGCTACTGAATTTGTATGTTAATTTTGTATCCTGTAACTTTACTAAATTTGTTCATTAGTGCTAGTAGGTTTTCAGTGGAGTCTTTAGGGTTTTCTATATATAAGATTATGTCATCTGCAAACATGGAAAATTAACTTCATCCTTTCCAATCTCTCATGCCTTTCCATCTCTCATACCTAAGAGAAAGAAATAAAAGGCATTTCTCTTGCTCTGGCTAAGACTTCCAGTACTATGTTAAATAGAAGTGATAAAAGTAGACATTCTTGTTTTGTTCTAGATCTTAGAGGAAAAGCTTATAGCTTGTCTCCATTCAGTATGATATTGGCTGTGGGGTTGCCATTTATGATCTTTATTGTATTGAGGTACATTCTTTCTATATCTAATTTGATTAGAGTTTTTATCATGAAGGATGTTGAGTTTTGCCAAATGCTCTTTCTGCATCTATTGAAATAATCATATGGTTTTTCTTCTTCATTCTCTTAATGTGGTGTATCATTTATAGATTTGCATATGTTGAAATAGCTTTGCATCCATTGGATGAATCCTATTTGGTCATGGAAAATGATCTTTTTAATGTGCTTTGGGATTTGGTTTGCTTGTAGAGTCATGCATTGCATAATAATGTTCCAGTTCGTGATAGACTACAAATATGACAGTGGTCCCATAAGATTATAATACCATATTTTTACTGTACCTTTTTATGTTTGGATACACAAATACATACCATTGTGTTACAGTTACCTACAGTGTTTATGACAGCAACATTCTTTGCATATTTGTCACCTAGGTGCAGTGGACTATATCGTGTAGCCTAAATATGTAGTGAGTTATACCATCTAGGTGTGTTTAAGTACACTCTATGATGTTCGCATGACAATGAAATCATCGAACTACATATTTCTTAGAATATGTCCTTGTTCTTAAGGGATGCATGACTGTATTTTGTTGAAAATGTTTGCATTTATGTTCATCAGGGATATTGGCCAATAGTTTTCTTGTATTATTGTGTCCTTGTTAGGTTTTAGTATCGAGGTAATGCTGGCCTCATAGAATGAGTTTGAAAGTATTCATTCATCTTTAATCTTCTGAAATAGTGTGAGAAGAATTGTATTAGTTTTACTTGAAACGTTTTATAGACTTCAGCAGTGAATTCAGAATTCTATCAGGTCCTGGGCCTTTCTTTGATGGAAGACTTTTTATCACTGATTCAGTCTCATTATGCATTGTTAGCCTATTCAGACTTTCTATTTCTTCATGATTCAATCTTGGGAGGTTGCATGGGTCCAAAAGTTTATCCACTCCTAGGTTATCCAATTTGTTGGTATATAATTGTTCATAATAGTCTCTTATTATCCTTTGAATTGCTATGGTATTAGTTGTAATGTTTCCTTTTTATCTCTGATTTTATTTATTTGAGACTTCTCTCTTTTTTCTTAGTTATTTAGACTAAAGTTTGCCAATTTTGTATTTGCAAATAACAAATTCTTCATTTCATTTATCTTTTGTGTAGTTTTTCATCTGTTTTATTTATATCTGCTCATATCTTCATTTTTTCACTTTTTCTCTTAATTTTGGGTTTAGTTTTTTCTAGCTTTTTGAAGTACAATGTTAGGTTGTTTATTTGAAATCTCTTTTTTTTATTGATATCGGCATTTATTGCTATAAGCTTCCCTCCTAGAACTGCTTTTACTGTATCTTACAGGTTTTGGTATGTTGTGTTTCCATTTTCATTTGTTTGAAGACATTTTTAAATTTCCCTTTTAATTTCTTCATTGTCCCATTGGCTGCTCAAGAGCATATTGTTTAATTTTCTTGTATTCATAACATTTCTAAAGTTCTCCCCTGTTATTAATTTCTAGTTTTATACTATTGTGGACAAAAAGAAAATAAATGATATGATTTCAGTCTTCTTAAATTTGTTAAGACTTGTTTTGTGGCCTAACATATAATCTATGCTGGATAATGTTCCACGTGCAGTTGGGAAAAATGTATATTCTGCAGCTGTTGAATAGAATGCTCTATAAATATCTGTTAAGTCCATTGCGTCTAGATTGCAGTTTAAATCCAATGTTTTTTTGTTAATTTTCTGTCTGGATGATCAATCCATTGCTGCAAGTGGGGTGTTGATGTCTACTGCTATTGTTATATTTCAATCAGCCTATCCTTTCAAATCTGTTAGTATTTGCTTTATATATAGACTGTTCCTGATCTACGATGATATGACTTAACAATTTTTTGACATTATGATGGTGTGAAAGTGATTCACATTCAGTACACTCCTTGACTAATGATGGAAAGTATTGTAAGTAAAAAACACACTTTCAGCTTACAGTATTTCCAGTGTATGATGGTTTTATTGTAACCCCATTGTAAGCTGAGAAGCATTTGTATTTAGGTCCTCTGATGTTGGATAGACATATATTTACAATTAGTATATTCTCTTGCTGAAATGACTCCTTTTATTATTATGCGATGACCTTCTTTATCTCTTTTTACAGTTTTTAATTTGAATTCTATTTTATCTGATGTAAATATAGCTACTTCTGCTCTTTTTTGGTTTTCATTTGCATGGAAGATCTTTTTCCATCTCTTCACTTTCAGTCTGTGTGTTCCGACAGGTGAAGTAAGTCTCTTGTAGGCAGCATATATTTGGGTCTTGTTTGTTTATCCATTAGCCACTTTATGTCTTTTATTTGGAGAATTTAATCCATTTATATTCAAAGTAATTATTGTTATGTAAGGACTTACTAGTATCATTTTGTTCATTGCTTTCTAGTTGTCTTGTAAATCTTTTCTTTCTTCCTCTCTTACTATTCTCCTTTGTGGTTAAGTGATTTTCTCTATTATCATGTTTTGATTTCTTACCTTTTACTTTTAGTTTATCTATTGTAGGTTTTTCTTTTGTGGTTATAATGAGGCTTACAAAAACCCTCATATAGATATAACAGGTTATTGTAAGCTGATATGAAATTAACTTTGAGTGCCATAAAAAAGTCTACGTTTAACCCCACCCACTGCATTTTGATCTTTTACTGACACAATTTCCATCTCTTTATACTGTATACCACTTAACAAATCATTTTAGTTTTAAAAATATTTATATCTTTTAACCTTCATACTAAAGGTATAAGTAATTTAAACATCATTGTTACAGTATTAGAGTATTCTAAATTTGACCATATAATTATAGGTACCAGTTAGTTTTATACTTTCAAATGTTTTTTGTATTATGCATTAGTATGCTTTTCTTTCAGCTTGAAGAACTCCCTTTAACATTTCTTGCAAGACACATCCTGTGGTGATGAACTTACTCAGATTTTGCTTGTCTGGGAAAAATCTTTCTTTCTCCTTCATTTCTGAAGAACAGCTTTGATGGATAAAGTATTCTTGGTTTGAAGTTTTGCTTTTTTATTTTGTCTTCAGCACTTTGAAAATATTATTCTATTTTCTCCTGGCCTGTAATATTTCTGCTAAGAAATTTGCTGATAGTCACATTGATACTCTTTTGTATATGATACGCTTCTTCTCTGTTGCTGCTTTCAGAACATATCAGATTTTTTTCTTTGAGTTTGATTTTTCTTTTTTTTGAGACAGGGCATGCAGTGGTGTGATCATGGCTCACTGCAGCCTCAACCTCCTGGGCTCAAGCAATCCTCCCACCTCAGCCTCCCAAATAGCTGAGACTACAGATGTGTGCCACCATGCCCAGGTAATATTTTTATTTTTATTTTTTGTAGAGATAGAGTCTCACTATGTTGCTCAGTCTGGTCTTGAATTCCTGGGCTCAAATATTCCTCCTGCTTTGGCCTCCCAAAGTAATAGGATTATAGTCATAAGCCACGGCACCCAGCCCTGGCTTTGATTTTTTTAATTTTTATTTTTTTTATTGTATGTCTTGGTACACTGGTCTTTTGGTTGAATTTGATTGGAGACTTCTGCTTCTCATTTCTGGGCATTGGCATCTATCCCTCAATTATGGAAATTTCCATCCATTATTTCTCTAAATATGCTTTATGGCAATTTTCCTCTTTCTTCTCTTTCTGAAACTCCTATTACACACAGGTTTGGTCTCTTGATGTTGTCCCATAATTTCCATAGGCTTTACTCATTCTTTTGTCTGTTTGCTCCTCCGACTGGATAATTTCAAATGTTCTGTTTCACTGCTCGCAAATTCTTTCTTCTGCTAGATTGAGTCTACTGTAGAAGTTTTCTATTAAATTTTTCAGTTCAGTCATTGTTTTCCTTATCTCCAGGATTTCTACCTGGTTCTTTTTTATTGTTCCTATTTCTTTGTGAATCTTCCCACTCTTTTGCATATTATTTTCCAAATCTCACTAACTCTTCTTTCTGTATATTCTTGTAGTTTACTGAACTTCTTTATGAATATTATTCTGAATTCTTTGTCAGTCATTTCATAGATCTTTATTTGGGGAAGCATCCATTATTGCAGCTTTTTAAGTTTCTTTTGGAGGTGGCATGATTCTCTGATTCTTTGTAATCCTTGTGCCCTTGTGTTATTGTCTGTGCATTTGAGGAAACAGGCCCCTCTTCTGACATTTACAGATGTCCTTTGGCCAGGATAGAGCTTCCCTACTTAGTCTAGCCTGTGATTATTGGAAGGGCCTGCTGATGATGACCCCAGACAGGCAGAACTTGTTGTGGGTTCTCTAGATGGCTGGGCCACTGCCTTTGCTCTGATGTCAAATGGAGCTACTGGCTGGGTTCCAATGACCAGTGAGACCACCCACTGGCTCTACTATCAGGCAGAGCTGCTGGCTGGGTACCGTGATGGCCTCTAGCCAGGCCTGTCACAAGATGTATTTCCTGGCTCAGCAATTCCAGTATTTGGGATCTTCAGTTGGACAGGGCTGGAGGTTGGGCTTCAGGCTTAGAAAGGATCACTTCTCTGGACAGGCAGAACCTGGGGTTATGTTTCTTTGAGATATGCAGTTGAGGATTGTGTCTTTGTCTATGTGGAGCTGTGGGGTGGGCTTTTGACTGAGTTGAGTAGCTGTTTGACCTCCTGGATCAAGCATGACTGGCCTCTACATTTCTTAAAAATGCATGGAAGTAGGAATTTCCCTATCTACATCAGGTTGTTGAGCCAGGTTTTTGGCTGTGTTGAGCCACTGCTTATCTTTCCAGGTCAAGCCATTCTAGGCTCTCTGCTTCTCTGAAATCCATGAAGTTGGGAATCTCCCTACGTGGATGGGGTCACTGGGGTGGGTTATGAGGCTGAGTGGGAAAACTAGCAGAGTAGGGGCTCCAGCAGGATTGTGCTTCCTACCATGCTTCTGCAGACAAGTTGCTCAGCTCTATGGGGTACACTGTGAGGTGGGCTGATACCTTTTATCAAGTGCTACATCTGGCAGAAACACAGAGGTACCACCAAGATCCATGTGCTGGTCACTTTCATTGTTTCTACCTGACCCCTGAGCAATCAAGCCATGCTTTCCCTAGTGTTTCCCATGAGGTGAGAGGACAGTGGACTTCCTGGGAAGTGCCTCAGAATTCTAGGGAGGCTAGATGACTGCCTCTGGTTCTCCTTTCCCTTTGTAGAAATTATGAGCCCAGGGAAATTCTCTCCATCTGGCATTGTGCTGACTTTAGGGAGGGGGCAGGAGTGGCATGGTCACAGTGAACTCACCCTTCTAATTTGAATTTGCTCAATTCTGCCTATGATGTGGATGTCTCAGGCTTTTTTCCAGATTGAGGTTGAGGTTTTCAAAAGGAAGAGAAAATAGAATAAAATTTACTCTAAGAGGATGAACGATCTGATGCTAACTCCTTCCTGTGGTTGGTTTACTATTGCAGTTGTCAATCTAGATGCCTTGGTCAGAAGGATCTTTATGCAATTTCAACATGTCCTCTGTTCTCAGAGCTGAGATAACCAGTTTTATATCTTCTATTTCACAAGAAAAGTGGAAGAGGTTTGTTGAAGTTTTCAAAAGGATATTCTCATCTGTGGATAGTTGCTAGTTGAACTTTCTGTGGAGGAGGAGTGGAGCCCGATACTTTCCATTCTGCCATCATGCTGATATCATTCCCAAGGTGCCGATTTTTTTTTTTTTAAGACAGAGTCTTGCTCTGTCACCCAGGCTGTAGTGCAATGGTATGATCTTGGCTCACTGCAACCTTTGCCGCCCTGGTTCAAGTGATTCTCCTGCCTCAGCCTCCTGAGTAGCTGGGATTTACAGACACCTGCCAGCACGCCTGGCTAATTTTTTTTTTTTTTTTTTTTTGTAGAGACAGGGTTTCACCATGTTGGCCAAGCTGGTCTTGAACTCCTGACCCCAAGTGATCCGCCTATGTCAGCCTCCCAAAGTGCTGGGATTACAGGCATGAGCCCAGCGCCAAAGTGCTGCTCCCAGTGCCAAAGTGCTGAATATTTTTACTGGCATCACCTTCTGAGGGTAAAGGTTCTCTGGTCATATCTGTGCAGCAATTATCTGCTTTAGCGGGATGAAGAAGAAATTTTGATACACATATATCTCTGCATTTTAATTTCAGAGCTTATATCCTATTCAATTCCTACTTCAAAATGTATTTTATTCAAGCAAATGCTGCCAAAATGTGTTACATTAATTTATCTTTCTGGATGGAGGTGTTTCTAACAGAGCAATTATATATTTGCCTAGACTAAACATTCATTTCATTTCCATCACGAGCCTCTTCCACTTTGCTTGTGAAATAGAAGATGTAAAATTGGTTATCTCAGTTCCGAGAACAGAGGATGTGTTTAAATTACAAAAAGATCCTTCTGACCATGGCATCTAGACTGACAACTGCAATAGTAAACCAACCAGGGGAAGGAGTTAGCATCAGATGATTCATGGTCTCAGAGAAATCTTTTATTCTGTTTCCTCTTTCTATTATAAACTTTCTCATGAAAATGAGTTTACTAAATCTTAATGTTAAATGTGCCCTCCTTCTAATTATCTGGCATTTTCATGACAAAAAATTAACAAAATGAAACATAAGTCAAGTATATACTCTTGTTTCTTAAAATAATAAGGACAGAAAATAGTATAGGTTGATTCAGTTTTTGAGACCTTTTGAATTACAAACAGAATCATGAATAGAAAAATTTTACATAAATGGTAAAATAAAATTAGTTAGGGGAAAAATATAAAATCTCCATTTCATAGTTGTCATACAGTTGGCGAATTGTTTCGTAAGAGTAACAAAATTAAACTCAGGAAAGTAGTTGGCAGTCAATATTTCTCTGACCCCTGCAAGTTGTGACTACAATAAAATAAAATTTGACTTTTTCTGATTACTGCTTAAAGATATTGAATACAAATTGAATATCATCTGTCTTTCTTAAGTGATGACACTTCTCAAATATTTAAGCCCAGAGGGCATTTGGATGATATTTTAGTCAGGAATTTAACTACGTACTCAAATGTAAACTAAAATTGTGAAGAAGCCAAACTCATACATCTTCTACCCACTTTCTAAGTCTAGGGCAACCTAAGCCAGAATTGGAGGACATTTTAAATTGGGTGAGGTTCTGGAATATTTATATTGGAAGAAGTTCAACTTTTTATTACCTGTTGGTAATCAGAAAAGCTGTGGGTCCTTCCCAAGCTACAATGCCATCCACAAAGTGGGAAGAAATGAATCCTACCACAGTACTCAGAGGTAGTAAGTAGACTAAAGAATAAAGTTGCTTTTGGCTTGTTTTTAACCAAGTCTGGCTAATTAAATTAATCCGCTACACAGGCAATTTATTTAACACAGAGTCAGGCATATATTTAATGATCAATAAGGTTTAGCGATTGTTATGAACACAATATAGTATATATCTCAGTAGCTCTCTAGGTGGTTTTTGTTTGATTGATTGGTTTGGTTTTTGTTTTATTTTGTTTTCTATAACCAGTGGGTTCTGGGGAAGGAGGCACAGTTCATACTCTTATTAGTCAAGACAATGCTCAGGTATGTGGCTGTAACAAATGATATCAGTGGCTTAAGCCAATTTCATTTCTCACTCATACCTGCCAAGCGTGGGCTGGTAGGAAGTGTAAAGGCTCCCCTGAGTTTCTCAGAGACTCAGGTTGACAGAGGCTCCACCACCTTGTGACATTGCCAGCTGACAATGGCTTCTAGGGTCTCTGAGGAAGGACAAATAAGGTGCTGGAGATCTCACAGTCTTAGGTGCCTCAAGCCAGAGAAGACACCTGCAACTTCTCATCACAGCCCATTGGCTGGAAGCATTCACTTGGCTTGGGCATATCCTTTTCATGTTCCCAGGAAAGAGAGAAGAATCAGGTGGAAGCAAACTCTAGAAGATTCAAATGCAGTGTAATCTCCCAATGAAAAGATTCCCCCAATTTTTCAAGTGTTATATCTTATGAGATTGGAATCCCTTCAATAGCAAATATTTCTTTTGTTTCTTCCAAGAGAACTATTTAACTTATATACTGTTTAGGAAAGGAAGTGATCTCCTTCTACTAATTGACATGGCTTAATTCTGTGGATCTGGGATAAAGCTCAGGCATTTAAATGTCTCATCGGGAAGGTGTTTGCTGGATACTCCATTTAAAGGGTGTCTTCCCCATAAGCCCCTTACTGTTGATCTCTTTCTTAGCAACCGATTTGCTTCTTTCATAGCAACATCACAAAGTGTGACTATTTTACTTCATTCGAATTTTAAGTTTTGACTGTTTTCCTCATGATACTGAAGTTTCCAAGAGGCTAGCAATGATGTCTGCCTTGGTTACTCTTTTCCTCTTAGCTCTTTAGACTATGCCTATCATGTAGAAGGAATCAATATGTTATTTGCCCAATGGATGAACAAATAAATGACTTTTTTTAAACAAGCTTTCCAGGTAATTCTGATGCAATTTGTCCATTGGCCACACTTTGATAAATAAATACTACAGTATATTTGCTTGTCCCTTTTTGAAACCAATAATCCTGAAGTTAATTCAATTTTATTTGATTTGATTCAATCCACATTTACAGCAGCACCAGAGGGCAGGCCTACTACTCTGTCAACCTCCTCAAAAGAGAGGATCTAGCCTCTCTCCCCCACCCCAACACACTCACTCATGCAATAGTCAGGGCTCAAGCACATATACTCCAACTCATGCACCAGCATGAGAGCTGTGAATACTTGTGATTTGTGGCTACTTGGCATCATTCTCCTTTCCTAACAGTGACATGGAGTTTTGGGGATAGGAAGGCTGCGCTCTCCACACCTGTACGACCTACTTTGATGGGACCATGAAGGCACCATTTCTGTAACCTCAGTGCAGCCTCTTCATCCAAATGTGGCCACTTGGACTCCCTTCCCTAGGCCTCTACATCTTGAGCTGAGTAATGCGAGGACAGAAAGAACCAGCCAAGACCCTCCGTTCCAGCACTGGTGTCCAGTTGAGATGGCAGAGGAGTTCTTCCTGCCTTGTCACCAAGACTTCCCTGCTTCACACCTTGGCCCTGTGCTTTTTACTAAACCCAGACTTCCATCTTTCATCCATTGTGCCTCTCTCTTTCTCTCTGGCAGGGGTTTCTAGCTAGCCACTCAGTATCCTTCTGCCTCAGTCACCACCCTGATTTAATTGGGAGTAACAATATGCTCCCCGAAAGTGACATTTCCCTACTTCGCCTGCCACATGCCACAGTTCTAACTGATGGGACATAAGCCAGAGTTATTGAGTATATTTTCTAGTCAAGTTTCTAGACCTGCCTCTCTTGAGTATTTGCTACTCAGCCTAATTAAGGAAGGGACCCTGGGCAAGGATAGATGCTATTTCTCCCTCCCAGCCATGGCCGCATAGGCATGTTCCAACATGAGAAATGGAATTGAAAATATTAATTTATGCAACAGATAATCTGATTCATCACATTACAAAGTTGTCTCATTTTACCCAAAATACTACTCATTTGGTTTCTTTAAATATCATGTATCCCTCCCTAACTCAGTTACATTTAAAATAAAATTTCAAATACTTTTTATTTCAGTGCTCCATAGTGATTAAGAACTCAGCTGTGGACACAGGCCGGGCTGGATTTGAATTTTGTATCTGCTATTTTCCCCAGGCAAATAATACAGCCATGCTGAGCTTCAGGCTCCTTATTGAGAAAATGGGAAGAAAAATTCCATCACTTTAGGAGGCCCTAGTAAGGATGAAATGAGATAATGCTCATAAAATGGGAAATAATGCTAACCATCATTATAATCAGTATTATTGATCACAAAATGCAAACTATACATTGATTCAGCCTGATGCATGCACTGAGAGATTCCATCCAACGGGCACCAACAAGGACAGCATTAATGGTGATTTTCAAGTTCCTATATGTATTTTCAGAATCAGACTTGAGAAATAAAGACATTTTACCGCTACTGCTTTCAAAGCTTTAATTCTGACTGCTCTAAAATTCTGCAAACATCTTTGTCCATAGAACTTCCTATTAACAGTATTGTAGTCCTGGGGAAAGGTAGGTTTATTATTTTTCACACTGAAATACAAATACAATAAAATGTACCAACTCTAAGTACATCAGTTCAATGAGTTTTGACAATTACATAAATCTGTGTAACCACAATCCAAAAAAGATATAGGACATTTCTATCATCCTAGAGAATTCTATCGTACCTCTTTCCAGTTAATTTTCTCCCAAAGGTAACAAATTTCTGATTTGTACTTTTATTGATTAGTTTTGACTGTTCTTGAACTTCATATAATATGCACTCTTTTATTGTCTGGATTCTTTCCTGCAACACGTTTGAGATTAACCCATGTTGTGGATGTATGTGTCAGCAGTTCATTTGTGTTGTTGTTGTTGTTGCTGAGTTGTGTCCAATTGTCGGGGATATGAAACAATTTGTTTATTGATTCTCCTATTAATGGACATTTGATTTATTTCCCGACTTTGACTATTATGAATGTATTTGTACAAGTCTCACTGTGTTCAAATGTATTCATTTCTCTTGAGTAAATACCCAAGAGGAAAGTTTTGAGTAATAACATAGATACATATTGAACCATTTTAAGAAACATCCAAGTCGTTATACAAAGCACACATACCATTTTATATTTCCACCAGGAATGTGTGTGACAGTTGCTTCCTTGGTCTTGACAGCCTTAGCTTTTTCCCAAGACATTCTAGTGGGCCAAGCTGTTCTTATCTTTTTTTTTTTTTCTCTTTCTTTTGTATTAATCAAATATTTTTATTATTTTACTTTATCTTTTATATTGACTTACTAGCTATACCTTTTTGTATGTTTTTTCAATGTGCATCTCTAACTTATTACAGTCTATCTTCAAATGATAATATACGAATTCACAATGTAAGACTTTATAAGGATATCATTTCACTTATTCCTTCTTGTATTATGTGTCCCTCTTGTCATACACTTTATTTCCACATGCTTTCACTGCCACAATACATTGTTATTATTTTGCTTTAAACAGTTGATGGTCTTTTTTTAAAAATAAATATGTATGTCTGGGTATATATCTTAAAAATTTTTTAAAGTTTTAAAAATAAATATCAGATGTTTATGCTCTCTGAAGCTCTCTTCATTTCTGTGTGCTGACAGGAGCTTCTATGTGTATCATTTCCTATCAAGCTGAAGAAATTCTTGTAGTTTAGGTTTGTTGGAGACCTCTCAGTCTTTATTTGTTTGAAAATGTCTTTATTTCATAATCATTTTTGACAAATAGTTTTGCTGGATAAGAATTCTTATCCTTATATATGGACAATTTTTCTTTGTTGTTTTGTTTTCCTTTGCTTCTTAAAACCAGAGCTTTAAAGATCTTATTCTTTGTTCTGACCTCTACTGTTTCTAATGAAAAAGCAGAAACAACACAGCTCCCATTTGTATTGCTGTTCCCCTGCATGTAATGCTCCTTCTGTTTTTTTCTAGCTGCTTTTAACTTTCTTTTTATCTTACTTTTTAGAAGTTTGATCATAATGTGCCTAGATGTAGTTTGCTTTGTATTTATTTATCTTTCTTGAGTTGGTAAGCTTTTTTTTTATTATTATACTTTAAGTTTTAGGGTACATGTACACGATGTGCAGGTTTTTAAATTAATTGGTTCATACCTTCCATCAATTTTGGAAAATTATCAATTGTCTATTTATCTATCATCCGTCTGTCTGTCTGTCTGTCTGTCTGTCTGTCTGTCTATCTATCTATCTATCTGCAAAATTTTCTGGCCTATTCTCTCTCTCTCTTTCTGATCCTGCCATGAGATCTCTGTTGGACTATTTAATATTATTCCACAGACACGGGATGCTCCCTTTCAGGTGTTTTATTTTTCCTTTCCTTTTCTCTTTGTGTTTCATTTTAGACCATTTCTATGGACCTATCTTGAGTTTCACTAATCCTCCGATGTGCTCACTACTGTCAAACCTATTGACTGAATTTGTCATTTCTGATAAGAGTATGTTTTTTCCTTGAGACCATCCTGGCTAATACGGTGAAACCCCGTCTCTACTAAAAGTACAAAAAATTAGCCAGGCATAGTGGCGGGCGCCTGTAGTCCCAGCTACTCGGGAGGCCGAGGCAGGAGAATGGCATGAACCCGGGAGGCGGAGCTTGCAATGAGCCGAGATCCTGCCACTGCACTACAGCCTGGGCGACAGAGCTAGACTCCGTCTCAAAAAAAAAAAAAAAAAAAAAAAAAGAGTATGTTTTTTCCTTTCTAGTATTTCCATTTTTAAAATAGTTTTCATCTCTCTGTTTATATTTAGAGGAAAAGGTAAACACCTGAGTGAACTGATGGAGGTTTACATATTTGTCATTGTTATTTTATTTTATTAATTAATTATTTTTTTCTGAGATGGAGTCTCACTCTGTCACCCAGGCTGGAGTGCAGTGGCGCAATCTCCGCTAATTGCAGCATCCGCCTCCCAGGCTCAAGCGATTCTTATGCCTTAGCCCCGCCAAGTAGCGGGGACCACAGGTGTGCACCACCACGCCTGGCTAATTTTTGTATTTTTAGTAGAGATGGGGTTTCACCACGTTAGTCAGGCTGGTCTCGGACTCCTGGCCTGAAGTGATCTGCCTGCCTCAGCCTCCCAAAGTGCTGGGATTACAGGCATGAGCCACTGTGCCTGGCCAGTTATTTTAAAGTCTTTCCCTGAGAATCCCAACATCTAGGTCATCTCTGTGTTTACTCTGTTTCTCCGCTGACCACGTGTCATATTTTCTTTTGTGTGTGTGTGTTTCTCATAACTTTTTATTGTGTGCTGAACGTTTTTGTAGAAGAACAATAGAGAATGAAGTAAAGAATATTCACCCACAGAGAAGAGCTTCTATCTCTGTCAGGCCCCTTGTTGGATGCTAAGTCAGACTAATCCACAGTTGAGCTGGGTCCGGGCTAGGCGGCAACTTTAATTTGATTCAGTTCACAACTGGTTTCAAATGTTTGGAGGGCACAATCAGGACTTTCTCTTCCTCCAGGACGGAGGTTCTAATGCTGGGGAGATTCTAGGGATCCCCTTTATGGTTTCCCATGAAGCTGCCAGATGTTGGAGCTTTCAGAGATTCCTTTGCTGCTTTTGACGTTGCTGAGCATTCGACGTCTTTGCTTTTCAGCGCCACCTCTGGCTTTCTGCACCTCAGATTTCTCTCTGCCCTTCTGCCGAGCTTCCACTGTTGCAGGACTATTGTACTTACTAATGTACAGGGTGGGTGGGTAGGTTCTTATTTTATTGTGACTCAAAAATTTTATTTTGCTTGCTTTATTATGATGTTCTTAATATGTGATAAATAAGAGAAAGTGATACAAGAAGACAGCAGTGTCTAGAATAAGGAAGACAAGAGTAAATCTGAAAAATGAGTCCCTAGATTCATTTCCACCCATCTCCAGCACCTTGTTGCTCCAGACCCTCCCTGGGGCTCATAGTTTCAACCTTTCTCTCTTTTTACATTGCTTCCTCTCTGCCTAGAAATATATTACTCTCTTGTTCCAAATAAATCTCTCTCTTTGTGTGTGTGTGTGTGTGTGTGTGTATGTGTGTGTGTGTGTGTGTGTGTGTGTGTGAGTGACAGAGTCTTAACTCTGTTGCCCAGGCTAGAGGGCAGTGGTGCCATCTCAGCTCACTGCAGCTTCCGCCTCCCAGGTTCAAGTGATTCACCTGCCTCAGCCTCCTGAGTAGCTGGGATTATAGGCACGCACCACCACACCTGGCTAATTTTTGTATTTTTAGTAGAGACGGGGTTTCACCGTGTTGGCCAGGCTGGTCTCAAACTCCTGACCTCAGGTGATCCACCTGCCTTGGCCTCCCTAAGTGCTGGGATTACAGGCGTGACCTACCACGTCTGGCCCCAAATAAATCTCTTGAACTATATCTGCTGTAGTTACCGTCCAATCTGTCTCTTTCACCTCCCCAAAGAGGAGTCTTTACTTCTTCAGCCTCTGCCTGCTCCTCAGCACACGACAGTCTGACTTCTGCCCCCACCAGATCAGGTCTCCATAACAGGTGGCTCTTGAGACTACCCCACAAGACGAGGTCTTGTTTCTGCCTGAGACTTCTGAAGACCAACTTCAGGGGGCAGCCACCCTTTTGCCCTGCCAAGCCCAAGCACAGGAGATAGACAGCAATAATACCAAGGGTATCTTGGGCTACATGTTTCCTCATAAAAGGGCCAGATAGCCTGTAATGGGAGGAAGCCCCACTGCTCCAGCAGCTCAGATGCTTGTGAGGAGGGCTGGACCTGTTGATAACTTGGAGGGGGAGCTCTGGTCTGTGCTTTGCTTACACCTAGGTGGCCTTCCCTCTCTGTCTCTCCCTGAAAAGAACATGGGCCTATTCCAGGAGGCTGGCATGGTCCCTGCGGGATCAGCTGGAGGGAGGATGAGACCCACTCTCCTGCTTGGGGCTTACGTCCACCTCACTACAGCTGCTGGTGCTTGTACTTTCCACTTGCTGTGTACAAAGGCTGGATGCAAATATGAAATGTTAAGAGTAAACATATAAAGTTGGCCAGTCACAGTGGCTTATGCCTGTAGTCCCAGCACTTCGGGAGGCCAAGGCAGGAGAACTGCTTGAGGCCAGGAGTTTGAGACCAGCCTGGGTAATAGAGTGAGACCCTGTCTATATTTTAAAATAGATAATATAAAAATTATATAGGGAGAGATAGATCATATAAAATTAGATACACATGTATACTTTTTTTAAGTTAGGCAAAAAAGTTAGAAAGATAAAATGGTGAGTAAAATTGTATAATGAAATTAATCAGGCCGGGCGCAGTGGCTCACACCTGTAATCCCAGCACTTTCGGAGGCCAAGGCGGGCAGATCACTTGAGGTCAAGAGTTCAAGAACAGCCTGGCCAACATGGTGAAACCCCATCTCAACTAAAAATACAAAAAAAAAAGATTAGCCAGGCTTGGTGGTGAGTGCCTGTAATCCCAGCTGCTCAGGGGGCTGAGGCAGGAGAATTGATTGAACCTGGGAGATGGAAGTTGTGGTGAGTCAAGATCGTGCTGCTGCACTCCAGCCTAGATGACAAAGCAAGACTTCCTCTCAAAAAAAAAAAAGAGAGAAAAAAGAATTTAATCATGTGACAAAATAAAAGTTAAGGCTAAGATGACCAAATGGTGGAAAAATTGAAACTACTTTTTATGTTGAACACTATGAGATGGGCTCAATACAAGTTCATTGACTGTTCATTCACAAGCCTGGCCCCACGAGAGCTCTCATTTCCTTCACTGACTCTGACTTGATCTAATTCAGGATTCATGTCCTACAAACTTCTAGGCTGGTGCGAAAGGCGATCTTGGTTATTTTGAAGACTCAACCCACTCTGCCTCCAGGTCCTGACAAGGCTCTGGGACTGTCTTCAATGCCACGGACGGGGATAAGGGGAGTAAGGTGGGAGGGGTAGTCATTATAATTTTCTTTTTACAGTGGCCCCCTTCAGTTGTAGGGCTCTCTACTGACCCTGGGCCACTGTGGGATAAGGGTCTCTTTGTTGAAGCTGGGAGCCCTGTCCTTGGATCCTGTCTATCTGGACACCTTCAGACCATTCCCCTCAGCTCCCACTGCCCCTGTGGGCCCTGCTTTTACAGGACCCAGAGGTTTCTTTCTTTCTTTCTTTTTCATAGACAAGGCCTTGCTCTGTCACCTAGACTAGAGTGCAGTGATGTGATCACAGCTCACTGCAGCCTCAAAACCTCCTGGGGTTAAATGATCCTCCCCCCTCAGCCTCCCAAGTAGCTAAGACTAAAGGCACACCCCACCATGCCTGGCTAATTTTTAAATTATCTGTAGAGACAGGGTCTCACTATGTTGCCTAGACTGGTCTCAAATTCCTGGGGTCAAGTGATCCTCCTACCTTGGCCTCCCAAAGCGGTGTGATTACAGGTGTGAGCTGCTGCACCTGACTGAAAGGCCTCTTAATATCAATCCCTTTCTGCCTTTATCCTTCAAGACTTCCTTCCACCTGGTGTCGCCTTCAGAGTTGCCCCACCTAACCCCTTCAGTGGTCTTGGACCTCTAGAAACAACACCCAGGACAGAAAATGTTTTGTTGGCAGCTTTTTTCTCTCTGGCCATAGATGGGTCAAGAAACACAGAGTTTATCATCTGCTTAAAAGGGTTGGGGTCAGGGGTGGGAGGAAAGAACGGGTAAATAAGGGAGAAGGAATCTATATTAATCTTTTCAAATATTCTCCAGCTGTGTGCATTATGGTCCATATAATAGCAGATGGTCATTAAAGCTAATAACACGGGAAGATGTTCACGATTTATAAACTGTAAAGAGCAGGTCAAATGAGTATATGGACCATGAGGGCATTTCTGATATCTATAAATATATGCAGACAGAAATGATAGGGAGGAAAACCACTCATTTTCTATAAGTAATAGGAGAACAGATTCATCTTCCTTTTTGATGTATCTGTGTGTGTGTTTTTTTTTAACTTTTCCATAGTGAACCTGCTTTAGTTGTGTGAGCAAACAGAACAAATGAGAACAGCTAGACAGATATATTAGGGATCAAAGAGAAAATAGCCTTACGATATTCAGTCTCTTTCTTCTGTGCCCCCCACACAGTCTTTTTAGGAAAAGATGCAGGAGGCTGGGCCTGGCTGGCAGAATGGCTGTCCCCAACGGACCTATGTCCTGTGGGCCCACCAAGGCTCTGGGCACTTGCATAGATGATTTCTGCCTACTTTGGAAAACATCTCTGCACCCCTGAGACTCTGCAGTGAGGTTTTCCCTGTGCACAAGGCCCGGTGGGGTGTGAGTGGGAGTAGACTCCGTCTCCCCCAGTGGTGAGGACTTATGCGCTGAGTCAGCTGAATTGTAAAAAATAAATGTGTGGCAGCCAGCATTTGGCTTCATGCATGTTTAAAATCAGCCTGTGGCTAGCCTTTGCCACCTGGGCAGTGAGCTTGCTTGGGGCTTGCAGCAGGAAGCCTGCTACACAGCTACTCCTCCACTTCACCTGGTGATCTCAAAAAGCTACGCAGGGAAGCACCAGCTCCTGCCCAGCAAACACCCTTTTTTCTGCTAAAAACAAAATGAGCGCTGGAAATCATAGGCAAATCTTTCTTATGCTGTGCCTTGGAGCAGGAGCTACGAATGAGTGGAATCCATCCACCTTCCAGACGCCTTAGCTATCTGCAATGCCCCCCTCAGGAGACAAAGCCCACGCAGTCCCTCTCTTTGGACGTCCACTCATTTGCCTGCAGCTCCATCAAATTCAGCTCCCCAGATTACATTTCAAATGATGGAGCATTTCAGAGTGCTCTCTGCAAACTGAACCAGGCTTTGTAAATGTGAGAGAAGATTGTGGTTGACATCCATCATTCAGGGGGTGCATTACCAATTTCCAAGATTCTCTGTGTTTCAGTTGAATGTTGTGCTGCTGTGCTGCACCCTGGCCTCTGACCACAGACATCATGGCCCGTGGGAAGTTCTGATGGGAAATATTTCACCCAGAAATGTCGGGGCCTCTGCAGCCTTTATCTTGGAGAAAAGTGCAAAGAGGGCAGCAGCTCACTTGTAGTTTGTGTTTATAGTTTAGGACATCTGTGATCTCTCAGCATTGATTCCTTTTACTTTAAATCCTGTCCTATGCCTAATGAGTCATTTTCAAGCAGAAATCTGCACAGTGTGTGATATGGTTGCCCACTGTATAATAACCATGGGTTAGAGTCTAGGAATCATTGTAGCTTTAAGGTCTTTGTTAAGAATGCAAAAACGGAAATGAAAATTAACTCCATAGTAGGGCAGCTGGTCTCAGCAAATTCAGTTGTTAAAAAGAAAGAAGTGGATTCATAATGGATTCCTCAGTCAGCCGGGAATTTAACAATTACTTCTGGAATGTTTAAGATTGAGAATTTCTGCAGATTTTCAAAGGAAGTTCTGATAGTTATATCATGGGCTCCACTTTATACATCACTCTGAGTTCACCCTGGGTAAGTAAGCATGGTGTCTACAGTTCTGTGTATGAGATGGTCCAGATACGATCTTCTGCCCCACCAGTTTTTGACAGGACTCCCTGGAGCAGCTAGAATCTGTGAGAATAAACTGAGCATCACCAGACTACATTTTTACTGCAGTCACACTAGGTCTGGCTATATAGGTAAAGAAAGCATTCAGGTGTCTTCATGTGTTCAGAACAAGGGCCCCCATCTTGGGCAAATTCCAGGCTCTCACATTCTTCATACGTCCCACCATACATTTAGCATCTTTTCTTGGAACTTGATTTGTTAAGTTCCAAATTTCAGGTGCTCAACCTGTGCCCATTGAAAATCACGTGGTAAATTTAAAACAGCTTATTTTCTAACATAGCTTTGGGCCTGCCAGAGCCCATTATGATTCTGCTTGTGGCTACACCAACTCATATTACAGATCAAGTCATTTTCACCAAAGCACTCCTTGTACAATCAGAGGGAATGGTGGCACACAGCTGCCTGGGAAGGGCTTAGCCATCATCTTAATATTATGGGCTGTTGGTAGCAGATCACTCTACTGAGCCACAGATAAGATCATTTTAGTGACATTTGTGGTAAACATCCTCTCGTGGGTGACAAGCCTCAAATCAAACCTATCACTTAGTCTGATGAAGGCAGGACAAAGCAGTGGGGAAGAGAACACATTAAAACAGGCATTCAGTGATGAGCTTGTAAAGGTCAAGAAACCTAGGACAATGAGAAGGGAGTGCTGGCAATGATGGGCTGGCTGGGGACACTTGCTGTTTTGCAAACTGATTACTCAGAGGCATTAGTGATGCAGAATGCCTACCAAGCAACTTCTGAAATAGCAAAAGCCCCTTCCTGGTCATATACCACTAAGGGGATTTTTTTTTCGCCTATTAGAGGCAATTGAATTAATGTTTCCATTTGGGGTAGGACAAAGGAGAGAGAATGAGAAACAATCAGATAGAACCTATTTGACTTTTTTCATAAAATTGTTTCTATTTTGCAGTTTATGACCAAAGGAAAAAATATATATGTCCTTAATGTGTCTAGCAAGAAAATAAATCCAGTACAGAAATTTTTTAAACTTTCTGAAATCAGTTTCCAGAGGGTGATTTTAACAAAGCAACAACAATAATAATAATAATAGTCCACTTAGTACCTTGAGGACCTAAATGAGCTAATACATGCAGAATGCTTTATTAAACTCTAAAACACCATTAGAATGTGAAGGCATCTTACTAAGCCAGAGGCATGCCTTCTTCTTCAACGTGCTTCGGTGTATACTAAGAAACAAGCAAAAGGTTTTTATGTTTTTCAAGAAAGTACACTGGCGTTTCTGCACAGGCAGTTTATATTTGTGTGTTTGTTTCCTGAACACAGAACTTCACTCTGACATGACTCTAGTGGTTAATTCCAAGTCACTCCCACACGGGTAGAAAATCACAGAGCACTGGCCTCCGTCTTTGGGTTTCATGAGCAGGTGACTGTGTCCGCGTATAGCAGCGGTTTTCAACCAGGAACAAATTTGTCCACGGGGACACAGCAAGATCTGGAGACATCTTTCATGGCCACAGCTTGGGGGTGGGGGTGCTACTGGCATGGAGTGGGCAGAGGCTAGGGGTGCTGCTAAACAACCTACTTTGCAAAGGGCACCCCCACAACATGGAGTTATCCAGTCCAAAGTGTCAATAGTGCCAAGATGAAGAAACCCTATCTTAAAACATGAAGTTTTTTATTCCAGTCACCGGCCTCACAAAGAAGCAGAGCACAGGAGGATCAAACCTCACCTGAGAGCAGCCTGGTTCACTGTGCTGTGACAGAGTAAGAGCCAAGAACAATGTTGTGGGGAAAAACAAACACGAAGATCAATAAGAGCCCTTCAGCTGACAGGTGTGACAAGCCAAGCCAGCCAGCAGGGAGTGAGAAGGCACCAACATTACTTAAGAGAGATGCCAGCTTCAGAGGAATAGATGTGCACAGGGAGCTTATTGTGGCCAAGAAGGCCCTCTGAGCCGGAGGGCACAGCATTCCCTGAGCTGGGGGAACAATCATTGGCATGTGGCACAAAGTGGAAGGGGGTGAGATGTCAAAAAGCCAAAATGGGGGCAGAGAGTGGATATTCCCTTTTAATAGAGTATCTGATGCATTCGCAGGAAGAAGAGGAGACTATTTCAAAAGAAAGAAGTTACAGTCAGCGTAGCAAGTTCTGCATTTTAGGGCTAAAAATATTTCTTCTAGGAGAAGCTGCAAAGTTCATCAAAGGGGGAAGTTGTAGGCATGAAGTACTGTAGAGATACCTCAGCAGCTGTGGAATCTCAGCTGAATCTTGAAATAATAGTAAGTTTTACAAAGGAGAATGTTGAATGTGATCTTCAGTCACTCATTTGATAAATAACGTTTATCCATCTCCTGAGCCTCAATATCCTCATTTATAAGGTGGAGAGTGTTGGACGATTTGATTCAGAAAACCTGTTGTGAGCATCGACCTTATACAAAGGAGGTTATGAAGGATGCATAAACAAGTTAGACCCTCTCTCTGCACTTACCGGGCTTAAATCTACATGATCTTAAAGATCCCAGCTCCTAAAAGTCCCTGGGGAAGTAAAACTCCCTTATGATTCTATGGTAAAACACTCTAGGCAATTTGGAATTCATTAGTTCAGATGTTTAGTCCTTAAGAAATTGGAAATCTAGAACTTGCAAAAAGGGGAAGAAATGGCAATCCAAATCCAATAGTAATAGAGAGTGAAATAACGAATGTCGACCAACAGAAAGCAAAGAATAGGCTGTTATTGTTGCAAGAGTGATGTGCAAAGTGATGTGCAGACAGATCCCATTGTTAAGAGCTCAGACATTCAAGGTACTGCACCCAGCAGCCCTCAGTGAAATGTTCCCTTATGTAGCAAAAGGTCTGTGCAATCACCACACAGAATCGGATGGTTGGTCTGAAACTGTAATCACCTGTCAAGATGGAAAGGACTTATTTATTCTTTTAACTTTGGCTTTTGCCCTCTGAGCTGTAAGGTCTGTGTACTCTTCCAACTATTCCTAGAGCCTGAAAGCCAATGTCAGTGAAAAAGATAATGGGAATTTAGCATCAGAAATGAGTGAACGACGTTGGGAGCTCCTGTTTTTGTTAAAACAAGGTGAATCACAGGTGGTCCAGGAGACCTGCAGTCAATCCCCTTGATAGGCCTCTTAGCACTCATCACAAGATTGGTGAGTTTTCCCTTCTATGAGAGACAAATTGAAATAGTAAATTGTGACCATTGTCTAGATCTTAAGTAAGTCTCGCCAGGACCTGTGAATACCTTTCTCTGAAGTATAAATTTCTCATTATTCTACCAAAGACTTGTGACGTTTCTATGAGAAATCTTTGCCCCTAAATTGAGCCAGTTGTTTGCCAGGAAAAATAGAGCAGGACTTTTCTTTTAAGTGCCTTCAATGAAGTAATGAAGTTGTCTTTACGTCATGCTGGCCAGGAGCACCATAACCCTTTGTCCATTCTCTAAAAAGGTGAATCAGCCCAATTCTTCTGGGCCATGTAAAAAAATTGACCTGACTAGCAAAGGGCTGGAACCTTTGCAACTGTCTCTAGAAGTTCAATTATATAGTGTTTATTTAAAAAACAAAGAGCAGCAGAATAATCCTTTGCCAGTTCTCTAGGTTTCCTAGTGCCATGGAACTTCCTTCTCCTTGCATGTTTAAAAAGAAAAGAAAAAAAGTAAACTCACCTCCGGGAAGGAAGTCAGCTCTGATTTTATCAAGTGCCTGATACAAGAGATAAAAATTCAAAGCTTCTTTAGGCTGGGATTTCCAAAGGCCTGGGTCAGGGCCTTAACACCCTTGAACCTCCTCCCCTTTGCTCCATCATAGTGTCTGCACATAGAAGATGCAGAATGCATTGAGGGGTTTTTTTGTTTGGTTTGGTTTGGTTTGGTTTAGTTTGGTTTGGTGTGGTTTGGTGTGGTTTGGTTCGGTTTTAATAATAGGAAATGTCTGGGGAAAGGGATGAAAGCCTGTAGAGAAAATAGTTGTCTGTTATCCATACTAGGTACATAGTGAAAAGCCATGAGATAACGTGTTATATGTGGAAAACTTCAAGTCTCTAGGAAGTGTCTAAAGAAGGATTGAGTGATGTGTCATGATTTCTAATGACAGTTGGTCAGATAATGATTTATTTCAATTGTAGATTTTAATATGTCTCTGTAAGACTCTTCTCCCAACCGGAGTAACACTAGAAGGCCTTTAAGGTTCCTTATAACTCTGGGATTTTATGGTTGTTCAAGGCCTGATAATTAATGTGAAGTTTACAGTGATGTTTAATGAAAGCGAATATGTTTTAAATTCCATCTACAAATTATATAAATATTAAAACAAATACCAAGATAGAAGACTTAAAGACAGTCATATCAAAAATTATATTAAATGCAAATGGCTAAGCATTCTAGTTAAAAAGCAGAGATCATCAAGTGGATTTAAAAAAATAAATTACATGTTGATGACAAGAAACATATTTCAATTACGTCTAAGTTTGAAAATATGTTACGCAAACACTAAGCATTAGAAAGCTGGTGTGGCTATATTAATATCATATAAAGTAGACTTTAAAAAAACAGTATTGGCAGACATAAAGAAGAACATTTCTTACTGCTAAGAGAATCAACTCTTCAAGATCAAATGAAAGCTCTCACTGAAGCAAGATGACTGAGTGGGAACTCTTCAGTGAATTCCAAAGCAAACAGCATTTTTAAGCACAATGCATTAGAACGAATATATATTCAATTGCTTAATCTTGAAAGTGAATTTGCACTGTCTGTAATTCTTATATGACTAGACGACATATTGTCTTGGTAACAAGGAATTCTTTCAACAAAAGAGTATAAATAAGCAAAGAATGTTTTTTAGTTCATTTCACTCTGAATGTGACCCCTATGATAGATATAAACCAAAAATAAAATTTTAAGTCCCACGACCAACTGAGTGGACCCCCCCCTTTTAGCCAGAGGACCCAACTAAACCTGGAAAACTAGTTCAGATCATGCCAGGAAGAAGAGTGGTCAGACATACCTCAATTACTCTCTTCCCTTGTGGTTAAGACACACAACTGACCAGCATTAACATTAAAACACAGGTCCTAAAACTGACAGAACAGACTTTTTGTAACAATAAGATACCAAATTCCAACCTGACTCTAGTATAGCATCACATGATAGTGGGACCTTGAAAGAAACCAAAGTATTTTACTCCAAAATATATTTCTTTGACATATTTTGAAATGGCCCTGCCAAGCTGTTTCTTGTGGAGGAAATTTACATTCTGTAGAGAATCCCCGTTCCTTACCAGGCCCTTTTCTAATCCTGAGGAGATTAGCTGAGAGCCTAGCACTTTTTAAAGGTCTGAATAGGAAACACTTGCTATCTATTGCCTCTGGGCGTGGCCACCTTTGAGAATTCATCTACATAATAAGAACCCTGATCTCCACAACTCCTTATTTTAACCCAGACACTTCTTTCTATTGATTCCAGGTCTTTAGATAATAACTCTTTTGACCAATTGCCAATCAGAAAATCTTTGAATCTGCCTATGACCTGTAACCTCCCCCCAACCCCCGCTTTGAGTTGTCCCACCTCATTTGTATTGATTGATGTCTTAGGTTTCTCTAAAATATATAAAATAAGGCTATAACACAATTGCCTTTGGCACATGTTCTCAGGACCTCCTGAGGCTGAGGCTGTGTTACAGGTTGTGATCCATAACCTTGGCAAAATAAACTTCTAAATTGATTGAGATCTGTCTCAGACACTTTTTGGTTTACATAGAGAAGTAAATAATTGAAATGAATGAACTATTGCTCATCTCAGAAGGAAGACTTTGATTTAGTCTCTGTGTGTGGTAGAGGAGATGGGTTCTCCCTGCAGTCTAGAGATACTTAAAGAGGCAGAAAATATCAGAGAGAAAGAATTCCCTCTCCCTAATCCAAACATGGAAGATGAGAATAAGCAGAATGCACTTAGGGGATTGCTCAAATCTGATATTTTCCAGCCTAATTTATATGATTTTATGGAGGATTAATAGACATTTTTCTCAAAAAAAGAAAGTTAATGAAGTTTTCTAGAACAACAACAAAACCCAGAGTAGCTAAGGTAGAAAAGAATGCAGCCCAGGAGGAGATTCTAATAGACCCACACAGGCAGGACAAGTGAGAGCTCAGGACAGAGAATGCAGAAGCAGAAGAGAGAGATGGAACCTTAGAGCTAAGGAGAAAGCAGAGAAAGTGAAAGTGTCAGAAGGTGAAAGAGGTTCTAAGAGAGAAAAGGCTAGTCATGGTCAAAGTTAGGCAGGGAGCATGAGACCACAGTCTGACCACATTTACAAGAAACTTCAAAGCCTTCACCAGCTCAGGATTGATGAGGAAAATAAAGGAGTGGTATGACCCAGTGGAAAAAAAACCCAGACTGACACCTAAACCCAAGTGTCACCAGGTATATTGGCTTCCTGTGACTATTGTAACAAATGACCACAAACTGGTTTAAGACAACAGAAATATATTCTGTCCTAGTTCTGGAGGCCAGAAGTCCCAAATCAATGTATTGGTAACCTTGGTTCCATTTGGAGGTGGAATCCATTCCATACCTCTCTCCTAACGTCTGAAGGCTGTCAGCAATCTTTGGCGTTCTTTCCTTTACAAATGTACCTCCCTAATCTCTGCCTTTATCTTCATATGGTCCTCTTCTCTGTCCCTCTGTATTGCAAATATTCCTCTCCCATCTCTTATAAGGATGCCAGGCATTGGGTTCAAGGCCCACCCGAAATCTAAGATGATCTCATTTTGAGATCCTTATTTTAATTATATCTGCAAAGACCCTTTTTCAGAATAAGATCATAATTCGAAATTCCATGAATTTGGATGGTTGAGGGGATATTATTCAATCCACCATACCAATTAACTCCAAGGTGAAAGGAATTGATCCAAACTACATTACACTCCAGGGGTCTCAAATTTGAAGGTGCATGTGATCATCTGGGGATTCAGCAGCTCTGGGAGGTAGCTGACAATCTGCACTTCTACAGGTTCTCAGGATGCCAGTGCTTCTGGTCTGGACCATACCGAGTAGCAAAGATTTAGTTGTCTATGTGGAAAGGTATACAATTAGTTGGCTTTGCTTAACATAACTCCCAGTAGAGCTGGTATGGCCACAGGGTGTTTGGAAAACAATTTAAAATGCTTATGGGTGAAAAGTAAGAAATAAAGATAAATCTGAGTGTGAGCCAAACTGTTTTCCCTGGGTGAGAAACAGCAGGTGGGGAGACAGCTGTGTGATCTCTGCTGTGCCCTTCAATCTTCCTAAAAATTACTAGACTGACACACACCTTTTGCTAGTGAGTCACATGGAAAGCTTGAAAGCACAGAGTTTTGAGACCAGATTGGTGTAGAGAGGAACAAATGTCTATGAGGCAAAAGTCCCTGAGAGTTTGCAGAAATTGAGAGAGAGGAGGTATTAGGGCTCATGTGATTTGTGATATTGAAGGCTTAAACCTTTAATAAGTAAAAGAAATATCTGAGAAGGAGGAAAGCATCTGCGGTATCTAGGTAATATCTGCTAAGATCCCACAGAAATGGCCCTCTGTGTGGCAGAATATAGGCAATTCTGCCTCTAGCTTCATCACAGTTTAGAGTCTTTTATCTGTAAGTCAGAAAAGAGGTAGCATGAAAACATGGACTTTAAGTAGTCATTTGAAAGAATGGACTTTGTAGTGGACAGTGTAGCTTGAGTCTCAATATTACAAAATATTTCAAAATCAATATCCCATCTCAATTATCAGAAGGGATATTGCAGTCACCTAGCCAATTTTTAGACTTGGTTCAATCCAAGAAATCTTACAAAATTAATTTTCCTTCTTAAAATAAAGCACTTTTCACAGAGAAGGTTGTGGGGTAGGGAAATGAGGGGTTGATTGTCGAAATGATAACACTAAAGGCCTCATTTTACTCTGGCGATGTTGAACTTCAACTGAGCTTGTTATCCTGGAAAATGGTGACAATTAAGAAAGCTACTCCCCCTGCCCAATTCCCTTATGCTCTGGAACTGGCCTACTGCAGGGAACCATCCTTCCCCATATGACTTAGGCAAAAATCATGGATGACCCCCTTGTTCACCCATGGCAAAGCCAGGCAGACACCCTGCAGATTTTCATTCTTTGGCCCCGTAAATGATTAGCTGAACTGTCTGTGATCAATCCAGACAAAATCTTTGCAAACCAATCTTTGGTGAAGATTCTCTCCTTGCCCCAGATCCCTGAATTTTGACCTCCTCTTAGCCTGAGCCAGCACACATCTCCCCACTAATGGACTCTCCCAAGGAATAGACTGACCTCTGGGTAAGACATTCTGTGATCCACTGACCAATTATGTCAGCCTTACATCCCCCTTCCCACACTTGGCTCTTTCCAGATTTGCTTACTCCTCCCTAGGAAAGGAAAGCCCTTTACTGGCTGACCTTGGAGATGCTTGTAGATGTCGTGGTCAGAGCATTTTCTCTATTGCAATGGTCCCCTGATCCTCCTGTTATGCCCTTTGCTGTAATCCTTCCAATAAAGTTTCTCCTTATACAGATCCGGATTTTTTTTTTTTCACAGCAAGAGAAATAAAGGGAAACTTGTGCATGGGTCATTGTTTCCCTAATGATTTTGAGTTAGTTAAGTCAGTGCAATCTTTCTCCCCCTGGGTTCCTGAAATGAGCCTTTGATCCTAATCCAAGAGCCCCCTGAGGTTAGCGGTGGCAAAGTCAAGAGAGCATGGAGCTGGAAGGCAGGACACCTGGTCTGTGTTCCCACATCCACCAATTACAAGAAACTGTGTGGCTGTGGGCAAGTCCCAAGGCATCCGGGACCTCAGCAGTAATAATACCTTAAAGAAAATCTTGAGTCTTTTCTTTCAGTTCTGACAGCTGTAACGTTGGGATTGACTGGAGTTTTCTGACCAGTAATACCCTGAACTCTAACAGCAGTTTTGGTCCGAATCTTTCACCTAGAGTCATATCAATAAGTTCTGCTGCTGTTTAACTGTTCTCTGTGTGGTGGTGTGTGCATGAGTGTGTGTGTGTGTGTGTGTGTGTGTGTGTGTGTGTGTGTGTGTGTGTCTTTGCCTATGTGTGTATGTGATGGCCTTAGGAGGCCGGAAGTGTCTATGGTGTTCTGAACGGTGCATTTGATTTTCCTTCTTCCAGCCAAAGCCTTCAGCTAAGTTGATTTGCTTTCTTCTGGCTCCTTTGCTTATGGTGATGAATAGATATGGGTGTGTTACATAACCATATCCACTATTAATGTGGATCTATAGTGAAGTTCTCTATGATTTTCCCAGTGTGCTTAGTGTGTGAGAAGCTTCTATTTTTCTTATTTACATCCCAACATTGTCCACAAAGTGTCTACACATATTTCAGTGAAATGTCAGAGCAAAAGCCTCTTTTAAGCAAAAGAGATAAAATGACCAGGCCAACTAGTTTTTAAAATGTAGGTTTTCCAGTTTAATTTAATGTAATTTATTTTTTAGTACAGGAACCTTCAGACAAACAAATTCATCTGTTGGGGCCTGTCAGGATCACAGAACAGAAGACAGTATCACCTCTTTGCCTATGAGGCACAAGTCTCTGAGAGTTTGCAGGTATTTGGAGAGAGGAGGGGCCCATTGCATCAGGGGCCCATTACAATAGAGAAAATTGGGACAGGGTTGAAGGGTGGGAATAGTCCTCATCTTGCCTCTCACACCCTCCATGGCTCCCAAGGGGCCACCATAGTGTGACCATTGCTGCTCTAGGCCAGTCACTCATTTTGGCAGGGAAGCTGAAACTCAGACAAAGTTTCTCATCCATGGCCATGCAGCCGGTGAGGACAGGGCTGGGGTTCTCGGCCTTGGACAACCTCCCTCCCTCCAAGGAACTCCCACCTTCGCTCAGCTCACCTTTGTCACATGGTCCCCCCACCCCCCGCCCCACTGGAAATTAGTAAAATAGTAGTTATTTCCAGGGATGTTTTCCTTATGTGGGCTCCCAACCTCATTCCCTTTTGGACTGAATTATTCTGGAAGGAAAGAATGAAGGGAGGGAGGGAGGGAGGGAGAGAGGCAAGAAAGCCAATCAGTCAGCCAAAAATTCAGCTATCTGTGGCTCCCGAACATTTTTAAGTTAAGAAATATGACAGTGGTGCTTGCTATCTGCTGATTGACATTATACATTATTTATTTTAGGGCAGAGCAGTCAGTTTTAAAGCTGGAGTTTTGTTTTAGAGAAAATAAATCCTGTTTCAAAATTATCATGACCTGTCCAAAAAATACCAGAGCCTAGATATGTAAGAATCTGAATACAAATTTGAGCTCTAAATGACATCATTAGTAGTGTAACCCTGCAGGCCACCATTAATTGGTGGCAAGACATACATCACTGACAGGAGATTATGAAGTGAAGAAAAGGCAAATATTTTGCAGCCCAGTGGATTAAAGAAATCTATCAGGCTGACGTAATGCTGTGCTCAAGAGAGATCAGAAGCCCTAACTATTTAAGCTTCTCGTATTTGGCTCAAATGTGCTGGTTTTACAAAATGGTCACACAAAATTCACTATTGCTTCCAAAACCCGATTCTCCATCAGCTTCTTGGTGCTTCCTGCTTCCCATGTAGTTAGTTTGGGACCTTGGAACCAGTGTCAGCCAATGGGCTCTCACAGGAAATGGCAGGTGTTACTTCCGATCTGAGGCATTGAAGAGCATGAGTCTCCGTGCCCTCTCTTCCTGAGGTGCTCTGGAAGTTCTGCGTAAGTGAAGACCACAGAGATAAAGTGCCATTAGGGTTCAATCTATCAACATGACTTCTCACTGTAGATGTTGATGTGGTTTGCCTGGCTGAGAAATGTTTATCAGGTTCCTCAACAGTTGAGTTACTTAGGTTACTGTTTTTCTCCCTCCCTTTCCATGTTCTGTGCTTTGAAAGGAAATCACTAGATTCCGTCCACAATTAAGGACTGAGCAGTTTTATTTCTCAAAGGTGGAGCAACCACATAAATTACTTGGAGTTCTTCTTCATGGGAAATTTCTCTCTTCTCCCTCAATTATTTATTAATTCGATCATTTATTTGTGTCAGTATAGACTTGTGAATATTTATGTAATACTTTGGGCTATAATCTAATACTGTCTTATTTATGTAGCTAGTTTTGCTAAAATTCTTAGCTTTAGCCATTGAGAGCTCTTTCAGTTGGCTTCTGTGTCCCTTTGACATACCCCTTAATTGTGGGGTGTTTTGTTTGTTTTTGAGCTTTTCCCTACATTTTGGCATGATAAGAGATGTTCCAGGCTCATCTCGTCTATTTACTGCCTCAGTCCTACCATCAGCATTTCTCCATGGAGCCCTGGTTCCTTTAATTGAAGAATAGTTTTAGAATCCAAGATCTGGCCAGGCGCGGTGGCTCATGCCTGTAAATCTCAGCACTTTGGGAGGTCGAGGCCGGCAGATCACAAGGTCAGGAGATCGAGACCATCCTGGCTAACACGGTGAAACCCCGTTTCTACTAAAAATACAAAAAATTAGCCGGGCGTGATGGCGGGCGCCTGTAGTCCCAGCTACTCCGGAGGCTGAGGCAGGAGAATGGCGTGAACCCGGGAGGTGGAGCTTGCAGTGAGCCGAGATCGCGCCACTGCACTCCAGCCTGGGCGACAGAGCGAGATTTCGTTTCAAAAAAAAAAAAAAGAATCCAAGATCTGGAGTTAGGTATGTGATATGGGGTTTGGCTCTGTATCCCCACCCAAATCTCACCTTCAATTGTGATAATCCCCACGTGTCATGGGAGGGACCTGGTGGGAGGTAACTGAATCATGGGGCCAGTTTTTCCCGTGCTGTCTTGTGATAGTGAATAAGTCTCACAAGATCTGATGGTTTGATAAAGGGGAGGTCTCCTGCACAAGCTCTCTCTTGCTTTCTGCCCTGTAAGATGTAACTTGCTCCTATTCACCTTCCACCATGATTGTGAGGCCTCCCCAGCCATGTGGAACTGGGAGTCAATTAAACCTCTTTCCTTTATAAATTACCCAGTCTTGGTGTGTTTTTATTAGCAACGTGAGAACGGACTAATACAACATGCTTGTTGCTACTGAGGTATCATTGCTTCTAGACTCTGTCAGCTAACAGAGCAGGGAAACATCTACATGTATGTAACCCATGAGTATATACATATAGTATCTATAATATTTCTATGTAATGCTTCTTTAGTTTTAATTGTTTGGTTTTAAAAAATAACTTGCTGAAATGGATGTTTAAATTCTTGATTTTAAAACTTTATCTTTTTAATGTCTGTATTAAGGGTTATGAAATCTCTAAGCATACCATTAGCTGTATCCTACACATTTTATATGCATGTTTAATTACTATACCATACAAAATACTTTATAATTTTTATTGTGATTTCTTCTGTGACCCATGGGCTATTTAGAATTACATTTTTCAATTTTCTAATGTATGCAGCTTTTATAGTTATGTATTTTATAATTAATTTATAGTTTTATAGCTTAATTGTATTAAATTGTATTATACTCAGAGAACATACTCAATGATTGCAATCATTTGAAATTGTTAGATATTTGCTTTATGATACAACTTATTGTCAATTTTGGTAAACATTTTGTGTGTGCTTGAAAACAAATATGCATTCTGTGGTTCTTCAATGCAGTGTTCTATGTGTGCATATTAATCTTGTTTTCCAAAGATGTTATTGAAATATTCTAAATTCTTACTGAATTTTTATCTGCTTGTTCTATTTGTTATCAACAGTTATATTAATTTCTCTCTTGTAAGGGTGGGCTTGTCTTTTTCTCTGTGGCTCTGTCAAGTTTTGCATTATATTTTGTGAGACTGTGCTATTAGGTATATGCAAATTGTGAATAGTTATAGCTTCCTGATGAATTGAAGCATAATATTACAAAATGTCTTTTTTGTCATTTGTAATGCTTTTTGGTCTTAAAGTTTGCCTTATCTGATATGAATATAGTTTTCTTTTTATAGTGTTTGAATTGCATATCTTTTATTTTCATTCTTTTCGTCAACTTATATTTTATTTGTTCACACATTTTTATATTTCATTTGCTTACCCATTACTGAGCTTTTCTCCTTTCCTATTCTGACAGTATTTTTCTTTTAATCGGGTCATTTACCCATTTATATAAAATATATTTAGGTTTAACCCTACCATCTTATTCAATGCTATTTGTCCTGTCTGTTTTATGTTCTCTTTTCTCTCCTTTCTCACTTTCTTTTAGATTAATTGGGAATTTTTATTATTCCATCTTCCCCCTTTTTAGCTTCCATATTACACACCTTTAAACAATTCTTTTAATGTATATCCTAGAATTACAGACCGTGGGACAAATTCAGCCCATCACCTGTTCTTGTATGGCCTATAAGAATATCTCATGGCATCTGAAAATTTAATTAAATTCAAACGTCATTGCTTATAAGTAAAGTTTTATTAGAACTTTTGTTGTCTTTTACAACTGCATAATCTGTATATATCAAAGATTTTCCAGAACAGGAAACTAAAGCACAATATAGAAAATAATTGAATAGAAATTATAAAAATTCTGATAGGCTTGTACAAATCCTAATTTCAGATATTTCTATTAATCAAATGATCTTTTTTGTTCCATTGATCACCCTTATAATAAATGATGTTATGCATTATACATTATACATTAAATATTGCATACTAATTATGTTACTTTAATACATAAACATGTGCCAAAAAACTCCACTTTAGTTTTTGAGTTTCAGGAGATTAATTTTGAAAATAGGATTTACATGCTCAAAAGTATGCAAATGAATAGATGAATCTAACCAACTAACTTGAGCTAAAGAAAAAAAATGATGTTGATTTCATATGTTAGCACTCCAAATAACCCATGAACACTGTATTGTAAGCCTTCCTGGGCCTTAACCCAAAACAAACATGGATACGAATTTCAAGATAATTTGGGGTGTATTCAGCAATCCTTAAAGCAGAGTAACTTGTGGGTCAGATACACTTTGCCTTTACATTGTGTTAAGTCTTCCTGTGTTTGTTGCCAGCATGTTTAAATTGGGATGTTTTATATGGAACAAAATCTACATTTCTGCCTTCTCTTAGAACACGGGCAGAAGTGAGCCAGCATATCTCACATAGCAATACTGGGTTGAAGCTTAGTAGATGTTGTCCTCTGTATTGGGTCTTAGGGCTGCCATAGCAAAGTACCACAAACTGGGTGGTTTAAATAACAGAAATGTATCATCTCAGCTCTGGAGGCTAGAAGTCCCAGATCAACATGTTGGCAGAGCTGGTTCCTCCCGCTGGCTGTGAGGGAGAATCTGGTCTATGCCTCTCTCCTAGCTTCTGATGCTTTCCTGGCAATCCTTGGAATTCCTTGGCTTGTAGTTGCATCCCGTCAACCTTTGCATTCATGGTTCACCTGGCATTATCCCTGTGTGCATGCCTGTGTCCACATTTCCCCCTTTTATTTTATTTTTTATTTATTTTTGAGATGGAGTCTCACTCTGTTGTCCAGGCTGGAGTGCATCGGTGCAGTCTCGGCTCACTGCACCCTCCACCTCCTGGGTTCAAGTGATTCTTCTGCCTCAACCTCCTGAGTAGGTGGGATTGTAGGCATGTGCCACCATGCCTGGCTAATTTTTGTATTCTTAGTAGAGACAGGGTTTCCCCATGTTGGCCAGGCTGGTCTCGGACTCCTGACTTCAAGTGATCTGCCTGCTTTGGCCTCCCAAAGTGCGGGAATTAGAGGCGTGAACCACCTTGCCTGGCCTACATTTCCCCTTTTTATAAGGACACCAGTCATATTGGCTAAGGAGTCCACCCCCCTCTACCATGACCTCATCATAAGTAATTACATTTGCAACAACCCTATTTTCTTTTTTTTTATTTTTTTATTTTTTATTTTTATTTTTTATTATTATACTTTAAGTTTTAGGGTACATGTGCACAATGTGCAAGTTTGTTACATATGTATACATGTGCCATGTTGGTGTGCTGCACCCATTAACTCGTCATTTAGCATTAGGTATATCTCCTAATGCTATCCCTCCCCCCTCCCCCCACCCCACAACAGTCCCCGGTGTGTGATGTTCCCCTTCCTGTGTCCATATCTTCTCATTGTTCAATTCCCACCTATGAGTGAGAACATGCGGTGTTTGGTTTTTTGTCCTTGCGATAGTTTGCTGAGAATGATGGTTTCCAGTTTCATCCATGTCCCTGCAAAGGACATGAACTCTTCATTTTTTATGGCTGCATAGTATTCCATGGTGTATATGTGCCACATTTTCTTAATCCAGTCTATCGTTGTTGGACATTTGGGTTGGTTGCAAGTCTTTGCTATTGTGAATAGTGCCGCAATAAACATACGTGTGCATGTGTCTTTACAGCAGCATGATTTATAATCCTTTGGGTATATACCCAGTAATGGGATGGCTGGGTCAAATGGTATTTCTAGTTCTAGATCCCTGAGGAATCGCCACACTGATTTCCACAATGGTTGAACTAGTTTACAGTCCCACCAACAGTGTAAAAGTGTTCCTATTTCTCCACATCCTCTCTAGCACCTGTTGTTTCCTGACTTTTTAATGATCGCCATTCTAACTGGTGTGAGATGGTATCTCACTGTGGTTTTGATTTGCATTTCTCTGATGGCCAGTGATGAGGAGCATTTTTTCATGTGTTTTTTTGGCTGCATAAATGTCTTCTTTTGAGAAGTGTCTGTTCATATCCTTTGCCCACTTTTTGATGGGGTGCAACAACCCTATTTTCAAATAAAGCCACATTCTTAGGTATTGGGAATGAGAACTTCAACATATAAATTTGAATTGACACAATTCAATCCTTAACACCCCTTTTAGAAGGGACATGCATTCCCTCATTCCCCACAATTGCCATTTGATAGAGTATTCATTCCTGGCCCACTAAGATATTTAAGTTTGTGATCCTTGTCCTAAATCCCATAGGCTTAGGAGGCTGTATACCTGACAGGTAGACCTAAATATTAGGAAATCATAAGATCATAGGATGTCAGAGAAGGGAAGAACCTCTGAGATTAACTGTTGTCACCCTCTTGCCCTATTGCAGAGGGGCAAATCTAAAAAATGCTCTCACTGGTCTTTTCCAAAATCGTTCCCGTAATAGTACCTAAGATTCTTATTATTTACCTAAGATTAAAAAAATCCATTGCATCAAATTTATTTGAAAAGGGAGATAAGTTTGACAAAACTGTCTTTTCAGTTCCACAACACGGCATACAAATCCCTTTCCTTATAACTTTTCTCAGAAACTGGCTTGTGGAATTTGGTTTATCCTGTAGGGCCTTAGTATTATTTTTTGTTTGTTTGTTTATTAGAGTTTTTGCACTGGATGCTCTGTTCCTTAGAAAATAAAGAGGCTTTCCAAGTAAATAGGGCCATTGTGTACAAATTAGAGTTCAGGAAGGATGCTTCTCAATGGTTCAGCTGTTTCATAGGCTACTTAACATACAGCATGGGTAAACATGAGTTCCCATGTACAAAGGGTTTTTCTAAATTTATAGCTTCCAAACAGCCATTAATTTTGCTGCCATATGGGTCACAAGAGGCAGGCTGATAAATCTTTCATCCGCAGTGGATTATGTTTTCCCATATGTATGTTTATTTTCAGAATCCATGTGTATTTCAGCTAGGGTGCAGCTGATCTTCTACAAAAACTCTGCAAGTTCATAAGAAGGAATCAATAATATACTGTACCCGCCTGCTCTTGATAAACTCTGACTCCTTAGGTATTCAGAAGAGAATCCAGGGAGATCCTGATTCTGCATATCATCCCATATTACAAATGACTATAAAAGTTGGTGAATAATAATGCTTGACCTTTAAGAAGCCAGCAGTTTTCAACCAAGTCAGTCAATAGTGACGAGGCCTTAATCCAAAGCCATTATGAAACTCCAATATTCCCCCCAACCTCAGAAGTTTGTCTTTTTATTCTAGAACTACATTGGGAGTAAATGATTTTTCATCATTATTTAATAATAGCCTAAATCACTGCCTTAAGGTATTTGCCAATTTAGATCTGTTACATGGTAAATATTAAATCACATAGTTTTCTGCTCAACATATTCATCACTGACTATAATTTGCATGGCATAACTTGAATGTAATTTCAAATAATTTGGTACAATAAATATAATGAGAATTAGATTATACCTGCCTAAAGGACAGCACGATTCATATAATTGCTAATGTACTGATTCTTCCATGTATTTTGACATTCATATTAGGTGGCTCTCTTTTTTTGTTATTAATAATGAATTTAAAATGGCTTGCAGTTCAAATTTGATAGTTTTCCAAGTGCTTTCATGTTCTTTGTTTCAAGATTTTTCAAAATGAATAGGAACTGTAGGAAATAGTTTATGTTATTTCCATTGTCTAGAAGAATCTGAGGATCAAGCCAGTTAGTGACTTGTCTATGGGATACAATCTATAAGGACAGAGCTGGGCTCAGGCTTAGGTTTTGTGCCAAGTGCAATGTTCTTTCTTCTTTTTTTTTTTTTTTTTTTTTTTTTTTTTGAGAGGGAGTCTCGCTCTGTCGCCCAGGCTGGAGTGCAGTGGCGCGATCTCGACTCACTGCAAGCTCCGCCTCCCGGGTTCACGCCATTCTCCTGCCTCAGCCTCCCGTGTAGCTGGGACTACAGGCGCGCGCCACCACGCCCGGCTAATTTTTGTATTTTTAGTAGAGACGGGGTTTCACCGTGTTAGCCAGGATGGTCTCGATCTCCTGACATGTTCTTTCTTCTATACTTTGTTGCTTCTGAAAATATTGTGCTTGGGTATTTGTTTTTTACCCTGTAGTTTTAACAAGCCCCACTCGAAAGCACTCTAAAACCCTGGCATGCACTGTGTTTGCAGTCCCTGTTGTACTGTTTCAAAGTAACCCATTCTATTGTGTGCTGAGATTTACTCTATGATAACTCTAACTCATACAAACTAGTAGCTGGGATATTACCTCCAAGGGCCACTGGTCGCCAAAGACTTATGTACTCTGTCCTTGATCAAGCTGAGAGTTTGATATTGAGTTCCAGTGAGAAAGAAGCTACCCTTTCTTTATCTGTAGCTCAGGACACTTCCAAATTGTCTTGCTCATCTCTGTACCTTTCCTCTGCAGCTTCTTCAAAAGGATAAATTAAATTCCTGCAAGAACATCTTTAAATAAACTATACTTGTATTGGCACCCTTGCATTTATGTAGAAATTAAAGGAAGACATATTTTTATTACAAAAATAACTTCTTAATAATAGCTGGGTATGAACTAATTGCTTTCAAGGCTTTGCACATGGTGGCAGGAATTATTACATTAAATGTACACTGTGGCTTTTGGCTTGGGCATACTTGGATGAGGGCTCAGCCACCAGGAGATCCCCACAGTTCTCATCTTTCCAGATAGATGAACTTGATGCCTCCTTTGCATTGAGTATGAGAATGGTATAGGCCCTCCCCCAATAAACTGGTAGGATTTGCATTTAGCAATATTTAACAATAAAAACTATGTTTACTGAGCTTTGCTGTGCCAAGCACTGGGCTAGGTGCTTTCTATGTAATAATGCACGGACTCTGATGCAAAACTACCTTAATTTGAATCCTTCCCCATCTACTGACTAGATATTTAACCATATTGAGTTGCTTAACTTTGTTATGCCTCAGTTTCTGCATCTGTAAAATGAGAATAAGGAGAGTACCTACTTTAGGTGTTACGGAAGTGAATGAGTTCTTAATGTCCAGTACTAAGAACAGTATAGGTATGCAATCAGAACAGAAGAAAGGGTAGTTATTGTTGTTATAATAATGATAAGGAGGAGGATGCTGAACTCTAACCAACTGAGAGTTAAAAAGTATATTTTCTTTTATTGACTTTATTCTTTAACCCCAACTTCAGGAAACTGAAGGCTTGGACAATATTTCCATGACTCATTCAAAGTCAGATGTCAAACAGCTAGTAAATGGCTGAGCTTGGAGAGGAACAGGTTTCTTTGTCTATGACTAACACGTTAATTGATTAAATCATCCAATCCACTGGCCAAACTAGTCAAACAGCCAGCAGGTTTATGATATAGAGGTGAGGGGAATGAGCTTGATGGTGTTATAGGATGGACAGTGGCTTTGGAATCAGAAAATCTTGTCCTGAATCAGCCTTCACTAACTCAAGTCAGTTGACTTCTCCAAGTTTCTATTATTTCATCTATAAAATGATTCCCAATCTAACCCATTCAAGATGGGTGTTCAGAGAAGCAAAGAAATATCATATTTGAGAGAATTTTGTAAATCAAACTGCCATAAATTGTGCCATTTATTAATGTTTGATATTTTACAAAATGATTTTTACTTGTTTTACACAGTTGTTAATTAAAATGACCAAATCACTTGGTTATTGCTTGTAATATATGTGGAATCCAACAGTTTTTTTAACCTACAAGTACATGAATCAGCCTTGAAAACAAGCACGATGATTAATATTGAGTGTCAACTTGATTGGATTGAAGGATGCAAAGTATTTGTTCCTGGGTGTGTCTGTGAGGGTGCTGACAAAGGAGATTAACATTTGAGTCAGTGGACTGGGAGAGGCAGACCCACCCCCAAGCTGAGTGGGCACCATCTAATCAGCTGCCAGCGTGGCTAAAATAAAGTAGGCAGAAGAAAGTGGAAGGAGAGAGATTTGCCGTGTCTTCTGCCCTTCATCTTTCCTCCATGTTGGATACTCTTAAGTTCTTCAGCTTTTGGATTCTTGGACTTACACCAGTGATTTGCTAGGGGCTCTCGGGCTTTCAGCCAGACTGAAGGCTGCACCATCAGCTTCCCTATGTTAGAGGTTTTGAGACTCAGTCTGGATTCCTTGCTCCTCAGCTTGCAGATGCCCTATTGTGGGATCTCACCTTGTGATCATGTGAGTCAACTCTCCTAATAAACTACCCTTTATATATATATGTGTGTGTGTGTGTGTGTGTATGTGTGTATATATATATATATATATTCTATTACTTCCCTTCATATATATAAATATATATAAAAATATATATAAATATATATAAATATGTATAAATATATATAAATATATATAAATATATATAAATATATATAAATATATATAAGTATATATAAATATATATATAAATATATATAAATATATATAAATATATAAATATATATAAATATATAAATATATAAATATATATAAATATATATACCAATATATAAATATATAAATATATATAAATATATATAAATATATAAATATATAAAAATATATATAAATTATACATATATAAATATAAAAATATATAAATATATATATAAATATATATAAATATATATAAATATATAAATATATATATAAATATATATAAATATATAAAAATATATAAATATATATAAATATATATAAATATATATAAATATATATAAATATATAAATATATATAAATATATATAAATATATAAATATATATAAATATATATAAATATATAAATATATATAAATATATATAAATATATAAATATATATAAATATATATAAATATATAAATATATATAAATATAAATATATAAATATATATATAAATATATATAAATATATAAATATATATATAAATATATATAAATATATAAATATATATATAAATATATATAAATATATAAATATATATATAAATATATATAAATATATAAATATATATATAAATATATATAAATATATAAATATATATATAAATATATAAATATATATATAAATATATATAAATATATAAATATATATAAAAATATATATAAATATATAAATATGTATATAAATATATATAAATATATATATATATAATATACTACTACTCTCCTTCAGATAGATAGATAAATAGATAGATAGATAGATATCCTATTAGTTCTGTTCTGTCCCCTTAGAGAACCCTGACCAATACAACGTTGGGAAATGTCCTAACTCATAAAAATGGAGACCCTTTCTCTCTTTCTCCCAGGAAATGTACAGTTTACATTCATGCTTTGATTCATACTTTGATTGATTCATTCATCCATTCATTCATTCATTCACTTTTCTTTTTTCTATGTGCCAGGCATTATGATGGGTAATAGAATGAATAACGTACAATCCTTGCCCTTAGTAGGTTAAGCAGCCTCATAAACACATCATTATAATCCATTGCGTTAAACGTAGTGCTAGGTAATTGATCTGGGAAGGAAATTCATAGAAGACTTCCCGGAAGAAGTGACATCTAAATTGAGTCTTGAAGAAAAAAAATAAGTTATTAGCAGCTAAATACATGGATCTCCTTTGTGACCCTCCAAGGGCAGATGGCAAGACTTGGTGGTGATGGATGGACTTCACTGTGAATTTCAGGTCTGAAATGACTGAAGAAACTTGATGACTTGGCTGAGAATGTCCTTCAATAATCTGCTATATGCATAGGGCTTCTCTATTGGGTGTCTTTGGGCAGATGTTTGCAAACCTGGCTTATTTAATGTATGAAGTTTCTACAATGGACCGTGTTTGCCTTAAAAAAGGAAATGATTCTTTACTCTTCTCAAATGGTCATAAAGAAGCAACTCATGTTTATGTAATGCAGCTCAGTGCTGAGGCTGAAGATAAGAGTGAATTTCGATGGAGCTCTTCCAAGCACTAAAACAAAATGAAGGAAATAAGATACGATTAGACCAGAATTCATGGAAGTGAGTCAAATATACATCTCCACCTACAAAGAAATAGTCTCATTATCGCTTTAAAAGATTTTTATGTGGGAACATCATGTGCGTATTGTTTCATAATTACTCTTTAACATGCAGTAAAAATAATTTTGCATGCACCAGTTTGAGTGTTTATTGGCTTCCCTAAAAGCAAAGGCCTTGAGGTACTAATTGGGACAGAGGCGGGAGGAGAACAGGGTCAGAGAAGAGACCCAAGGAATGTCAAAATCAGTCATTTGCTCCTAAGTGGTAGGAAACAGAGACATTTTTGGTTCCAAGTTGCTTGTTTGGGCCTAGTTAGAAAAGTTGGTTAAACTCTGGGCATTTGCAGGTTGAGAGCTATTTGTTTATGTGAACTAGAAAAAAGTATCTTTCAGGACCAAAGGTATTGGGATGGGTTCAGTGGAGAGGGTGGATGTACTTTGGGCTCAGAGCTTAATATTGATCCTATAGATCAGGGGTCCCCAACACCAGGCCAAGGACCCATACCAGTCCGTGGCCTGCTAGGGACCTGGCCACACAGCAGAAGGTCAGCAGTAGGCCAGTGAGCATTACTGCCTGAGCTCTGCCTCCTGTCAATCAGCAGCAGCATTAGATTCTCCTAAGAGCGGGAACCCTATTGTGAACTGCACATGCTAGGGATCTAAGTTGCACGCTTCTTATGATAATCTAATGCCTGATGATCGGAGGTGGAACAGTTTCATCCCAAAAGCATTCCCCGTCATCCATGGAAAAATTATCTTCCATGAAACTGATCCCAAAGCGTTTTGGGACCACTGCAGATGCCTGGGGATACCTGACATCCGATTGCATAACAAACTTCATCCTCTGAATATTCATAACCATGAGTAGTGTTTGCATTATAGTAAGTGGTGTGTGGACAAATACTACAACCATTATAAATAAACTGTGGTAGTAATTGTAGTAATAATACCTGCTTTGAATTAAGGAGGTGTGCCATTTGCCTGGTATTTTAGATGTGCCATCTAGTGGTCAGAAGGAGCATTTTCAGATTATTAAAGTCGCTCTAGTACTCAGAGACACTTGCAATATTCTGAGTACTGATTATTTCACGGTAAGTATCCACTATGTTTCTTCCTCCAGGGAAATAATTCATCATTTTTGGTAATGTAAGTCTGAAGCTTTTTTGAAATCCTTTCGTCTGTGTAAAGCTAGTTTCCATCTCATCCTCTTCTATAAAATAAGATACTCTCTATTTGCTAAAGACAATTTAAACTGGGTCTCAGGGGAGGAGCCAGAACATACCAACAGGTGTGGGCAAAAGGACAGGTGTGGGCAAAGGGACAGAAAAGGTGGCTTGGCCAGATTGTGACACTTGTCGTTGTCACAGCTAAAATGTTTGAGGTTTGGCATTTAGGGGACACTGGAATGTCAGCAGTAAAGTGATGGGTCAGGGCTGAGATGCAAAAAGGTAGCTTGGTGTCGAGCAATGTGAGGCCAGAGGCAGGACACCTGGATGATGGGTGTGACGGTGGCCCAGCCAAGACACAGACATGGCCTGAATCAGACACAGAGTTGGTGATGGGGAGGGCTGGGGGATGCAGCAACATGACCCGTGGGAAGTGGGACATGGCTACAGGCAGTCTGCAGGCCAGTCTGGCACCACTGCATCCTGACACCCGGCACATGGCAGGTGTGGAGCAGCCAGGAGGGAGAGCCCCTGAGCCCCTGCCTGATCAGCTCCTCCCTCCCTCCTTTCCTCCCTACCTCCCTCCCTTCCTTCCTCCCTCCCTTCCTTTCTTCCTCCCTTCCTTCCTTCCTTTCTTTCTTTCATTCCTTCCTTCTTTCTTTCTTTTTTTTTTGGAGTCTCACCCTGTTGCCCAGGCTGGAGTGCAGTGGTGCAATCTCAGCTCACTGCAACCTCTACCTCCCAGGTCGTGATTCTCCTGTCTCAGCCTCCCGAGAAGCTGGGAGTACAGGTGCCCACCACCATGCCCAGATAATTTTTTTTGTATTTTTAGTAGAGACAGGGTTTCACCATGTTGGCCATACTGGTCTCGAACTCCTGACCTCAAATGATCCACCAGCCTCAGCCTCCCAAAGTGCTGGGATTACAGGTGTGAGCCACCATGCCTGGCTAGCTCTGTTTTCTTAATGAGAAAAGGATCTGCCCAGGAGGAGTGGAGTGGCACACCGTCAGGGGCTTGGAGACAGAAAGGAAGGGAATAAGAAGAAAATCAAAAGTATCTCAAATTGTACTGAAGCACTGCTTGGGCTAAAAACCACCAGCGATGTGGGCATCTATTCAGCAAGGTTGTGCCATTCTCCCTGTGCCAGAGCAGAGGGACAGGATAAAGTTTGTGCAAGGCCAGAGAGGGAGAAGACAATACTGTCATGTCCATCAGCCCTGTCCTTGGATCATCAACTGTTAACTGCAGTCTAGCTCCGTGAGGCTTGGTAGCTTTGTGGTTAAGACCCATCCCACCTCTGCTGCCCGTGGGGCCATCCTTAACCTCTCTCAGCCTCAGTTTCCTCACCTGAGAAGCAGGGATCAGAACATAACCTATCCCCCATGCAATGTAGTTGCAATTCGGTGGGGTAGTTCATACAAAGTGCCTGGCCACGAGCCTAGCGCATTGCTGGTGCTAAGTTGATGGTAGCTATTACTTTCTGCAGAAATGAGTATTTCTGTGCACACTTCATATATGGCCTACAAAGAACTCACTGCATCATTCCAGAATTTAGCTGTTGCCCTGCCACTTGAATCTTTGAGACTAAGAACTAATGGATGATGGTTCTAGTTCTGCCACTTCTCCCACCTTTTTTGGGTTTTTGACTCACACACACACACAATGAGAAGGAGAACTCTCCCACTCTGAATATTTAGGCATGCCACATTTCGTTTTATTTATTCACTATTCTCGGTAGCCGGATATTTTTGCACTGAGGCCATCTATAAAATCAAAAAAATGAAATCCAATCTTGGCTAACTTTGTAGTTAATTAACACATTTCTTTAGGCTCTTTATGAAGGAAAAAAGAAACAAATAACTTTTCACTTCTTTCTGCATGTGCCTGTATGGATGAGTAGAAGGAATTACTGTAATTAATGCTGGATTTTAAAATACCAGTATGGGGAGATAGCTAGCATCTTCCAAATAAGGAGATGAGTCAGAGCCTCAGAGATGCTATGGTGTTTAGATAAATGTGAGTTATTAGGTAACCAGGAAAAATACATTACAGAAGGCAACACATAGGGCAATGAAGCTGCAAGCCAGCACGTAAATTGCGAGCCACAGTCCTGAGTGCTCTGGTGGATAGCAGGTTTGTAACTCTATACAAAACCTATGTTTTCCTACCTAAGAAAGGGCAGAGGGTTTTGTCCAGTAAGATCTCTACCCTTCAGGACTTCCAGGTACTGTTTGATTTCCATTTTTCTGACTCAAGGTGGTCTTCCCGGGGGCCATGCTTTGGGAAAAGCTTGTATCTCTAAATTCACTTGATCTCCTCTTGCTGATTCCTGTAGCATCCTGGAGAAGTAAGAGTTGAAGAACTTCCTAGACTTCACAGAGCTCTGGTCTGGGGGCCTCTCTCCATTTGTTTTGTTGTTAAGGCCAATTTTAAGAACAATCAAACAGAAGGTTCTGGAGAGGGGAAAAAACAAATTGAAAAGGTACAAGCTAAAGAACTTAATACAAGAGAAAGTGAAGGATGTGGGGGAAGGACTAGAAATAAATCCTAGGAAAGCTACAATTCATCAGGTTTGAAGTAAGTGCATTTTCTAGTGGCTCATGGATCACTGGCTCATGAAAGAAGAAACAAAGAGAGATGTAAAACCTGGAGACTGACCCAGCAAACTCATTAGCCATCAAGCTGCCTATAGCCTTGCCTGCAGGAGGAATGGGAGCAGGACGAGGGCTCTGAGTCAGACAGGGAATGAAGCTACACCTTAGTCGGGAGGCTCCGATCCAGTGATGACCAACCCTTATTCCATTATCACCTCCCTATGGAGTCTCTTAAGACATTGTTTATCTAACCACCCCTCCTTGTGATACCACAGATACACCATAGAGCTCTCTATGTGCTGTGGCCTTTTAGAGGGCCACAAACTATTGTAATCTCTAAGATTTTCACCCCCAAGAAACAATTTTTATCCCCTGGGGGAGTGATGTTGCCCCTAGGTACTTACTGTATGCCTGGCCCTGGTGTGTATTATTTCATGTAATCCACTATTCCCATTTGACATATAAAACTTAGAAGGGTTGAATAACTTGTTCTAGGACAAAGAGGATTTCAACCCAGGGAGTCAATGTCAGCTCTGCCCTCTTAACAACTATGCTTCTGTTCAAGATCACAACCCGCCCTGCTCGTAACCACCATACTGTCCTGCTCCTTATTTGGAGAGGTTGGACAGTCTCAACTGGGATGCAGAAATAACATCCCTGTAGGCAGGACTCATGGGATCATGACAGGTGCCAAAGGGGTCCCCTCATATAAGCACCTTCCACTGAGGTAAAAGCAATGAGTGTGAAAACAGATTTAAAATCTAGTGCCTTGTTAAAAAGTCCTGTTTTAGACCATTACAAGACAGAAATCTCTGACTCCATTTTCCTCTCTCTAGAGTTCTGTATTACAAACTGCCCAGCATGGAAGCACATTTCTAATCTAAATGATCTCTACAGATTTTACCAAGGTGAGGAGCCCAATGTGGATCCTTTCATCCTAATGCAGTCTTCTGTGAACCATTCCTGATAGTTACCCATACTCTGCCTGAACATTTTCCATGTCATTCCGTCTTTCCTCATGGAAAGACACCTCCCTTCACCTCTTTTTATTTTAATCAGGCAGGGTATAACCTACATGAAGTAAGTTATACCATTCTTTTTGTTTGTTTTGTTTGTTTGTTTGTTTGTTTGTTTTGAGACAGAGTCTCGCTCTGTAGCCCAGGCTGGAGTGCAGTGGTGCAATCTTGGCTCACTGCAACCTCTGCCTGCTGGGTTCAAGCAATTCTCCTGCCTTAGCCTCCCAAGTAGCTGGGATTACAGGCACCTCCCACCATGCCTGGCTAACTTTTTGTATTTTTCGTAGAGACAGGGTTTGTTGGCCAGGCTGGTTTCAAATTCCTGACCTCAAGTGATCCGCCCGCCTCAGCCTCCCAAAGTGCTAGGATTACAGATGTGAGCCATCGTGCTTTCTTAAGTGTACAACTCAATGACTTTTAGCATGTGCATGATTCCGTGAACTGATGTTTGTCATCATATACATTCACTTCTCGTAGGCCTATACTTAGGAATGGGATAGCTGAGTAATAAGTAATGTTTAGCTTTAGTGTCAAACGTCAAACAATTTTCTACAGTGATCAGACCAAATTACACTCCCGTCAGCAATGTGTGCAAATGTTCCAGTTGGTCCACATCCTTGTCAGCATCTGATATTGTCTTTGTAAGCTTAACCATTCTGGTGGGTGTGTAGTTCTATCTGGTTGAGATTTTAATTTATTTTTCCTATTAAGTAATGCTATTGAGCATGTTTATATGCTTTTTAGCCATCTGATATCTTCTTTCATGAGATACTTGTGAAAGTCTTTGGCCCATTTTTAAATTTGGTGTTTTGTCCTTTTTTTATGATTCCTAGGAACTTTTATATACACTAAAAAATTTCCTATTAGCTAGGAAATATTATTTAAGGCCATACATGGTGGCTCATGCCTGTAATCCCAGAACTTTGGGAGGCTGAGATAGGAGGATAGCTTGATGCTGAGAATTTGAGATCAACCTGGGAAACATAGAACCAACTTTACAAAAAAATTTTTTAGAGAAAGAAGTATTATTTAAAATTGAAAGCTGCTATCATGTCTTGCTCCCTCTGCCCCAATTTGGAAATCAGATCATGTTTGTAAAGGCAAACCATCATGTTCAGGGGTGGAATGTGCCTCTTGCTGCCAGATACTAAATTATCTTGTTGGACTATAAATGAGAAGTTTGCCCTTTTGTGGGAAAGTAAGGGCACATGGTTTATATTAGTATTTCAACATAATATAAGACACTTACTTTACGTCATAGCCACTACCTCTTCCTGATGCTCTGGTCTAGATTCTGGCAGGTAGAAACGAAAGCTTAAGGGGAAAAATTACCATTTTTATAGTTAGCACTTATGGGCCAAGAAGTTATTCAAGTTATTCATTTTAATATAACTGATTTTTAAGGGCCTATAGTAATAATGGTCATTGATCACCTTCTCTGTGCCAGACTCCTGGCTAGGCATATTGTGAACTTTATCCCATTTAATTTTCACAAAAGTCCTACAAGGTAAAGATGAGGAAACAGACCCACAGAGAAGTTAGAAATGTGTCCAAGGTCATAAGCTAATAAAGGAAGAGCCAGGATTCAAACCCATGTTCAAAGTCCATGTCTCCCAAAGAAAAAATTACACTTTTACATCATTGTGAAGGTTGTAAGTTTTCTGTAGATGAGAAAGAAGTTTAAAAATTATCCCCATTCTGTTTTTATCTTGTTCTATGAACTTCCCTTTCCAACAAAGCAGCTTGGAGTTTGTGTGCCACAGTTGGCACTTAGGACTCTCATGAATTTCCAAGTCGATTCTGAGGGCAATGGCGCCGTGTGCAAATGTTTGTTTAAAGACATGCTGTGCGGTGGCAGGACCCAGCCTGCTCAGGCAGCAGGGGGAATCAGCACGGAGGCAGTGATCACACCAGGTATCAGCTCCTGAGTGAGCCTGCCTGTCTGTCCCTCCCTTCAGGGGCTGTGCATAAAGGCATTTCTCTCCAGCAAACATGCACATCATCCTGTCATTTTGAGCTAGAATCTTCCTCCCAACTTGTTATCATTATCAAAAAGCAAGTTCTGTACCTTCAGACTCTTTCCCTAAGGGAAATGAGACTCAAAGAAGGGTTACTGATATCAAAATTTGGGGCTCTCATTAAACTATGGTTCCCTCTGTCTTCCGCAGTAGAGAAGAATTCGTTCAGAGCAGTAATGCACAGGGTAGAAATGGAAGGTCTCAATAATGGTATTCAAATGACTGATGGGGAAATTTCAAAATATTTCCAACGTTTCTCTTAAGATTGAACCTGATTTTTCACTACAGGGGAATATACATGCTGAGTCCAGGTTATGCTCATGAAAAGTTACCCAGAGCAATCTGTGTCTTGTCCACAGTGCACAGATCTCTTTAACCTGATGGGATGTGAAAATCATGACAATTGAAATAGCATCACAACTTTCTCATGTTGATGAATAGATGGCCCAGGGTATACCTTTGACTTAGTCTATTTTTAGCTCTAATAACTATTTCTTGCTGCATAGCATTCCTTATGGTTTCTTCTGGGCTACACAGTAAAAATAATTCTGGACATGGAGTCAGAAGGCCTGGGTATAAGTCCTCGTGTGACTATCACCCCCATCTTACCTCTGCAACATCACCTCCTGCAACTCTGTCTCCACACACCCTGCACCAGCCCCTGGGTCTCCTCCCTCCACACTGGCCCCCCTACCTAGAACAGGGGTCCCCAACCCCCAGGCCATGGACCAGTACCAGTCCGTGGCCTGTTAGGAACCAGGCTGCACCAGGAGGTGAGCAACAAGAGAGCAAGGGAAGCTTCGTCTACATTTCCAGCCACTCCCTATCACTTGCATTACCACCTGAACTCTGCCTCCTGTCAGATTAGTGGCAGCATTAGATTCTCATAGGAGTAGCACCCTAATGTGAACTGCACATGCAAGAGATCTAGGTTGCATGCTCCTTTTGAGAATCTAATGCCTGGTGATCTGTCGCTGTCTCCCATCACCCCCAGATGGGACCGTCTAGTTGCAGGAAAACAAGCTCAGAGCTCCCACTGATTCTGCATTATAGTGAGTTGTATAATTACTTCATTATATATTACAATGTAATAATAATAGAAATAAAGTACACAATAAATATAGTGCACTTGAATCATCCCAAAACCATGCCCTCTGTCAACCCCGGTCCATGGAAAAGTTGTCTTCCATGAAACCAGTCCCTGGTGCCAAAAAGGTTGGGGACCACTGGTCTAGAATACCCTTCCTTCAGATACCTGATGTTTTGCTCCAACGTCACCTTCTCAATGAGAGCTCCCTGACCACCCTGATTAAAGTATTTCTCTGCCTCTACCTTCCATATTCGGACCTCGTATCACGTTCTACTTATTATCTTCAAAATCTCTCTGCAATTTATTTCTCTGTGTTGTCTATCGCCCTCTCTAGAATGGGATCTATAAAATCTCTTACCAAAAGCAATATATATACTTAGTTCTTAATCTATAAATTTTAATATTTTGATACGATAAGTTCTCCTCTCATCAATAAGATGCACTATCTGTTTTGTTCATATCTCAAGTACCTAGAAGAATGCCTGGCTCGTAGAAGGTATTCAGTACATAGTTGTTTGGGTTGTTGCTGTTTTCATTTTATTTTGATCCCTTATCAGCATGGAGTCTTTAAATAAATCCATTTCTCTCTCAGAGCCTGAGCTTTTAAAATTTATAAATGAGGAGAATAGTTAGACCAACAAAGTTGGATTTTTAGGAAAATTAGATAAAATAGTGTGTACAAAAATTATACATAATATTGGTGAGAAGAGTATTTGTTGTAGTAAATTATGGGAATTTATAGGTTAAGAATTAAGTGTATATAATGCATTTGGTTAGAGATCTTCTAGAGGTAGATGTATTGAGAGCATTTTGTACTTTATCTTCCACTGGTAGAAATAAGATGTGTAAAGGAGCATATCACATCCACCATGACATTGGGAGACACAGACATGATAAGGAGGCAGAGGCTGGGGGGTGGGCACAAGATGGTGGAAGCCAACCATGAGGATCAGAAGGTTCTACTAAAACTAGACTTCTCAGCTACCACTCCTGGTTACCCCTGTTATGGCGATCCGCTTCTAATGTCATTATGAGAAACACACACACACACACACACACACACACACACACACACACACAAAATGAGGTACATAGTAATCAGGGTCCGAGCATCCCACACGTGGTGTGAGAGCTCCATGTTGAGAAAAAGATGAATGAAAATTGGGAGGGATTTGAGGAGAGGTCCTTGGCTGGGATCACATGGGAAAGGGTATTTTACAGTTAACAGAAGGGCCACCCTAAGACTGTCTAGGGCAAGGTTCTTTCTCCTGCTGTTGTATTATGTGCAGTGTAGATAACATTCACAAAACCACCTTGCCCCACCTGTCCTGTTAGTTGCCCTCATGCATGGAAGGAGCTCTCGCCAGAAAATAGCGAGCTCAGTCTATTGGTGGCTTTGTCAGCAATGCGTAGGCTCCAGAGTCAAGGTCAGGAATGCCCGGTGGGAACAGGCAGATGAGTAAATAAAAAGGCTCTGTAAACTATGAAGGGGTGTCCAGATGTCAATTTTTATGTTTTCCCCAGCTGCTTCTATTCCTTTTACTGTGATGCGTTAGGTCCATTAAATAATGGCATATCAAAACAAGAATGACCCGTAGAGATTGTCTGATCATTCATCTGTTCAACACACAATTTCTGCGCATCCATTCTGTGTCAGACTTAGGACTCAGCACTGGTTAGACAAGAAATAAGTGTCATTGCCCTCAAGGAATTCAGTTTTCTAGGAGATAACGAGCAAAAAAATGGAAGACAGTGGGGCATCTACTATGACAGAGCCATACATGAGATGCTGTAGAGCAGAGAAAAGGGATGTTTAAGTCAGATGGGTAGGGGGTTTCTGGATGGAAAGTCAGTGGGAATGGGACTGTTTTGAAGACCGAGTAAGAGTTGCCCGGGCAGAGAAAGAAAAGAAGACATTTCAGGCAGAAGGATGGAGGAGTGAGGAAGGTATAAAAAATCTTGGTTTGTTAAAGGAACTGCCAGTAATTTGGACTAGCTGGAATGAGGTAAACATGACAAAGTGTCCAAATAATAAATCAAGACAGGTTGGCAAAATACAGTCGATTAAAGATCTTGTGTCTTAAGCAAATGACTCGGAGCTTGATCATGGAAACAAAGGTGAGCCAAGGAAGTATTTTAAGGTGAAAAATATGAGACTGTGTTGGTTTATACAAAGGTTATTCAGCCTGAGACATAGATTCGGGAGTCAACTTGGGTAGGAAGGAGCAATTTAGGCAATTAACTGGAGAAGGTCTGGACAAAGACGGTAGTTATAACAATGGGTTTGGAGATGAGCAGACAAAATCATGAGCTATTTACCAAATAGGCCTAGGCTTTTGTACACTCTGGGTTTCCATAAGGAAGGATTTTTTCTTAAGCACACACCTGGACTCTTACACCGTTTGCATTCTCTTCCTTCTTGAGGGAGGTGGAGTGACATTGAATTGGTGAATTTGGAAAGAATAACTGGGCATGCTCAGTTCAGCTCAGCTTAGCCATTTTCCCTTGGGAGCGAGCCTGTCTACAAGAATACAAGTACTCCATTTCTTCATGCCCTAAATCTTACCTGGACAGCCAATCCACTTGGGATGCCCTGTCGTGCTGCTGCGATTGCATGGATGACCCTAACAAATTTTGAGGCTCAGTATTTGCAAGCCTTCTTGGTCCACAGATCTAAAGCCATGTCTTCTACTGAGCCTCTCTAGGGAGAAAAGGTAACATTTTGATGTCATCTCCTGCTTTTTGTTTCTTTCTCAATTTTCTCCGACCTGTGATCTGGAAGAGTGCCATTGGGTGGCAGTCCTTGAAGAACCCAGAACTAGCAATGAATAAAAGAGGTGGTCAATGAGAGACCAGACCTAAATATGACTCCCCATTTCTTGCTGTTTGGGTTTTTCCCTCTCCTCAGTTTTCCTGGGGAAAGATGGGAAGTCATTACTCTGGATTGGAGATACAGGGGGAGGAAAGGGTTTGGGGAAGAAGATGGTGATTTTAGGTTCGGTCACAGTGACTTCAGTGAATACCAACCAAGTAGCTATGCCCCTTCCCCCTTCCCCTCCCTTATGTTAGGTACACCCCTCCTCTGTGCACCTATGCTTGTATCTCCCATTATACACATCAGAAGATGTACCTGCAGTTACCTACATACCTGTCATGTATTTTGTCTTTGAGCTTCCCAAGGGTATGATCTGTGTTTTAAAATTTCTTCACTGTAGGTCCCATCTTATCTGAGCCCCAGAAGTTAGTCAGCCATGCTTGTTGAATGAATGAATAAATTCACTTAACCACACCAACATGTCAGTTCCTATGTGTTTCCTCACCCTGGAGTATTTGGTAATACAAGGATCATACATATGCAGAAAAGGCTTCATCAGAGGAAGTGTGTCTCCTCTGGCATCAGCAGCTTCCTCCCCTAGTCTCTCTTCTCTTTCAATCAAACCCTAATCCTCCCTACCCAGTGTCTACCCTCCAAAGGTTTGAAATCAGAGTCCACAGTTAAATGAGAATCTTGCCACAGTTTCCAACTCATGTTGACCCAGAAGTGCAGCTCTGAGCCCTGCTGTAGCTGTTGTCAGCAATCCCCTGGAAGCTGTCAGTGGGCTGCAGTCTGTGCTTACAGAGTGATCCCCCAAAGAGATGCAGATTGTGTAGATACAGCTGGCAGGGGCTGACGCTGGGAAAGACTGTGCTCTGCAGGGAGGGCATCATCAGCTAATTGCTTCTACCCTCTGGGGCATGGAGAAATGCAGGAGCAGATCCGGAATGACAGCGTGAATGAGCCCCAAGCATCTAGAGTAGAGGGAAGCCTGTCTAGAGTGTTCCTGACAGGCTTGAGTCAAAAGCACTAGATCGTATTTCCAAGAAAGGGAGACTTTTTTTTTATTTGAAATGTAATAGACATGCAGAACAGTGCCTAGAAACATATGCACAGTTCACTCGTCACAAATAAAATGCCTTTGCAACTACACTTTGCAACTACAGAGATAATATTTTCTGCAATGCCCCCTGCAAAACAATATTTGCAACTACAGAGATATTTTCTGCAATGCCCCCTGCAAAACAGTATTGCCTGCCGTCCCCTCAACATTTGTGTGCTATTTCCTAGTCGTATCCAATTTGTTGATTATCATGGTAACCATTTTATTGGCCTTCTTTATAATTTTAACACCTTCCCATGCATCTCTAAACAAATTTGCTAATTTGGTTGTTTTAGAACTTGATATGGAGTCCTACCATTATCATTTTTTGACATGTCTTCCACTTGACATCATCTTTGTGAAATTCATTCATGTAGCTGTGTATAATTGTAGTGTACTCTTCTGATTGCTGTACTGTTACACTATGTAAATATGACCGCTTATCCATTCTACCCTCTACGGGTTGATGGACATTCAAGTTGTTTGCATTTTGCTCTGGAATCATTATCCTGGTATATTTATGTATAAGTTTCTGTGGTAAGGTATTTGTCTGGAGATAGAGGTCCTGAGTCAATAGGTAAGGTCTGCATATCCTCAAATTGAATAGAAATGCCAAATTCTTTTCCAAATTGGACATACCTAATCATAGTCCCACCATTAGGAGTTTGCAGACATATAAAGGCACCCTACAATTCTAACTGCAGGATCCCAAGGTAACTCGCACTGGCTGCAAACAGGGAGCTCCTGCAAGTCCTTGGAGCTTGCCTCAAACAGGGAGCTCATGCAAGTCCTTGGAGCTTGCCTCATACATGAAACGTGGCATTTTGTCTCTTGCTTTTAGATTTTAACCGTTTCCCTCTCCGAGGATGGAAGAACATCACATATTATTTGTTAGTCAAAGTATCACTCAGCTAACCTGGAAAGGCAGAGGGCAATTTAATAACATATAGATGCTTTTCCTTCTAAAGTTGTACATACAGAAGTATATTTGTAACAAGAAGGTCAATAGAAAATTGAATGCCTAAAATAATACCGTAGCTTCTCTTTTGAGCTCAATTGATTTGCTCCATATACGTCTGCTGAAAAACAAAGGTTTTAAACAATATATGCTATTCAGGGTCTGAATTAAACATCTGTTGGTGTTCTCTAGTTGTAATAGGGTAACATAAGCAAAAAACAAAAAAAACAAAAAAAAAACAAAAGAGTATATCCTAAGAAATTCAGCATTAGTCTATTCAGGGAATTTTTCCAAGAGAAGGAATAGCTTTGTTTTGACCCTTTTTACAAAACATCATCAGAACCAAAGGTCTTACACGTTAGAAGAGTTTTCATTTCATTACTTTTTTCAGCCTTACAAACAAAGCAGTACTTATCTACTAATTGTCTCACCTTCACCTCAGTGTCCCCAATACCTAGCATAAGCCTTGACAATAACAGGAGCTCAAAAACATTTGAATAGATGGAGTTCTTGTACACTTGAGATGAGGAAACTTTACCAAAATCAAGAAACATATTTTGTTAAAAATCTTGTCCTCTAAGACTCAATCCCATCCAATTACCGCCTCACATGAAAAAAAAATGTTGTAGGTCTCAAGAAATCAGGCCAGGTTATTTTTGTAAAGAAACATTAATTCAAGACCTAATGATGGCCCTTTGAAATATCAGTTATTAAATTCTGTTAAGCAAAGGCATAAACGAGATTCAAAGCCTCCCACTGCCTTTTCCCAATATGTTCTAGTAAGAGCTTTTCTGTGTGATTCCGAAAGTTATTGTTTGGAAGCTCATGATACTACTGAGTCCCCCCAGAGTACAAAACAGCTTTTGAAGTTTAAGTCCAGACTAGAGGGGGTATCACAATGGAGGCTTAACCAACTGTAATGAGAAGCTGACAACAATGAAAGAAATATCTGCTGGGAGGGCAATAAATCCTCTCCCCTTAATAAATGTCTGACAGGAAAGGAACTCATGACGTCTCAGTGCTGTGAGCTTACAAATTAAATCAGAGGAGATGACTTGTTGATTGATACTGCAGGTAATCATATAATTAACCAGTCATGGGCTGATAATGAGATACTTTTGGCTAATTAGAGGAAGACCAATGAATTTAATTCAGATGAAATGCTGCAAATAAAAGCCATTTAGAGAAAAGGGCAGGCAACTGGATAGATGGAAGGAAATGACAGTGGAGAGTGGAAGTTATACCATTCTGGTTAACAAATCATCCACTTATTCAGTGATCCAGGCTCAAACACCAGAGGCGTGGAAACTTCCCTGAGATGGGTTTGTAATCCAAAATCTAACATCCAGAAGAGAAAAATAAGTAGTGGGAACATTTTATTTAAATATTATTCCATTTCATTTAAAATGTTAAATAATAAAATTTGTAGGCGCCTATTGATTTGGACTAGGCTGCTGCACTGGGCCCAACAGACCAAACCAATATGGAGTCACTCATGCTAAATGAAACTAATTAACTTAGGAGTGCACTTGGGTAAACAGCTGGGCTTTAGTTGGTTACAGCAGCTGAGCTTCAGTCAGTCAATTGCAGGCAGCCAGCTGATTCAAATAAGGCAAGATGCCGAGCTGTAACCAATTAAGCTGTCTCTATATCTCACTTCCATTTTCTGTCAGTAAATACTGTCTAATCACTTTGCTGGCTGGAGTTTTTTGAACCTGCTGTAGTTCTGAGGGCTGCCCAATTCTTGAATCATGAATAAAAGCCAACTAAGATCTTTAAAGTTGTAATTTTTTGTCTTTTGACAGTAATCTGAAATCTAATGCTCAGGGGGGAAAAAAAGTAGTGGAAGCCATATCCCAATAATGTCTTTATATTTTCTCCTCAGCAACCCCTTAAGTGTGAGTTGAGTATAGAATAGTTAGATTTTCTTTGGGAGCCATTGGAAACAAGACTTTAAATTGAAGATAGATTTCAGTCCCAGAGGGGGCTTATTTGATCCAAAGGGATATAATCTAAGTGATTACACTTCCTATACGTATTTGAGAATACACTTTTTATTTCAAAGACAAGTAAGGCAACACCCTCCTCCCAGCTTATTCTTATAACCCCTGATATGGCTAGGCTTTGTGCCCCCACCCGAATCTCATCTTGAAATGTAGTCCCCATAATCCCCACATGTCATGGGAGAGACCAGGTGGAGGTAATTGAATCATGGGGGCAGTTTCTCCCATGCTGTTCTCGTGATAGTGAGCTCTCACGAGATCTGATGGTTTTATAAGGGGCTCTTCCCCAGCTCTGCTCAGCACTTCTTCTTCCTGCCACCTTGTGAAGAAAGCACGTTGCTTCCCATTTGCCTTCTGCCATGATTGTAAATTTCCCAGAGCCTTCCCCAGCCATGCTGAACTGTGAGTCAATTAAACCTCTTTCCTTTATAAATCATTCACTCTTAGGAAGTTCTATATAGCTGTATGAAAACAGATAATACAACCCCTTTCCTCTTGTCAAAATACACGCTATCCTTCTGAACCTACTCTCCCTATGCGCCAGTAAGACCAAAAGAGAACTACAGCCATGAGGCATTAGGAAGTGGGCAATGAAAACCACTTAGGACATCTCTGCTTCTCTATTTTTCCGATTGACCCTTTCTCTGTTACACTCTTCCCCCTTCTCCCCTGCCTCCTCACTTCCTCTTTCTTCCTTCAACCGTAATAAATCCACACGAAAGAATTCAACATGCTTCTTAGTTTCCAGCATATGATCATCGTCAAGTGATGCGGAGCCTTTATTTCTTGTAACATTTTCTCTGAGTTGACTCCTTTAAACCACACACTCCCTCTCCTTTACTGAATAGGTGCTCAGTCTACTCAATCTCTATGTGTATGTATATTATTAAAAAGCATATTGGATAGATTTTTATATGCTGCAATTTACATAAATATATGGTGCTATAAATTTTGTTTCTTGCTTTTTTTCATTCCACAATGTGTTGTTGAGATTTAGTCTTGTAGTTATGTAAATTTAGTTCATTACTTCTGATTGCTGCTTCAAGTTCTATCATATGGCCTTTTATTTGCTGAATTGCATGAATATCTAGTATGTTCTCGATTGTAACCTCTTAAGCATTTTAGGCATTGAAAACGTGTTATCTCTCACCACCTCTTAGCTTTGCTATGATGTCCCTTAAGCAGAAGACTTTCATTTTGATGTGCAGTCCATCATTCTCATTACAGCCTTGTTTTATGATCTTGCTTCAGAACAAGGTTACAAAAATACTTCTTACCTTTTCTCTTGTCAGCTTTAAACACTTACCTTTTATACTTATATTTTCATCCATTTGTAATTTTTTATATTTTATATTTATATATTTATATATTATATATAATATAGTTTTATATTTTATATAGTTGTATATATACATATAAATGTATATATTGTGTGTATATATGTATATAAAAATATATATTTTATATATATACATACACACACACACACACACACACACACAAATCTCCATAAAATGAACCAGATTTCTCAACATCATTAGCTACATAATCCATTCTTTCCCCATACATGCGTGGAATCGTTTTCATTACATAGCAAGTCTGCATGGATTCATGGATTTCTCTCAAGGCTATTCTGTTGTCTATTACTGTGCTTTAGTATTCATTCTTTATTACTGTAGCATTGCAATATGTGTGATAGTTGGTAAGGTAATTTCTTCCACTTTGTTTTTCTGTTTCAAAATGATCTTGTCCATTTGTGAGGTTTTATTCCTCAATTTAAATGTTGGCGTCAGTTTGTCAAGTTCTATCAAATGACCACCAGGATTTTGCTTGGAATTGTACTGAATTCACAGATTAACTCGGAAAGAACTGATACTTTTGATAGGTTATGCAATTCGTGATCATAGTATATATTCCCACTTATTTAGCTCTCCTTTAATATACCTTAATAGAGTTCTGATATTTTTCTCATGAAGGACCTTGTATATTATTTATTAATTACTGGATACTTTAGCATTGGAGCTATTATAGGTGATGTCTTATTTTCTATTATATTTTCTAATTGATGACTATTTAAACAAATGTTATTGATTTATGTATGTTGATATTTTTTAATTGGAAACTTCACTAAACTCTTACTAATTACCAGTTTATTCTATTGATTTGGATAGGACTCAAATGTGAATAAGCTTTATGGATGAGCAAGTCATCTATAAATAATGACTTTTGTTTTTTATTTTCTTCTAACTTTTATTTTAAGTTCAGGGGTACAAATGCAGGTTTGTTACATAGGTAAAGTTGTGTCATGGGGGTTTGTTGTGCAGATTATTTCATCACTCGGGTATTAAGCCGAGTACACAGTTATTTTTCCTGATCTTCTCCCTCCTCCCAGCCTCCACCCATTGAAAGGCACCAGCGTGTGTTGTTTCCTTCTATGTGTCCATGTGTTCTCATCATTTAGCTCCCACTTATAAGTAAAAACATGTGGTATTTGGTTTTCTGGTCCTGTGTTGTTTTGCTAAGGATAATGGCCTCCAGCTCCATCCACACTCCTGCAAAGGACATGACCTCATTATTTTTTGTGACTGCATAGAATTCCATGGTATATATGTACGCCCTATCTTTTTCTTTATCCAGTCTATCATTGGTGGGCTTTTAGGTTGATTCCATGTCTTTGCTATTGTGAATAGCGCTGCAATGAACATACACATGCATGTGTCTTTATAACAGAATGATTTATATTCCTTTGGGTATGGTATGTCCCCCGTAGTAGGATTACTGGGTCAAATGGTATTTCTGACTTTAGGTCTTTGAAGAATCTCCATGTTGTCTTCCACAATGGTCGAACTAATTTACACTCTCACCATTAGTGTGTAAGTGTTCCTTTTTCTCCACAACCTCGCCAGCATCTATTATTTTTTTAAAAGTCAAAAATTAGTGACCTTTAAAGTTTTCCTCTTTTCCTCACTTCTGGTCTAATTCTATATCCTTATTTACTCTTCATTTTGTAAAAATGATTTAACTGATGAGTTTAGAAGAAACTAGGCATATGTAGCTCAGTCCTTTCTGTGTATCCCATTTGGGAGCTCACCTGCCCAAGAACTCCTTCACACCATCAGCTATGCAGTGAGGTCAGCCTAATTGTCTGTCTGTGCCAACAGCAGGGTAAATCTCTAAAATTCAGAGGTAAAATGACTGCAAATCCACCAGACTGGCTGATCCAAGCCCATTCTTCAATATCAGCTTCATCAGTTATAAGGTAATGTTTTATTTCCATCTACCTTACTCACATGTCTTTGTCTGTTTTTTTCTGACTTGATGTGGTATAAAGATGGTGTTATTTATTATCCCCTTAACACCTGCACACCTTCTGATCGTTATACCTCTGCTATGATGGGAACATTTATGCCCCTTCAAAATTCATGTTGAAACATAATCTCTAATGCAAAGTATTAAGAGGAGAGGCCTTTAGGAGGTGACTAGGTCATGAGGGCTCTTCCCTTGTGAATGAGATTTAGTATCTTATAAAAGAGGCCAGACACAGCATTTGGCCCCTTTCTGCCTTTGACCTCCAAGCATGTGAGGACAAAGCCTCCACAGTGCCATCTTGGAAGTAGAGACCAAACCCTCACCACGCACCAAACTCTGATCTTTGTTGGATTTTTTTTCCCCTGTTTTCAGAAACGTGTCCATGCCTTCTAGATTTTCTTTTTTTTTTTTTTTTTTTTTTTTTTGAGATGGAGTCTCGCTCTGTCGCCCAGGCTGGAGTGCAGTGGCACAATCTCGGCTCACTGCAGGCTCTGCCTCCTGGGTTCACGCCATTCTCCTGCCTCAGCCTTCCGAGTAGCTGGGACTACAGGCGCCTGCCACTGCGCCCGGCTAATTTTTTGTACTTTTAATAGAGATGGGGTTTCACCATGGTCTCGATCTCCTGACCTCGTGATCTGCCCGCCTCGGCCTCCCAAAGTGCTGGGATTACAGGCGTGAGCCACTGCACCCGGCCTATGCCTTCTAGATTTTCAAATTTATCACTGCTTTTGTTCATAGTATTTTTTTGAAATCAAATATTTCTTTTAGGACAGTTTCGAAATTACAAAAATTTACAAAGATAGTACAGAGAGCTCCCATAAAGCCCATTCCCAGTTTCCCCTAGTAGTAAATCTTCCATTAGTGTGGTACATTTGCTACATTAATGAACCAATGTTAATACATTATTTTAGAGTCTACAGTTTATTCTGACTTTCTTGGTTTTCATCTAATACACTTTTTTCTGTTCTAGGATCCCATGATCCCATAGTACATTTAGTTATGTCTTCTTAGGCTCTTCTTAGCAGGGACAGGTTCTCATATTTGCCTTGTTTTGGATGACTTAGACAGTTTTTTGGGGTTTTTTTTGTTGTTGTTGTTGTTTGTTTTTTTTCTGAGACAGAATCTCACCCTGTCGCCCAGGCTGGAGTGCAATGGTGCGATCTCGGCTCACTGCAACCTCTGCCTCACGGATTCAAGTGATTCTCCCTGCTTGTTAAGTTTTTATAGAATGTCATTCAGTTGGATCTGTCTGATGTTTTTCTCATCATTAGACAGGAATTATGTATTTGGGGAAAGCTGCATCTCACAAATGCACAGATAAAGTGCCATTTTCATCATATCATATAAAGTGTACACAATACCAACATCACTCATCACTGTTGAGGTTGACCTTGATCACTGACTGAGGGTGGGTTGCCCAGCTGTCTCTACTGTGAAGTGATGCTTTTTATCCCCCTTTCCATAGTGTGCACTTTTTGGAAGTGAGGAGTATTCCACCTCAAGGACAGAGTATCTACATACATTATTTGGAATTCTTCTGCATGGGAGATTTGTCTATTCTCCTCCACTTATTTATATCAATATGGACTGGTGTTTATTTATTTTATATTTTGAGTGCTGTGTTTTTGTTCAAATCTTACAGTTATATTGGTAGATATTTTCACCTTCAAATTCTGTTGGATGCTTACTTTGCATCTTCTCCCCTTTTTCCTTGATTAATATAGCCAGAAATTTGTCTTATTAGTCTTCAAAGAACCAACTTTATTAATTACCTAAATTGCTTCTTTCTGTTCTCATTAATTTCTGTCCTTATCCTTATTGTTACATTCCTTCTTGTTTCTTTTTATTGACTTTGCTGCTTTTTATCTACCCTTTAGAGTTGAATGCTAAACTTTTTTGTAGTAACCTTTTTGTTGTTGCTCTCTGTTATATGTAATGAAAGGTTTAAATTTCCCTCTAAATATCGCTTTAGCTGCATCTCACAAATTTAAAATGTGGCACCTTCATTATCACTCACCTTTAAGTGAATGCAATTTGTCTGATGATTTCTTCCTTAACCAATGAATGCTTATCTCACCCCTTCCCTCAACATAGGACAAATTTTTTAGTTATACAAGTTATTCATTTCTAATTTTGTTGCATTATAAGAAAATATAATATTGGTTTTTGATTCTTTGGAACTTATTAAGGCTTCTTTTGTGTTTTACATGATACTATTTGTTATTTTTCCAAGAATGCTAAGAATATAGCTTTTTATACACAGTCCAGATTATTTATCATATTAATTCAGATTTATCTCTTTGTTTATATTTTCTGCATGATCTGTCACTTATTAAAAATGTTGTCTTATAATCTCCAGCTCTAGTTGCTGATCTATACATGCTCTCTGTTGCTTTATTCAGTTGCATATTTTAAGGTGCATTTTGATTCACAATTATAATCTCTCCTAGCTCCTTTCACAATGTATAACTTTCCTCTTTAACTCACGTGATGTTTTCCCCTTTTAATTTAATTTTGTCTAATGTGAACATTGTTATACAAGAGTTTGTTGTTAATATCTGTACAAGCTATACTTTCAATTTTTCTGTATTTTTGTTATATATATCTCCTGGGAGCAACATATTTTTAAATCTCACTTTTTAAAATCCAACAGCACTTAAGCAGTTCCTTTTCCCTCTTTCTTGTCTCCCACTGAATAAATCATGTGTTCTTCTTGAACAGTTAACTTCTTATTTCTATTCATTTAATGGTTTCTCCTTATAAAATTCCCATTAAGTTGTAACATTAATTTGTAATTTTTATAATAACTAAATTTATACTCATTGAGAGTGTTTACTTTGTATTGTCATGGCTATGCTTTGGTTTTTGTAAGAAGGAAGTACAGGAGGTCATTGCACATCTAAGCAACAATAAAACTTATCTACTCACCCATACTTCCTATACCTCATTTTTCTCTCCTGAATTAATCTCTTCTCTTTGCTAGAGTATTTCTTTCAAATATGTTCTTGAAGTAGGAAACAATTTTTAGGCCCTGTCAACCTGAAAATATCTTTATCTCACAATCATATTTAAATAAAAACTTAACTGGTTACAAAGTTCTAGGTTCAAAAATGTCTATGTTCAGCATTGAAAAAATATTATTTCACTGTCTTCTTGCATAAAGCATTACTGTTCTATTTCTTCCTGGAACATGCATTGAATCAATGCTGATACTTTTCTGTCTTCCATGTCTCTCAATGTTAATTTTATTCTCTTCATCTCATTAACCCTTCCTGGTACTCTCTGGGACAATTCCTCAACTTGAAATTCCAGGTTACTAGTTTAGTCTTTGGAAGTATCCATTCAGTTTTTCAACACATCTACTGAGTTTTTCATTTCTATACTTATATTTTTCATGCCCAGGATCTCCCATTGTTTCTTATCTGTAACTACTTGTTCTTACTTCGTGTTCAAATATCACTCCTTCCCTTTTAAAAGATATTTACTAGGCTTATTTTAAGTGTCTCTAGTAGATATTTCTTGATATACTGCCTTTCAGGGTGTGTGTGCTCCAAAGAAGTCTTATTAAACAACTCCTAAATCCGCACCCCCAAACCTTGCATGTCCCTTGGGAATTTCAGTTGACACGGAGAGTAATGTATACCTGAAGGAGAATCAAAATCTTAGACTGTGAGTTTAGGGGTGGGGAGTATGCTTTAAGCTGCACAGCTTCAGATGTTTCTATCAGGAATCAACCACTTCCAGTTTGCTTTCTCCTACCTCTCCCTACCCTGTACCTCCTGAGACCTCACCCTCAGAGAGCCCCGGTAACTTCTCTCTTCCAACTGCTCCTCTCTGCTTTGGGGTTGGAGAGGTAAGGAGGAAATTTTCAGGGGCTGGCCAGCTTCCCCACACTTATTCTCACTCCAGAGGGTCTCCAGCTCTGTGCCGATGTTGGCTAACTGCTCTGATACATTCTGATTTGGGGAGGTGCTTTGCCACTCAAACAATAGGAGATCAATAGCCCACTGAGGTCAGGGTAAGAGAGATAAAAGGTACACTCAGCCAGCATTCCAAGCACGTATCCCATCTATGGCCCTGGGCTTCTCCTGATATAGGCTATCATCTTCCTATCACACAGGAATTTAACTATCTTTCATCTTCCCATGGGTTTTTCATGGTTTTGGTGTTAAGTGCGGGGATCCATCCACATGTCTTCTGTTTCTTTCCCTAAAATCTCCTAAGTTGGATTTGAGGAAGGGAGGCAATGGCTTATGTTAATTTTCCATGTTGTCCAGAATTGAAATTTTTTCTAAAGATTGTGAGTGTTGATGATTATGGGAACCATGAGGCCTATAGCCCCATTAAATGCACAATGCCTAGCACATAGTAGGTTCTCACTAAACACTGCTTCAATAAACTGGTAAATTTATTCAAAGATATTTTAGATGATATGTAATGTCATGTTCTGTATTTTAACTTTTTATAGTTATACTTTGCTTGAAAAAAATTACATTGTTTTGGCTGGCCTAAAAAGGGAGAGTGATTGCATTTTAATAGCTTAATCACAAAGAAAGCCCCAAAACAGAGTAAATAGTGCAGGCAGATACAAGGCTAGGATAGATTTCCAATTACATTGACATTTTTCTTTCTGATACCTAAGCTTCTCTGGCTTTGAAATCCATTTTCAGGCTGCATATAATCATGTTAATACTGTGAGACTTTCAGCATTTATTAGTGCTGTTATTTTCATCTATACAGCTCCTTCTTCAGACGAACTGAATATGTTTTACAAGAGCCTACAGAACAGACATCAATTCTTTGAGTCTCATGAGAAGGTGGAAAACACTGAAGAACGAATGATTAACCACTCTTTCTACTATTTATTACTTCTTAAAGAAGAAATCAGAAAGGAAAAGAGAGAAGGAGAAAAGGAAAGGAAATCAGAGAGAAGGAAAGAAAGGGAAGGAAAAACACACAAAAGGAAGACAGCCTGCCCTCACCTCTTCTCAGTTGTCTTCTTTCCCTTGAGTTTCTGCTCTGTCCTAACCTGCTGTTCTGCCCCTGGGTGCCTGGCCCTGGACTTCTCTTTTTATTTCAAATGGGCTCTTGTGGCTACTCTATAATCTCCATGTTCACCTCTGTGAAGTCTTAATGTGTATTTCACAATGGCAATCCTGGGCTCTTTTCCCTGTCTTCTAACCACCCCCTTCCTGCTATTGTCTCAACAAAACTGTCGCCTTTGTTGAGAAATTTGGAAATGTCCACCAGAAGCTTTATCTTATCCTCCTCTTTACGATGGAAAATTCTTCTCTGCACATTCAACCATCCTTTCTCCCTACAGCTGCAGGGGTTCCTTTCTAGCTCCTTCATTGCCATCTCCTCCTCTTCTTCTCTCTTCTGTTGCTGCCTTGGATGCCTCTTTCTTACTTTTCCTCCTCCTATTTCTCTTTGTAAATCAGTATTTTATCTATTGATCACTTAATGGGTACTTAGCACTGTGTGAAGCTAAGTATTTCATAAATTACCTCACTTAAAGGTCACAATATCCCAATGAAATATATAGTATTACTACCCCTGTTTTACAAGAGATGCTTTTAAGGTTTAGAGAAATCAAGTAACTTGTCAAAGGTTGCACAGCTTATAACCAGTAGATTTCATTAGCTCCTTCCCCTTGGCCTTCAAACATGAACATGTTTTGGCTATTCAACTAAGAAAATAAATGAATTGCCTCTCTTGAGGCATAGTTCTATCCCTCCTTTTAGTTGTTAGTTTACTTGTCAAGCAAATAACTACCTATGTTCCTATTTTCTCAGCATCAAAACCTGCCTTATATCTTTGCATTCTGACTTCTTCATTCTGCCATTCTGCCATTGTTAGAGTGACCTCTCCAAAGTCACCAGTGGCCACCTTCTCTCTGAACAAATGACCTTTATAATTCTTTTCCTTGACCCCTCTGTAGCTGTTGATGCTATTGATAATCCTGCCTTTGAATTTCACCTGCTGGCCAACGTGGCTTACTATGCAAATTTGTGCGGTCAGTCAGATGTGCTGTTAGATAATGCAGTTGTGAACACATGGGTGAGCCACTAATGGATGCACCCCAAGCCCGTGGCCAGAAATTCTCATTTTCTTTGAGGGTCAGGAGGCATAAATTATCTTCAGGATGGGAAGGATATTTTATAGATACAGGGCTATTTTTGCAGGAGAACAAATGATTTACCTCTTCTGAATAATGCAGAATCATGTGTGGTGACCCTATGTGCATAAAACTCTTACATCTTGAGGGTCTAGGTAACAAGGTAATAATTGTATTTGCAACAAAATATAAGTAACCCTGATGAAACTACAAGGATATGGGGTCTTGAGGGAATTAGGTGGGAGTAGAGTTGGGAGGAGTGTTTTTCATTTTTATTGAATGGTTTGGTAGAAAATGAATCTCCCGGGGATATTTTATATGTAACTTTGCCAAAGAGTCTCCTAATTACTCTCGTAGAAGTATGTGTGAATATCACAGAGTATTTATTTTCTCTGATGATTTCACAGTTTCTAAAATGAAAGAAGTAGCTCAAACAAAATAGTTACAGATGTTATTCCTCTGCCACATAGTTTGGAAAAAGTGGGGTCTCTGGTTGACTGGAAACATGAATGCATGTGATTTAACACACCCAAGAGAATGAGGTTGGTGAATTTTTTAATGGAGAATATACTTAACATTTACATAGAAATTTACAGCATCCAAACTACATTCACACTTATTATCCCCACTGCCTTCTTTCAGCTCTTTGGATAAAATGGGGATTCTGGGCCGGGCACGGTGGCTCATGCCTGTAATCCCAGTACTTTGGAAGGCCGAGACAGGAAGATCACAAGGTCAGGAGATCGAGACCATCCTGGCTAACACAGTGAAACCCCATCTCTACTGAAAATGCAAAAAGAAATTAGCTGGCGTGGTGGCTGGTACCTGTAGTCCCAGCTACTTGGGAGGCTGAGGCAGGAGAATGGCGTGAACCTGGGAGGCAGAGCTTGCAGTGAGCCGAGATCGTGCCACTGCACTCCAGCCTGGGCGACAGAGCGAGATTCCATCATGAAAAAAAAAAAAAAAAAGGGGGAGATTCTGATCCCAGTTTACAGATCAGGAAATAAAAGTCCTGACAGTTGATACTGCTTGACCAAGTCTCCATTAGGCCAAGGGTTCACAACCAGGTCCCTGCCCCCAGCCAGGGCTAAGTTCCATCTTCCTCCAGCCCGTTGTGTGCAGATGATTAGTGAATTAAGGGGAGTGGGAGTGGGCTGCCGCAAGAGGGCCTGGCACAGGCATGCAGGCAAGCATGGTGGCTCAGTTCACAAATATTAATGAAACTGTATGGAGGAAGAAAATTTACTTCCCCAAAAGATAAAAGCCTATTCAGTTGCTGTCAGAGGGCAGCATTATTCTGCTAAAAGGACAAATTTGAGCATGATTCATTCTTGGCAGCTCCATTACTAAGGGCAGTGGGTGTTTCCACGTGAAACCAGCTGAATTTTCTACTGAGATGGACTCTCCAAGTTGCTGGATGAAGTATTAATGTGCACTGCGGAAGCTCAAAGAGCATTTAGGTATTGCCTATGAACTTCTGGTTAGAACACCAAAATCCAGAGTGAGGAAGTCATCTAACAATGTTATAAAAATGTAAGAGGAATGGAAATTTCTATCCCTCTGAAGCAAAAACATGTGTGGAGAAGAACTTCAGGGATGCCAGTCCAGCCACAGATCCCTGAGTGTCACCCCCTCCACCTTTGCACTCCCTGCCACACACACAGAAATGCATATACACAACACATGCACACGCATGGGCTTGGGCCCCAGCAGCCATACTTCTGTTATGTGACCCTGACCTCTCAGCCATAGGTGCTTACAACAGGTGTGGACATGTGGACACCTGACCCAAGCTGCACCACTCAATTCCTCTCTCTCCAGAATTAAAGTCAAGAGAAAAAGCAAATGGGAAAATATTGCTGAGTAATGTGGATGTCAAGTCTCTAGAAGAAAAATCCACAACCTTGGGCCCTAGAGGTTCCTACTTCATTCTTCCTTTTTCCTGATCACTGGGTTATTTGGCTTTTTCTTTGACTTTTGGAGCTACTGCCTCAGGATCCTTCCAGCAAATTTTGCCTGAGCTTAAGCTAATTTGAAGTGGGTTTGTGACATTTGCAACCAAAAGAATTTCAACTAAGCTATGAGACAGCCCCCAGGCAACTGATAAATACCCTCTCCTAATGCTGCTTCATCCTGTCTATTATAGATTTAATAATTAGCTGGTTAAATTATCAATTTATGCAAGTAACTATCACAAGTTGAAACACTTATTTTTAAAAGCTATCTCTTTTTTTGGAAAGTTTGATGGCTCTTAAATAGCTATTAGAAAATATACTTTAAAGTTAAATAAGTTACATATGTCTCTGTACACATATATACGCAGAGACACTAATATTGGAAAGTTAATTGAATTGTCAATTGTGTAATATGAAATTTTAAGTTTAAAGTTCGTTTTTAGTTTTGTCAATTATAAAATACTGTTTACTTGTTGCAGAAAATTTGAAATTGTGTTAGTTTTGTCCCACACATTATACCACAGGGCTTTACTTATAGTTTATCTGATCCTAATCACAATCTATAAGGTAATCACTATCCCTGTTTAAAGACAAGAAACTGTATGTTGTATAGTGTGTGTGTGTGTGTGAGAGAGAGAGAGAGAGAGAGAGAGAGAAGAGGAGAGAAGAGAGAGAGAGAGAGAACCCAAATCATTAAATCAAACAAGTTTATAGCACAGACTAACCGTAAAACATATGGAAAAGGATAATGATTACTATAAAGCAATTCATAATACCTATCATCATTGGGAGCAAATGCATGCAGAAAAAGCTTACTTTGGAGAACCTATTCAGATTTATGCTCTGCAGCCAACATAAATATGAAAAAAAGTCTATACATTTCCACTGCATTTGGCAAAAATAAGTAAGAGTGAGGGATGCCCTGGATACACTTGCTGAGTCACACTTGCCACTGAGGCAGGCAGGAGGGAGCATAGCATCATGGAAAATAATCATTCGTAGGCAGCTTTGATGTGAACGTGGTTTGCATGGTTTAAGGAGGTATGCTCTTGTCAACAATACCACAGCTTCCATGTCAAAAGGCAGGTCTCTCCTAAGAACATTAAGCATGTACTTATCTCCTCTAAGACGTGAGCAGATTCTATTTTACACACCCGTGTGGAAGTCAGCGGGGTATTTTAAGGGCTCCCTCAGTTATTAAATTGACATTTAGGAGGGGTGCAGTGGCTCACACCTGTAATTCTAGCACTTTGGGAGGCCGAGGTGGGCAGATCACGAGGTCAGGAGTTCGAGACCAGCCTGACCAACATGGTGAAATCCCGTCTCTACTAAAAATACAAAAATTAGCTGGGCATGGTGGCATGCACCTATAATCCCAGCTACTCAGGAGGCTGAGGCAGGAGAATTGCTTGAACCCAGGAGGTGGATGTTGCAGTGAGCTGAGATCATGCCACTGCACTCGAGCCTGGGCGACAGAGCAAGACTCCATCTCAAAAAAAAAAAAAGATTAAAAATAATTTCACAAGTAATCTATTTTTACTAGAAAAGTTTGAACTTACAACTAGCAAAAATAATAAACTCTTCTATTGATATCTGGATGAATGTCCTTTCATACTTTTCTAAATATCTATATAAACACACTATATTTCATGAAAATGAGGTGAAAAATGCCTGCTTTATTTTACATAACAATATATCGTCAGCATTTTGTCATTGTAGGGAAACAGTTCTCCATGAGCCTCTCACGTTTCTGCACATCTTGTGAGCAGAGGCATTCTCCACCTATTTTTCTGTCTATCTTTTCACAGATATTTATATAGTGAACAGGTGTGGAAGATTGGGGTAGCGTCTCCCTTCAGAACAATGGCAGATGTGTTCATTGTTAACTATAAAAGATTTGGGTTTCCTAAGCTTGGAGTTCCTGTTCTGTAATACAGCCACTGATGGCAGTGCTAGTGTTACCTGGCCCTTTCCTGTAACTCGGTGGTAATTAGGACTTGAGAAACTGGCAGGAAAAAGGATCCTGAAATTCTGGCTCCTGATATTGCTGTGAGTATTAGAGACCTTTGTTCCTGACCCAGGAGTCTTGTGTCTTCTTTCATGAAGCTATAGCAGAGTTGTTAACTCACAAGTTGGGTAAAATCTCAGACTCCCTGTGGTTCTAGACAATTATATTGCTAAACTATTTTTCAACATCATCATTCTTGATAGCTGTATTTTGACAAGTGCACTCCGATGTCTTTATCTAATTCCCTGTCGGATTCTTAAACTGTTTTCATGGTCTTGCCCTTGAATATAATATTTGCATACAACATATTCATACAACATATTCATCCCTTATAAATAACTTTTCTAGATGAAGATTTAAGGAACTTTTGCTCTTGATGAACTGCATATTAAATACCATTTCAGATTTTCTGGGTATTTAACAATTAATTTCTATTGACTGCTCCTCTGTCAGTGGTCCTGAAGGTCAGGCTCATTGAGGGGATGGATGGGTCAACCCATGACAGATGATGGGATGGCTCAAGTGTCAGAGGCCAGTCATCCTAGGGTTAGCTGTGAAAATAGAAGGCAAAAGGTCAGAAATCCAAAAGGATGATATAGCTCAAAAACCTCACAAATACGTTCTCACCCTAATATTCCACCTCTACAATTTCACGTTTAGTTGTTGCCAAGTGCATGCACATGAGACAAAACAAAGCCAAGGCCAAAGCCTGGCTAATTCAGCTGGTAATAGACAGTGAACCACTTATAGGTTTAGACAGTTATTATTTTTATATAGACAGTGAAGAGGGGGGCCAGTTCCCCATGATCTTTCCCAAACACCAAACTGAGCAACCCTGAAATGGAAGGGATCAGATGACTACACCATGAGCTGGGGCACTTGCAGATTTTGGCTGAACAGTTTCGTGTTCTGCAGCTCTACTTTTGGAGTGGGGGAAACAGGGCAGAAAGCGCCAAACCTTGTCAGCACCCTGGAGACCTTGAGAAACTGATTCATGACAACCTCTCAAGGAGAGAGGGAGATGAGTGGGAGATGGCTTCACAGCAGCTCCTACAAGCCTCATGTCCTTGGAGGAGCACAGGCATTGTGCCAAGCCATTCAAGAGGTAGCTTCTCTGGTTAGGTGCAAGTCACCAGGGCACCATGGTGGAGCCATTGCCCCACACTTACCTTTTTATCCTATTCTCTCACATTTCCTCCAACCTCTGCCCACACACTATTGCCTGCTGCTGCACATTCTCCAGACATACACCCCACACACCTGCAGCTGTGCCTTGGTTGCAGGTGAGCTTTTAACTGGGGCCGTTTGCCTCCATCTCATACCACCTAGCAAAGTCCCAGCTACCTCCAAGCTGAGCTTGGTGCCTTAATATATTTAATGATGATGACATCCCAAGAGCCAGCAGGGTGGGTATAGTATACTCATTTTACAGAAAAGGAGGGGAGTTGTTAGGGAACTTGCTCAGGGCTCTCCAGTAGCAGAGCCAAGATTCAACTCCTTTGATCCTTTGCAGGATGCAGCACAAAGCCTAGCTCATAGCAAGTTAGAATAAAATGTCTGGAGAGTCACATCAAATGAATTGCAGCAAGGGGGCATCAAGAGGAACTGAATCCACAGTCTTGGATAATCAGATCTAATGGTGGGTGCCAGAGCAAGTGACAGTCAAGGTACATGAGGGATGGGGCACTATCAGAGTCAGAGCTAATTCGGCCTGAATCCTGGGCCTTGTACAGTCTGGTCTTGAAGGGGCAGGGCCCAGCGCTGGTAGAGCTGGGGACTAGCTGTGCTATTGGAAGGTTGTGTTTGAGGAGAGAGGATTTGAGCATAGAAGGGGCATTAGCAGGTTTGGGGTTCATCCTGATGTTCCCTAGCTTCTCCCTTCTCTCTGGAGTCCCTCCTCCCCCTGGCCTGTCTTTAGCCCTTTTAGTTCCAATCACTTTATCCTTTCAGCCTGGCCGAGCTCTCCCGCTGGTCTCATTCTCCTCTAACCAGACCTGGGGTTGTCGGCTGCTTTTGGAATTCACCATTAGGAGATGAAGAGGCAGCCACAGGTTGACTGAGCAAGCGTCATTGTCTATTTGAAGTTTCAAAGGTATCTCTGAAAATAAACACAGTTTTCTGCAAGAGTGAAATGGCATCTGTGGTAGAATTGGAAAGACAGTTGTCATTTTGCTTGGAGTTCCTCTTCTATAGATGGCAGCTGGGCCTTTCAAAGTCAAGGGTGACAGTCTGCACATGGCTTCTCCCCAGCACTGTACTGGCTGGTGGGGGTGGGGTGCAATACAAGAGAAATAAACTTCCCCGGTTTGCTGCTCTGACTGAGGCCTCCTTCCCCCACCCCCTCATCAGCCAGGATGCAGGACTCCCTATCTGGGTATCTTCCACATTGAAAATTGTGCTGTGTTGAGATAACATGGCACAGAGATTCAACCCACAGGGGTTTTGGGGTTAGGCAGGCATAGCTATAAGCCTCAGCACTGCCCCTCTACAGCAGCTTTTGTAATGTTGAGCAAGTGACTTTGCCTCTCAGAGCCTCCATTTCCTCATGTGTAAATGGGGATAAGAGGATCTGCCTCCTAGGATGATAGGGATGGATTTAGTGAAATAGTGCATGTCAAGAGCTTATGAGTGTGTGGCCACAGCAGGAATTCATTACTGTTGCTCTATGACTGTTATCAAAGCTGTGGCCCACATGTACACCCGGCTAATGGCTAATGTGAGGTAGGCTGTGATGCCTGCTACAATGAAGCTGTGATTGTAACTATAGCCCACACCCATATCCCTGGGTCCCACACATGTGGATTCAACCAACTACAGATCAAAAATATTAGAAAAAAATAAAAGTAGCAATACAACAAAAATACATATAAGAAAACCCAGTATAACAACTATTTACGTAGTATTTAGGTATTGTAAGTAATCTAGAGATGATTTAAAGTATACAGAAGGAAGTGTGTAGATTCTATCTAAATACTATGCCACTTTGTATCAGAGACTTGAGCATCCATGGATTTTGGTGTCTGATGGTGGGGAGTCCTGAAACCAATCCCCCATGAGTATTGGGGATGACTGTATCATTATTGGGCCATCTTCTCCCTTGGGGAAACCAGATCTCCACCAGCATTAATAAGGCAATTGCTGTGCCAGAGACCATTAATATTGAGAATCTCATGTTTTCATGTTACAACATCATATTTAAGGATGTATAAGAGTTCTTTATCACTGGCAATAAACTCTAAAGATAAATGAGCCAGAGCCACCAAGGAATAAAAACTCTCCATCTTTGACTGTACACGCCCAAGGATGACGCTGTTACCCTTAGATCTAAGCCATAGGCCTGAACACAGGCAAACAGCTGTTGGTTAATGGCCCTGGAGATCTGGAGGGCTGAACAGAAACTCCCCAAATGATAACGTTCTGGGGAGTCATAGCACTGATGCATTCACTAGGCATCTACCTCTGATCTGGAGGAAGTCCATGCTGCTTCAAATTCAGAGACTGTGCCCTAGGCATCGTTTTGATTTTCCTCCTCTCCACCCCACTCTATGCTGTGAAACTGAGATTAATTGAACTGCTAAAATGATGAAGTTATATATACCAGCTAATTTTCCAATGGTCAGCATGACCTTTTATAGAAGTGTGTTCAGCATTTGAAAATGTATATTTTTTCAACATCTTACCATAAAATACATATCAGAAAGTAAAGTTTTAAATGATTTTCTTTTATACTGGCAAACTAGGAAGTATGAGATGTTCATTTGCCGCAGAGTTAGCAAATACATAACCAATTATGAAGTCTGAGAATATCACAGTTGACTTAAGCAGCAAATAGTCGTGCCTATGTAATTCCATTTAACTGGTTACTCAGCTCTTTTTTGAAAGGCATTATTTAGCTTGTTAGGGAACCTCAAAGGGAATCAGTTTTATTAAGCAACTAGACAATTAGACCTTGGAGTATTTAAAAAGATTACAGGCAGACAAATAGTACTGCAAACTGGCCTGTGAAATACATTCAAGAACTCCATAGACAGAAATAAAGATTTACAGAAGTCCTTTTTCCTATTGTGTTCTTTCTAATTACCTTTTTAATTGTGGTTTTTCTAATTGAGATTGTTTTTTCCAATGTAAGATATCTACTGCATAAATATATGCATATTATCTTCATAATACTTGTATTACAGATAAGCTAAAAGAAGAAAATGACCCATTTCAAGAAATAACCAATATCAATTCTTTGCTCTAAACTTTCCAGAGGCCTGTATAGTACAGCCAGATAGCCAAAAGCCTAGGGGCCAGAGTCCGAGTGACTGGATTTATAGCCTAGTTTTATCACTTATTGACTCTGATCTTGAAAATTCACTTGAACTTCGTTTGATTCCATTTTCTTATCTGTACAATTGGGATTTTAAATTGTACCTTCTGTACAGCATTTTGGGATGATCAAATGAGATAGTATGTGTAAAGTCTTAAATCAATGGCTGGTATTTGGTAAGTCTTCAATAAATATTAGCTATTTTATATATCTTATATAGACAGTGTATAATGAAAATGGGATTTTATTGTATGTTCTGTTTTTATAGTTCACTTTTTTTTTTTTTTTTTTTTTGAGACGAGTCTCACTCTGTCGCCCAGGCTGGAGTGCAGTGGCACAATCTTTGCTCACTGCAAGCTCCGCCTCCGGGGTTCACACCATTCTCCTGCCTCAGCCTCCCGAGTAGCTGGGACTACAGGCACCCACCACCACACCCGACACACCCGACTAATTTTTTGGTATTTTTAGTAGAGACGGGGTTTCACCGTGTTAGCCAGGATGGTCTCAATCTACTGACCTTGTGATCCGCCTGTCTCGGCCTCCCAAAGTGCTGGGATTACAGATGTGAGCCACCGCGCCCGGCCTATGGTTCACTTTTTATTTACTGGCATATTGTGAAGATTTTTCTATATAAATAGATGCACATCTCTTTATTATTTTTAATAGCTATATAATATTGCATCATCTGCTGCTTGATAAATTACCAGGTAGGAGGCTAAGCAGAGCCATGGTTTAGGCCCCACCCTTCCTTGCTAGAGCTCAGTGAGGGCAAAGCTTCCTGCCCTACCCCAGGTCACCCCTGATGTGCCACAGTGAGTATTTTTACCTTGGTTCAAACCCTGTGACCGAGTTCTCTGCATTCATGGGCTCCTTTACAGTAGCAGAATGCCCAGCTAGCAGAGGCACTGGGGATTCCCACCATCGAAGGCTGCTCAGGGAAGAGAGCCTCTTTCTTTGCTTCTAATAAACCAGCATCTCTGCCATTTGCATAACTTCTGGAGAAGGGCCAATACATTTTGGGAAGATGCTTGTTTTCTTGCAGAGGCAGCTGAAACTCATTTGAATAACCAAGTCAAATCAATTCAGAAGAAGCCAGCTCAGCATGAAAGCAAGGATTATCATTCTTGTTCCTGCCATATCCCTCCAAGTAGCACAGTGAACCAACTGCAGAATCATAGACTCCGTGCTTTAGGATGTGCAAGGTGACCTGGTCCTCCTTTACAGGTAAGCGAGTGGAGGCATGACCCCAGGTCACATGAAAAGTAAGGGGCAGAACAGGGGAAAACTCAGGTATTTGGACTTCATGTTCAGAGTTCTTCCCACTCCACTCTACTACCTTCTACTCTCTCTCATCCAAGAGAGATTGAAAGTGACTGCAGGTGCAGACTTTTGTGAGAGGATATAATTAAAGCGCTACTGTTGATCTCTTTTGTTCCCACTTGGTCAGGACATCTTGGGGAAAATTAGGGTGGACAGAGCTACATGGGTTAGGGAGGAATAGAGTGCAAGGTAACATCAATGAAAACGAGTTGCTAAAAAGAGAAAATGATGTTACTGATTCAATCCTCTAAGTGGCTAACTCAACAACAGCAAATATGCTGTGTGTGTCCACCACTGGGGCATCCTATCGAAGAGTTTGATGCATGGAGAGACAAAGTTCAGTTCTTGGCAGGATGAGAGGAAACATTGTGCTGATCTAATATGGAATCCATTCTCAGCTCTAGCATTTGCCCCCAAGGACCGCATAGATGTATGATGTTCCCTGAATTATCTTTTCAAAATGCAAGTCTAGGCTTGTGGTTCCCTGCCTTAAACCCTGTCAGTGGCTCTCCATTGTCTTCTGAGTGACCTACTGACCCCTCAGCAGGAATCTTTGGGGGTGAGAGCAGCAAGGAAGGGGTAGGATGATTATGAGAGGTAGGATGAGCTTCTTAATTACACATTTCTCGAGGTCTAGAGCCCTCCAGTAATGGTACCTGGCAGAAAACAGCCTTGCCCTGCAGAGTTGTCTAGAAGTGGATGACAAAACCCAGCGGGGCCAGGCCCAGAGTACTGGTCCTACCTTGACGGCAGGACCTCAGCCTTATAGATTTCTGCAGGGTCAACCCAGAGAACATAGATGCATGGAATAGACCAAAGCAGTTATTTGCTTTCCCCCGACAAGGCCCTTAGTGTCTGCGGCTCACCCCATCTAATGGACTTGGAGTTCGAGACAGCTGTTGACCCTGTCACTTTTCCAGTTTGATATTTAGTTATCAGTGTGCTCAGCCCTTATCTTTTAGATATTTGACATTCAAACCCCAGTTGGGACTCTTGTACATCAGCTGGCTAGGAAACATTTTGGGTAATTGGATGGTGGCACTACCTGCCAGCTACCAGTTGGATTCGGGTGCTGTCTTTCAACATCAGTGTGTACTTATGCAGTTTATTGCATTTTAAAATTGTTATATAAAAATCAGTAAAAATGAAAACTGAAGGTCTGATATTAATGGTAAGAATTAGTGGCCTTATAAATGCATTCAATTGAGGCAAAGATGAAAAGCAATAGCACGTTAACAGTCTTTGATTTTGAAGAACATGCACCAAACAGAAGGCAATATATTGACAACATAATTTTTCTATGCCTTAAAGATAGGGCTAGTTAGAATTTTCATAATTTGTCTCTCAGAGATCAGAAGTCTTCTTCTAAAATATATTATCTATTTTCAGTTTTCACACTACTGACTGATGTTCAGAAGGAAGGTCTTGACGTCAAGCATCTCCTGCCACAAGGAAAACTTTAGGGGGAAATGTGAGCAAAGTGCAGAGGGTGAGGCTCATGAGAGGGGTGGACAGGTGAGGAGGCAGTGCTGAGTTCTGAAGGCCGCCCTGATGCTGAGATTCCATAGCTGGGGCTACCCTCATGACCCCTAAAACTCTCTTATCACTAAATACCAAAGGACTGTCCCCTGAGGACTGATGGACCAGATACACAGTGTTAAAATAAAAACTTTAAATAAATTAAATATAACAGAGTTTAACTGAGCAAGAAAAAGAAAAAGATTCACGAATCAGGCAGCCATCAGAATCACAGCAGATTCAGAGAGATTCTAGCACTTGCCACATGGTCAGAGCAAATTTATGGACAGAGGGGAAAAAAAGGAGCCTGCAGAAAACAACAGTGAGGTCCAGAAACAGCTGGATTGGTTATGGCTCTGCGTTAGCCTCCTTTGCACATGGTTTGAACAGTTGGCTGCCTGTGAGTGGCTCAAGCATGGCTGCTGGGATTGGCTGAGACTCTGCTAGCTTACAGAAGCATACTCCTGCGTTAGTTTTCGGTTTGCCTGCCTACTATGTTAGGTTACAGTTCCTCCATAAGAACTCAAGTATGAGAGTACAGAGGCTTTCTCAGACCAGATCTTAGTTTGACTTTACAGTGATGCTGGGCTTGGTGTGAGATGTGGGGAAAAGGCACGGGCTAAGAGTTTAAGAAGAGGTGGCTTGAAGCCAGTAATATGCTCTTGGATGGAAACAGCTTTTTACTTTCACTCAGGGGCGAAGACAACTGGACCACGGGCTATAAAGAACTGTGCTCTACAGAAATGGGACAGAAATGCCTACTGAGGGCCTAGAGTGCCTAGTACATTAGCGTTCATTACATGTTGAGGGGTCCCCTTTTGTCAAGTAGAGGAAGCAGAAGTTGGTCACATTATGTTAATATATCTGTGTCAGTCGTGTAGTTATCAAATGCCCCTTGCTGTTCTCTCTAATCTTTTCACTACTCTCATTGGGGAAAGGAGATGAAGGGAACCGACATTTGCAGGTGGGGCTGCTGCATATGATTATGGAGAGACTATGTGAATGACACCCTTGGCATTGCACAGTGCACAACCTATGCAGCTGTACAGGATGATCCTGGCTGTTGTTTGCCTCCTGTTGTTATAGCAGGTAGCTAGTTTTGCATGAAAAGGGCAGGATGGGGTTCCCTCCCACTGCATCAGGAAGGTCAGGCGACCATCAGGCAATATGGTCAGGCGGTTGTTACACTGTTTCTCTAAAATGGTAATTGGTCGCAGCCAGCACTAGGGAAAGGCAGTCTCCCAATAGACAGAAAAAAACCTGAAACTGGTGATCAGCAGTTTCCCGATAAGATCTCAGGAGTTGGGTGAGTGGGCTCAAGCATGTACACTAAGAGGCAAAATGGCGGAGTTTAACTGGTATATGACCTTCTCAGAGCATTCATCTGGTGAGGGAGGAATGCCTCAGGTGAGCATCACACAACTCCAGGAAATGGTTGTAGCGGCTCCTCCCAAGTGCTAGCAGGCCACTGTGCATGCAGGTATCCCACATCAAGGGAAAAATCAGGGGAGAAGAGAGGCAAGCTCCAAGAAGTATGCCAATATTATAAAACCCTGAGTCAAAGGTCAAACTGGACACTTGATCTCTCAAGTTGGCTGCTTGGCCCTCTTGCAAGTGTATTTTCCTTCCTTTCATTCCTGCTCTAAAGCTTTTTAATAAACTTTCACTCCTGCTGTAAAACTTGCCTCGTTCTCTCACTCTGCCTCATGCCCCTTCAGCTGAATTCTTTCTTCTGAAGAGGGAAGAACAGGTTGCTGCAGACCCATACAGATTTGCTGCCAGTAACACTATGTTTATAGTACTGTGCTAGATCTTCCTATTATCACATCAAATTGCACTCCTAAAAGCCCTGGGAGGTGGGATTATCCCCACTTGTCACTAAAGAAATAATGAGTTGGAAAAGTTGAAGGATGTCCCAAGATCACAAAACTAGGACTAGAATGAAAACTGTAGTCTGACTCAGCCAGCTCTTTCTCTTTTCTTTTAAAAAAAAGAAAAATCTCTTTCTTTTAAATTATACTTTAAGTTCTAGGGTACATGTGCACAATGTGCAGGTTAGTTACATATGTGTACATGTGCCGTGTTGGTTTGCTGCACCCATTAACTCGTCATTTACATATTCACAGGTGAATTCTATCAGAGGTACAAAGATGAGCTGGTACCATTTCTTCTGAAACTATTCCAATCAATAGAAAAAGAGGGAATCCTCCCTAACTCATTTTATGAGGCCAGCATCATCCTGATACCAAAGCCTGGCAGACACACAACAAAAAGAATTTTAGACCAATATCCCTGATGACCATCAATGCGAAAAATCCTCAATAAAATACTGGCAAACCGAATCCAGCAGCACATCAGCTAGCTCTTTCAGTCATCCCAGAGAGTTTGGAGCTGAATGCACCTATGTGCAAATGAACCATCCACCTAAGAGTGCAAAACCTGTGCAATACACAGAAGCCCTGCGTTCCCTCACTGCATGATGCTTTCTGTGTCTGGCATTGGCTCCCAGAGACTGGCTCTCTGGAAGTTCGAGGAGGAATTACAGCTTTAGCAGGAGCCTGGGTTCTTCAATCCAGAATCTATGCACTGAATCGTAAACTCTCATTTGAATTTGATCTCCTGCATTAGCTCCAGAATCTATTCCTTCTCTTCTTCCTTGATACTTCTTTTCATCTTTTTATGTGAAGGATGGGAGTCCCTGCATTATTTAATGCTCAGTGTCCTTCACAGCTGGGGCAGCAATTCTAACATTGAGCTATAAAACATCAGAAGAGAAAAAAGGAAAGTCTGCCCCTGTTACAGGAAAGGGGTCCCAATCCAGACCCCAAGAGAGGGTTCTTGGATCTTGCCTAAGAATTTACGGAGAGTCCACAGTGCAAAGCGAAAGCAAGTTTATTAAGAAAGTAAAGTGGTGAAAGGACAGCTACTCGATGGACAAAGCAGGGTGTTCCCTAAAGTAAGAGGGGGAATGTGTCCACCCTAGTTACAGTGCTTGTTTATATACAGGATAAAAAAGATTGGGCCGGGTGCAGTGGCTCACGCCTGTAATCTCAGCACTTTGGGAGGCCGGGGCTGGTGGATCATGAGGTCAGGAGATCAAGACCATTCTGGCCATCATGGTGAAACCTTGTCTCTACTAAAAATACAAAATATTAGCCAGGCATGGTGGTAGGCACCTATGGCCCCAGCTACTTGGGAGGCTGAGGCAGGAGAATTGCTTGAACCCAGGAGGCAGAGGCTGCAGTGAGCCGAGATGGCGCCACTGCACTCCAGCCTGTGTGACAGAGCGAGACTTCATCTCAAATAATAATAATAATAATAATAATAATAATAATAATAGGGAGATCTGCTCTGTTATAAGGGTTTGTGATAAAGGACTAATTTTCTTAATTACTGTATTTCGCAAGAATCAATACTATCTTTAAAGCAAAACTAGAAATGCGTTTGTTCTCAAGATATTGGGATATCAGGACACTTCCAAGTCTGGGTGTGTTTAGCAAACATTGTCAATCTATTCCCCTAACCGTAAACATCTAGAGGCTAGAAATACCTCAGTTTCTGAGAAGGCAGCCCAGCAAATCCCAGCCTCATTTTCCTAGCCCTCATTCAAGATGGAGTCACTCTGGTTCAAATGCCTCTGACACCCCTAATCAAAAAGGAAGAGACTGCTGATGATGCCTTTAGGACAAAGGCACAGAACTGGAAGGAACCTGCAGAGAGGAGCTGCCAGCCCCTACCTTCTCTCCCACAGAAAGATGTGCTCAGGTCAGAGAAGGATATTTTGGTTATCAAGGGGAGATGAGGCATGAGAGAGAGAGAGAGAGACAAATAGACAGACAGAGAAACAAATAGAAAATGATTATAAGGCTGTGGTTAGAAATTCCATGGCTCAATGGACCAGGCAGCCACACAAGTGAGTAAAGTAGGTGGTAGAATCCATGGCAAAATGGAGATGTCATGCTCTAAAGGGGCTGTACCTACTCATAGACCCAACCAGTTGTGGCCAAGTACTTATCCCATGTACTAGGATGTACTAGGACTGGTTTTAAGAAAATCTAAGCTTTTGAATTTTAAAGAATAATTATAATAGCTACCACTTGTGAAGCACTCAAGGCTGAGGGCAGAGCATGGAGAATCTATTTGGGAATAAGAGGAAGATCAGAAGTGAGTGGAGACAAAGGAGCTATGAAGAGTAGCAAACAAACAGAAAATCACATCCATGGAGACAGCAGTGGAAGGGAGGGAGGTGACCATCTGCAGTGGCACCTGGCAGAGAGGTGGAGACCCAGGATGGACAAGGAAAGGCTGGTGAACATAGTGTGCAGGATGGCTTCGGTGACCTCCCAGGGACTAATTTCAGCAGAGGGACAGAGATCAAAACAGACTACAAGGAGCGGGCAAGTGGGTGGGTGGAAGAAAGCAGATGCAGGTGGCACTACTCGTTTCAAAAGTTTGGCCAAACTCCTTAGAATTCTGAGTTTTGTATTCCATCCCCATTAGTACCATTAGTTTCAGTGGCTACTTTCAATTAGTTCTCCACGCAGGCATCTGCAGCCTTTTCCTTCCCACTGTTCAAGCCTATTATCAGAAAGAAAAAAGGAAGCAACTCAGTTGGGATCTTCTTTTTAAATGTTCATCAAAGAAAGAAAATCAGCAAAACTGCTGAGTTTATTCTAAGCACAGCAGTGTAGAGTCCAACCACCAAATTTATTTCCACCTGAATCTCTAATGAGGGAGGGAGAGGTGAAACTGTCATTCTTCAGTGCAAATTTCTTCAGATTTACCTGTAGATGGGGAAACTGCCAGGCCTCCCTTAGGACTGCATTTTTTTGGTGACAGCCATTCCTCCAAGACACAAGAACCCTCTTATGCAAGTCTTTTGCTCAAGGTCTCCCTCTTGGTCTTCCTAAAACTTGCTTGGAACTGCAGTGCAGCCTGAGACTCCTGCCCAACCCCTCTTCTGTCCTTCTGTCATTCACAGGTGTCAGAGTGGCACAGCCATTTGAGAGCGCTCGCAGTTGCCTCCACATCACAGGTGTGTGTGTCACAGGTGGTGTGACCACCAACACTGACTTCTAAAATGTTAATCCAACTGCCCCCTTTTTTTTTTTTGAGATAGAATCTCACTCTGTCACCCAGGCTGGAGTGCAGTGGCACTGTCTCAGCTCAGTACAACCTCTGCCTCCTGGATTCAAGCAATTCTCCTGCCTCAGCCTCCCTAGTAGCTGGGACTACAGGCACACACCACCACGTCCAGCTAATTTTTGTATTTTTAGGAGAGACGGGGTTTCAACATGTTGGCCAGGCTGGTCTTGAACTCCTGACCTCATGGTCCACCGGCCTCAACCTCCCAAAGTGCTGCGATTACAGGCATGAGCCACTGCTCCCGGCCCCCTGACACTTTTAAGGAAAACAATTGTACCTCTAGTTTAACATTTTGATGTAGTACAGGCTTCTGCAACTGAGCACTTGTAAATGCCTTATATTTAGTTGTAATGCCATTTGGGGCACTAGGTATGGTGCGTCATATGAAAAGAGGCCTTACGTTATAGAGTCCAAAGGATAGCGCAAATGTGTTCCAGTTTCCTGATCCTTCCATAGAGACTCCAACCTGGGCACACACATGGGCATTCCCTTTCTTTCCAGTCACCTTCCCTGACCTCACAATCATGATTATTTGAGCTCTTTTTTCACCCTAGGGCTCCTGGCTGCATCCCAGAAGTGTGTGTGGCATCTTCAGGTTCTGAGCATCACTGTAGGCTCAGTTCTGGAGAGGAAGTGGCAGGCACTTAGCTGAAGAAAGCCTCACTTCCTTCGGATTTTTCAGACTTGAGCTTTAAGAGGACAAACAGCCCCTCCTCTAGCTAAATTTGCCAGCTTTAACTCATATGCTTTTATGCCAACCTACCAAAGATTTTTTTTTCCATCTTTTTATTAACCTTGCCAAACATTCCCAGGAGCTCTGCCTGGAGTGATGGAGGTAGGGGGAAAGGGAGAAAAAACGGAAAACAAACCCATCTCATCACAAGTATAAAGCTCTAAGCGTCAGGAGATAACGAACTAAAGTTATATAATTTATTTAAATATTCTTCCACCTGAGAGAGAGCTTAAAACCCCTAAGAGTCTTTTCTGAACTACACAGAGGGGAGTGGAAGAAAAGATGTTCCGATTTAATTCCTACATTATAATGAAAGCAATTGTCCTGTGTGTATCATTATTTTTCCATTATCTTAATGCATCAGTTAATGAAAATTTTCAGAGCCCATTCACATGGCTACAGTAGCTGAGAAGTTAGATTGCATCCTCCACCCTGTGGGTACAGATGCAGCTGCACTGCACATGGGTTGTCTTCCACACATCAAAATCTCACCAGTGCTAACCCTAAGTTGGGCTGCATATGCCAGCCTAAGGGTACAAAGCAGCTTCCATTTCATCCAGATGGATTTCTCTCCCCCATTACCTTCCATTTGCAGCATCACTGTAGACATAGCCCATTCAGAAGGTACCCTCTGTGTTGATGATAGCAGATTCATAGCTCTTGGGCACCACAGGCACTCGGGGATCCCAGACACTTCGGGCATGACACACAACTTTGGGACAATAACTTCCTCTGTATGAGAAGAAACAATATTTTTAATGTGTAAAGAGTTCAGACTTTATCCACTGCCTGCATATAACAATTTCAGAATTGCCAGCTTTGCTTTTCCTGTACTTCCCCCTCTTTTCCTTATTTTTGAGGGCAGAAAGGGCAAAAGCTTATGCAAAGCCTGATGAGAAAAGAGATGGGAGAGAAGAATGTATTTCCCAGGCAGCTTCATGGGGAGCAGGAGGATGAAACTGGTCAAATGGGTCATGATAGGAAAACAAGACACTCAGGTGGCAGGGACAGGACCATCTGGATGAGAGAGAGTATACTCATGGCGTAGGAGTGAGAAATCTCTGACTAATTGGGGGTGGCAGAGAACAGAACAAGAGAAGTTATAAAGATTTGGTGTAGATTTTGCTCTTGGATCCCCCATGAATTTTTGAGAAAGACCTAAGTAAAATTAAATCCCCTTCATGGGTTGCAGTTCTTCAAATGTGATACTCTTCTGAAACTGGCCCACTGGGTCTTAGCTTTACGGGCAGGATATTTTGTTTCTTGGCCACTCTGTGCCCATCTACCATCCAAGCACCAGGACTAATGTGAAGGGGCAACAATGTAGAATTACAGGCTTTCAAAGGATGAAGTCACATTAGAGATAATCGACTCTAGCCTCATATCTAATTCAGGAAACTTCCTAGTGCTCCCTTGCCTCGTCTCTGGTTAAAGGATTCCAATAATATGAATTTCAGGTCCAATGTAGAGGCAGTGTAGGTGTGGTTTCCAGACATTTACAATGGTTAAACTCCTGTTCCCTGAGTGTTAGGTCTGTCACCTGGAAAAGAGTCACAACAGTCCCTTTCTAGAATGTCAATGAGGGGAATAAAGAACAGAATGGATGCAGATATGCTCCAGAAAGAACAATGCAGATTCTAATCATCGTGAGTACGGCCTCCTGACTCAGTGGCCTGGATTGAGTCTACATGTTGACCAAATATCTGGTCAGTTTAGTGAGGTCCAGTGTGGAAACATCCATAAAATAAGTGATCTACTGGAGTTTTGGTTTTAAAGCTCTGGTGACATGCTAATACCCAGCTGTGCTCAATTAACAATGAGAAAGCATGTTCAAAAGACTATCTACACCAGGTGGATAGAGAACCTTGGAAAACCAACACTTTTCCAATCAAAATTATTTCATTCGTAGAACTTTTTAGTAGCTATTTCAAATATCCTTTCATTTAATGAGCTTGGTATCTGAATAAGAATATATCATAGGAAATGGGAGTCTTAGAAAATCTGACACTAAAGTAGAAAAAAAATTGAAAGAAAAATATTCCAAAATAAGAGTGGAGGAATTCAGGACAGCTTATTTTTCTTCCGTGTTGAAAATTCTCTACAATAATGCTATAATACCTTAAAAATAACAATCGTGTTATAATAATACTAAGCACAATTTAACGGGTAGCTTTATGTATGTTCTTAGGTTAATTATTTCACCTTTCACTACTTCAGTTTCTTCATCTTCACAGCAAGGGGATTCAAATAGATGCTACATAAGGACCTTTCTTATAACAACTCTATTGTGTGAAAATTTCACTTACATGCAATAGATGTCACCCCATTCAAAAATCTTTCAGCTTCACAGTAGATTATTTTTCCGTAGGAAAAACACATCTTTTGTTAACGATTATATGCATCTTGCCTCAGAAACAATAAATACAAGAATGACAGACGTTTTACGTCTCAGAAATTTTTCACTAATACAAGAGCAAATAATACAAGAATGATAGACATTTTGCATTTCGGAAATCTTTGACTAATATAATACAAGGGCTATGACACTGTGACTTTGGCCATGAGAGGATGGGTGTTATACATCACATTTACACCTGGTTTACCCAGTGAAAACTGGCAAGTCTCAGACGAGTTAGTGCCCTTTGAGTCCATCCCTTTTGTAGTGCATAAGCTTCACCGCCATTCGCAGCATACACAACCTGAGTGCTCACCTGACCCAGGGCAGCTACCATTGCCTGAGTTGACTGCCCAGCCCGATAAGCCATTAGGTAGACAAGAATGTGGTGGATATGCATAGCAGTGCCTTTGAAATTTGCATCCTCCTTAAAATCAAGCTACATCTCATATGCAAAATATAAAATTAAAAGAAATTCATGAATGCAAACACTACTGGGTCTAATTTTAAAGTATAATTTAAATAAAATAGAGTATTAACTACACATTGGAAAGGAAGAATTTTAAGAAAAATCTATACGAGTATTTAAAATGTTGGATTTTTGCTGGGTGACACAGTGATAAAAATCCAATATTTGGTGCCAGACAGACTAACTTTCTAGGTTTGATGCTAAGTATTTAGCACCTCTGAGTTTCAGTCACTTCATTGGTAGCATGGGCATGTGGTAGGTTCCTTTCTCCTTCCTTGGATAACCTGAGTTATCTTTAATTCTGTGGTATAGTTTATAAAATGTTGGAAATATTTTATACAGATCCACATTTCCTTTCAAAGTTTCTTGGTACGTGTGATAGCAATACATCTCCATCTCACTGTGCCCTCCTTGCCTATTGATGAAAGGAATTGGGAAGAAAGGCTACAGTTTCTTATCATTGTGATTACTAATTTGCTAAAGCATTAAATTAATAGCAGATCCCAGGTCCTAATCCTCCAGTTCCATAAAGGGATAAAGGCATGTCTATTGTACCACCAGCTATGTATGCTGTTGTCTTGTTGCTTCTTGAAAATGAAGCTATTTCTTATGTGCATAAATAATCTACTTTTTTAATTTTTATTTTTTGATGAGTCTTGCTTTGTCACCCAGGCTGGAGTGCAGTGGTACAATCTTGGCTCACTGCAACCTCCGCCTCCCGGGTTGAAGCGATTCTTCTGCCTCAGCCTCCCCAGTAGCTGGGATTACAGGTGCACACCATCACGCCTGACTAATTTTTGTATTTTTAGTAGAGATGGGGTTTCACCATGTTGGCCAGGCTGGTCACGAACCCCTGACCTCAAGTGATCCACCTGCCTCAGCCTCCCAAAGTGCCGGGATTACAGGTGTGAGACACTGTGCCCGGCCAATAACCCACTTTTGAGACTGGAATTTTATAGATGCACATGCGAGACTATGCGGCATAATTTAATACATATTGTTTTATTGTGGGGATAGGAAAAACAAAAGATATATTTGTAAAATTCTACAGTAAAAATGCAGTGCTAGCACTCAGATCTTCATAAATGATAGCATCTGTCGCCATCACTGCTTGTTGCCTCTCCAGCAGCTGTCCCCCGCCTATACTCCCCTGCTGGGGGAACCTGGATCAATGACAAACAGAAGCTCAAAAGGTTAGAAACTCACTTTCCAGTTGCTCTTGAGCCACTGGCAGCCATGACACCTAGTTTTATCCAGAGACATTGGTGGAAATACCTTGGGGGATCTTCTTGGAAAGATTTTCCTCCTGGAGAGATATGGGCTAGAGCTCTACCCCATCTTGCTTTTGGACCTTTGGAAAACTCAGAAAATAGCAGAGGCAATAACCTGGTATCCAGACATAACTGAGTTACTGAACCAACCCCAATAATCAACTGCTTCTGAACTTATTATTTGGAAGGAAAAATAGTCCTTATTGCTTAAACTGCTTTTAGCCTGCTTTTGGGTACTCTACTCCTTGCAGTTGAAAACATCCCTCCGACTGCCTCTCCCACTGTTCCACTCTGGCTCTGAGCCTGCCTACCTCTTGCTTTTATCCTGGTGTGATCTCTGGCACACCCAAGCATACTGCCAGAAAAAAAATGACACAAAGTTGGCCTTTTCTCAATCCCTTTGAATGCACTGCTCCCACATGTCCTGATGAGAGACGTGAGACCCTGAAATCAAATTCCCTTAGGAGCCTCAGGGAAAGGGACTGAAAAGGGCAGAGCGGGAAGGAGGGGCAGGCACAGGTGGGTTGGTGACACTGAAGTGGCCTAGGCAGCTATCACATGCCCTGGAGGAGCCGCAGGGCACATGAGCTGCCCCTGACCCCAGCAGGAACCACGGGCTGTGAGCTGCAGCCCCTCTAGTTCCAGAGGTGACCTTTACAGGCTAAGGCTGAGTTGTCCAATTGTCTGAATCCTAAGAGATGGTGGCTGAGAGAAATGCCATTGGCAATTGCCATCCACAGGGCTGCAGAGAGATGGCGGAAGTTTCAGGGAGTCCCTGCAGCAGGGAGAAGCAATTCTACAGCCTCTGCCTTGATTAATGATGCTCTGTAGGGCACTGTGGAAACACTGGCAAGGGTTCTACGAAGGACTGGGCTACTAAGGAACTGCTGAGTTGCCAGCTGAGGCACCTTGCTGCTCAAATGTCCCCAGCTCTCTGCATCCTCCTCTCGTGATTCACCCTTGACATCTGTGCAGTAGAGAAGGAACATATTTCTCTGTTATATTCACCCCTCACTGTAGACGGAAAATAGCTTCCCCTCACCAGGAGACTGTCTCTAGAGAGTGAAGCCCGCAAATCTAGAGTTGATCCAACTGTGAAGGACCTAAAGTTCTAGTCCCACCTTCAGATGGCAAGCAGTAGATGCCACCTGGGCAAAGATGCTTATGCCTGCAGAGATCAGCAGGCAAGTCCCATGCAGGTAAATCACAGACTGGCTACTTTCACTAAGACATGAAGCTCTTCAAACTTTGGGCAGCAGAGCAGGATGCTTTGTTTATAAACATTGGCAATCTCGAGTTTTCTGAAAAGCTTGGAATGGCTCACAAGCCTTCAATAAATTCCAGTTTCTCCAATTCTTTGTGCTCAAGTGTACTGACACAGCACAAAATGAAGTGGAAATGTAGCAAGAGATGGTCGAGTTGGTGACAACCAGCTGATATCACTAACTTGTCTATTGACGTCACTAATATCAAACCATGGCTAAGTTTCCCCAGAGCTGTGCCCATGTAAGCATTGCAGTAATAATCATAACAGCAAATATGATGGGATGTGCCAGACACCAGGCTCATGTGCTTGTCGCCGTTTAATCCTCATGACCCTATGCAATAAGAATTTCCTTTTTTTTTTTTTTTTGAGACAGAGTCTCGCTCTGTTGCCCAGGCTGGAGTGCGGTGGCACGATCTTAGCTCACTTCAACCTCCGCCTCCCAAGTTCAAGCAATTATCCTGCCTCAGCCTCCAGAGTAGCTGGGATTACAGGTGCCCACGACCGTGCCTGGCTAATTTTTTTGTATTTTTAGTAGAGACGGGGTTTCATCATGTTGGCCAGGCTGGTTTCGAACTCCTGACCTGAAGTGATCCACCCACCTCAGCCTCCCAGAGTGCTGGGATTACAGGCATGAGCCACCGTGCCTGGCCAGGAATTTACTTTCTGTGTAGCATTGGCAAGTTACTTATTCCCTTGAAGCTGATAAGTAACAGAGCCAGGACTCAAATATGTGTCTGGTGGAGTCCAGGACCTGGGCTTTAGACCACGGTGCTGTCCCATGTCCTCTGAACTGGCCCTGGGAAGCTCCACCTTGCGCTCCACTCATCCTCACAGTGTCTTTCCCCTGACATGTTGCTTTTAGGAAGGTGGCTAATTAATAGGCTCCGTTATTTTTCAGGTGATTTGAAAGGGCAGTTGCAGACCCATTAAAGGTCAGCAAGTTCATGGAAGCCAGGGTGACTCAACGATGACTTGCAATGGTGCAGCATGAGAGCATCTGTCTAGCAGTGAAGTGGGTCCAGGGCCAAGCTCACACTGCTGCTGGCTCTGCCCTCCTGTTTCTATGGTATACAGCAGACTGGCATTACACTTGCCCAATAAAACAGGGACATTCCTAATTAATATCCCAACAACACTTTACTTAGAGTGTGTGTGTGTGTGTATGTGTGTTATAGGGTGTGTGAGTGTAGTTAGAGAGAATGTGTGCGTATTCTGTGGTATTATAGCATAAATGATTTGCATCATATAAATGAAAGGGAACATCACTACTCTTCTGAACACAGCGATTCCTTATGGCATCCCATCACTGGCAAGAATTATGCTTAAGGGTTAATCTATAGCTTCTAAGTCAATAAAGCCATGTGAATTAAGCCTACATCACAAGGCTTTTTTTCCTGATACCAACCTTCATGGCTGGCCATAGACTATAGAATTGGATTCTGGCTAAGAGGACAGTTAAAACTCAAGTCATAGACCTTCCCAGAAAGGGAAATTTGATTCAAGAATTGAAAAATCAATTGTGAATACTTTTAATAAGTAAAACAAGACACCTGAAGGCCTAATATGTACTACCTTAGTGTTTGTTAGGGCAGCGTTCTAAGCTTGCAAAAGAACATGTGAGAATTTTAGAAATAACCCTGGAATCAAACTGAACTTTATAGGTTTGAACTACTTTTAAGGGGAGGGCTGTGTGCACGAGTGTGTGTGCCTGTGTGTATGTGCCTGTGTGTGCCTACATGTGTGTGCCTGTGTGTGTGCGCCTGTGTGTGCCTGCGTGAGTGTGCCTGTGTGTGTGTGTGTATGTGTGTGTGTGTTGGGGACAGTAAAGAGGATACTCCAGGCTGTTAGTGCAGAGACAATTTTCAAATAAATTTAATTTTCTTTTGTGCGCTGCCTTACAGAAAAGACCCATGTAAATGAAACATTTTGAGGATCCAAGTGCTTACTTAGAAAAATACAATAAAACAACTTTAAAGGAGCCTATGAGACCGAACCTTTTGTAACTCAATAGTTTGACTAGGAATTCCTATTCCTTCTGCATTTGAGCACCACAAGCCAATTATTTATCATAAAACTTTCTAGGTGGTCCTCAGTATAAAAGTTGAGAAAGCATGTCACAAAACACACATGAGCACTTAAAACCTTTAAAAACAGCCACCTTATTCTGTCTTTCCTTCTGATTAAACAACATCAACATGACCGCATTTTACTTAACTAAGACAAAAGATGTGAAAACTCCATTTACTAAGCGAGAGAGCGATGTACTCTAAATCATTAGCAATTATAAAGAGTACACATATTTCATTATGAGAGATTGGCTATACATTTATTTTCTAACCCATCCATTAGTGAGAAATATTGGCCGCACATATTAGTGGTTGTGTTGGACGAATGATTTATATTTAAAATCTCATTTTCACTTCTCAGAAGCACTTTGGAAGTAAGTGTTTTGTTCATGCTGAGCACTGTGGATGGTTTGCACCTCCTGTGACTGCTTCAGGCAGCTTCGCCAGGCTGAGCGAGCACAGGAACCACGTGCTATGCACACTTGAAACACTCCAGGTTTCCTCCCTATGCAGACAACAACAGCCATGGGAACTTCCCTCTCCTCTGTATCAACAGAAGTATAGTGGAAAGCAGAACCCAGCTGTTACGGGTCAAACTGTGTCCCCCAAGAATTCATATGTGGGAGCCCTAATGCCCAGGACCTTGAAATGTAACTGTATTTGGTGATAGTGTCTTTAAAGAGGCGATTAAGTTAAAATGAGGACTTTAGGGTGAGCTCTGATCCACTCAGACTTGTGTCCTTATGAGAAGATGAAATTTGGACACAAAAGGAGGTATGAAGGATTTGTGTACACAGGGCAACAACCATGTGAGGACACAGCAAAAAGGCGGCTGTCTACAAGCCACGGAGAGGGGCCTCGGAGGAAACCAACCCTGCCAACACCTTGATCTTGGACTTCTAGCCTCCAGAGTGATGAGAAAGTTAATTTTTGTTGTTCAAGTCACCCAGTCTGTGGCACTTTATGGCTACCCTAGCAAAGTAAGACATCTGCTTGCTTATTCATTGGGCAAAGATAGATCTAGCATTATGCTGATGATTCTCAAAACATGGCAAGCCTTGGAGGTTTAATGTCAGCTTTGCTCCCATTCCAGTAAAGGAGAGCCATCTTCTGTGAGTAACGATTTCACCAAGAACTTAAAATTTTGAGAGATGTCTGACCCATGTGATTATAGTAAATGACCAAGTCTTCAGTTAATAATGCTAGCAACAATCATCACCAGCATTTATTGGATGCTTATGATGTGCCAGGCTCTGTACTGCACATTCTATGTGTGTTATCTGGTCATCATCCTTGCAATCATATTAGGCTGATATCATTGTTAATCCAGCTTTACAGAAAAAGGATTCTATCTTGCCCATGGTTACATAACTAGGAAGCCCAACTTGGACCCAGGTAACTCGTGTCTGGAGCTTATGGTTTTAACCTCTAAGCTATATTCACTGGTGATGTTAGTGGCCTTACAATGCAAGCATTTGAAAATGAAGTGATAGCCTTATTTTTTCCTCCAAACAAGTGACTATGATGATAGGGGACCACATTCTTTTGTGAGCAGGGTCTGCTTTCTCTCTACTCTTCTATCTTGCCCACCTTCCAGAGTTTATCCACCTCCTGCAGGAAGCCTTCTGGCCCTACCCTATCTGATGTGGTTTGGCTGTGTCCCCACCAAAATCTCATCTTGAATTGTAACTCCCACAATTCCCAAGTGTTGTGTGAAGAACATGGTGGGATGTAATTGAATCATGGGAGTAGGTCTTTCCTGTGCTGTTCTCATGATAGTAAGTCTCACAAGATCTGATGGTTTTAAAAATGGGAGTTTCCCTGCACAAGCTCTCTCTTTGCCTGCCGCCATCCACCTAAGATGTGACTTGCTCTTCTTGCCTTCCACCATGATTATGAGGCCTCCCCAGCCATGTGGAACTGTAAGTCCATTAAACCCCTTTCTTTTGTAAATTGCCCAGTCTCAGGGAGCATGAAAATATACTAGCACACCATCCAAAGGGCTCCTTCACTCCTACATTGCTTATTGATGAAATTCTTCATTTGGTACTTGGTATAAACTGACCTTATGTTCTCATGCACATTTGTCATGTCTTACCAACTTCTATTCAATAAATGGATGTCAGTATTATGTGACAGATATTCTGGGAGGTCACCTTCTGTGGCTTTCATTTGTTAGAAGGAGGTTGCTTTGTAGAGGTCAGTGTGTGGAGATAAGCTGGTTCAATTGATCCCAATAGGAGATCACCTGAGGTTACCTGGACAAGGATCTGGATGACCAGGGGCTCCCCTCTTCCCCAATAGAGCATAGGAGGTTGAACAGCCTGTAAACAGCCAGCCTCTAAACCCAGACTGCCAGGGCCCGAGTGGGTGAGCATGTCCCTCAAGGGCAAAGCTGCTGTCACTCTTGCTGTATATGGAGGGACCCACCGTTAGTGTCAGATGAACAAATCAGTTTTCTCTCACATGCCAACTATGATCAGTCACATAGAGGTTTGCATTGAGAAACTTACAGTCTGAGATGCAGGAAAAGGGTTATCCAGAATCACTGAGAAGCACTTTTTAAAAATAAGAGTGCTTAGGCCCCCCCAGCCCAGACTGATTGAACTAGAAACTCCTGGAGGAGCTGCCCAGGTGGTTCTAACATACAGACAGGGAGAGAGCTGGAGAGAATCCCAGCCCTCATGGTGATTACACCTGGGGAGTGAATTGGTTGGTTCTGTGAAGTGAGAGCCACACAGTAGGTCATCAATATCAGTTCCTATCCCCCTTCTTTTGTAGCCCCCCTAGTTATCTACTAGGCACATAATAGAAACTGAGTAAATACTGCGGGTTAATGGACATGTCAGCTCAAATAAGAGCAGAGCTTTGCCACGATGGGCAAGCCGAACACCCTGGGGGAGTAGAGTGACCAACTTACCCTGATTTTAAAACTGAAAGTCCCAGGCAAATCAGAGTGGTTGGTCATCCTACTGGAAGAAGAAGTGAGGTTCCTACAGCATCTCTGCCTCCCACCTAAATCACTGAGATTCAAAACTGGGAGACCCTCAAACTCACCTGGGGTGAGGGCTGTCCACATTCCTAGCTGCCACTTCACTGTGACCTAGGACATCCACCCAAGGGGAAGATAAGATATGTCTCCAGCAGTAAGAGGAGTTAGGCATGTTAGCACCAGATGAGATAGGTAAAAAAAACAAAAAAAACAAAAAAAACAAAAAAACAACCAGGGGAAAACCTGCCACCCAGACCTCAATATTAAATTTGACTTGTAACTCCTATCTGCGAAAGCTACTGCCTGATTATAGAAGTGTCACATATATGGTTTTGTTTTGTTGTGTTTTGGCAATGAATTTATATTAGAGTCACCCAAGACTCCTCTGATGCCCTGCATGGGGACATACCTTCAAGTGCCGTTTTACAGACATTTTCAGCTATTTTCAGCCATAGGTAAAAATTTCAAAAGACAATTTTGGCAGCTATAAAGGACACTTCTGGGCAATTGGGGAAACTCGAATATATATATGGACAATTAGATGATATTCATTCAGGTGTGATCACGGTGGCATTGATTAGATAGAAAAATGTCCTTATTTTTTAGAGGTACATACTGAAATTTTAGGGATGATATGTTGTCTGTAATTTACTTCATAATAATTCAGAGAAGAAAATTGGTAAATATTAAGACAAAAACAAACCATAGTAATGGAGGATTTGTATGTAGAAGGTGTTTCCCCAACTCCACATGGTGAAATATGATGAGGTGATGAAGGTTTTTTTTTTTTCTTTTTTTGAAGGAGTCTCTCTCTGTCACCAGGCTGGAGTGCCGTGGTGCGATCTCAGCTCACTGCAATATCCACCTCCCAGGTTCAAGCAATTCCCCTGCCTCAGCCTCCCAAGTAGCTGGGACTACAGGCGTGCACCACCATGTCTGGCTAATTTTTTGTATTTTAGTAGAGACGGGGTTTCACCATGTTGGCCAGGATGGTCTCGATCTCCTGACTTCATGATCTGCCCACCTCAGCCTCCCAAAGTGCTGGGATTACAGGCGTGAGCCACCACACCTGGTCAATGAAAGTTCTTAATGATGAGGTTGGTCAGTGAAGAGATTGTTAGTGTTCATCCCATTTACTATTAGGGGATAAGAAAATGGGTAATTCTTTTTATTTTATTTTATCTTATTTTACTTTAAGTTCTGGGATACATGTGCAGAATGTGCAGGTTTGTTACATAGGTATACGTGTGCCATGGTGGTTTTCTGCACCTATTAACCCATCATCTAGGCTCCCTCCCCATCCCCCCCACACCCCACAACAGGTCCCATGTGTGTTGTTCCCCTCAAAAATGGGTGATTCTTAATTTTCCTAATCTCTCACCCCAAAAAATGGTTTTAATGCTAAAGTCTTTGCAATTTTTTTGAAGCCTGAAGATTTCTAAGGCCGGCCTGCTACAAGAAGTGCATCTGAGTGAGCACAGGTTGGGGAGCTAGAGGGAGCTGGGCCCCCACACTATCGTTATGGCTGTGGGACCTTAAGCAGGTGGCAGAACTTCATGGAAACTCAGGCTCCGTCTTTGCAAAGCTGGGATGGGACCACATGAAATGCTATGGATGCAGAGCTGGCCTGGGACAGGTTAGATAATCAATGAATGAAGATTCTCTTGCTGGGATGGAGGAAGGAAAAAAAAATGTAATTTTTTTTTTCAATGTAAAGCAAAGAAAGAGACCTGACTACCAAGTTTAGCACCAACCTTCCACGCCTGTGGGATAGATGTATTAATACACTGAATTAATAGTTACTGGAACCCAAAGCTGTCCCAGGAACTATGCATCACAGGAAGTAGCCCTGTGACATTTACATTATAAAAATTATTTCTTAAAGTTAAATCAACATAGGCAGATTTCTATTATTAATTAGCCCAACCTAGATTTCTATACAAAGGAAATTGAACTTAATATAAGTTGGATTCATGTTTTCCCATTTCCAACCTTAAGTATAATGGAAATTACTCCATTTATCGAACAGATACTATGGGCCAAACACATCACTAGATGCTATTAATTTTCATCTTCAGCACACCCTAATGAAGTGGATATTACTACACAATTATACCCCACTTAGCAGAAGTAACGCATATCAGATAGGTGAAATCTCATGCCCAAAAGCCATAACTGAAAGACAACACTGCCAGCACGATGACGAGAGGCACTATGACCTTGCCATCCCACCGACTGTTCCCCTTCTGGCCCTGCTACCTACAAGCCATAGACTGCTCTGGGTCTCAGTTGTCTTCCTTGGTAACATGAGAATGATGATGGGAATGAGCCCATGGGATCCTGAGGATTAAATGAGCTAGTGTGTTCATCCATGCAAAGCATTTAGAACAGCTTCTGGCATGTGGTCAGTGTTCCGGGAGATGAGGCTAATGGATTTAACAAGTAAAATCTGGCCAGCAGACCCTTTATGTTGCCTTCATAGTGAATAAACTGGTGGCTCCTATCATCACTCTCCAATGGGTGCAAAAATACCGTTAGATAGAAGGATTAAGTGCTGGTGTTTGACAGCACAATAGGGCGACTACGGTTAACAATAGTTTATTGTATATTTCAAAATACCTAGAAGATTTGGAATGTTCCCAACACACACAAAAATAATACATGTTTGAGGTGATGGATCTCACGATTACCCTGAGTTCATCATTACACATTGTATGCATGTTTTAAAATATCACATGTACCCCATAAATGTGTACAATTATTATATAGCAATAGAAAGAGAGGGCTAGAAAAATTCAAGTCTTATTCCTCTTGTTATGCTGTTCAGTAGGGCTGAGGCTGGCCCGTTCCTGGCCTTCTGGCCCCAAAGGTCATTATTCAGCCACAGCACACCCTCTGGTTGGCTTCATCACTGGCTTTCTCTGCATATTAGAGTGATCCAGACCTGCTATGCCTTACTGGCTGTACTGCAGAAATGCTTTCTATGCTCTGACTATAAGGTTGTTAAATCCTTAAAGCTTGTTAGGGCAGGGCTTCAAAACTCTTGCTTGGGGTTAATGGTGTCTTGTGATGCAGAGAGCAAGCTGCCTCACATGTTAAGAGGAAATTTCTGTGGCTGAGAATATCTTGAAAGACAGAGTTTAGCCAGGAACTCTTGAGGATAAACAAGCTTTGATATATTACATTGTGTGCACATAAATGAACATTGGTCCCCTTTCAGATACATTCCAGCCATACTAAGATGGATGAACTTAGGTTGGTCTAGGGTTGGTGCGTTTCTTAAAATGTTTCTGTGTTTGTGCACAGCACAAGGGTTCCAAGCTGAGTTGGAATATAGGATGCGAGGGAAGTGGTGCATTGCATTGTCACAAAACAGAGGAAATGATTCAAAGAAACAAAAAGAGAAGTATTTCAAAAGTAAAAAGGGGAATTTCTTCCAGCCACAGACATAAATAGAAGAAACAGTTCATTCATTCACTCACTCGCCTATTCGTTCAACAAATGCTCATGGGCTTCTTGTGTCAGGCACTGTGCAAGGTGTGAAGATAGATTAATGAGCAGCACTTGGTTCCTGCACTCAGGACTCCCACTCTGGAGCGAGAAGGCATCCATCATTGATTATGTTTGGCCTTGGGTACCACCTCTGTGTGCTGGACCTGCTTTCAGCCCTGAGGGGATGGAATAGGGCCTAATCTTTTCCCACCCTCAGGGCTGGTAGTTGTATCTTCCTTGGAGCTGATGAGATGGTTTGAGACCTTCCTCAGAGTAGAGACAAGACTGTCAGCCCCTTATATCCCCACTCCTGCTGCTTTGCAGTGCTTCTGCCCATCTCCTCCTTGCTGAAAAATGTTGTGGGGAATTGCAAGACAGGCCAACCCTAATAATTCATATTCTCCTTCTTCCTCTCCTTCCCTCCCTCTAAAGAAATGAATTACATATCCCATAAGCATATATAATTAAAGAAAATTAAATCTAATGTATCCCTAACCCATCATGTTCATGTTTATATACTCTCTGTGCTTATTACTGGCTATTAATACTCCTATTGATCTTAGCTTAGACCAGGAATTCGAGGGTGGAGATTTTAGTTGCTGTTGTAATTGACATAAACATCCTTCTGCCTACCTATTAGATGACTAAAATCCAATCAAGTGATTAGCATTTACTGTGAACCTGCTACGTGTCCTGCACTCAGTACTATGAACAACATGGAAGAAAGATAGGCACGTTGTTCTGACCCACTAGCCACGTGCCCAGCCAGTAGCCCCAGGCTGAGGATGAGCTAGCACTCAATTAGAACAAGCCCAGAGCATCACCTCCCTTTCTATCCCAACTCAATCCTCTTGGGCCCTCTCACCCTCCACTTTCTGAAGAATCCCTGATCCAAAGCAGGACATTTTGACACAGCTGTGTTGATATGGCTATTTTGCTTTGAGGTATGTTTTATGACATAGTTGCAATGTGTATTACCAAGAATTATGCACAGCAAACACTTCTAATCTTTTTCTCTCCCGTTCCCACCCCCACTTCATCTGGGAGACATTTATTTTTCTGCATTGTCTAAACTGCTTTTGAAGTATTGTCTTCTATTTAGTGGTGTTTTCTTCAAAATCTGTTAGAAAGGAATTAGTCTTTATGGATATGTTCCTGACTTCCAAAAAGTCTTTATAAATTAGGTTAATGCTATTAAATATAACTTACATATACTGCTGGGTACTGAGGATGATTAGAAGTGTATTTGAAGCTTCCCTCTGCGATTTGGGGAAGAGAGTAAGTGCTTCTTTTTAGGAGACTGAAAGGCAAATGGCACTGCGGAGACAGGAGGATGGGGAAGGCCAGCTTCTTTTGGCGGGTCACAGGGGTAGGTCGAGATGGTTTGGATTTGGGGAACTTCTGATTTTGTAGGAGTAGCAGAAACTTCTGGCACTCACTGACATGTGGCCTTGACCAAGTCCCTCAACTTCTCAGAGCCTCAGTTTTCTTATCTGTAAAATGGGCATGACAGTGTCCACTGAAACAAGGTGACATCGGAGAGAATAAAGAATAAAGTATTTAAAGCTTTATGGGAACAGCCTGAAAAGAAGCTGGACTGAACTTGGCTTAGTCTCACCTCACCTGGGTTAACACTGTCCCATCCCGGTGTCATTTGAGGCTGGATAATTCAGAAATCCAACATGCTTCATGTAGAAATATTGCCTGGGTCTCTCACTGAGACCATGGGATCAGTCCACATCCCTGTAGGTGAGGTTGAGGTCCCCACTGTCAGTCACCTTAAGGGAGGTTGGTCTGGAAATTGAAGACTCAGAAGAGCAGCCTTTGATGGGGATGAAAAGAAGGAAATGAAAACCACCACCTTCACCCTCTCCATCAACCCAAGGTCTCTTGCACATATCCAGGAACTTCCAGGTGGCCGGGGCACCAGGGAATTCCCTGGAGAGGCAGGCTGGGTTGCTCTAATTCCCTTTCTTTTCTCAAATCCTTCAGTGATGTCTCTTGCCTGGTTTAACTGAGGAGTGTAACTGTGAGGGACAACAGGAAACAATTTTCCCCGATGACTATTCCTGCTATGCCTCATAGAGCCCTCCTTCCTGGCTTTGTAGAGACCTCCTAAATGTCAGACACTTTCCTTGAAGTCACTTCATCTGGGTAATAAGATGTGGTCCTGCCCATTTTTGAAGGTCAGGCTCAGACTTAAGTGAAAACTGCCCCAAGTCCAGCCAGGTCTGGGAGGAGGGGAGGAGCCACAGATTACTTCTTTATGCATGGGCCCCTCCTCCTGGCCCTAGGGTTGGTTGGGTAGGAGAGCTGGGTGAGGGGCTGGAGAACAGACTTGTCTCTGGTGACTGCCCTGCTGTGGCTGCTCTCTCCTGGGAGGCATCTCTGGTGGTTTAGCTTATTTTCTAGGCCCCACTAGAGGGTCTCAGTTTCTAGTTGCTCTCCCAGACCTGGGTCCTTCCTATGTGACTTGGCCTCATCTTCGCCCAGCTGCTGGTGGCCGCACACCCACTCTCCTCTGATGTTGGAGTGGGGTCTCCTGCAAGTCAGCAGTGACCAGTCATGCCCATCTCTCAGAAACTCGCACTTCAATGGGGCAGCCCCTGCCCCCTATACTGGGCCGAACATCAGTTTACCCCCCTCCCCCCAACACTGGGCTGGACATCAGCTCATATCCCTCCCCAACACACAGGGCTGGACATCGGCTCATCCCCCACCCCACACACACACACTGGACTGTGCATCAGCTCATCCCCCCGACACACACATACTGGTCTGGACATCAGTTCATCCCCCCCCCCCCCACACACACACTGGGCTGGACATCAGCTCACCCCCCTCCCACAACACACACACTGGGCTGGACATCAGCTCACCCCCTCCCCCCACACACACTGGGCTGGGCATCAGCTCACCCCCTCCCCCCACACACACTGGACTGGACATCAGATCACCCCCCTCCCTAACACACTGGGCTGGACATCGGCTCATCCCCTCCCTCCACACACACTGGACTGGACATCAGCTCACCCCCCTCCCTCACACAACACACACTGGACTGGACATCAGCTCACCCCCCTCCCACAACACACACACTGGAATGGACATCAGCTCATTGCCCTGCCCCCACACACACTGGGCTGGACATCAGCTCATCCCCCTCCCCCCCACACACACACTGGGCTGGACATCAGCTCACCCCCCTCCCCCACACATACTGAGCTGGGCATCAGCTCATCTCTTCCCAGCGTAGCTCCTCCTCAAGTGGTGGGGAAGAGTTCAGCAGCCCAGGGACTGAGTGGGAAATGGAGCATTAGTTTTCTCTTCTCATAGCCAGTCACAGCCTTGATCCCCTTAGAAGGGCTTCTAATCAGGGGAGCAGCAGGAAGCCAAGCGAGGCCCTCCTTATCCTCTCCACAAAGCAGAGGAAGCTGCACCCCCTTGCTCCAGGCATCCTTGGAGACAGAGGGCATGCTACTGAAAAGCCACCTCCCCATAAGCTCCAAAGGGAGCTGAACTGCCCACAGCTCACTAATTTTGCTGTTGGTTATTTTTCTATTGAGGTATAATTCACGTTCCATAAGATCCATGATTTTTAAGTGTACAGTTCAGTGGGTTTTAGGACATTCACAAGGTCGTGCAACCATCACAACCATCTGATTTCAGAACATTTTCATCACCCCAGAAAGAAACCCCAAAGCCATTAACACTCGCTTCCCATCTCCTGATCTCTCCAGGCCTTGGCAATCACTAACCTACTTTCTGTCTCTAAGGGTTTGCCTATTCTGGACATTTCATACTAATGGAATCCTAGGATAAGTGGCCTTTGGTGTCCGGCGTGTTTCACTTAGGTTAATATACTTGAGGTTCATCCACATTGGAGCATGTATGAGTACTTCATTCCTTTTTATGGCTAAATAATATTCCCTTGTGTGGAGAGACCACAATTTATTTACTCATTCATTAATTGATGGATATTTGAGTTGTTTGTTTCAAACTTAGATCTTGGGCCACTTTGAAACCTTTATTAGGAAAAACTCTGGATCTTCACACCACTATTTTATTGGCTAACGTTACAACCGAGGTTGTTTTGTGGTAGGCAGATGAAAGAGTGGAGGAGGTGTGGGGAGAGCAGGTCCCTCTCCTCTGCTGGGTCTGTGCAATGCCAGTGAGGCTGCCCTTCATGGAAGCAGCTGAGACAGCAGAGCCAAGGCCCCAGAGCAGTTATGGGCAGCAGAAAGTGTTTTGTGTGGGAGCAAAATAGAGGCTGGAACAAGTGGTGTGTGAATAAGCCAGTCCTCTGGGGAGGGGAAAAGCCCTGCTTTGCAGCATTTGCTAATTTCCATGGTATAAATACTCTCATTGTGGCCAATTTCAAGCTACAAACTAGGTGACGCTGAACACAGACTTGGGAGAAATATACACCATGGGGTTGGTACAACCAGTTCCAGGACACCACTGGGCTGGAACTCAGCTTCCTGCACATGGATGAGAAAGCAGCTCCCTAGGGACCTCTGGGAAGCAGCTGGAGACTCTCAGAGGGGGTCAGTTTCCAGCAATAAGGCACCTAGCATCTGCCCAATGTGTGTTTCCCTCCCCGATCTTGTTCCAAAATACCAGTCACTTTTTTTTTTTTTTGAGACGGAATTTCGCTCTTGTTGCCCAGGCTGGAGTGCAATGGCATGATCTCGGCTCACTGCAACCTCCACCTCCCAGGTTCAAGTGATTCTCCTGCCTCAGCCTCCCAGGTAGCTAGGATTACAGGCACCCACAACCATGCCCAGCTAATTTTTTGTATTTTTATTAGAGACGGGGTTTCACCACGTTGGCCAGGCTGGTCTTGAACTCCTGACCTCAGGTGATCCCCCACCTCGGCCTCCCAAAGTGCTGGGATTACAAGCACCAGTCACCTCTTTGAATTAGGCAGCAAAACCAGAGCATTCCTGGGCAACTAGCCTTTGGTTACTCTAATGCTTCCTCATCATGTAGGGTCACGTAAAAAGCCCTTCTACTCACTGCAAGTCCCTGACTACCCTACCAGTGGAGGAATGTGGATTGATGAAGTGTTTGGTCATAGCTGAAATACAACCCTCTTGGAGCTTCTTTGGAAATATAATAAGGGAAATGATAGATCGGCATTAAATAAAGAATATTGTATAATAGTTCACAATCCTATGATAATAGTTCATAGGAATAGAAAATGACAAGTGTTGAAATTGGAAAAAGTCTGATTCTTAATGTCTACACCTGTACAGTCCAGTATGGCAGCCACTCACATGTGGCTGTTAAACAACCGAAATGTGACTAGAACACATTGAGAGGTGCTATAATATACACACCGCATCTCGAGTGTTTGTTTAGTAAATTAAAAAAATGTAAAATATCTCAGTAAGTTTTATAATGATTACATTTTGAAATATATTTTTGCTATTTTGGATAAAATAAAACTAAATCATTTAATTTCACTTGCTTTTTACTTTTTAAATTTTAAAATTTACATTTTAAATTGCATGTGTGACTTACATTCTGTTTCTATTGGATAGCACAATACTAGATACTATTGGACACCTCTTAATCAATTTAAACAACAGGAGCTACATTTATTAGGTTTTACTATGTGTCCAACACCAAATGAAACTATTTATGTATATAATTTTATTTAATCCTTTCAACTTTTTGATAGGACTCGTTATCCCTGTGTTATAAAGGAGAAAACTGAAGGTCAGAGAAGTTAAGTAACTTATCCATGTTCACACAAGGAGTCTTAATTCAAATCAGTCTTTGGCTCAAAAGTCTGTGCTGTGATGCTTTTTGCTAAAGCAAATGAAGGATTTCCTAATCTCTAATAGACATATAGGTTAATGGGAAAGACAATTTGTTAGCAGTCTGTTTGTTTTGGTAACTGTATATTTTGATAGGATTTCAAATTTAGAGAAAAATTGTAAGAATAGTACAAGGAACTCACATGTACATGGTCCAGACTCACCATCTGTCTATAGGCTAGGGATAGAGAGAGAGAAAAAGAGGATTTTTCCCCTCAAACCATTTGGGAGTAAGTTGCAGACATCAGGTCCATATACTCCAAGTACTGATGTGTGTGTGCTTCCTTAGAACAAAGACATTCTCTTATTTAGTCACAATCCAATGTTCAAAATTAGGAATTTTAACAGTGATATAATACCATTTCCCAATGATAGTCCATATTCAGATTTCATCAGTTGTCCCAGTAATGTCCTTTTCAGCTACTTTCCCCCATTGGTTCAGAGTCCAGTCCAGGATAATGCATTAGATTTAGTTGTCACGTCTCCTTAATCTCCTTTAATCTAGAACAGTTCCTCAGCTTGGTGTGCTGCTTGACTCTGATATTTTTAAAGAATGCAACCCATTATTTTGTAGAATGTTCTTTAGTATAGTTTATCTGGATTCCTTTAGGATCAGAATCAGGTTTTGCACTTTCAGCAAGAATATTACAAAGTGTTCCTGGTCTCACTCAGCACATATTTGCTAGCTGCTTTTAAATATTGTTTATGAGACTTTAGCATAAAAGTAAGAAATAAGTCTTTCAAAAACATTTCTAGATTTGGTCCAAATATTTCTAGAAATTGGTCCAAATATTCCTGTGCAAAACAAGTGTAAATGTTAGGTGTAAAATATAGATAATGATAAATATGGATTATAATAATTATAACATGGCTATATTTTCATATTTTCCTGACCCTGTATAGAAAACAATTATTTTTAATTCAGTCTAGCAATTTGAAAGAAAGATTAGAATATATGAGTTGGCGATGGATAGATAGGAAAAGAGAGTGAGTATAAGGTCATTTAACCACTAAAGATGGTTTAATTTCAAGGCACCTGTTGTTTAGAGTAAAATAATTTCTTTGTTCTCTTTTCTCGTTCTTTTCACTTCAATTCATATGATAAGTGCTTTGATTAGAGTCATCAAACTGCCATTGCCAGATCCACTGCTATGCTGCAAGAAGATGGTGTTTGTTCAGAGTTAGCAGCAAACTCTTATAATCTCATTTCATTCAAATGATGTTTTTATTGCAAGATGTAACACCAGCAACCTAAACTGTCTCTGACAGTCTCATATTTTTCTTGTTTAAGAAACAGCTGTCAAAAGGATCTGTGTGAGCTAAGCAACTGACAAATTACAGGAAAATTATATTTTTAATCAATCACTTGCCTAAAGTCATGGAATGTGGTTTATAGTTATCCAGATATAACGCCATTTAGAAACCTTTTCTTTCATCATAGGGCATCTAGTAATTTTTATGGTTTTCTTCTTATCCTGTGGCCAAAAAAAAGGATGTCTAAGACAAATGCACTTTAAATATAAAGATATAGACTGAAAGGAAAAGTATAGAAAAACATATACCATGCAAAATGTGAGCTTAATAAACACGATGTGGTGTGGCTATATTAATACCAGTCAAAATAAATTTCAAGGCAAGGACTATGAATAGAGATAAAGCACATTTAATAATGACAAAAGGGTCAATTCATCAGAATACATGACGACAAAAGATGTATGTGACCTTCAAAATATACAAAATATATAGAGAAATTCAAAATCCACAAAGAAAAAAATGGCAGTGTTAGAGAAATAGAAGTAATTGGAGATTTTAACACCTCTTGTTCAATAACTGACAGAAAAAATGGGACAAAAAGATGGGTAAGGATATAGATTTGACTATCAACAAACTTGACCCAATTGGCATTTACTGAACAGTGGTAGAATACACATTCACTTTTTAAGAACACACAGAACATTCACCAAGAGGCTATATACTAGGTTCTAAAATGTCTCAATAAATTTCAAAATATTGGCTCCCTCTCCCCCTCCCCCTCTTTGCATGGTTTCCCTCTGATGCCCAGCCGAGGCTGGACTGTACTGCCGCCATCTGGACTCACTGCAACCCCCCCTGCCTGATTCTCCTGCCTCAGCCTGCCGAGTGCCTGGGATTGCAAGCGCGCACCGCCACGCCTGACTGGTTTTCGTATTTTTTTGGTGGAGACGGGGTTTCGCAGTGCTGGCCCGGCTGGTCTCCAGCTCCTGACCGCGAGTGATCTGCCAGCCTTGGCCTCCTGAGGTGCTGGGATTGCAGACGGAGTCTCACTCACTCAGTGCTCAGTGGTGCCCAGGCTGGAGTGCAGTGGCGTGATCTCGGCTCGCTACAACCTCCACCTCCCAGCCGCCTGCCTTGGCCTCCCAAAGCGCCGAGATGGCAGCCTCTGCCCGGCCACCACCCCATCTAGGAAGTGAGGAGCGTCTCTGCCTGGCTGCCCATTGTCTGGGATGTGAGGAGCCCCTCTGCCCGGCCGCCCAGTCTGGGAAGTGAGGAGCGCCTCTTCCTGGCCGTCATCCCGTCTAGGAAGTGAGGAGCGTCTCTGCCCGGCAGCCCATCGTCTGGGATGTGGGGAGCGCCTCTGCCCCGCCGCCCCGTCTGAGATGTGAAGAGCGCCTCTGTCCAGCCGCGACCCCGTCTGAGAACTGAGGAGTGTCTCTGCCCCGCCGCCACGCCGTCTGGGAGGTGAGGAGCGTCTGTGACCAGCCGCCCCGTCTGAGAAGTGAGGAGCCCCTCCGCCCGGCAGCCGCCCCGTCCGGGAGGTGGGGGGGGCAGCCCCCGCCCGGCCAGCCGCCCCGTCTGGGAGGTTGGGGGGCGCCTCTGCCCGGCCACCCCGTCTGGGAGGTGTACCCAATAGCTCATTGAGAACGGGCCATGATGACATGACGATGGTGGTTTTGTCGAATAGAAAAGGGGGAAATGTGGGGAAAAGAAAGAGAGATCAGGATTGTTACTATGTCTGTGTAGAAAGAAGTAGACATAGGAGACTCCATTTTGTTCTGTACTAAGAAAAATTCTTCTGCCTTGGGATGCTGTTAATCTATAACCTTACCCCCAACCCCGTGCTCTCTGAAACATGTGCTGTGTCCACTAAGGGTTAAATGGATTAAGGGCGGTGCAAGATGTGCTTTGTTAAACAGATGCTTGAAGGCAGCTTGCTCGTTAAGAGTCATCACCACTCCCTAATCTCAAGGACCCAGGGACACAAACACTGCGGAAGGCAGCAGGGCCCTCTGCCTAGGAAAACCAGAGACCTTTGTTCACATGTTTATCTGCTGACCTTCCCTCCACTATTGTCCTATGACCCTGCCAAATCCCCCTCTCTGAGAAACACCCAAGAATGATCAATAAATACTAAAAAAATAAAAAAATAAAAATAAAAATAATTTCAAAATATTGAAATCTTTAAAAGCTTATTTAGAACCATAAAATTAAATTAGAAATCAATAACAATAAAGTATCTAGGAAGTCTCCAAAGGCTTAAAAATTAAACTACCCCCTTGTAAAAAATGCACAGGTCAAAGAGGAAATTATAAGCATTAAGAAAATATTTTATACAGAAAAGTGATTTTAAAACACATATCAAAAATTCAGAGATTCTGCTAAAGCACTGACTTAAGAGAGATGTATAGCTTCGAAACCACCTTTGCAAAATTATGATAGAAAGAAAAATCTGACATGGCTGATTCCATCTCACTTCTAACCTCACAGGCTAGCTGTTTTTGCTAATTCCTGGGCATGGGCCAAGCTAACTTTGGGAGAAATTTGGTTTATATTTTAAATAACAATAGCCCTTCCCTAAAACTAAACTGACCTTGTAAAACTAATGAAAGGTCATCAGGTTAGGAGAATGAGAGGGGCTGGAATTCTGCTACAATGTAAAGTAGGTAAACAATTACAGCCATTTTCCCGGAGGTCACAAGATTTGCAACTTCCCCAATTACTCCTGCAGATAACATTACTATTGTAGAACCCAAGTTTGGCTTTTTGAAGTGTCTTTTCAGGGTTTTGCACTTCTAACAACCAGATGGCCCCATTTGGACCTGTGACTTAACCAGTTCTGTGGCCCCACCTAGAAGCCAACTCAGCTCATGAGGACCATATTTCATACCACCATCATTGCATCCCCAACCAATTAGCAGCACCTATAGCCTAGCCCCCTGCCCACCAAACTATCTTTGAAGAACCCCTAACCTCCAAGCCTTCAGTGAGATTGATTTGAGTAATAACTTCGTCTCTCACCTGGTGTGGCTAGTCTCATGTTAATTAAACTCTTTTTTTATGGCAATGCCTTGAGTCTCCGTGAACTGATTTTGTTTGTGCAAGAAGAACCCATCGGGCAGTTACAGATTTAAATCTGAAATCACTGACTTGAAATATTTCTTCTTTTAAAATATGTTTTCACATTATGAAACTAAGAAAACATGGGTGAATTAAACTCAAAATAAGTTTAAGGGAAGAAAGAAAGATCAGCAGAAATCAAAGAAGTAGAAAACAGATAAATAAGAGAAAATTAGCAAGGACAATAGTTACTTTTGTGAATAAAATGGTAACATTGATAACCCCACAACAAGACTTCACCTGAGGGTTGATCAGAGAATCTGAGCCAATATGAGTGATACAGAATATGGTAGGAATCTGACCTCATGCAATTGTGCTGTAAACCAGAAATAAAACTCTAAGCCTCTCAGCCAACTGATGGATGTTCCTCTTGGCCAAGGGCATTCCAAAGCAAACCCGAAAAACTATTTAATGCAAGGATGGAAAGGAGTGGGGGTCAGACATGCCTCATTGTAACCTCTTCCCTGTGGAATTCAGGCACAACTGATCAGCATTAACATTAAAACAGAGATTCTAAGACTGAGAGAACAAACTGTTTGTAGCAATAAGATACCAAATTCCAACCTGACTCTAGTATAGTATTGCATGACAAGTAGCAGGCCCTGAAAGAAATCAGTCTTTTGTCCCAAAATATACTTATTTGATATATTTTGAAATGGTCTTGCAAAGCTGTCTCTTGTGGGGGAAATTTACATTCTATAGAGAATCCCCTGTTCTTTCCAGGTCTTTTTCTGATCCTGAAGAGGTTGGCTGAGAGTCTAGCACCTTTTGAGGGTCTGAATAGAAAACACTTGCCATCTATTGCCTCTAAGGGCGGCCACCTAGGAGACTTCATCTACATAAGAACCCTGTTTTCCACAGTCCTTTATCTTAACCCAAACACTCCTTTCTATTGATTCCAGGTCTTCAGATAACCAATTGCCAATCAGAAAATCTTTGAATCCACCTATGACCCGAAAGCCCTCCCACTTTGAGTTGCCTGCCTTTCCAAACTAATGAACACCTTATATGTATTGATTGATGTCTGTCTGTAACTTCTGTCCCTCTAAAATGTTTAAAATCAAACTGTAAAACAACCACTTTGGGGACATGTTTTCAGGACCTCCTGGGGCTGTGTCACAAGCCTTGGTCACTCATATTTGGCTCAGAATAAACCTCCTTAAATAGTTTATAGCATTTGACTCCTACGTTGACAGGGGTAACTGGTTAAACAGTCTATGTGAAACAAGTGCTTTGGTGTCCAAAGCCTATAGAGCCACCAGTCAGGAACAAAACCTGGACTAGAAGTGGGAGAAATCCAGGATAAACTGGAGCCTCGGAGGACCCACTAGGATTCAGGGGCACAAGCTGGAACGTGCATAGGCCTTTCACTGCCTCTGAGCGTCCAACTTCAATGTCTCAAGTGAGCTGCTGGTGCTCTTGTTGTACAGCTGCATAGGTGGCTCAACCAGGGTTGAGAAAAGCTGGAGGCAGAAGCCCAGAAATGAGGGGAGCTGTAGACCTGGCTCTTGCCCCCACATATATGATGAACCACCAAAGAACCAGCAATGTGCAGGAGCTCAGCCACGCCTTCCCATACATCCACTGGCTGCCACTTTATTCTACTGTGAACCCCAAATATCTGAAAGAGGTCTCAGTTAATTTTGAAAGTTTATTTTGCCAAGGTTGAGGACACATGCCCATGACACAGCCTCAGGAGGTCCTGACAACATGTGCCCAAGGTGGTCAGAGCACAGTTTGGTTTTATACATTTTAGGGAGACATGAGACATCAATCAACATATGTAAGATGAACATTGGTTCTGTCTGGAAAGGTGGGACAAGTCCAAGTGGAGAGGGGGTTTCTAGGCCATAGGTCAATAAGAAAGAAATGGTTGCAATCTTTTGAGTTTCTGATTAGCCTCTCCAAAGGAGGCAATCAGATACATATTTATCTCAGTGAGCAGAGGGGTGACTTTGAATAGAATGGGAGGCAGGATTGCCCTAAGCAGTTCTCAGCTTGATTTTTCCCTTCAACTTAGTGATTTGGGGGCCCCAAGATATTTTCCTTTCACACTGTCTTGCACATCTCACATAAATTTCTCTTGGGGACAACCCTGACTCAGAACCAAACAGAGAAGGGAATTCTGAGAAAGGTAGTTTTTGCTTTAGCATGTTGACACAATACCTATCCACACTGATTGAGAAAACAAAGAAAATACAAATTACCAAAATCAGGATTGAAAGAGGTGATATCACTATAGATTTTATAAACATTTATGAAAAACAAGCCCTGGCTCATTCATTGCTCACCTTCAGAATTTCCTGGTTGTGTGTGCTCCTGGGAGAAAGAAAGTTTACATTAAAAAAGAAAAAGACATCCAATTACCTATCCTTCTTGTTTCCTTGCTGAGTTAAATATGCCTATGTATTAAAGCAAAAATTTAAACAATCGATCAATTAGAGTATTAGGATGTACTTTGCTAAAGGATTCTTCAGGCAGCAGAACATGGACAAGTTTCATGGTAGGTTATTTCACTGACAAGCTCAAGGGCAAGAACGGTGAAATTTAAAATCATTAGCCTCTGCGCATTAAAGATTGGTGAGAAATGAGGACAACATTTCAGAAATGAAAATTATATGCCCACAATACTTTCAAGCAGAATTAAACACAATCTTAAGACCCACTTATTGCCGGAAGTGAACATTCTTTGCACATGCTCCAGCTCCCTTGTTTCCTTACAATACAGATTCTTTGCCTTTTGTAGTCAGGATTAAAGGACATAACATCCCTCACTATGCAGAGCGTTGTGCAAATAGTGATCATGAGAAAGGAGCCTGTGAGTTAGGTTTCTGCTTTATTTGCCCATACAAAGAGAACAGAGCCTTCTAGAGTAGCTTTCCCATTGTCTCATTATTTGTCATACAACTCAGCACACACTGGAAGACAATCACAAGGTGGGCACACAGAGGTTTGATCGAGGTCCTGTTACTCAAAGCTCCCCTTTGCCTCTATCTCTATTGCCAATGAGGAAATGTATCTGATCAATTAACTCACACTAGCATACAGAGGTGCCTTTTCAGATCAGAGTATTTCTAAAAAGATATCTGGAGCCGAGCATGGTGGTTCATGCCTGTAATCCCAGCACTTTGTGAGGCCAAGGTGGGTGGATCATGAGGTCAGGAGTTCAAGACCAGCCTGGCCAACATGGTGAAACGCGGTCTCTACTAAAAATACAAAAATTAGCCAGGCACAGTGGCAGGCATCTGTAATCCCAGCTACTTGGGAGGCTGAGGCAGGAGAATCGTTTGAACCTGGGAGGTAGAGGTTGCAGTGAGCCAAGATCGTGCCACTGCACTCTAGCCTGGGCGACAGAGCAAGACTCTGTCTCAAAAAATAAAAATACAAAAAGATACCTGGAGAAATCAACTACAATATGGATTTATAATGGTGGGATATCAAGCACTGGTGAGGCTGAGTTAGAAGAGATTTGGCTACTATGGGAGGAATTTTTAGACTCTGCTTGAATCCTTTCTCCCTCTCTCTGCTTCCTTCATTGTTTCGTGGAAATCTAGAAAGTGCCAACTACCTCATAAGCAGGTGGGTTAATGCCTGCCTTGACTGGATGTTTGATCTCATTAGCCGACAGTTTCCTTTTTCATCATTTCCAACAGCGCCATTGTTTATGACCCCAGATAGACCTGGGATGCTAGTTACCAGCCTGATCATGTCCACTGTCACATTTCATGTCTTCTGTCAGAATTTATGATGTAGCATCCTTTGGAGGTCACTAAAAACATCTTCAGAGGAAAGAGCTTCTGTGAATCCACTGAGTCATAAAACCGTCTCCTAGAGAGGAGTATTTCTCATGGATCAGAAGCTGTCTGGAAGAGCAGCTTGCAGGAAGGAAGAGTTAAATGAGACAGTCGGTTGCGCAAACACTTGAGTGAGAAAGCAGTGAGAGCGATTCGATGAGCTTTTTCTTCCCCTAAAATTAATTACAATTTTAAAGGCTGGCAGCTTGATTTTATATTGCAACTTTCTTCAATTAAATCTACATTTTTTCTATCTTACTTCATGTCATCTCACTAATTGGTTGCAGCATCTACTTGTGCTACCACCAAACTGTCTTTGCTTAAAAGAAGCTGTTTTACTAAAAGAAAATTAAAAATGTAAATGTATCCTATCTTATATTGCCTCTTCCTTTTCTGCCAGAAGAGAGGGGGAAATAACTGATCAGTGAAATCCTAAGAGGCACAAACTGGAGTTACATTTTTGCAATGTGCGGGACAGCGCCATGAAGCTACAATGTGTCTGGTACCCTGGGTTCATTCTCATCCAGTCAATGCATATTGAGCACCCACTGTATGCCAGGCCCTGGTCTAGATGCTTTGGGGTCTAAGCAGGATCATTCAAGTGTCCATAAGAGCTTCCTCCAGCTTCCCAGGCATGGCAGAATCATTAGCACACTCAAAACTCTGTTTCTGGTGGCCTTTCCCCAAACCGTTAAAATCATGGCAATGTCAAGTGAACAATTATTTCCTTATTTTCCTTCAATAAATGCTGGTAGCTATTGTATTACCACCTCCTCCACTAACATCCATTTTGAAAATAATGGCAATTCAGTAAAAAGCTTAGAAAGCAAAACAAAGTAAAATTATTCTGTTTCATTAAACAACATTAAAAGACTGGGTTCAAAATAGGGTCTGTGTTATACTCAGCTGACTCTGACGACCAAGTCAGCAGGGAAGTCCCTCCAATTTCTTACCATCTGTGGGTGCTAGAAGGGCTTGCAAACCTGCTGTGTGTAAAAGGTGGCAGTCAAAGAAGCCTCTTAAAACAAGAAAGGGATTTGAAATGGCTGTGTCCAACTGGTTGTCAATCTGGATTCCAGGGGCCCTAGAGGTTCAAGGTGATGCCTCCAGACCACTAGGAGGAGCTGTTGAGGGTGGTCAAGGGGCCAACAGACTGCAACCTCCAGTTCCCCACCCCAACTTCAACCCAAAGGGTATCCCTTTCACCTGTCTTACCTACCAGTGTCCCTTGGGACAATCCATGAAAGAAAAGAGCTCTACAGAAGAAAAGGGCTCTACAGCCTTAAAAATAAGGAAACCCACTGGCCTATGACCTGCTGTAGCATGCTAGAGGGCAATGCTGATGACGTATTCTCTTTGGGACTCAAATAGTTTGAAACAGCGAACGTTTTGATGAATGACGAAGTAAAAGCTGGGTTGGCCAACACTGTACTGTTACAGATGATGCTTGCTCCTCTCCTGCAGTTCTGCACACTCCTCCACCCAACATCAAGTGCCTGGGGAAGCCAAGCCAGCGTAGCACAGCCCCCAGATACTTCAACATTCAAACTTCAGACATTCAAGTCCACATTTCCATGCAATCCTGCATAATGTAAGCAAATTTAGCTTGCTTAAAAATAGATACTCCCAAGGTTGGGTAATGCACGGCCTTTTTTGCTGTAAACCAAGATGCAGCAGATGGAGACCTTAACCATTATTCTTTTTGCTCCTTCTTTTTCTCAGTTCATGACACAGTAAAGGATGATTTCAGAGAAAAGTTAATAAGAATATGCATCTAATGAGGATTGCAAAATGTTCACTTTGCAGTGATGGATAAAGCCATTTTGGAGTCAATCCTAAAAAGCCAAGACTCCTGGGTGTCAGTCAGGATGGAGCGATGCACAGAACCTAGAGGGGAAGCAGTCCAACCCCCCAGCAGATGCATGAGTTTATGCAGAAATTTGAAACAAGGCTGCCATTTATTAGGTATTTATCATGAGCCAGGACCTCTGTAAATAGCATCTCTAATTCTCAAAACAACCTTTTAAGTTAAGTATTTTCATTTTACAGATAGGAAACTGAGGTTCAGAGAAGTAGTATTATGTCCAAGCCGCCAAGCTAGTAAGTGACAGAATCAGGTTGCAAATCAGATCTGCCTGATTGTTCTCTTCCTGCTTCCCACACTACCCCACTGTTTGCACATCTCCAGTGACAGGGAACTCACTGCCTCCCAAGCCACATGTGTGCTGAATAGCGCTAAGGAATAAAAAGCACTTTGTGTTGAAATGAAACCCACTGCCTGTTACTGCTACACCTAGAACCTGCATCTGCCCTTTGGAGCCACACAAAGTCCATCAAAGAGGGCTTCCACAAGACAGCCTTCCAAGGAATTTGAAGAAAGATTGTGGAGCTCAATTTCTCTTCTCTAGGTTAAGCCTCCTGGGGCTGGGGTGTAGGGCTCAGGATGTGGGTCCTGGAACCAGACTGCTGGGGTTCAAGTCTCTGCTCAGTGACCTACTGGGTGAACGAGATGAATTTCAAATTTTCTTTTACTCAGTTTCATCTTATACTCTGTCTCATCCATAAAATGGTGTGAAAGCAATAACATCTACTTTTTTGTGTTTATGAGAATTCAATAATTTATAGAAAGCACTTGCCATACAGCTTGCAAACAGCAGGAGCTTAATAAGTGACAATGATAATCAGTACTCATGGCTTCCAGCTGTGTAACAATCCTGCTGTTTCTCCTCTTGACCTTTTCTTATTGATGTAGGGGCCTCTTGAATGTGATGAGGAAACAGAACGGAAAACTCCAGGACAGGCCTGAGCAGCTTGTAAGAGAAGAGCATCATCGCCTTTATTCTAAATGTGATGCTTGTTTTAACGTAGGCTAAGGGGAGTTATTAGTTTGGGCTATAGCCACATTATACTGGTAACTCGTATTAAACTTGGAGTTAACAGAAACCCCCTGATATTTTTATTCCACCCTCCATGCCATCCTAACTCAAGGGCCCTCTGAAGTCTAAAGCTGAAAGGTGGCTTACTCGAATTGAGTGGTGGGTAAATGGGGGTTGGTTATGCATAATCTGTTTTTCAGACATTTGAAATTCTCCATATTTTTTAAATGAGGGATTTAAAGATTTCCAGGACTTAGTCTGGGCCAACTTAGTGATGATTGAATGAAATTTATTGAATGGACAGATGGAAAGATCGATCTGGTAAGTCCATGGATGTGAAAACTGAGGATCTGAGATTTTAAGTAATCTTCCTGGGTCTCATAACCAGCCAGAATTAGGCATCAGTCTTCAAGCCTGGGGAAAGAAACTGGCATTTATTGCTTTTTGTACCAGACCCCTCGCCAGGGGCTTTACCTGCCTTTTCTCATTTAATCTTTACAACCAACTTATGCCGACAAAACCAAGGTCCAGACGTCACCCAGCAATGAATGGCAGGGCTCAGCTCCAAACCCAAGCCACCAGACCACACACTGCCTCTCTCCAGCTCTGTGTCGACGGGTAGTTCTATATGCAAAGCTATCTATATTGTTTTAAGGATAACAAGTAACATTAAGCAACTATCTGCTGGCTCCTCTTCTATGTGCCTTATTTCTTTCAACTCACTAATCCTGATAGCAACACCATAAGATGTGAGGCAGGGAAAATGTAAATGTCTTGCTCAAGTTCATCGTTAATAAGTAGAAGGACTGAGATGTGAACTGGATGGTCTAGTCTACGGACTGTATATTTAACAACCACAGCCTATTGATTCTTGTCTATCAACCTGGAATCCAGAAATACATGCCTCATGTAGGCACCCTCCAGAATTCTTTGTCCTCCCTTTCTCGTGTATGTCTCTTTCCCTAGACCCTTACCTCCTTTCCTCCTACCCCATCATAAATGGTTGCTTCATTTGAAATGATCTAACACAAAAATTGGTGAAATGATTATCAAATTTGCAGAGTACTCAGGTTGATGTGTGTCAAACACATTTATTATGCAACCAAAGATGCCGATTCTGGCTTGTTTTCTCAATTCTCAGCTCTAAAAGCTTGACAAGGAACATTACTAGAAAAACACATGCTCTGTAGTTAAGATGGATGAAACTGCAGTTTGTGTTGATTTTGGTAAGACAGCTAGTTAAGAACATGTTTAATTACCTGATCCCAGGGGTTGTGTTTGAATTAACCAGATGTTGGTTCCTCTCTGTACTGGAAGATGTTCTCAACGGATTCTTATTGATGATAGGAGGATCAATGGGTAAGTGTGCTTCAAAGTAATTAATAATGCATGTTTAGGTTAGAGAATTCAATAGCTTAAGAGAATAAAATATTTTAATTCCTATATCATCAACAGCAGTTATTTGCAACAAAGGACGACTTTGTCCCCCAGGGGATATTTGGCAACACCTAGAGACTTTTTGGTTGTCACAACTGGGGTGAGAGGTGCTACTGGCATCTACTGAGTAGAGGCCACAGCTTCTCCTAAACATTTACAGTGCTCAGGACAGCTCCCCACAGAAAGAATTATCTGGCTCAAAATGTTAATAGAGTGGAGGCTGAGGAACACTTATCTATAACAATACCAAAATAATACAAATAGTAATGAGAGAAAAGGTATTGATTTCACGATACAGAAAATGATTCATAATAATAGATTGACATTGGTCCCCACCATCACATCAACTCTATTAAAATGAATGATAATGGTTATAATTTAGTTAAAGGTCACACTGAAGCAGAGTTATCAGTATCCAATGAAAACATTTCTAGCCCTCTTTTTCTGTAGAAATTGTTCCACAACAGCCAGTTTTTCTGGGATTCACAAATTCAGGGATAACATGTAACACATGGGCTTAGCATTAACATAACTACAGAAGGAGAATTGGCTTATAAACCTGAAGACAGGCTCAGCACGGTGGCTCACACCTGTGATCCTAGCACTTTGGGAGGACAAGGCAAGCAGATCACCTGAGATCAGGAGTTCAAGACCAGCCTGGCTAATATGGTGAAACCTTGTCTCTTCTAAAAATACAAAAATTACCCAGCGTGGTGGCGCATACCTGTAATCCCAGCTACCCAGGAGGCTGAGGCAGGAGAATTGCTGGAACCCAGGAGACGGAGGCTGGCTGCAGTGAGCTGAGATCGCACTACTGCACTCCAGCCTGGGTGACAGAATGAGACTCCGTCTCAAAAAAAAAAAAACAAAAACAAAAAAAAACCTGAATGCAAACGAAGGTTCAAGTGAAGGTGTCACCTGCTTGGGTAAGTCATATAAGTCCCATGCCTGGGTTTCCCTAATCTTATAATGAAAGTAATAGAAAACTTCCTGAGGCATTAAGATGATTATATTAAATAAAGCATATCAGCCCCTTAATAAGAAGAAAACACTATCCTACAGAAGGTTTTATTAGAAGAATCGTTATTACAAGTAAAAACAGACACCTCAAACAGCCATAGAAATTGCCTGATAATTCTAAATTCTAATAACAAACCCTAAAATAGTTATGCCCTAGTCAATTCAATCAAAGACTTAGTCATTCTTTTCTAATAAAACATGATTGTTTGAATTAAATGCTCTTAATAATATCCCAGAATTAGATAATGGCAGTGCACCTGGAGATTTCTCTATTATCAACAGAATAGCATCTCTTTGAGAAGCAGAAATGGTTGAGTGAGTTCTGAAATGAGACTAGAAAAAACAAAAATAGATATGGGGAAAAAGAACAATGTATAAAACAATCTTTCAATTAAGACTAAACAGAAAAAAGAGGCATATAGGCCAAAATCTGGGGCAGAGAACACTCTTCCCTTATGGTTTTATGACATTAGACAAGTTTTTCAGTTTCAAGAGGACAGGCACATGATTTTAGTAAAAGGAAGGCTGTATTGAATAACTAAAGGCGTGAAAATAGAAGGACAAACAATTTTTAAAATAAAAAAGGCAAACATAATGCCCTAAAGCATATCCTTGGTTAAATAATTTATTTTTCCGAGTTGCATGGAACAAGAGCAGGTTAAACTGTACCCTTCTGTAAAATTAAGTAGAACTCTCTATATAAGGGTATCAGGAGCAGAGGGCCCCCTTTTAATCTGTGAAGTGATGCACTTTAAAAATTCCATGCAGTGCTGGCCCAAGGCTAAATTTTCATATCAAACACAATGAAATTCAGGAGGAACTTATACCAAATTAATTTTCTCAAAGCATACATTGATTTGCTCACTTCCTACACTCCGTGCAAACTCAAAAGCCAGCTGAGGCTCTGTAAAGAGTGTAAGTTCAGACCCTCCTCCTGCCAGTTTCCCTCCCATTCCCTCTGTTGGCTGTCACACCTGCTATTATGCACAACTCCCTCCCTGAATTAGGGCCCTGGATCCCCTGCTTTCCTCTTTCCAAGGCTGCTTTTGCTGCTGCTTTTCCCCAGGAGGAATACTCACATTTGGATCCTAGCCAGCTCAGCCGCCACCCCTCCAGGAAGCCTCCCTGACTTCCCCAGCTGGAAGGCTGCCAGCAGCCCATCCTGCAGCCCTTCCCAACAGCTCACCTATCACACTTTTTGTATTCTAGATTATTTTGTTCCTGGACCCAACACCATGCTAAGCAGGAGAGGAAGAAGGAAAGAAGGGAGGGAAGCCCTGGCTTCAGCATCCTTTGAGCACTTGCTGCTTGCTTGCCCAGCATTTCCCCAACATCCTTGCTCTTCCAACTCTTGCATAATCCTGGGGAGTCAGCACACTCCACTTACAGAGGAGAAAACTGAGGCTCAGGGAGGTCCCCTGCTCTTTCCCCCACTCTATGTGGCCACAGCTTCTCCAATCTGCCTGGGGCACCCCACCAGTGATGTGTTGCTTACTGTAGGCTGCCTGGACACTTTTGGTGCGAATGCTAGAAAAATGAATTCCACTGACAGACCTCAGCATTACTTAGTGGGAGCCAAGGAGGCCAGTTGCTTTAAGCACTCCTGGAGCATTGCCTCAGGCCACTGGATAATTCTGGGCAAGCTGATAGCCACTGCCCCAGCCCCAAACGCCCTGGGTCCCCTATCGGAAATAGATTCCCTCACACCAAGCCGATGCCTGGGCTGCCCACACACTGCTATGCAGAGTAACAGGGTGACAGGCCGTAGCATTCATGGCTGCCACTGTATAAATATTCCTAGCATGGAAAAGCAGTCTTAGACTCATGGTGGCTTTTTAGGATTATATTTACATCAAACGCAGCCACTAACTTCGGGAACATCTTGACAACCCACCTCTCTCCTTCCTCTCTGGGGTAGCTCTTGTAACCCTCCCCTTTGCTCTCTCTGTGCCAGCCCCATTGGCCTCTTTGTGTCCCACAAATGCACTGAGCATACTTGAGCCTAGGGCTTTGCAGTGACTGTTCCCTCTGCTAGAACACTCTTCCTTTGCACATCCATATGACCAGATTCCCTTTATCTCTTCCAAGAGTTGGCTCATGTGTCGCCTTCCTGACTGGGGCACCGTTCTGAAAATTGTAATCACTTCTCACCCAAGCACACCCTCCATACTCCCAAGCCCCATACCTGTTATGTTTCTTGTCTCTGTAGCATTCACCACTGTACTAATATTCTATTTATATTCTAACTTTATTTTTTTCTTATTTCTTGTCTCCACCCACTCTTTCCCCAAAGAGCAGGCACTTTTGTCAAATTTATCTCACTTTTCTATCTTAAGTCCACAGCAGAGTGTCTGGGGCATAGCAGCACTCATGTTCAATAAGTACTTGTTGAGTGAATAAACCTTAGAACATTTCCCTGGTATTATGGTTCGAATGTATGTCACCCTAAAATTCATATGTTGGAATCTAAGACCCAATGTGTGAGTATTAAGAAGTGGGGCCTTTAGAAGGCAATGAAGCCATCCCTCATGAATGAGACCAGTACCTTATAAAAGGGCCCCAGGGAACCATCTAGGTCCTTTTTGCCTTTCTGCCTCCAGACATGTAAGGATGCGGCAAAGGCCCTCGCCAGATGCTGAATGCGGATGCCGTCATCTTGGACTTCCTAGCTTCCAGAACGGTGAGAAATACATTTCTATTGTTTATAAATTACTCAGTCCATGGAATGCTGTTGTAGCAGCACAAATGAACTAAGAGACCTGGCAGATTACAGACCTCATTTTAATTTTAAAAACAGAAATTAGGATGAGCTAATATATTAATTTCCTCTGACTGCTCTAACAAATTACCATAACTTTGATAGCTTAAAACAACCCGAATTTATTATCTTACAGTTCTGGAGATCAGAGTTTGATATGGGTCAAACGAGGCTAAAATCAGGGTCTCATCTGGCTTCATTTTGTCCTGGAGGCTCTGGAGGAGACTCTGTTTCCTTGCCTTTTCCAGCTCCGAGAGGCTGCCTGTATTCCTGTAATTCCTCGTAATTATGTTGAGCCTACTCAGATAATCTAGGAAAATCTCCTCATCTCAAGATCCTTAATTCAATGACATCTGCAAAGTCTCTTTTGCCATGAAAAGAAATATATATTGATAGGTTTTGGGGATTAGGGCACGGATAACTTTGGGGGAGGCAGATTATTCTACAGGTAAAAACTTTTTGCCATTTACATAATCTTTAAAAAAAGATTTGATTAATTATGCAAATGTTTACAACATACAGAGGAAGTACAAAAAATGATGTCTTTCACCAAAAGCAAACAGCTAACATTTGTCATATATGTTTGGCTCACAACTTTTGGAAATAAAACGTTGCAAATACAGCTAAATCCCCAACTCATTTCTCATTTCCTTCCTTCTTACCTTTCCTCAACAGTATCCACTATTAAGGCTAATGGGAATTATTGTGATGAATGTATTTTTACCATTTCTACTGCTAGGACTCAGAAAACAATACCCTGAAATGCAGACCTCAGAAGCAGCTTCAGAGGCAAAAGTTTTTCTCCGACCTTCTCCTGCTCTCCTGTCTCTCAGTTCCATTCTCCCCTGAGGCTAGGCAGAGAAATTAGAATCTCTCTTCCCCAAGGCAGGTCATAGAAACCAGAACCCCTCTTCCCAAAGCCAGCCATAAAACTTAAAAATGTTACTTTAACTTTTCCTCCACCTGTCTGTGTAAAAACGGACCATGAAGAAATTATCTGACCTACGTTATTTGACTGTAGGTCTTAAGAGCCCCATTCGAGAGAGGGTTCTGCCCCACGCCCAGAAGGAAGGAGTGCATGCTCTGAGAGGCTGAGAAGAATCTAGACAGACGGGCCTTGCTGGATTTCCTCACTCAGTCAGCTATTAGCATTAGATCATACCTTTTCTGTCCAATCATATTTCTACATGGTTGTTGAACTTAAGCATAAAAATGGACAATTTCCCCTGTAGCTTTGAGTCTCTGTTCTGAAGGCTCCCGTGTATACACTAAATAATACACTAAATAAATATGTATGTCCATTCTCTTATTAATCTCCCTCTTGTCAGTGATTTTCAGTAAACCTTTAGAAGGTAAAGGAGAATTTTCCCTTGGCCCTGATACTACAACAATAGTATATACACTATTGTGTGTTTTTTAAATTTAGATAAATGGTGAAATACTGTTCATTTCTTTTGCTGTTTGCTTTTATGTTTTGGAAATGTACCTACGTTGGTACCATACTGATCTACTTCCAGCCTCCACTTTATTCAGAGACCTCAGATTATTTATCTATTTTTCTACTGATGGGTAGTTTCCACTTACATGCTATGAAATAACAGAGCTGCACTGACACCCGTGGATATGTCCCTTTTGTGCAAATGTGGATTTCTCTAAAGGAGAATGTACTGAGAGATGCTACATCACTCTCTGAAGTGGCCACTTGGACCAATTAGCATCTCCAGTGATGGTACAGCGTGCCCATTCCTCTACGTCCTCACCAACACTAGGTATGAGCATGCTTATTAATGGTCCTAAGCTGACGTAAGTGATGTGTGTGTATGTCACTGCTGTTTCATTTTGAAATGTGCTTATTTGTGTGAGAGGTTGAGAATATTTTCATGTTGACGGATCATGAAATATTCCCCCTCAAGGAATTTCCTATTTATATTATTTTCCCCATCTTTCTATTGAGTTTGTCTTTTAAATAGGGATTCTTTTTACATTCTGGTTACTGATATTTTGTTAATTACATGGATTGTAAAATCTGTTCTTATCTTTTCATGTTTTTTCCTGCTTCTTGGCAAGTGAGTTTATACTGTTAATTAGAAAACTTTATCACACTTTTTATTTGTGACTTGTACTTTTCCTATCATGAAAAAAGGTTTTCTTCAAATCGGTTCCTATTCTGTTCTCATAAAGATATTTGCCCATGTTTTCTTCTAACAGTTCTATAGTTTTGTTTTTGACATTCATATTTTTACATTATAGAATTATTTTTAATATGATGGCAGATAATGATCAAATGTTATCTTCTTCTGAAAATGTGCTAGAATTACTTGTTTGGTCTATTACCTTCTGCTAATTTTAAAGCTGCCTCTGTCATATACCAAGCTTGCATCTATATGTGGCTCAGTGTCCAGGCTGCCTGACATCCCAGGACAATGCTGCACTGATTTACTCTCTACAGCTCCATGGTAAGTGATATGGTTAGGCTATGTGTCACCACCCAAATCTCATCTTGAATTATAATCCCCATAATCCCCATGTGTCAAGGGAGAGACAAGATGGAGGTAATTGGCTCATGGGGGCAGTTTCTCCCAAGCTGTTGTCATGATATTCAATGAGTTCTCATGAAATCTGATGGTTTTTGTAAGTGTTTGGTAGTTCCTCCTGCATTCATTCTCCTTCCTGCTGTCTTGTGAAGAAGGTGCCTTGCTTCCCCTTCACCCTCTGCCATGATTGTAAGTTTCCTGAGGCTTCCTCAGACATGCTGAACTGTGAGTTAATTAAACCATTTTCCTTTATAAATTACCCAGTCTCTGGCAGTCTTTATACCAGTGTGAAAATGAACTAACACAGTAAGCTTTGCTATCTAATAAGAAAAATTTTGTTCCCCATCCCAGCTTTCTCCCTTACCACACATATGGCCACTTCCTTTAAATTTGTCTGGGAATTTTTTCACTCTTTACTCTTACATATGGCTTTAGGATCAGCTTGTCCAATTCTGAAAAAAGTCTTGTTAGGACTTTTATTAGACTAACAATGAAAGTGCAGAAGTGATATGTCTTCTTTATAATATTAAATCTTCCTGCCAATGAACTGGTTTTTATATATCTTTCTAAATATTTCAGTAAAGTTTTTTTTTTTAAATTTTGTTGTATCTGCAAATGTCTGTTACAAATATCAAGTTTAGTGTTTTTTAAAATTACATTTTATAATTAATAGTTCCTAGGAAATAAGAACAGTATTCATTTTTATATTGATCTATGCAGTCACCATTAGAACTGTCCTATTTCTCAGTAGCTTTTCTGTAGCTCCACTGGAAATTTTTGTGTCAACAAAATTTTGTCTATAATAACAGCAAAATAAAATAACAGCAATTTTGTTTCTGTCTTTTTAAGTCTTATACATTTTATTTATTTTTCTTATTTTACTGCACTGATTTAAAATCTTTTTTTTTCAATGTTGAATAGAAGCAGTGATGAAAGCAAGGAAAATTTTATTCCTAACTTCAGAGGGAATATATGCAATGTTGCACTCTTCAGGTATGATATTTCTGTACATTTTAGCAGAGACTCTTCATCAGGTAATGCTGTTCTTTTCTATTTTTAGATTGCTGTTCTTTTAATGAATGGATGTTGAATTTTGGGGAAAAAAACAACTTTTTTTTTTTCCTTTTACATTTGAGATGCAGAGCAGTAGCGTCCTTAGAGAATAAACTCTGGAGTCAATGCCTGGACCTTAATGAACAGTGGATGACATGTTATTTTCTTTTTTCTTCTTTTAACTTTTATTTTAAGCTCAGGGGTACAAGTGCAGGTTTTTTACATAGGTAAAGTTGTGTCATGGGGGTTTGTTGTACAGATTATTTTGTCACCCAGGTATTAAGCCTGGTACTCATTGTTTTTCCTCATCCTCTCCCTCCTCCCATCCTCTACCCTCCAACAAGCCCCAGTGTGTGTTGTTCCCCTCTATGTGTACATGAGTTCTCATCATTTGGTTCCCACTTGTAAGTGAGAACATGCAGTGTTTGGTTTTCTGTTCCTATATTAGTTTGCTAAGGATAATGGCCTCCAGCTCCACCTATGTTCCTGCAAAGGACATGATCTCATTTTTTATGGCTTCATAGTATTCCATGATGTATATGTACCACATTTCCTTTATCCATTCTGTCATTGATGGGCATTTAGGTTGATTTCATGACTTTGTTGTTATGAATAGTGCTGCAATGAACATACACATGCATGTGTCTTTATGATAGAACAATTTACATTCTTTGGGGTATATACCCAGCAATGGGATTGCTGGGTCAAATGTTATTGCTGACATTAGGTCTTTGAGGAAGTGCCACACGGTTTTCCACTATGGTTAAACTAATTTACACTCACACCAACAGTGTATATGTGTTCCTGACAGATTCTTTTCAAGGGCATGCAGTTCTCACACTTGTTGGTGTCAGCACTTCTTACAGTCTTAAGATTGAAGATTACAAAGAGCTTTTGTTCTTGTGGATTATGTATCTATCAATGTTTATCATGTTACAAATTAAAGCTGATATTGTAAAATATTGATTCATTTTAATACAACAATAATAAACTCAATCCATGTTAAGTAACATATTTTTGTATGAAAAGTATCATATTCTCCAGAACAAAATGAAATGGAGTCTGTCTGTTGAGTGACATATTAAACTCATCCCACCTATCTTCAAGCCTAATACTACTTCTTACCTTCCAGCCTTCAAGCGATTGTAATCGTATGTTATACTTCCACCTATGTTATAAACCACACAATATATTATTATTTTTGCTTTAAGCAGTAATTTTTAAAAATAATTTGTAAAAATAACAAAAAGCTATTTAAATATAGCTACATATATGCAAGCCCAAATCTGACTTCAAGCTTTGATGTGGGGGGAACTTTTTAGCTTATTTATTCACTTATGCATTAGTCATGATTGCTGCATCTGCAGAAACTCACGTGAAAATAATGTGCTAAATTGTCAAATGTTTGGGGTGGCTTCTACTGTTGGACCATACACAACCTTCACATTTCAGATATTCTTACTTTAGGGACTATTGAGCAAGCAGAGAAGAAAGCCTTACTATGCACTGTTTTTATTAATTCTCTTCCAATTGCTTTCTTTTCCTGCCCTTCCAGTTGTAGTTAAACAGCGGGGAGAACAGAGTTGTCCTGCTGGGGCAGTGGTTCACAGCTCCATGGGGCCCCTAGGTGTGTGCGACTTACTATCATTGTCCAGCATTCTCTCTCTGCCTCAGGTCCTGCACCCTAAGCCTGGCCAAAGCTGGAAGCAGGTGAAAGGAGAGTTGAGGTGGTCAAAAGAAGCATAGAGATGCCCTACTTCCACCTCCCTGGCATCTTCAGTCCGTAGGACTGAGGGCACTTCCAAACAGCCTGCCTTTCCCAGAGTCCTCTCTCCTTGTCCATCAGAACAATCAGCAGAACAGAGATCTTGGAAGCATAATGATATACTTTTTCTTCCTCTTTCCCTCTTCCCTCCCTCCTCACCTTCCTCCCTCCCATCCCTTCCCTTTCTTTCCGTCCCCTCCTCTCCCCTTTCTTTTCCCTTCCCTTTCTTTTCTCCCTTTCTTCTTCTTCTTTTTTTTTTTTTTTTTTTAAGACAGAGTCTCGCCCTGTCACCCAGGCTGGAGTGCAGTGGCACGATCTTGGCTATTGCAGCCTCTGCCTCCTGGTTTCAAGCGATTCTCCTGCCTCAGCCTCCCGCATAGCTGGAATTACGAGTGTGCACCACCATGCCCAGCTAATTTTTGTATTTTTAGTAGAGACAGTAGATGTTGGCCAGGCTGGTCTTGAACTACTGACCACAAGTGATCTGCCTGTCTCCACCTTGCAAAGTGCTGGGATTACAGGCATGAGCCACAGCACCTGGCCCCTTCTTTCTTTCCTTCCTTCCTTCCTTCCTTCCTTCCTTCCTTCCTTCCTTCTTCTTCTCTTCTCTCTCTCTCTTTCATTCTTTCTTTTTTCTTTCTTTCTCCCTCCCTCCCTCTCTCCCTTCCTTTCTTCCTCTCAATGAACATAGTATTTTGAATACTATAGTAGACTAAATAGTGCCCCCCCCACCAAAGGTCCATGTTGTAATACCTGGAACCTGTGAATATGTTACCTTACATGGCAAAGGGCACTTACTTTGCAGATATGATAAAGAGGGACTCAGAAGGTGTCAGAGTCAAGGAAGACAATATGACAACAAGCCAAGAGGGGTTTGAAGATGCTACTTTGCTGGCTTTGAAAGGGGCCAGAGCCAGAGAATCCAAGGAATGCAGCTCTAGCAGCTGGAAAGGCCACAGTTCTCCCCTAGAGCCTCTGGAGGGAGCGCAGCCCTGCCAGCACCGTAGGTTCAGCCCGGATGCACCATTTCAGACTTCGGACCTCCAGAACTATAAGAGAATATATTGTGCTATTTTAAACCTTAAAGTTTGTGGTCATTTGTTCCAGCAGCAACAGGAAACTAATTTGAGCACCAAGCACTGTATCTGATATAACCAAAGCTTCAAAGGAGGGTGCAGGCCCAGGAGTCGTGTGGCCACTGCCAGGAGAGCTAAAGCCATAAGAGTGAGTGGGGAAGGGGAAGAGTTCCAGGAGCCATGAACGGATTACTCAAGCAGGGATGCACATTGTATATAAAAGAAAGACATGAAGTACAGTTACAGAAGAGAGATTGGGGCATTGTCACTTCACAGAAGGCAATGGGGAGTGTCAAGAGATTGATTTTCCCTCCTTTTCCCTGGGCTGTAATTTCTCCCTCTTTCTTGGCTATTCATAAACAGATGGCAATGGACCCCATGAGTGGAGCTTTAAGCCAAAATGCCCAAATCCATAGAGACAGAAAGTAGGTTGGTGATTGCCAGGGACGGGCTGGAAGGGAGCCGGGGGAAAATGAGGAGTGACTGCTAAGAGGTAGAGGGTTTCTTTTGGGGGCTGTGAACATGTTCCAGAATTAAACAGTGATGGTTGCACAACTCTGTGAAAATACTAAAAACCCACTAAATTGTACATTTTGAAGGGGTGACTTTTAAGGTATGTGAATTATATTTCAATACAAATAAAATAAGTAGATAGATAGATAAAAGCCCACTCCTTGAGTGGCTTTCATTCAATGCAGCAGAACCAAAGAGCAGCCAGCGCCCTCCAAGCCTAATGTGCTCCTTCTCACCACGCAGCTCTTGGCCACCTCGCTTCCTGCCTCTCTCAGTTGATTCCCTGTGACTCTATCCCTGCATGGAGGAGAGACAAGTGAAAATGAAAGACAGATGAATGTGTCAAGTTGAGAGCTCTTTACATGATGAAGGTGTTTCTGCTTCATTGCATGAAACAGAACATAGAGCGGTGATAAAACCCAGCCAGATCCTTTGGGTTGACTTCCAACCGCAGGTGGTGGTTACTCATTAGGAAAGAGCGAACACTGTAATGACTTCAAAACTAAGGAGTGCAAAGCCAAATATTCACTAATAATCACTCATCAAGGAGAACAGATGGCACACGTTGAACACTCCTGAAAATGAAAGCCCTTGGCTGCAGGGGTGAATGTCCAGGACCCACAGAAAATATCAAGTCAGATACCTCTTGAAGCACTGATGGGAAGGTGCAGCTGGACTCCCTGGAACTCTGAAGCTGAGGTCAGAGATGACTCTGCTTCTGTCCAACTCCTTAATCACATTTCTACAAGGCACTAAGCATCTCCATTTTTCTGTCTGTAGAATAGGTATCTTGGTTGCCATACACCAACTTTTCTGATGTTTTAATTAAAACTAGGAAAACTGTCTTTTAGGATTGGGCTGCTAGCAATACGGAAAGGAGCACAAATTTCTGGGTAATGGAGAGAAAATCTATTCTAGTTCAAGTATTTGGAGTTCCTATAAATCTTACTCTATATACAATTGTTGCTTGAGAAATAGTATTACCAATAGACCGCAAACAATATGCTTTTTAATCAACTGTGTCTCATCTGAGCTGTGATACATCTTTGGCCTTATGAAAAGAGAATGTTTATTTAATAAGAGCAGCTGCTGTAATTTTTCAAAATCATACCTTTTTCTGAAATTATTCCCCTGCTCACAAATGGTAGTGACTTTTGTGAAAGAGTTTATTTTGATTATTCTATTAGCTGGATCAGTAATCAGAAAACTTGCTTTGAGGGAATTGTTTCCAGATCATGTCATATCACACAGGGACCCCTTGGGAGTCATCTACATAAGCTTTCTAAAACCTAACTTTTAAACAGCAGCAACAGTCAAACACAGTGGATGTGGCGGGACCATTCTCTTATGATAAGGTTTTGTACTTCTAAAATAGGTTTCCTACTCAAAGTTCGGACCATAATTAATCAGTCCTGGTTGGAGACTTATACCAAAACTGCAATATATGTGTGTTTTAAGCATGATTTAAACATAACTTTTCTTTTCTTTTTTTAGAGACAGAGTCTCGCTCTGTTTCCCAGGCTGGAGCGCAGTGGCATGATCACAGCTCACGGCAGCCTTGACCTCCTGGGCTCAAGCAATCTTCCCACCTTAGCCTTCTGAGTAGCTGGGACCACAGGCACATGCCACCAAGCCTGGCTAATTTTTTTATTTTTTTGTAGATGAAGGGTCTTGCTATGTTGACCAGGCTGGTCTTGAACTCCTGGGCTCAAGCGATCCTCCCACTTCAGCCTCCCAAAGTGCTGGGACTACAGACGTGAGCCACTGCACCCGGCCTAAACATAGTTTTCCAAGCACACTATGGTCATTATCTTTAATTTATGGGAGAATTAAAGAGTTGAAATGACTCTTCACTCTTTTGAAGTGGTAGCAACTAAAAAACATAGTAGTTTTTTAGTTTTGGCAGTAGTTATGGCAGAGAGATTGGAACCACTGGATGCTGGACTTCCAGGGCATGATGGCTCACTCGATAGGTGAGGATTTGCCACCCATGGAGAAGGGGGCCTCAGGTACAAGTGCCCCACAGGCCATCCCCTCTGCACTCTGATATCTCAGGTAGACACCTCACCTTACCTCCCTCAGGTCTTCCTTTCCAAGAGTCACCACTCTGTCCACACTCCACCTTTCATTTCCTTCTTCCTCCTTCCACATTTGTCCCATAGCCCAAATCTGAGCTCTCTTCTCTTTGAAACTTCTCTCCATTTCCATCAATGCTTAGTGAACATCTGCAGGGTGTCAGAAGTTTAAAAAGTGACATTCATCTAAGAACCCAGGAACAGCCAAATTTATGTGTCCCTGGCCAGCCTTTCCTTTGAAGTTCCTGAGAAACCCATACAGCAGAAAGTCACCAAGAATTAGACATTTTTGGGTTACTATTTTGGCATTGTCTCCAACTAAGTTGTCCTGGTCAGCTTGGGACTGAGGAAGTTTCCAGGGACATGGGACTTTCAGCTTGAAAACCAAGACAGTCTCAGGCAAATTGGGGAAAATTGATCACTGTTGCGGATTCAATTCTGTGTCCACCCCCACCTCAAAATTCATATGCTGAAGCCCCAACTCCCAATACCTAAGACTTTATTTGGAAATAGGGTCACTGCAGATGTAATTTGTTAAGATGGGGTCATACTAGAGTAGGGTGGGCCCCTCATCCAAGATGACTGGTGTCCTTATAAAAAGGTGAGATTTGGATGCAGACAAGCACATGGGGAGAAGGCTACATGAAGATGAAGGCGGAGGTCAGGGTTATGCAGCACCAGTTAAGGAGCACCAGCGATTGCTGGCAGACCACCAGAGGCCCGGGGACAAGCATGGGCAGATTCTCCCTCACAGCCCTCAGAAGGAACTAACTTTGCTGACAGCTTGGTCTTTAGCAAAAATCTGGACTCATATAACAATTATGTTGGAAGGTCACAGATATGGGAAGGGTTCGGGTAAAATTTGAGGAGTAAGGTGATGCTGAAACCACGGAGAGGGAACGAGGTCACTTAAAGCTTTCCCAGGCTTCAAGAGGCCTTGCATGGATAGTAGGAACCCATGTCTCATTCCCAGGAAGCACACTGGGATTGGGACTGTGGATGGGACCTTGGTAGGACTTCCTATGAAATGAGTTAGGAGTAAGCCTCCTAGGCCCAGAAAAGACCCCACATGAAGCCTGCCAAGGAGTCCCTGCCACTATCCGCCCTCAGGGCACTGAGCTGTACTTCTTAAATAAAGAATATGAGCCACAGACTAGAGGAGCCTTCTGTAAATGTCCTGGACTCTGCCATATTTTCTTTTCTTTCTTTTCTTTTTGTTTTTTTTTTTTTTGAGACAGAGTCTCGCTCTGTCACCCAGGCTGGAGTGCAGTGGCCCAATCTCGGCTCACTGCAAGCTCCGCCTCCTGGGTTCATGCCATTCTCCTGCCTCAGCCTCCCTAGTAGCTGGGACTACAGGCACCCGCCACCACGCCCGGCTAATTTTTTGTATTTTTTAGTAAAGACGGGGTTTCACCGTGTTAGCCAGGATGGTCTCGATCTCCTGACCTTGTGATCCACCCGCCCCGGCCTCCCAAAGTGCTGGAATTACAGGCGTGAGCCACCGCACCCGGCCGACTCTGCCATATTTTCTAGGCTTGCATACAACTCAGAAGCAGAGAAGGAAAACCCCTAGCTTATGACCAAGACGAAGTTTCCAGTGAGTCTGGTTGGTGGGAGCTCAGAACAGATTAAAGTTGATTTAGAAAAATAAAAACACTCTGACATTTTTCATGTGCACAGATGTAGGGTAAGACTCATACCCACTACCCATTCATTGATTCAGACAAGATATGCTTTTAACTCTGCAAGCTGAGGTCCAACAGGCTGATGTCTCTAGGCTCATTTCTTGTCCAAGCTTCCCTGCCTTAGCTGAGCAGCAGTTGCTACAGAGAGAGACACGTCTTCCCCAACCCCAATCAGAAAGTCAATTGAGGAGATTCCTGAAGTGCTATAGCCGTGCTGTGAAGGGTGGCGGGAGATTAGGCAGAGATGGGAGTGGGATAAAAAGGAAACAGAGAAACCTTCTGTGCTGTGAATGGTTGGGGAGAGGTGAAGCAGGGATGGGAATGGGATGAAAAGAAAACAGAGAAGCCCAAATGGATGGGAGACAAGAGGAAGACAGACAATGTACAGTCCAGCCCTGCAGAGGCCTCTGGGCCCCTCTAGAACTCCAGGAGGCCCCCTCAGCTCCATGGTTTGCATTCCTGCCCCAGCGATTCCTGGCTTTCATTTAGAACCCTGGGTGTGTATTAGTTTGAATCATAGCCCACAGCTTGCTGCACTGTCAAATTTGTGTCTGCCAACAGAAAGGAATGTATTTCAGCCAGCAAGAGAGGGAACTCAGGATTTGTGGCAAGGAAAAATGGAATGCAGTAGAGGAGAAAACTCCATTAGAAATTCTCTGAGGAGCCAGGATCATTCGTCTTCCTCTTCTGGTTGTCAGTGGGCCACTCTCTGCCTACAGCTGCCACCATCTCTCTAAAGGAAAGAAACACAGCATGCTTATTTGCCTCTGCTAGTTGTAGAATCAGACAGATCGTTGATAAAGCCCTGCGTCAACCTCTCAACCTAACCTTTTACTTTATCAGTATCCTGTCCTCTAGATGGGAGATGGGAGTGGGAGCCCAATCCTTTTCTTTTCTTTTTTCTTTTCTTCTCTTCTTTTTTTTCTTTTTTCTTTTTTTTTGAGACAGAGTTTCGGTCTTGTTGCCCAGGCTAGAGTGCAATGGTGCGAGCTCGGCTCACTGCAACCTCCGCCTCCCGAGTTCAAGTGATTCTCCTGCCTCAGCCTCCCGAGTAGCTGGGATTACATGCATGCACCACCACACCCAGCTAATTTTGTATTTTTATTAGAAATGGGGTTTCTCCATGTTGATCAGGCTGGTCTCGAACTCCTGACCTCAGGTGATCCACCTGCCTTGGCCTCCCAAAGTGCTGGGGTTACATACGTGAGCCACCGCACCTGGCCCAACCCGCTCCTTATCAAAAAACTTCACCCCGTTGTGGCCTCTTTATCCTTCACGTGTGTGTCCTGTCCACTAGTCCGTCTTTCCATGATTGGTTTGCACACGGCCACTTCAGACCTCCCTACTGCCCAATGTATCTACTGTTATCTTCCTAAAACTCATGAGCTTTAACCAGGAAATTGGACTTTGAATTCAAAATAAGTAAAACAATTAGAAGACCAGAAGTACAGGGAGTGCTCTATTTTACTTCTTGCTGTTTGTGTTTATTTCCCCAGAGACAGAGCACTACGGAAGGGAGCCCCATTCCCAAGCATGGTGTCCAATACACTGGTGAGTCTTGGCAGATTATGAGGCAGGTCACAGACAATTGCTATCGTGAATTAAAATCTGTGAATAAATCTCTTTATAATAAAGTAGGGAGTATCCAAGAGTATCCTTATAATAAAATTACATCTACTCATTTCCATTTGGATATGCCCTCTTGAGTGGAAGAAGGGGATGGAGTACAGTTGGCACACACCTCAGTCACCTAACTACCAAATTATGGTTGTTAAATATGGCTGTAATAAAAAAATTTCAAGCTTTTCTTGAAATCTAGTTATACCCATGGGGATGTATTTAACACGTGATACCACTTGCCTCTTCTTTTGACAGAAAGAATAACTGGGCTCAGTAATGCACCTAGAGACTCAGATTCCAGACCTGCCCACTTGCTTTACTATCCAAAACAACCATGACACATGACTTCTCTGGCGGGGTGTTGGCCAAGACAAACTGAACTATAGAAGATCCTTGACTTGCCAACGTTCAAATGATGAACTTTCAAAAATAGCGAAACTGGCTGCAGAGCAAAAGCTTTTCAGCTCTGCACAACACCAACAGATGGCGCTAAGTGTCACCCTTGTGGAGAGCAGAGGGACCTCGGAAGGGCCTTTGGAAATCTAATCTGGTTTTGAGTTCTTGGTGGGAAAATGCACCTTTAAGTTGGGGGAGTTTGAAGACGTTGCCAAGACACGTGCTGCAGCATTTGATCTTTTCTGCCGCACTGGCTTCTGCAATTAACATGCTTTCACCAGTGAAACTCAGGTTGCGGGGAGAGCATTCTTCCAGGTTCATGCCTGTTGTCATGGAGTAATTATAATTCATGTCTCCGTTCACAGTGTCCTGGTTTGTAGAATAAAATATCTGGTCCACCCACCCAGTGGGATCTTTGAGAATCCATTCATTTTAGAGTCAGCATCTGTGGCTGGTTCCAAGACTGTAATTTGCTTCCTTGGCAAATGCCACACTACATCAAAAGGGGGCAAAAGAGTATGATTGCTCTATTTTTACTTAGAATCCAAGTGGTAATTTATGGAATACAGGGGTTCTCAACCTCAGCACTATTGACGTTGGAGCTGGATAATTCTTTGGTGGTTGTGGGGGAGGGGCGAGGGCGGGAGTCCTGTGCTTTGCAAGATGTTTAGCAGCACCTCTGGCCTCCACTTGCTAGATGCCAGCAACACCTCCCCACTCTCTCCCAATTTGTGACAACCAAATACGTTTCCAGACATTGTCAAATGTCTTTAGGAGGCAAAACCATCCCTGTATGAGAACCACCATTTTAGTGCTTTGTACAAGTAGGATTCAGTGTACAAACCTGAGTCGATTCTACCTCGGACAGTGATGGTACCTGGAATAGCACCCAAAATCAGGGAGTGAGAAACGCTTACCTTTAGCATTTGAAAGAATGAGCTGGTGGTGATGAGCTCAAGATTTAGAGTCAGACAGGTTTAGGTTTGAATGTGGCCCTGTCACTTTGTAACTGTATAAGCTTGTGCAAGTTACTTGATTTTTTTGAACCTCAGTTTCCTCATCTATAAAATAACAGTAATACCTGCCTCTTCAGGTGGTTAACACTTAAATCAGTTCAATGATGTAAACCACTTAGTACACAGCATACACTATGTAGTGTGAGCTACTACCGTCATTATTATATGCAACATCATCTCTTCTCAGATTTCTATAATTAGCCTTGGTTATTATTTCGGTTATTTACTTCCTCATCAGAGTCTTTCTTTAGTTGTCAGCAATTTTTGAACCCTCTTTAACAATAGTCAGCACTTGTTTTTTTGCAAGAAATGATTCTAAAACAGTTTGCAAATTTCTACATAAGAAATTGATGCAATAATAACAGCAGCAGCAGTAATTTCTATAGGATTACTGAGATAGAGCTATCATCGTGGCCAGGCTTGCTTCTATGTCTAAATTCCAGACATTCTTGATCTTAAAGGGCTTCTATTACCAGAATTCAGAAGCACTGAATCAAAATTCAGAAGAGAATGTTCTAGATTAGGAATCAAAGTGCCTTGACAATGAGATTGTACAGTCTGGCTCATTTCTATGGTTCCTTGGAGATTCACCCTCTCCATGAGAAAAGAGGCCATTTGCAATTCTGCCTGATTCCAGAGCCCTTTTATTTGTTTACTGGGTACTCATGCCAGAGAAAAAAGGCAGCTTCCAGATCCATGCAAATCACATTGCATTAGTGCTTATATTTACAGATAAACAGCTCCATTAAGCACTGGAAAAGCCTTCTTATACTTGGACAACCAGGTGAAAATATATAAATTGAATTTCACACTCATGGCACAAATTCATCCTTACAATACAGTCCCCCAAAGCACTTCAAGTGATTTTGTGTGAAGAGTTTCTGAGATGAAATGGTAAGATATGACTGCTCTGAGGGAGGGGGCAATAGGGAGAGGAGTTACTTCATTAGCATTGTCAGCTTTGTCACAAGGTGACATTATGAAAGAATTTAGCCTCTTTGTAGACCATTAAGGGAATAAATACATATTGTAATCTAATTGGCAAAACTGCAAAAAGGCCCCATCTGGATAACCCACCACTTTCATTATGATGTGCTTATGAAAGATATTTGAAAGTCAAATATCTGAATTTTGAAGAAGAAGAAAAAAAAAGGTTTGGCCTACTCCTTGTTTAGAGAGAAGATATAGATAACATTCCAAACAATGGTTTGTATCGGTGCTGCTGAGCTCAAGGCCCAGGCAATGAGGTGGGTGTGGTAAGGGTCTCCTCAGGCCGATTTAGAGCCTAGACTGAAGGTGGCTTCTAGTTACCTGGACTCAGGTATCTGTCTCTTCCCAGGGCTGCTGTCTTTCCTGCTGGGACAGGGAGAATAGAGGACAGGCAACTCTTAATAGTAAACATCCCTCAGAGATTCATTAGGAGTCTATAGCAGGGATGGCAGAGTCCATCAGAACTGAGCAGATTCTCAGCCAACTACCTGCACCCCCACCCCACACACATGGGGGGTCCATGGAGAGGATCTCTAACCTGCTGCCTGCCAGCAAGCCCTAGCATTACTCACTAGGAGATGTTAGGCAAGTTACCTTATTTTACCAAGTCTCAGTTTCCTCATCTGTAAAATGCGGATTCCTGCGCATAGTGGGCTGTGAGAATTAAATGGGATGACAAATGTGAAGCCCTGAGCACAGCACCTGGCTTATGGGAGTGTCCCTTACCCCTCCTCCTTTCTAACATAGGAGAAGGTAGAGATTCTCAATTCCTCTTTCAACAGCAATAACAATAACAGGCCACCACAGTCTACAAATTTCTGTATGTCACGGGATTCATAAGAAATTGAGAAGTACATTTCTTTCGAGGACAAACACACTCAATTTTTTTTACTGTATTTCTAGTATATATAGAGAAAAGCAAAAAATACAACTCCAAGAGACCTCGGTAGTAGTCTCTCCTCTCCCTGTAATGTGTTGTGTGACCATTGATATTCCCTTGATCAGTCTGATTCCTGGTTACCTGGACAAGGTGATCTTCACAGTGAATTCTAGCTGTGATGTTTGCTGACTGATTCTCCTACATAGTCAAGGCTCTGTAGAGTGAGCCTTTCAGGGATTGTCTGTGAACCCTTTCCTTCCTCCAGAAACATTTCCCCATCCACATGGCTATATGAGATCTCTGGCTTTCCCTGGCCAAACAGGGTTCTTCCAAGTATCTGATCCAAATGAGTGAGTTCAAGTTCTTCTTCATGAGTTGTTCTGGAATTGAGAAAGAGCTATAGGAAGCAATGAGATATAGCTGAAAACCTGCTGACAGTCACCTTGCCAGCCATCTGGTGAAAAATAGTCTGCAGCAAGAGAGAAAAAAGCCAACACTGAGAGAGAAGCAGAAAGGAGAGATGCAGGGAGAGTCTAGTCTGTACTTGACTCCCTAGTTCTGATTGTCTCACCTGTGCCCCTCTCCTTTCTGAAGTTTTCCTTTCTTGGATTCTGTGAGCCAAAGAATTCTCTTTTTGTTAAAGCTACTTTGAGTTCGTTCTCTGTCCCCTGCAACCAAAAATTCTGATTTGGAGCATCTTTTTATGTGATCTAAGCATCCCTATACTCATCTAAGATGGCATGGTTTTTAATATTTTATTAAACCTACTGTTATGCTACCCTTGAAATTCAGCTTCTGTTGCAACAAGCTTTTATCGCAAGGGAAAACAGGGAGTTCCTCCATGGTATATAATCCTGTCCTCTCCAGGTCCCACAGATATCCTCTCTGTGAGGGCCCAAAAAAGAGGAACATGCCACAGAGTAAGCCAACACCAGCCAGGGAGGATGGAGAGGCAGAGCTGGCTGGGGTCCCCCTGAATCTGCTGCTGTTAGAATTTTCTGTCAGTGTGGAGTTTATTAAGAGTGGATCTAACTTTCAGAGGAGAGTGCAAATTTTCTCTCAAGCCAGTTTTAAAACATTTAGGCAGAGTAAAAAGTCAAAAAAGACTTTAGGCTCTGAAGTCCTGCATTCTAGCCTGACACAGGAGGGTTTCCCTGGTGGCTCAGCTCTTACATGAAGCTCTGTTTTTTTGTGTGAAACATCAAAAACTCAATGTTTCTCAGAAAGTTCTGAAAAGAATCTTATTTCCCAGGCAACAGCTTTTCACTTGCTGTCTTCCCCCTGGGCCTCCACAAATTAATCATGAGTATAAATAAAAGCACTACTCAAGTCGGTGACTGCGGCCCTGCCCTGCCTGTTGGGATAGCAATGGAGAAATCAAGAACAGAGTGAGGTCCTAAGAAAAGCAGTGGAGCAACTCAAGGCTGAGTGTCCAGACTATAGCTGGGCGGCTGCAATGCTGGTCAAAAACAGGGCCTGCCAAGCTCTGATGCTGCAGGAACACATGGGAGCTTGCCTTCACAGGCAATGCCTCCTGACTTCGCAGGAGCTGGATGCTTCCTGCTTTCAGAGGAGCCCGATGCATCCTGATAGGAGGCAGATGTGCCTTTTGCATCTGATGCCATCCACTGACAAGGAGTGTGGACTGTTCACTGGCTCTTATTAAAGAATGCCTCAGACACTGCTTATACCAATATTTTACACCACAGTTCAACTTTTGAAGGGTGTATTGTTTTCAGTGTCAAAGTAGGTCAATCTGGATGCTTTAAGCTGCAGTAACAGAAAACCAACTCAAATTGATTAAACAATTTGGGGATCCATTGCTTAACAAAGAGGACATCAAAAGATAGGGTTAGCTTTGGTTTAATTGGCAGAATCAGGCTCATGATATAATCAAGACCGAGGTTCTTTCCAGGACTCTCCTCTGCTATCCAGCCTCAACTGCATCCTAAAGCATCCTCTTGGTCATAGAGTGGCTTCTAGCAGCAACCAGGCCTATTCCCTTGTTCACATCCAATAGGAGAAAGGGTGAGTTTCTTATGGAAAACTTTCAGGGAGGCAAATAAGTATGTTTCCAGAAATTTCCAGCAAAATGCTTCTCATGTCTCATCAACGAGCTGCATATCACATGCCAATTCCTGAACCAACCCCTGATAAAGAAGGAGGAATACCCCTTGGACCCATCAGGAATAATCAGTCAGGCTCTAGGGAGCCAAGGGAGGTATGTGGATTATTTGGGAAAGGGTAGATAGCAGAATCAAGTCTGGTTTCTATTAGACACGAGATGGGAAATACATGGCTAGACAGGCATCCAATCATACTAACTAGCTTAAAGTCTGAATAGCCCACTTACCTATTTAGGTTGCAGCTTCTACACAAATACACTTTGCAATACAGTTCTTCAACTCCCACCTCCATATTCCTCACCTCATAAGAAGCAGCAGGAGCCTTCATCAGGAGAGACAGGATAGGAAAGTTGCTCGGGTTGTTCTGAGAATCCTTGGCTGGGTTTTCTCTTGCAGACCCTTAATGTAGTACGGTAAAGTCTTCATCTAGACAAGGGCATTTGCAACATCTTGACATCAAGTGTACTGACTAGAACCACAGTTCCCACACTCCAGGGTGCAGAAGAATCTTGGGATGGGGGATCAGCTTTGTTCAAAATGCAGATCTCTGTGCCCCAATCCTAGACATTCTGACTCATTGGGTTTGGATGAGACTCAGGAATCCGTATTGAACAAATCCAGCGTGAGATTGGGATGCGGGTTTTCTTTGGATCACACAGAGAAACAATGGCCATGAGCCATGTGTCGTAGTAGGTTGGACTCCCCACAAGCATGCCCAGAGACAAGGGTCTTTCATGACAGTGATTAACTAGAAAGTGTTCCGGAAAAACAGTTAGGAAATGGAAAATGGGACCGGAAAGGGAAGGAAGACAAGTCAGGCTGCAATATTAGTGAAGTCCCATGGAGGTGAACCTATGGCTTGGTTCCACAGAGAAGCTCTGGAAACAGTGGAGGACAGTGTTGTTCCAGTCAGCAGAGAAGGGAGCTGGAATAGTTATACTCCACCTCACCCTGTAAACTTCAGTCATTGGTTAATCACTGCAGGGTTCTAGCAGCTGGGAGTAGAAAGCCTTTATCAGGAGCCATTGTCCACAAAAATGGTAAAGGTGTCGGATAGGAGGTATGGGCAGGACACCTACATTGTCTGCTCCTCATATTGTAAGTATATTCAATCACTTCAAAAATTTTATATGTGAATTATATCTCAACAAAGTGTTATTCAAACGATAGATTTTAAGAGATATACTGAAGAACTCTATACTCTGAGCTCCACAGTGGACCATGAAACCACACAACATACAAAGGATGCAGATTGTCACACTACATGCAGGCCAGACTCAGGAGCAGGATACCATGTTCAACACTGACTCATAGTACTTCAAATCAGCTATGTGGTCTCCTCATAGTTTAATAAAATTACACGAATATGGTCAGGCACGGTGGCTCATGCCTGTAATCCCAGCACTTTGGGAGGCTGAGGAGGGCAGATCACTTGAGGTCAGGAGTTTGAGGCTAGCCTGGCCAACATGGTGAAACCTGTCTCTAATAAAAATACCAAAATTAGCTGGGCATGGTGGTGTTTGCCTGTAATCCCAGCTACTCGGGAGGCTGAGGTAGGAGAATCACTTGAACCCGGGAGGCAGAGCCTGCAGTGAGCCTAGATTATGCCACTGCCTCCAGCCTAGGAGACAGAGTGAGACTCCATCTCAGAAACAAAAAAAATTAAATGAATATTTGAAAAAAATGTATATATGGACAGTAGCACTTAGGAACTCCCTGTTTTTCCCTGAGGTAAGAGCTTGTTGCAACAGAAGCTGAATTTCAAGGGTAACATAATAGTAGAGACAAATGCTCATATAATGAATTCAACAAAATCATGGTTGCCTACTGGAGATTAGAGATACAAAGATGCCTGAGACAGGTTTCTGTTTGCAAGGAGCTTAGAATTTCATTTATTCATCCATTTAACAAACATTTGTTGAACACCTATAATGTGCCTATCACTGACCTAGTCCCTGGAGAATATCCATGAATACAAGAGACAGGTTCTCTTATAATTGAAGTGGAGAGACACTCAGCAAAGAGGTGCATGATGAAGAGATAAACAAACTTACACTAAAGTGCCAGTAGTGATGAGTTACGGAGAGAAAATGGCAGGTGAGGGGGCTTGACTTCCAAACGATGGGAGACCTCTTTGAGCAAGTGTGTCCTTAATGTTGTCAAAGCCTATAGATAAAAGTCAACTGGGGGGGGGTCAAAATGGCAGATAGGAGGCAGGACTAACTTGCAGCTCTCACTGAGACGGACAGAGCAGCATGTGGAGACTCACATCGTGAACTTTTGCTCCAAGAACTACCGCAGGAACATACCAGGAAAGCTGAGAGAATCCACAAATGCTTTGAGGGAGGTGGAATGCTGCTGCAGGCTCCACGGGACAGCTGAGGAACTGTGAGTGGGCTTGCCGTCTCAGCTGGGAGGCTTATAGCCCGCGGCAAGTTTTCAGCCCTGTTCACTGGCTGCCCGGAAATAAACTCGGTGCTGTTGCAGGGGCACAGTGGGAGTGAGACCAGCCTTTTGGTACTTGGCATACCAAACCCCATCTTAGCACCTGCCTCAGAGAAACACAACCTACAACAGGCATCAAAGAAAACTTCCTGGAGGAAATGTTTCTTCAGGCAAGTTCTGAAAGACTGATAGGAGAATTAGGCAGAAGAATGAGAGAAGGAGACATAGCATGTGCTAGTTAATAAAAGTTCAATTCCACTTTCATCTGGGGCTCCCTTGTTCTGTGTTGAAGGCTGTTTCTTGCTAGCGTACAGGAGAAAATGTAGTTTACTCATTCTGTTAATGGATATTGAGATGGTATCACAAGGAGGCTCAGGGGAGAGATACATGGATAGATCTCTGTGCCTGGACTCAGACTTTGAGAATATTTGTGACTCATGAGATTTCCCCTCAAAAGGTAGCCACTGTGCAGATGTCAGTCAGCCCTCTTCCTTGGCCAGCGCAGAGCTTGCTCATGAAGCAGAGGCTGTGCGTGGGCTCCACAACATGGACTTCTCTCTAAAGATCGCCTTGGCAGTGCCATGGGACTGTACAATTTGATGGCAGCGACAACCAAACCTAAAACCCCAATATGGTGTAATAATCTGGCAGTAGCTTGGTCATACCAGGTGCTTTTCACCATGGAAGGGCAGAGCTTTTCCCTCACTGGAATAGGCCCTCTTACCTGGACTTAGATGTGTTGCTTCTGCCCATGACGCTTTTGCCAGCACCATCCTCCATGACTTACTGGATACATCATGGTAGCCCACACAGCATCCCTTCTGTTCTAGAAACTTCCTTCATTGTGAAAAAAGTGTCCCTAGGAGGCACTGGGCTAAGGAGCCCCATTATCCCATCCACAACCTTGCGTTTTGCTAGATTAAATAAATTGGAGCAAGGTGTACTGTTAGGTTGAACCATATGAAAATGATGATATTCAACCATTTTCTGACCTATAAAAATGACAATTTCATATGACTCAATCCAATAACTAGTGGGGTTTCGGTGAGGCTCTCCTAGGAGAGCAGACTACTGCATCTTGAGTCATGAGAGGTAATAAAACTGCTAGGCAGGAGTGATATTTAGAAGCATAAATATAGGAAGAAGCATACATGAGCCCCCAAATGAACAGACCATGGTAGATATTTCTCATTTTTCACACAGAGAATCCAGACATATTTTCTATGTTGTGAGAATGTCAAGCTCATGACCTAGCACAGCCAAGCAGATGCTTCTGTCTGGGACTTTGAACTCAAAGGAGTGAGGCAGTCAGAGGCGTGTGCGTGCGTGTGTGTGTGTGTGTGTGTGTGTGTGTGTGTTGGCTGCTGTGGATTAAAGAGTTCAGTGATGCAGGGGTGAGTCTTACAGGAGGGAGGAGCAGGATGTTCAGGGGCAGCAAGGCCAGCAGCAGTGAGTGTCCAGCTGGGAGCAGTGGGATCTTGAGCATATTCCCAGTGCAGTTTCAATCGGTCATGCCTCACCTCCTTTTCACTCCTGCTCAAACCTAGTTTTCCAGTCTTCCCATTGAGTGTACTAGCTTCTAAACCCTCTTACAATGAATCTTTTTTTCTGGTTATATTAACCAGAGTAGTTTCTGTTGTTTGTAACTCAAAACATTTATAAATACACTATCTTTTGGCCAGAGGTTTTACACTGCTTTCTAGATAATGGTATTTAATCAGATTTTTTTTCTTTTCTTTTTTCTTTTTTTTAGACAGAATCTTGCCTTCTCACCCAGGCTGGAGTGCAGTGGTGCAATGTTGGCTCACTGCAACATCTGCCTCCTGGGTTCAAGCGATTCTCCTGCCTCAGCCTCCCGATTAGCTGGGATTATAGGTGTGTACCACTGTGCCCGGCTAATTTTTGTATTATTAGTAGAGACGGTGTTTTGCCATGTTGGCCAGGCTGGTCTCGAACTTCTGACCTCAAGTGATCCACCCGCTTTGGCCTCCCAAAGTGCTGAGATTATAGGCGCGAGCCACCGCACCTGGCCCTAATCAGTTTCTTGACAGTAAAAGAATGCACCTGTAAAGTAAACCAAGTAAACAGTGGGCAACGAGGAGGAGGGCAGGTGTATTCCTTTTATTCACTCCTCTTTAGTTATTGGTTTTTTCATATGTTTTTAAAAAAATTATTGTGATAGCAATTTGTATTTGTTGGAAAAATCACTCATTTTATTTAGACTTTCAAATTTATAATATACAAGTATGCATGGTACTTTAAAAATTTTGTGTTTTCATTGCTGTAACATCTTCATATTTCTAATAATGTTCATTTATTTAACTGTTTTTTAAAAAGATTTGCCAAAGGGTAATCAATTTATTGTAGCAGTTTTCAACAGAGTGATTTGATTTATTAACTATACTTTCTTTTTATACTCAACTTCTTTTGCCTTCATTACATCCCTCTACTTGGCAGGAGAAATTTGTTTCTTTTCTAACATCCCACTAAAATTATTAATATGGTGATTTTTTTCTCTTTCTTCTTTTGTAGCAATAAAAGCATTTAAGTTAATTAATCTGGTTCAGTTCAACAAACATGTATAGTGTGCCTACTATGTAAGACAGTCACAGAGCCAGAGGGCACAAGATAAATAAGACATGAATATGTGTCCCCAGGAGGTCTAAAGAAGGGAACAGGCAGATGAAAAGATACATTTAAAATGATAGAAATATAATAGTTACCTTTAGATAAGATTAATAGTTATTTTTTTCTTCTATACATTTTTGTTGTTACTAATATTTCAATGGTACTTTTTCTTTTTTTTTGAGATAGAGTTCCCTTTGTCACACAGGCTGGAGTGCAGTGGCACAATCATAGCTCACTGCAGTCCTCGAACTCCTGAGCTCAGGTGATCCTCCCGCCTCAGCCTCCTGAGTAGCTAGGACTACAGGTGCTTACCACCATGCCTGGCAATGTTTTTTTTTTTTTTCTTTTTAGTAGAGATTAAGTCTTGCTATGTTGCCTAGGCTCGTCTCAAACTACTGAGCTCAAGCAATCCTCCCAACCTCATCCTCCCAAATTGTTGGGATTACAGGCGTGAGCCACTGCATCCTGCTCCATGATACATTTTTGAAAATTTACCAACATTTCATTCATGAATACATACTAAAGTCAGAAAAATAAGGAAAATGTACTTTTTTAAAAGAAAGAATATGACAGCATTAAAACTAGTGGTATTAAGCCTCAAAATCTGGAGATTCTAGAAAGACCTCTGGGTTTTCATGGAGGAAAAGTGTCAAAGAAAGACAAAAGGATGTTCCAGGCAAAAGAAGCAGTATCAACAGGGACCCAGCAATGGGAGAAAAGCAGCATTGTGCTGGTTGAATGTGAGCCCCCTGAAGCCTGTCTCCACATGTGCTGACTGCACTGCCATATCCCCGCCAACTGTTGATTAGTACATGTACTACAGTTGGGCCTGCAGTGCTAGACTTAACAGATGCCCCATGAATATGTGCAAACTTGAATGAAGATGGATGGGGTAGGGGTAGAGCACCATTTCCCACGAGGCCATTGGGAGCCCTTGTGACTTTTAGAAATGAAAGAAAATTTTACTGCACCCAGCTCTGTGTTTTAGAAGAATAGGATGTCCCTTTCTACAATTATGCAAGAATTCTAGTGGTTTTTCCCTTTTAAAAATGTAAGTGAAATTTAAGCCTGATTCCTACAGAGAATTAATTTTTATAACCACTATATTCTGCCATGAGGAGGGTTAATTACTGTTTTCCTTCTCTACTTTCTATTGAAACTATCCATGCAAATGAAAAAAAAATGTGAGGAACTTGGCACAAAGCAAAGCCAGCTATGACTTATCTAATTAATTTGACTGGAAACCCCTGGGTATTACAGGTCCTCCTCAAAAGACCATCCTTCAAAGGTAGGAGCCAAATTCTCAGTAATTGGCTTGTTCTGCAACCACCCAGCTATGTTTATCTTGAGAAAGATATGTGGGTCTGGTCGCTGTCTCCAGCCACCTGCACCCAGCCTCCCACCTGCTGAGCTACGTCATGGTACCCAGGGACCAGTGAAGGCAAGGTAAGGCTGGGAAGCCCAGGCTCCCTGCAGGCCAGAGAGTGGAGCAGGGTGAGGGGGAAAGAGGGATAATGCCTTCAGCACCTTCCAAACCTGGCTCCAGATTTGGAAACACCTGAAACTTCAGATAAAGTTTATTTATTTATTTATTTTGGCCTATAGTCAGACGTGTTATTGCAAATATAGAACACTATATTGTTAAAGGACAGTCTGGCATTCAGGCAATGAAGGACACGCTAAATGAAAGGTCAGTATACTTAATTCCATTAAAAATGTTAAATTTCTGTATGTCAAAAAATTCAGAAAATAAAAGACATGATAAATTAGGAAAATATTGCAAATGCTTGTATCCAATTATTGAATGGAAAGAGAAGAGTAAAAATAGTACTTTATATAATGACCTCAATTTCATAAAAATAATACATACATACATTTTAAAGGAAGACGGTCAAAAGAAGACATTCTTGCTAGTGATAATATAATTAATTTTTGTGTTTATGCATTTCTGAGACCTGTATTTTCAACAAGTATTTATTCTTAAATATAGACATTTTTAAAAGTAAAAAAATAGTTCTACTTACTTCTGCGAATTATCTTGAGGAAATAATTAAACCAACCAGAAGTATACAGATGCCTACTCTAACTTTATTATTATAAAATTGGAAGTAACTTAAATGTTAGGTCATAGTGGAAGACCTAAATGAGTATTGTATATGCACTCTAACAAATATGATAAAATCATTCAAATGGTAATTATGATGATTACATAAAGATTATAAATATGATTATGATAGACTGTTCGAAGAAAAAAATTAACAAGATATGTGCATATTATGTAAATATGTAAAATTTATCATTTGGACAAGAACTAGGGGGAAATGTGTAAATATAAAAATAATCACATTAGCAAATGAAGATTATGGATGCATTTTTCTCTTTTTTTAAAAAAAGTTATTATATTATTGTTTATGTTTCAAAAGAGTAGGATGAGATTGTCCTGAGGCACTTCCATTATAGGTTAGAATGCCATGAGCCCTTGCTCTGTCCAGTGCTGGCATCCAGGCTTCTCAGTTCAGTCTGTCCACACTTGTATCAGTCCATTTGTGTTGCCACAAAGGAATACCTGAGACTGGGTAATTTACAAAGAGGTGTCTTTTGGCTCGTAGTTCTGCAGTGCCATATACAAGCATGGCACCAATGTCTGCTTGGCTTTTGGTGAGAGCCTCAGGAACTTACAATCATGGCAGAAGGTGAAGGAGAGCAGTGTGTCACATGGCGAGAGGGGGAGTAAGAGAAGGGGAGTAAGAGACAAAAGGGAGGAGGTGGCAGGATTTTTAAACAACCAGCTCTCCCCTGAACTAATAGAAGGAGAACTCATGACCACCGGGAGAGCACCAAGCCATTCACAAAGGATCCACCCCCACGATCCAAACACTTCCCACCTGGCCTCTCCCCCAACACTGAGGATCACATTTCAACAAGAGATTTGGAGGGGACAAACACCCAAACCACATCAACACTCAAGGCTGTTTTAGAGAAGACTCTGATTTACAAGTTAATATTATCCTGAGTAGAAACACAAGTATGATACTCAGAGATCCAAAGAAACAGTGGTAAACTGGCATTTATTTTTAATTGCAACAATTGGAGGATTCTGAGAAAGACCAGCTAAAATTATGAAATCCTTAAACTTGTTAAAGCATCTCACAAACTATTTCCACCAAGGTTCAGCTTGTTAAGAATGATAAATCAATAGAATTATTTTTTCCTCCAGAAATCATGATCACACACCAGACACAACCTTGTTAGTTTAATGTAATGTATGAAATGCTCTTCCATGAGCACAATGTTCAGACATTGTTTATTTGGACTAACAAAACTCTGATGAAGAAATCAAATAAGAAAGTCCTGTAGCTCATTTTTTCTTTAAAAACAGCCAATCACTGGAAAAACACACATTGACAGAATCTATGTAGTCCCAGGAATGAGACATGCTGGGATCCACTCATGGCTGAGGGAGCAGGGCTCAGGCCTCATACAGAGAGCAGGCCAGAGGTTTAGCAAAATGACCTGGAGTTCAGGGCTGGGCTCTGTCCTCATGACCACAGTAAAAGCACTGACTGAGCGCCTGCCCCCTGCCTCTGTTACATATGTGACCTCATTTAATCATCACAACAACTTTCCCAGGTGGGTTACTATTAGCTCCATTGTTCAGGTGAGGAAATTGAAGCTCAGCAAGGCAAGGTTGCTTTTCTAAGAGCACACAGCAAGTGATGGACCCCCTGGGTCTGGCACCCAAATCACCTAGCGCCTCACCTGGTGTTTCTCCCTCTACATTATATTAACTACAATGTAACAATTAGTGACTTAATCTTGGTACCTTACCTATATGACTTCATTTAATGATTATGAAGTACCATTATGTATTATTTTTATCCTCTAAACTTTCCTAAAGTTACAGAGCTAGGAGGTGGCAGAGATAGGGTAGGACTCCTGTCTGTCTATCTGCCTAAAACTGCAAAGCCCTCACTGTTTCCAGCAATACCCAGCTGCCTCTCCTTGTACCAAGGGTGTTAGAAGAGCATATCCCCAACACAGCCTGCTCAGGATAAATGCATTTTATCATGACTGCTCTTCTCAGAAACATGCTACAGTCTAAAAAACCTTAATCACCATGTCATAAAGTGCAGTGACTAATCCATTGTACTGTGATTATCACCCATAATATGTAGAGACATAAAAAGAGATTAATAATGAAGGTAGTCAAATAATACATAGGACTGATGATTATCCACAACAAAGTAAGGAGTGAGTGGAACGTGTTTAAGGAGAAAAGTCGATGCCGGATCTGAGCTGTCAGTTTAGTGCTCTCCCTACTCAGCCAGTCACCCACTCTGCTGGTGACTTTGTCTTCCATGTTACTGGGTGATGTTTCTTTAAAATGTCTTGCTGTGCAAAGTATGCACTCCTGGTCCCTATTCAACCCCCATGAGAACGTCACAAACACTCCTAAATCTCACATGAAGCAGCTTTATATCCTGGACAGAGCCCTGGCTTGGAAGTGAGAAAACCTGGCCAAGGTTCGTTTCTGTCCTCAGCTAGCTATGTGATCGTGAGCAAGTCACTTAATCTTTCTAAGGCTGAGTTCCTTCATTTACAAAATGGGGTTGGTGATACCCAAAATAAGGCTGACAAAATAAGGTTCGCTGGAAATTCAAATGCTTTGGGTTAAATAATACAGGATTAGCTGATTTAAAGTACCAATGTTATAAGGAAAATAATCTAACAAATGCAGTAAAGGTCTTGGCACATTTTGATGCTAGAGTTGGTGGGAGTTGGAACAGCCAAGCACTAGGAAAGAGTTCTGAGTCGAGACCAGGACTGGAAAGGGAGGCTCGGTGCAGGTCAAACCAGGAGGAAACTGGAGGCAACATCATACTGAAAGGTACACAAGTTGTAGCCCCCCTCCTTTAAAACTTAACTCCTGCAGTCACCAGAGGCAAGCCCTGAGCAGCATCTGCCTAAGTAAGCGTCTGTGACTTGCAGAGTGGTCGTCCTGGCCCACAGCTCTTGGAGAGCACTGGGTGGGGCACGCCTGGCAGCTCAAACAGCTGAGTCTTTCACTGAGTGTGAAGACAGCCTGATCCTTTAAAAAGAGTGGAGTTAACCCCTCCTCTAGGTCAATCTCAGCAGTAATTTTCCAAATGCTGCATGATGCATTCATGTTATGACCCCCTAAAGCTCTTGTTTTAGTTCTAGAGCTAGTCTAAGACTATTTACCACTGGTTTTTTGAATCTCTGTGTGTCATACTTGCATTTTCACTTAGAGTAAGACCAACCTGTAAATCAAAGTCTGCCCTCGGGCGCGGTGGCTCACATCTGTAATCCCAGCACTTTGGGAGGCCAAGGCGGGCGGATCACGAGGTCAGGAGATGGAGACCATCCTAACTAACACGGTGAAACCCAGTCTCTACTAAAAATACAAAAAATTAGCCGGGCGTGGTGGTGGGCACCTGTAGTCCCAGCTACTCGGGAGGCTGAGGCAGGAGAATGGCGCGAACCCGGGAGGTGGAGCTTGCAGTGAGCAGAGTTCACGCCACCACACTCCAGCCTGGGCGACAGAGCGAGACTCCATCTCAGAAAAACAACAACAACAACAAAAAAAAACAAAGTCTGCCCTAAAACAGCCTTGAGTGTGGACCGACTGAATTGAGAGGCCTGGGTACCAGCAACAGCCAAAGCAGGGGTTCATAGAGCCCTCACCTATCCTGAAAGTGCCTCAGGACAATCTCATCCTACTCTTTGGAAACATAAAGAATAATACAGCAACTTTTTTTAAAAAGAGAAAACTGGCTGCAGTTGTGGTGTCCTGGTGACTCATGCAGCAAATTCAACTCCATCTTTACCCAAATCCTTATTATTTCTTCTCCTGCAAGCCACTCCTTAAAGAGAAAATATAAATATCGCTCTTCAGATTCAAGATGGTATAGCTTAGATGGGTTAGTGTTGTTATTGAAAATAGGAGGCCTCAGCCGGGCAGAGTGGCTCACACCTGTAATTCTAGCACTTTGAGAGGCCGAGGCGGGCTGATCACTTGAGGCCAGGAGATTGAGACTGGCCTGGCCAACATGGTGAAACCTGTCTCTACCAAAAATACGAAAAAATAGGCTTCGTGGCTCATGCCTGTAATCCCAGCTACTCAGGAGGCTGAGACACGAGAATCACTTGAACCCAGGAGGCAGAGGTTGTAGTGAGCCAAGACCATGCCAATGCACTCCAGCCTGGGTGACAGAGTGAGACCCTGTCTCAAAAAAGAAAGAAAGAAAATAGGAGGCTAGATTCATGCTCCAGCACTGTCAGCAAATAATAAGGTACTATAGGAAGCTAGGTGCTGTTTTGAGCTCTTTTAATATGTTATCTAATTTAGTGTTTTTCATCATCCAGGAATAGTTACTCTCCTCCCCACAAATAACAGAAGGAGAAAAGGAGGCTTAATGAGGTCAAGTAATCTGCCCAAAGTCCCAACAAACACCCTCCTGTTACTAATGCTAACCTTCCATGACTCTCCAGCGCTAGAATAAAATCCAGTGTGAGGGGTTAAGAAGTGAAACAGGCTTAGCTCACATAGAAAGTCCTTAGCTCATCTCCTAGCACATGGTTAAATGCTCAACAAATGATATCTGGCATTAGCAATAGAAGGGCATTTGAAAGCCTTTAAAGAAACACACAGAATGCATGGATTTTATGGACTTGTGCACAGAGAAGCCCGTGGTGCTAGAAGATACCATGTAGGACTGTCACCAGTGTGCCTCAAGTTGCTCATTATCTTGCCATTTCACATAAAATAAAACAGAAATGCAAATAAAAGCTACACAAATAATGAAACATATATAAAAGAAAATTTTCCCTTTGACTCATCCAATTTTTCCTGGGAGTAATGCACCTTGTGCTTAGATACACAATTCTCATTGTCAGAGTTGTTTTCCCTTTGCTTTCCACAATCAGACCACAATCAGACCACATCCAGGCCAGTGCTTGGTTTTGGAAATAAGACCTTGACCACAGCCCTTTGCCTCACTGGGAATGTGTTGCTCAGCTAAGTGGCTCAAAGTCCATGCTGCCACCTACAGAATGTGAGAACATTTTGGCAAATTATATATCTGACAAGAGACTCAAACAGGCACTATGGCTCCTGCCTGTAATCCCAGCTACTCAGGATGCTGAGGCAGAAGGATCCTTTGAGCCCAGGAGTGTGAGGCTACAGTGAGCTATGATCACACCACTGCACTCCAGCCTGGGTGACAGTGAGACCTTGTCTTAAAAAAAAAAAAAAAGAAAGAAAAAGAAAAAAAGAGACTGTTTCTAGAATATATGAAGAACTCTTATAACTCAATAGTGAAAAGACAGATACCTCAATATAAAAATAAGCAAAGGATCTGAATATTTATTCAAAGAAGATATAAATGGCCAATAAGCACTTGAAAAGATGCTCAGCATCATTAGCCATCAGAAGAATGCATATCAAAACTACAACGAGAACTACTTCACACCCACCAGGATGGCTATTATAAAGAAGACAGATAATAATGAGTGTTGGCCAGGATTTGGAGAGATTGGAATACTTACACACTGCTAACAGAAATGCAATACGGTGCAGTCTCTGGAAAACAGTCTGGCAGTTTCCTCAAAAAGTTAAATATAGAGTTTTTATATGAGCCAGCAATTGTACTACTAGGTATATACCCAAGAGAATTGAAAACATATATTCACACAAAAAATATGTACAGGAATGTCCATAGCAACACATTTGAAATAGCTAGAAAGCAGAAACAAACCAAATGCCTATCAGCTGATGACTGAATAAATAAAAGATGGTATATCCATATAATGAAATATTACTCAGCAGTGAAAAGGAATAAAGTACTGATAGATGATACAACATGGACAAATTTTGAAAATGTTATGGTAAGCGGAAGAAGCCAGGCATAAAATACTACATGCTTTATGGTTCCCTTCATATGAACTGTCCAGAACAGGCAAATGTATATGGACAGAAAGTAGATGAGCAGTTGCTAGAGTTGAGGGATGGCAAGTAGGGGAAATGGTGAGCAACTGCTAATGGGTACAGGGTTTCTTTTAGAAGTGATAAAATGTCCTGAAATTGATTATGGTGATGGTTGCTAAACTCTGTGAATATACCAAAACACAGCAAATTATACATATTAGATGGATGAATTGTATGGTATGTGAATTATGTCTTAGTGAAGCTGTTGTTTTTTTTTAAATCTCACGCTTCCCAGGCAGCTGGAGTTTCTTCTAACTGGGCTGTGGAGTACATGACATGGAAGGCAATGTGGTTAAAGGCATGCGTTTCAGAATCAGACTCCCCTGGGTTCCAACGCTGGCTCTGCCTTTTATTGTCTGTATAAACTTGGGCAACTCTGTGAACTTGTGAAAATATTTGTCATAATATAGTCTTTGTGACTTTGTGCAGATGAAATGAGATGATGCAGGTAAAAGGTTTATCACAGTATTCAACTTGCAAGTGCTTAAAAGGAAGCTACTGACTTCATCACCTACGTGAACTTGGAAAGTTTACTTATGAAGTAAGTCATTTATTCTGTTACATATTATTTCTGTCTTCTTCCATTTCTTGTGTTTCCACCACCAAATCAAAATAGGAATCAGAAGTTCGCATGCATTTATCTCTACTGACTTCAAAAGAAGAGGGTAAAAAAGTTGTCCTAGTTTAGGGATGCAAATGATTTAGCAGTGGCAGGATGCCCTGAGTGCGCATTACCAGGCTTTGGAGTTTATGTCATCAGGCATGGGGCGAAATGGTAGCTTTTGAGGCATAAAAGAGGAGCATAAGTTCTGTCCTATTAAAGAGATCAATTGTCCAGTGTGTCCAATATTCTGTCTTCCACTCTGGCCAAGACAGATGCTTCAGAGAAGGACATAAAATCCATTAACATACTTAATTACACACTCTTGTATTATGGGAGATACATTACTGTCCCAAACCCAGCCTGTCCTTGCCTAAATATCCAACATCCATTATCTTCAAGGTAGCTTACAGATTTAAACTAATTAATCTCTTTTTCTCCAAGAGGCTTTTTCTTACCAGGGGGATGAGAGGGCTGGTTACCTGCTGCCTGCCCCCATCTGTGAGCTACTGCGCTGATGCCTGATTGTCACCTTGTGCCTGTTTGACCTTATGCTCAGTGGGCATTTGGAACTCCTGCACCATCAATCATTTGTTGAAGACCAACTGTATGCCAGGAAAGGTGCCAGACATTGGGGCAAAAGGAAGACTAGGATTTTGTTCCTTTATGAGAGGAACTCTAAGTCTACTATGGTATATATAATTTTTCCTATATTATGATTACTTAAAAATGTGTTGGCCTCCCCTTTGAGACAGATATATCTGAAGATAATAATAATGTAAGGTGTAACTATTGAAATTGCTCAGAACAGCAAAGTGACTTCTCAGAGGTCACTATGCAACACTTCCATTTTCATTTATTGGCCAGAAATTTAGTCTCATGGCTGGGTCTAGTTGTAAAGGGAGTTGGGGGAATGTACTCATTTAATGGAGGGACAAGGTGCCTAGATATAAACTCAAGTTCTATCCCTAAGAAAAAAAGGAGAGAATGAATTTGGGGAGTCAATTAGCAATCTTCTCATGGGAGGCATCAAAGATTTTTAATAAGAGAGTGATAAATTTAGATGTGTGGTTTTGGGCACATCTGGTGGCCCCCAAAGCATCAGTAGGTTAGGGTGTGGGGTAAGGAAAGGTAAGACAACAAGGGAAGGGGAGGGAAGCTGCAGCAAAACATGATCAACTAAAAGCCAAAACATGATCATTGGTTTGAACAACTAAGAGGATATGAGGTGACCTTTGAGAAAGCTGTTTTACAAGAATGGTAAGCTAGACACAAAAACCTGTGATGAAAAATCACCAATATGTTGTCCCTTTTGTTGATCAAGGAGCTAACTGTCAGGCCTCTGAGCCCAGGCCAGGCCATCGCATCCCCTGTGACTTGCACGTATACATCCAGATGGCCTAAAGTAACTGAAGATCCACAAAAGAAGTAAAAACAGCCTTAACTGATGACATTCCACCATTGTGATTTGTTCCTGCCCCACTCTAACTGATCAATGTACTTTGTAATCTCCCCCACCCTTAAGAAGGTACTTTGTAGTCTCCCCCACCCTTAAGAAGGTTCTTTGTAATTCTCCCCACCCTTGAGAATGTACTTTGTGAGATCCACCCCTACCCACCAGAGAACAACCCCCTTTGACTGTAATTTTCCATTACCTTCCCAAATCCTATAAAACGGCCCCACCCCTATCTCCCTTCGCTGACTCTCTTTTCGGACTTAGCCCACCTGCACCCATGTGAAATAAACAGCTTTATTGCTCACACAAAGCCTGTTTGGTGGTCTCTTCACACCGACGCACATGGAATTTGGTGCCATGACTCGGATCGGGGGACCTCCCTTGGGAGATCAATCCCGTCCTCCTGCTCTTTGCTCCGTGAGAAAGATCCACCTACAACCTCAGGTCCTCAGACCGACCAGCCCAAGAAACATCTCACCAATTTCAAATCCAGTAAGCAGCATCTTTTTACTCTCTTCTCCAACCTCCCTCACTATCCCTCAACCGCTTTCTCCTTTCAATCTTGGCGCTACACTTCAATCTCTCCCTTCTCTTAATTTCAATTCATTTTCTGATAGAGACAAAAGAGACACGTTTTATCCGTGGACCCAAAACTCCGGCGCCAGTCACAGACTGGGAAGGCAGCCTTCCCTTGGTGTTTAATCATTGCAGGGACGCCTCTCTGATTACATACCCACGTTTCAAGGGTGTCAGACAATGCAGGGACGCCTGCCTTGGTCCTTCACCCTTAGCGGCAAGTCCCGCTTTCCTGGGGCAGGGGCAAGTACCCCTCAACCCCTTCTCCTTCACCCTTAGCGGCAAGTCCCGCTTTCCTAGGGGGCAAGAACCCCCCAATTGCTTATTTCTGCACCCCAACCTCTTATCTCTGCGCCCCAATCCCTTATTTCCGCACCCTGACCTCTTATTTCTGTGCCCCAACCCCTTCTCTGCTTTTCTGGAGGGCAAGAACTCCCCACCCCTTCTCCGTGTCTCTACTCTTTTTTCTGGGCTTGCCTCCTTCACTATGGGTAAGCTTCCACCTTCCATTCCTCCTTCTTGTCCCTTAGCCTGTGTTCTCAAAAACTTAAAACCTCTTCAACTCACACCTGACCTAAAACCTAAATGCTTTATTTTCTTCTACAATGCCGCTTGACCCCAATACAAACTCGACAGTAGTTCCAAATAGCCGGAAAATGGCACTTTCAATTTTTCCATCCTACAAGATCTAAATAATTCTTGTCGTAAAATGGGCAAATGGTCTGAGGTGCCTGACGTCCAGGCATTCTTTTACACATCAGTCCCTTCCTAGTCTCTGTGCCCAGTGCAACTCGTCCCAAATCTTCCTTCTTTCCCTCCAGCCTGTCCCCTCAGTCCCAACCCCAAGCGTCGCTGAGTCTTTCTAATCCTCCTTTTCTACAGACCCATCTGACCTCTCCCCTCCTCGCCAGCCCAAGCTAGGTCCCAATTCTTCCTCAGCCTCCACTCCTCCACCCTGTAATCTTTTTATCGCCTCCCCTCCTCACACCTGGTCCGGCTTACAGTTTCATTCTGTGACTAGCCCTCCCCCACCTGCCCAGCAATTTATTCTTAAAAACGTGGCTGGAGCTAAAGGCATAGTCAAGGTTAATGCTCCTTTTTCTTTATCCCAAATCAGACAGCGTTTAGGCTTTTTCATCAAATATAAAAACCCAGCCCAGTTCATGGCTCGTTCAGCAGCAACCCTGAGACGCTTTACAGCCCTAGACCCTAAAAGGTCAAAAGGCCATCTTATTCTCAATATACATTTTATTACCCAATCTGCTCCCGACATTAAATAAAACTCCAAAAATTAAATTCCGGCCCTCAAACCCCACAACAGGATTTAATTAACCTCGGCTTCAAGGTGTACAATAATAGAAAAAAGTTGCAATTCCTTGCCTCCACTGTGAGACAAACCCCAGCCGCATCTCCAGCACACAGAACTTCCAAACGCCTGAACTGCAGTGGCCAGGCATTCCTCCAGAACCTCCTCCCCCAGGAGCTTGCTACAAGTGCCAGAAATCTGACCACCAGGCCAAGGAATGCCTGCAGCCCAGGATTCCTCCTAAGCCGTGTCCCATCTGTGCGGGACCCCACTGGAAATTGGACTGTTCAACTCACCTGGCAGCCACTCCCAGAGCCCCTGGAACTCTGGCCCAAGGCTCTCTGACTGACTCCTTCTCGGCTTAGCGGCTGAAGACTGATGCTGCCCGATCGCCTCGGAAGCCCCGTAGACCATCACGGACGCCGAGGTTTGGGTAACTCTCACAGTGGAAGGTAAGTCCGTCCCCTTCTTAATCAATATGGAGGCTACCCACTCCACATTACCTTCTATTCAAGGGCCTGTTTCCCTTGCCTCCATAACTGTTGGGGGTATTGACAGCCAGGCTTCTAAACCTCTTAAAACTCCCCAACTCTGGTGCCAACTTAGACAATACTCCTTTAAGCACTCCTTTTTAGTTATCCCCACCTGCCCAGTTCCCTTATTAGGCTGAGACACTTTAACTAAATTATCTGCTTCCCTGACTATTCCTGGACTACAGCTACATCTCATTGCCGCCCTTCTTCCCAATCCAAAGCCTCCTTTGCGTCCTCCTCTTATATCCCCCCACCTTAACCCACAAGTATAAGATACCTCTACTCCCTCCTTGGCGACCGATCATGCACCCCTTTCCATCTCATTAAAACCTAATCACCCTTACCCCGCTCAATGTCAAGATCCCATCGCACAGCACGCTTTAAAAGGATTAAAGCCTGTTATCACTCGCCTGCTACAGCATGGTCTTTCAAAGCCTATAAACTCTCCTTACCATTCCCCCATTTTACCTGTCCTAAAACCAGACAAGACTTACAGGTTAGTTCAGGATCTGCGCCTTATCAACCAAATTGTTTTGCCTATCCACCCCATGGTGCCAAACCCATATACTCTCCTATCCTCAATACCTCCCTCTACTACCCGTTATTCTGTTCTAGATCTCAAACATGCTTTCTTTACTATTCCTTTGCACCCGTCATCCCAGCCTCTCTTTGCTTTCACTTAGACTGACCCTGACACCCATTAGGCTCAGCAAATTACCTGGGCTGTACTGCCACAAGGCTTCACAGACAGCCCCCATTACTTCAGTCAAGCCCAAATTTCATCCTCATCTGTTACCTATCTCGGCATAATTCTCATAAAAACACACGTGCTTTCCCTGCTGATCGTGTCCGATTAATCTCCCAAACCTCAATCCCTTACAAAACAACAACTCCTTTCCTTCCTAGGCATGGTTAGTGCGGTCAGAATTCTTACACAACAGCCAGGACCGCACCCTGTAGCCTTTCTGTCCAAACAACTTGACCTTACTGTTTTAGCCTAGCCCTCATGTCTGCGTGCAGCGGCTGCCGCTGCTTTAATACTTTTAGAGGCCCTAAAAATCACAAACTATGCTCAACTCACTCTCTACATTTCTCATAACTTCCAAAATCTATTTTCTTCCTCATACCTGACACATATACTTTCTGCTCCCCGGCTCCTTCAGCTGTACTCACTCTTTAAGTCCCACAATTACCATTGTTCCTGGCCCGGACTTCAATCTGGCCTCCCACATTATTCCTGATACCGCACCTGACCCCCATGACTGTATCTCTCTGATCTACCTGATATTCACCCCATTTCCCCATATTTCCTTCTTTACTGTTCCTCACCCTGATCACGCTTGATTTATTGATGGCAGTTCCACCAGGCCTAATCGCCACATACCAGCAAAGGCAGGCTATGCTATAGTACAAGCCACTAGCCCGCCTCTCAGAACCTCTCATTTCCTTTCCATCGTGGAAATCTGTCCTCAAGGAAATAACTTCTCAGTGTTCCATCTGCTATTCTACTACTCCTCAAGGATTATTCAGGCCCCCTCCCTTCCCTACACATCAAGCTCGAGGATTTGCCCCCACCCAGGACTGGCAAATTAGCTTTACTCAACATGCCCGAGTCAGGAAACTAAAATACCTCTTAGTCCAAATAGACACTTCCACTGAATAAGTAAAGGCCTTTCCTACAGCGTCTGAGAAGGCCACCACAGTCATTTCTTTCCTTCTGTCAGACATAATTCCTCAGTTTAGCCTTCCACCTCTATACAGTCTGATAACAGACCAGCCTTTATTAGTCAAATCAGCCAAGCAGTTTTTCAGGCTCTTAGTAGGTGTCAGTGAAACCTTTATATCCCTTACAGGCCTCCGTCTTCAAGAAAAGTAGAACGGACTAAAGGTCTTTTAAAAAGACAGCTCACCAAGCTCAGCCACCAACTTAAAAAGGACTGGACAATACTTTTACCACTTTCGCTTCTCAGAATTCAGGCCTGTCCTCAGAATGCTACAAGGTACATCCCATTTAAGCTCCTGTATAGACGCTCCTTTTTATTAGGCCCCAGTCTCATTTGACACCAGACCAACTTAGACTGTGCCCCAAAAAACTTGTCATCCCTATCTTTTGTAGTCATACTCCTATTCACCATTCTCAACTACTCATACATGCCCTGCTCTTGTTTACACTGCCGGTTTACACTGTTTCTCCAAGCCATCACAGCTGATATCTCCTGGTGCTATCCCCAAACTGCCACTCTAAACTCTTGAAGTAAATAAATAATCTTTGCTGGCAGGACTATGCTGAATCTCCTTAGGCACTCTCTAATCAGATGTCCTATGTCCTCCCAATTCTTAGACCTTTTATACCTGTTTTTCTCCTTCTCTTATTCCATTTAGTTTCTCAATTCATCCAAAACCGTATCCAGGCCGTCACCAATCATTCTATACGACAAATGTTTCTTCTTACATCCCCACAATATCACCCCTTACCACAAGACCTCCCTTCAGCTTAATCTCTCCCACTGTAGGTTCCCACGCCACCCCTAATCCCACTTGAAGCAGCCCTGAGAAACATCACCCATTCTCTCTCCATACCACCCCCCAAAAATTTTCGCCGCCTCAACACTTCAACACTATTTTGTTTTGTCTTATTAATATAAGAAGGCAGGAATGTCACGCCTCTGAGCCCAGGCCAGGCCATCGCATCCCGTGACTTGCATGTATACATCCAGATGGCCTAAAGTAACTGAAGATCCACAAAAGAAGTACAAACAGCCTTAACTGATGACATTCAACCACTGTGATTTGTTCCTGCCCCACCCTAACTGATCAATGTACTTTGTAATCTCCCCCACCCTTAAGAAGGTTCTTTGTAATTCTCCCCACCCTTGAGAATGTACTTTGTGAGATCCACCCCTGCCCACCAGAGAACAACCCCCTTTGACTAATTTTCCATTACCTTCCCAAATCCTATAAAACAGCCCCACCCCTATCTCCCTTCGCTGACTCTTTTCGGACTTAGCCCACCTGCACCCATGTGAAATAAACAGCTTTATTGCTCACATAAAGCCTGTTTGGTGGTCTCTTCACACGGACGCGCATGAAACTAACAATGTATTGGGGAGAGAAACACACATCTGCAAATATCATTGCTGAAAAGAAATCATTGCATTAAGTGCTATAGTTAAAGCGTATAAACCCAACACTGAACACAAAGGAGGGAAGGACTGGGTCTGACCTGGAGAGCAGCAGAGGAGAAAGTGCGAAATGAAAGGTACCCAGCAACAGACAAAGGGTCACACTTGGCCCCAGACATAGTGCTTCTTCCTCAAGTGCGAAGGGAGTATTGCAAACACCAGATATGCAGTGTTATCTGTATTTGGAAATTGTTTATATTCAGGCCATTCACTTCATTCAGTCTGGCAATTTCATTCAATTAATCTCATTCATTTCTTAATTAATCTCATTCATTATTCTCTGTAAACTCCACGAGAGCGGAGACTTTGTGTCTTCTTCATCGGTAGATCCCCCATGCCTACTGGCACTAGTAGTTGCCCTAAATTCACTTATCAAAGGCAGCAAGAATAACTGGGACTCTTCTCTCTTGCTTTTCACGATTTCCAGCAGGGCACAAAGGCCTACAGTCCCCACCTGAAAAAAACAGACTTGACTGGAGGCAGCGCCTCTTCTTCCAAATACAGCCCCAGCTGACGCAGATTAGCACAACCGCCTAAGCGGCGGAACTCTGGAGAGTGCGGAACCTAGGATCCTAGGAAACTGAAGGCAACGGAACCTGGGGGCGATGGAATCCGGGAGCGGTGGAACCCGGAGCCTGTAGAACTTGAATCTAGAGGAACCTGACAGCGGCGCCGAGGGGGCCACCCGGACTCTGTTTGGAACGGAAGCACAGTGTCCGCCGCTTCCTGGTTGCGGGTCAGCGCCCAGGTCCTGGGCTGGCCGCCGGGATGTTGCCCTACACAGTGAACTTCAAGGTGTCGGCGCGCACCCTCACGGGGGCCCTCAACGCCCACAACAAGGCGGCGGTGGACTGGTGAGGACGCCGAGCTTCCAGGTCGCCAGGATCGGCCAGGAATGTGTGAGGGGGAAGGGGGAAGGACAAGAGGTTTCACCCCCTGGTTAGTTTGGCCTCGCTAAGGCAGGGAGCCGCCCTCACGCAATGAGCTTGCTTTCAGTTGGTGGATTTTTGTTGTTACAAAAGTGATAATAGCCCCGTGTGGGAAATTCCCCCATGCAAATACATTTCCCCTCTTTCTCGCGTATTTCTCTGCTGTTTTCTCTGCACCTCGCCCTTTTGCCGTTCCATTCCTCTCTCTTTTCCTCTCCTCCAGCTTCCAGGCTTCTCTCTCTCCACCATTAATTCCCTGTGCACTTTCTCTTTCCCATCCTGTCTTTTCTTTTTCGTTGTCTTGTATTCCTGTTGTCTTTCAACAATGTGCCAGACCCTGTGCTAGGCGCCTGTTCTTTCACCTGTCCTTTTCACCTCTTTTCGGGCTCCTCCTGTGTAGAACATTCCTGCCTTCAACAGGTCGTCTTTATTACTCTCTCCTTTCACTATAAATTACTACTGCAGCTCTGAAAACTACTCATTAGACAAATGTAAAGCAAAATTCTGTGGCTGTGGGATGTTGTTAGGAGGACTGAAACGTCTTGTGCAGTGTTTGTCGTTTTATTTAGTTGGAAGGACTAGGATTAGTCGCAGTATCCCCAGGCACATTGTGGATACTAAGGATTAGAAATCGGATAAGCGAAAGACGTATGCCTACAAGAACAGTCAGAGGGCACAAGTTCCTTTTTATGTCCTCGGGTCTCTATTTTCATATCTTTTAGAACTTTTTTTATCCGAATGAAAAGTGAATTTCAACAAGCATTTTAAGCTTAGCCAGATCTTTTATTTAAGTGGGATAATGATAAATACTGGCCTTTGGGTTTAAATGATTTTATTAATGGTGGTACATATGAATTAGACTTATCATTTATTTAGGCTTGGCAAGAAAGAAGTCGTCCTGCTTTGTTCTGTACTTAAACTTTAACATTACTGTTTTGCTAGGGGCTGGCAAGGTTTAATTGCTTATGGATGTCATTCACTTGTGGTAGTGATTGATTCCATTACTGCCCAAACTCTTCAAGTTTTAGAAAAGCATAAAGCTGATGTTGTAAAGGTAAGTAAAATCCCACTTTGACGCTAACATGTTGTCTAGTCTAAAGTTTAATACTGTGTATCACTAAGCTCTCATTAAGTCTTACGTGTAAGTGTTGAATAGCTTTTAAATATAACAACCTATTTGGGGTAGCCTAGAATTTTCATATATATGACTTAATGTCAATACAGGGTGAGTTATTAAATGCTAGTTGTTAGATCATTTTAAGGCAGATGAAAGTTCTACCATTTACAAGACCACTCAGTCATTCCTTAGTTTTGAGCACTTACCATATGCTATGGATATGGAGATGAAAGCCCTCAGATAATTCTCCATCTTATAAGGAAGACTCACAGCGTGATAGTGTGATAAGTGAGACTTGCGTAACACGCTGTGAGAAAACAGAGGAGCTGCATATTGCCTGGTTGTGAGGAGAGTCACAGAAGTCTACAGTTTCAAGACTAGTAGACAGTAGTTAGCCAAGTAAAAAATTGACAAGGAGCATTGCAGGGAAAAGCAAGAATATACACAGAAGTAAGTAGCGTGCCATAAAGATGGCTAAAGATGGGACACTTGTAGGAGTGATGAAATAAGAGGCAGCCAGAGAGATTCAGCTGTCTGTCCTGAAGTTTTGTAAGATTACGAAGGAGTTTGGATTTTTTTTTTTTTTAGACAGAATCTCACTCTGTCGCCCAGGCTGGAGTGCAGTGGCATGATCTCGGCTCACTGTAAGCTCCACATCCTGGGTTCACGCCATTCTCCTGCCTCAGCCTCCTGAGTAGCTGGGACTACAGGCACCCACCACCATGCCCAGCTAATTTTTTGTATTTTTAGTAGAGACCGGGTTTCACCATGTTAGCCAGGATGGTCTCGAGCTCCTGACCTCGTGATCCACCCGCCTTGGCCTCCCAAAGTGCTGGGATTACAGGTGTGAGTCACCGCGCCCAGCAGGAATTTGGATTTTTGAGTAGGAGATTGATGTGACCATATTCGCGTCTTAGAAAAACTCTGGCAGCAGTGGAGGATCTGCTGAAGAAATGCAAGACTGGAGGCAGTAAGATCATTTAGGAGATTTCTGCAGTAATTTTGGTGGGAAATTCTAAGGGCCTAAAATAAAGCTGGGGCATGGAGAAGTCATGTTTAAGAGCAGCAAAGAGGTAAACCTGATAGCCTTTATAGTGATCAGTATAAAGGAGAGTAAGAGAATAGAGTGACTCCAAGGTTTCTTTTGGTGTAATTGAATGACAGTGTTTCCAGTTATCAGAGGTAAGCATCTGTGAAGTCAGTGAATTTTTAAGTTTTCAACATGCAAAATCTGAGATGCCTGTAATATATTGCATTATAGTGATCCGGGCTTTAGGAGATAGGTCAGGATTAGAGATAGAGATTTGGAGTCTTTTTCTTTTTTAAATAATAGCTTTATTGAGATACTCATACCATAAAATGTACTGACTTAAAATGCACAATTCTGTGGCTTTTAGTATATCCACAGTTAATGCAGCCACAATTACAATGAACTTTTTTACCTCAAAAAGAAACCCTATATCCACTAGCAGTCATATTCCATTTCCCCCATTTCCCTCATCCTTTGGCAACCACTGACCTACTTTCTGTGTCTGTAGACTGGCCCATTCTGGGGATTTTATATAAATTGAATCATATAATTTGTGGTCTTTTGTGCATGACTTCTTTCACTTAGGATAATGTTTTCATGGTTCATCTGCGTTGTAGCATATATCAATACTCTGTTACTGATGAATAATATTCCACTGTAAGGATGTATCACATTTATTTTATTGATGGACATTTGGATATTTTGTACTTTTTGCCTGTTACGAATAATGCTGCTTTGCACATTCATGTGCAAGTTTTGTGTGAACCTGTGTTTTCATTTCCCTTGAGTATGTTTCTAGGGGTGGAATTACTGACTCATATGGTAACTCTGTTTAACTTTTTGAGGAACTGCTGGACTGTTTTCCAAATTAACATTCTCATTAGTAGTGTATGAGGAGTCTAATTTGTCCAAATCCTCACCAACGCTTGCTGTTCTCTGTTCTTTTGATTATAACCATCCTAATGGGTATGAATTGATTCTCATTGTGGCTTTGGTTTGCATTTCCCTGATGGCTAAAGGTGTGGAGTATCTTTTCATGTGCTTATTGGCCATTTGTATATCTTCTTTGGAGAAATGTCTATGCAGGTCCTTTGCCCATTTTAAAATTGTATTATTTATCTTTTTATAATTGAGTCGTAAGATTTCTTTGTATACAGTAGTCCTCCCTTATCCAGAAGGGAAATGTTCCAAGACCCCAGTGGAAGCCTGAAACCCTGGATAGTACTGAACCCTATATATATTGTGCTTTTTCTCATACATACTTACTTATGATAAAGTTTATAAACCAAACCCTGTATATACTGTTTTGTCTCATACATACTTACCTATGATCAAGTTTATAAATTAGGCATAATAAGAGATTAACAACAATAACTAATAATAATAAAGGAGAACAATTATAACAATACATCAGCATTACTACTCTTGCACTTTGGGGGCATTATAAAGTAAAATAAGGGTTACTTGAACATAGCACTGAGATATCACAACAGTTGATCTGATAATCAGTATGGCTACTGAGGGCAGGTGGTGTATACAGCATGGATGTTCTGGACAAAGGGATGATTTATGATTAAGGCAGGATGGAACAGGACAGTGGGAGATTTCATCATGCTATTCAGAAAAGCGCATAATTTATGAATTGTTTATTTTTAGACTTTTTTGTGTCATATGTTTGGATTGATACATGATTTGCAAATATTTTCTCTCAATTTGTGGGTTGTCTTTTTACTTTCTTGGTGGTGTCTTTTGAAGAACAAAACTTTTTCATTTTGATGTAGTCCAATTTATTATTTTGTATTGTTGTTGCTTGTACTTTTTGTGCCATATCCAAGAAACCATTGCTTTCTCCAATATCAAGAAGATATATACCTTTGTTTTTTTCTTAGAATTTTAGAGCTTTAGCTTTTAATCCATTTTGAGTTAATTTTTATATATGATGTGAAATAGGGAAAAATACTATTAATTTTTGTTTATTGATCATATCCTGTAATCTAGCTAACTTCACTTAGTAGATCTATTTAATAGTAATTTTGGGTAAATTTTTTTTAAGTAGACAGTCATGTCACTGCAAGTGACTGCAGTTTAATGTTTTCATTGATAATCTGTGTGTCTTCTATTTTTCTTGCCATGTTGCATTGGCTAGGACCTCTACTACAATGAATGGGAGAGTAGTGAGAGGATACTCTTGTCCTGTTCCTGAGCTTAGGGGGAAAGTATTCAGTCTTTCATCAAGTCTGATGTAAGGTATAGGGTGTTTTGGGAAAAATATATTTACCTTCTCTTTCCCTCTCTGTTTCCTTTCCCCTACACTGCCCCTTGGCATTTCTGGAGCTTTTATTTCTTTATGTAGGTCCAAGTTTCAGTCTGGTATTATATTCCCATCGACTGAAGAATTTACTGTAAGTTCTTAAAGTGCCTGTCTAATATTGGTTGATTCTCTTAGCTTTTATTTCTCTGAGAAAGTATTTCACCTTTGTTTTCGAAAGATAATTTTCAAAGGATATAGAATTCTGGGTTTATAATTTTTTTTTCTAGTAGTACTTTACAAATATCATTCCATTGGCCAGGCATGGTGGCTCACACCTGTAATCCCAACACTCTGGGAGGCCGAGGTGGATGGATCACCTGGGGTCAGGAGTTTGAGACTAGCCTGGCCAACAAGGCAAAACCTCATCTCTACTAAAAATACAAAAATTAGCCAGGCGTGGTGGTACACACCTGTAATCCCAGCTACTTGGGAGGCTGAGGCAGGAGAACAGCTTAAACCTGGGAGGTGGAGGTTGCAGTGAGCTGAGATAGTGCCACTGCACTCCAGCCTCGGCAACAGAATAAGACTCTGTCTCCAAAAAAAAAAAAAAAAAAAAATCCCTCCACTATCTTCAAGCTTACATAGTTTCTGATGAAAAATTTTTGTTTTTGTTTCTCTGCATTATATCTTTTTTCCTCCGATTATCTTCAAGATTTCCTTAACCTTGGTTTTCAATAGTTTGATTATTAAAATATATATATATATGGCTTGGAGTTTACCTAAATGGAATTCAACATATACATATACAAATATATACACATATACAAACATATATATACACATAGAGACAGTCAATTCTTGTTATTTGTGGTAGCTATATTCTGTAAAGTTGTTGTATACACTGAATTAGTGAATACTGAAACTTTGTTTGCTCCTAGGGGTTAGGTTCTTGTGAGGCTCTGGTCACAACATTTTCATCAACTGATCAATAGATAACCTTGCTTTATATGTGTTTCCGTTTAAAGACATATTAATATGTCAGTTGATCTATTAACATTGAACTCATAGCCAACAACACATGCCTGAGCAAAGATTATCACATATATATATATGTATGTATTTTTTGCAAGACACATCACAACTTCTCATACTTAGAAACGGTAGGCAGTATGCTTGGGGACCTATTTAAACAGTGAAGTCACCAGCAAAAGGAACAAAAATGTGAAAAATGTGGTACTAAATAAATCATGAGATGAACACTTGTTTTGCCATTGGAAAAGCTAAAGCAAGAATTCTTGTTTGACTTCAGCTGGGAACACACATGTATGTTCGGTGACATTTTTTTCACCATTCTGCACTTGTCCACAAAAGCACTGCAAGTATTGATTTTGAGGTTGCAAATTATAGTGAGTAGGTAAATTGACAAATACAGAATCTATAAATAACTAGAATGGACTGTGTACACATATATACACTATACATATTCTATTCATACACATTCTATACCTATGAACTTAAACATATACACATACAAATATGCATACACACATACATATGCATATATACACATACCTCATTTAAAAATTTTTGCCTGAGCAAAAGATCTATTACAGGAAAACCTTAAGGCCTGTTCACGCTCATTTTCAGAAAACGTTGTTTCCATCTTTTTCATGAATACTACTGCAATTGGTTGGCTTACTTTCCTACCTTAGCATTATATATGAGTGTATTTATATCTGTACACATATATAGGTATATACATTTATATGTATTTATAGATTTGTGGTATTTAAATCTACTTATTAAACAGACCTTGGACACTGTACTAAGTCTGAGAATAGAAATGCAAACAAAGACCACATGGTGTGCCCTATGGAACTTACAGTTGATGGACTCATGAATAGGCAAAAAGAATGTAAATAAAATAAGTACAAATTGTGTAGTAGTAAATGCTTTGAAGAAAATAAGCAGGATACTGAGAAGAGAGGGGTGGTAGTGACCAGGGAAGGCCTGACTCCTAGTGAGGACTATGAAATTTTTCCCTTATTCTGTCAGTATTCATTGTTCAAGAATTTAATCAGATTTGCCCTGGAGTTCATGTGTTTTTTATTTTAAAAATTCTATTGTTAATCATGTTGCTATAGGCATGAAGCATTTTTTTTTTTTTAGAGAAAAACTTAATGTTTTGTGAAAGAGAGAGACAGCTAGAGTTTTTTGTTTGACTTTGCCTTCTCCTGACTTTCCCTCTGCAAGGTTTTTGTGTTTCTAAGTTGTCTTCTTTTAGTTAGGAGACTAGAATACAGAAAAACATTCTGCTAAATATGATTTTAGGTATTTTGTCATAAATTAGATCTTAGGAAAACTGATTTTCAAGGCATCCTGGGGTTTTAACCTAAATTTCCCAAAATATTAAGGCTGTGAATCATTTTTCATCACAGGATCTTTGTGATGTGTCAAAGAAAACAATTTTGTAACTGCAGTTAAAGATATCTACCAAAGTAACACAAATGCTGCCTTCAAAATGAAAACCAGTTTTCTGTTTATTCTTGCTAAATGTTTATGTAATATAAATGTAGTATGGGTTCTGGTTGATGTTTTGTGAAAATTATGTTCTGTTTCATCCAGCGCAAGTATTTACTTGATCTGATTTCTTCTTGATACAGGTTAAATGGGCCAGGGAAAACTATCACCATAACATTGGCTCACCATATTGCTTACGGTTAGCTTCTGCTGATGTCAATGGGAAGATCATCGTCTGGGATGTAGCAGCAGGAGTAGCTCAGTGTGAGATCCAAGAGCATGCCAAGCCTATCCAGGGTGAGGAAAGTCTGCTCAGCTAAGTGTGTATATTGATACACTTACTCTTGGAGTGGTTTTTTGGTTTTGGGGGTTTTCCCCCATTCATTTAATTTTATCAATTCCAAGTTAGCTCTTGATTGTGTTTTGCCTATTCTGCTGATCTAAATCTGGCTTTCTGTCCTTACTAATACACTTCTAGGCATATTTCTTCAAATCTCAACTGATTTGTGCTTTGGTAAAACTCATTAATTGCAATATCAGCCTCATTCAAGCATGATAAGAAAAAGTAAGTGGTACAATCTTGTAATCTAAGCTACAATATAAGGAAAATTGGCCACTGCTGTTAGGAACTAGCCATCAGTGCTTACTCTACATTAAGTAATTTGTTCATTATCAGAGATGAACAAAATTTTATTCTCATTTTCATATAGATTGCTTGTTTGTTCGTTTCATGTTACTGACCTAAAACCAGTACGGTATTCTTTTTTTTTTTCTTTTTTTTTTTTTGAGATGGAGTGTCGCTCTGTTGCCCAGGCTGGAGTACAGTGGCGCTATCTCGGCTCACTGCAAACTCTGCCTCCTGGGTTCACGCCATTCTCCTGCCTCAGCCTCCCGAGTAGCTGGGACCACAGGCACACACCACCACACCCAGCTAATTTTTTGTATTTTTAGTAGAGACGGGGTTTTACCATGTTAGCCAGGATGGTCTCGATCTCCTGACTTCGTGATCCACCTGCCTCGTCCTCCCAAAGTGCTGGGATTACAGGCGTGAACCACTGCGCCCTGCCCAGTACAGTATTCTTTAGACTTAAGTCCTCCAGTGGCTCTCTTGACTGAATGAATTTTTTAAATGACTATTTAAAAAATATTTATTAAATACTTACTGTGTACTAGGTACTGAACTAGATCTTTGCATATTCTGTTTATTTTTTGAAAAACCATGAAGAACTGTAAAGTTCCATTAAGTAATTCCACAGAAACATTAGGAAAGTCTGACATCTTGGTTGTGGCTAAGAGAGTTTCATATTGATTTTATAGTTTTAAGTAATGATTAGGGCAAATTGCCTTTTATTTTCTTTGAAGTAATATTTCAGATTACTTCAAAATTTTTACCTTGAGAGTTTAACCAGACAACTTATTTTTATATAGAATTAGTTTTTTCTCTGGAATATTGATACACACACACACACACACACACACGTCACATTTGGGGCTGGTGGTTAAGTTTTTAAAGATTATATTTTAAAAACTAAATATCAAGGACAAGTTAGCCAAGGACTTTGGAGAGTGTGGTTTCTGAATTTTGCCTTTCTTTATCGGGTCTTTCCAGATGTTCAGTGGTTGTGGAATCAAGATGCTTCCCGCGATTTACTGCTTGCTATCCACCCGCCAAATTACATTGTGCTCTGGAATGCCGACACTGGCACCAAACTATGGAAGAAGAGCTATGCAGATAACATTCTTTCTTTTTCTTTTGACCCTTTTGATCCCTCACATTTAACTTGTGAGTAACAGTTGCTTGTGGAAAATGAGTTAAGTGAGATATTTATAATATAGTAATGCTATGTGCATGAGATATACACACACATTATACATCTATAATGTTAAAATGACTGAGCGAAGTGGAGAAGCATGTCTAGTCCATATATCTGCAGCTCCTAATACACATACTCAATCATAAGTTCATATCATTGCAAATATGATAAAAAATTAAATCAGCAAGCTACACCTTCACTGTGTTGAATTTGTGAATAGTATTAGACTAGCCAGGGACAGAGAGTTACTTTGACACTCCAGACTTAATTAGTTCTTCTAAGAACATTTAAATAACTTGAATCAAGGGTTTCATTCAGTCTGTGGCCAAGTTAAGTTCTTGCTTTTTAATAAATTGTCCTAATTCACGCCATTCATTTTGAGTGCCATAAACAGATGCATGTAAAGAAGAAATAAGCCTAAGCAAGTTTTTTCTTGCAGAGATAGTTTTTGCTAATATGCTTTTAATGTTTTCCTGAGCTAATGATCTAAAAATGAGATGTGCTTTAGGTATTTTTGTGGCTAAATTGTTTAGAAACTATTTAATCATCCAACAGATATTTCTTGAGCTATTGCTACTCTTCTGGGAACCAAGATGTCTCAGAACCCAAAAGGCAGGAGCCTTCACAGAGTTTGCATTCTAGTGAGAAGAAGTCATATCATAAACTGTGACCACAATGAATTAATAAATTCTAGTGTAGTAAGAGGTGACAGGTGATATAAAGGCAGGATAAAGGGGATGCAGAAGAATGGGGGATGAGGGCATGCAAGTTGTATGAGATAAAGTGGTCAAAGTAGGCTTCACTTTGATAATGATCAGAAATGTGAAGGAGGTAAGGGAATTAGCTATGGTAAGGAATGTTTTTCCTGGATTTGAATGACTCAAAATTGTTTTACCCATCAACTTTTATTGAGGGGTGTGTGTGTGTCTGCACGTGTTAAAGGAGGAAGAGAAAGGCAGACAAAATTGAAATTATAATAACATGGGAAATGTGGCTGTGTAAATACACTACAGGGTGCTTAGGCTTTTATGTATGTAAATGTTTGTATATGGACGTGTGCATACATACACTCACTTGGTCACCAGTTTACTTACTCACATAGGTGCAGTGCTGGGGAAACACCTAGGAGGGCTGGCCCAGTTGGCAGAGTCAGGGAAGGAGGGCATCACAAAAGAAGGAAGCAAAGGGGACCTTGAAGGATGAGTTCTGGAACCTGAAAAGGCAACAAGGCTTTCAGCTAACTTGATTGCATCAGCTCTTTACATCTCTGTAATTTGGTTGATGAAAGCATTGTGTGTTCCAGAGTGTCAGTTGACCTAACATCTTTGATTTACTCATATTGAATGTGCTAGGGTTGTCATAACTCTTGAATGCATCCTTTTTCCCTGTGTTTAGAGCAGCCTTGCTAAGGGCTGGGACCCAGGGTAGTAAGGTTTTTCTGCTCATGTCTTCCAGTATTAGGCCCATTGTTGAGGGAGATTATTTTTTCAGTCATAAAAAGGCATAATTTGTATTGCTAAATATGGTGCTCCCTCCTTGACTATTTTTGTTTCATGTACACTTAGTAAGTCACTGTGGGCCCACTACTGTTTTCTAAATATTAAGGGAAAAGAATATTCCTTAATCATCTTAAGGTTCGATCTGATGCTTGAGAAGAAAAAGGGAATATATTTAGACTGAGTAGCTCAGGATAAAAATTTGGTATCATCAAATAAAATATATGAACTTAGCTAATTGTGATATGCAGAGCCTCTTAAGTATGGTTTTTTGTTTTTTTAAGTTATGGGATATGTTAAAGTTTTTTTGTTTGTTTGTTTTTTGTTTTTGTTTTTGTTTTTTTTTTTTGAGATGGAATCTTGCTCTGTCACCCGGGTTGGAGTGCAGTGGCACTATCTCGGCTCACTGCAACCTCCACCTCCCAGTTCAAGCGATTCTCCTGCCTCACTCTCCTGAGTTGCTGGGATTACAGGTGTGTGCCACCACGCCTGGCTAATTTTTGTATTTTTGGTAGAGACGGGGTTTCACCATGTTGATCAGGCTGGTCTCGAACTCCTGACTTCATGATCTGCCTGCCTCTGCCTCCCAAAGTGCTGGGATAATAAGGAAAGATTTTTAATGAAAGTCCGTGCCCTGAATTTATTTAGAAGAACAAACACTTGTTCTTTCTGCCAATAACCTTATGTTATCTTTTTAATATAAGACATAATATAGAATGCCAAGCTTGGAGGCCTCTGATGAATTGTAATGGACCACCTGTTTCTCTTCAACTTAGAGAACATTCCCATTATGTTATGAATGCATAACATTGCCAGTTATATATTATTAAAATTATCACTATATTGCTCTCAAAATTGTATTGGAATAAAACTGTATGCTAAACTTCATTAAACTTTAATCAGAGTTTTGCTTTTCTCAATATAGTGCTTACCAGCGAGGGTATTGTTTTCATCTCAGACTTCTCCCCATCCAAGCCTCCCTCAGGCCCTGGGAAAAAAGTTTACATATCCAGCCCACACTCTAGCCCAGCTCATAACAAGCTGGCCACAGCCACAGGTGCCAAGAAAGCTCTAAATAAAGTAAAAATTTTAATCACTCAAGAGAAACCTAGGTAAGTTACAAGTGTAAAATTAACATTCATCTACTTATCTGGTATGAAAGCATCATTTTTGGAGATGTACAAAGACTGATGTTTTTCTTCATCTCACTTTTTCTCATTTCTAATTTTGAATTTATTAGAGGAAAAAAATATTTATTTTTGTCCCCTGCCCTAAGAGGAGATTCAGCATTTAACATTGCCTTTGTTTCCACTAGCTGTGCTAAACTTCCCCACTGACTTTTATAGATTAAAATTTTTGAATTCTGATTTTTACTTGTGAAAATCGCAATGATCCTAAAGTTCAGGCAATTGAATGCATTAAAAATTTGGGCACAAAAGCTGGATACTCATTTTAAATACATTTTCCTGACTTAGGTGCTGTGCATTCTCATTCAGCAGTAAAATCGGAGTGTTTTTCTTATGCAGGTGAAGATGTCTCCCATCCTGGTTAAGAGCCAAGGCTCCGGGGGAAGCTTTAGCTATGAGACTGAGAAACTTCTTTAATCTTACTCAAATTTCTCTCTCCCAGTCTCTAAAATAAGGCTTTAAAGTATTTCATAGGGTTGTTTTAAAGATCAATAGATCCAATAATGTAAGTAAAGCATGTAATGTCATTGATACATAGTAATTTATTTAGAAGATGTCGGCTGTTATTAAGAAATTACAACTGAATAAAAGTTTATTTTAAGTAATTTGATGTATTCAAAATAGGTTTCTTTCTTTTTCCTATAGCAATAATCTGTATATTATTGCTTTGGCAGGCTTTTTTGTTTGTTTTGGCATTCATTTTCAGATAGCCTTTATTTTTAATATGCCAAGATTACTCTCTCTAGGCTTGGTGAGTAACTACTTGAAAAATATGTGGTAAAAATATAAATTGCTCTACAAATACATTTTGCACTTGTGTGTAAGTATCACTTCTATATATTAAGCCATAGGCTGGTTAAGTTCACTAGTTAATTTATCTCTCACCCTGTGCCAAAATGACTTAAGATTACTTCTTAAGTATCTTAAGAGAACTTTCTATTTTTTATGTATTCCCTCTCATAAACAAGAAATTATTTGGCAGTCTGAATAGTTTTATAAGTTATGTTTTATATTTCTTAAGTTTTCTCTCATATGAATTATATGTATATCTTGAGTATTGGGGAAATACATTATTTCTTCAAGTAGAACCGCTCTGGGTGCTTTCACATCTATTAATTCCTGGACTCTTACTACAATTCTGGCAGTAGTAATATTCCCATTTTACAAATAAGGAAAACTGAGTCCCACACCAATTTAAATAAAGTTACTCAAGCTCACCCAACTAGGACATGGCAGTCGGGATTTTAATGCAATAAAAATTCCTCTTTCTAGTCTTGTGAACTAACTTTATTTTAAATTTCAAAGCCTTTTAATAAAATTATGTTTGTAAAATGAAATGTAAAATGAAAATAGTACATAATTGTATGTCTATTCCTATTGAAATATATTTAATATAGAAAAGGTCATTGAATGTATGCAACAATCACAAATTATTAAAATGATTTTTCAGACCCTAACAATCTCTTAAAATCCTTATAGTTTCACCTGTTTTATTTACACACAAGAAAATGCTGCAATATAAGTGAAACTTTGTTTCAAAAAAGATTTAAGACAGCTTAAAAGTGAATGAAGGCAGCCAAGGGGAAGTTACTTGCCCAAAGCCATACAGATAGTCCAGTAACTCCTGGTCCAGGGGCCCTAATTACCCTAAATGTTGATGTTTTTCATCCTGAGTCTTGATTTTAACAGTTTGCCTAGTACTTTTAATGACAAAGTAAAAGTAAAATAAAACTGTCTTATGCATGCCAGCTATTATTATATTATCATTTACCATGTCTTGTGTAATATTAATAACTTAATATTCTACTACTTAATATTTCAAAAACTTAGAAACACTGACATTTCTACCCATCCTATACAATATTATTAGCATTTGGATTTTGGTACATAGTAGAGATCTAAGTTTTGGATGCCAACCCATGTTGGTCACTTCAGGGAATAGTTGTACATTTTTATTGTCAATTTTTATGTGTAAAGTACAAAATTAAATCTTTTATTAGGTCTGATATAAATGAAGTCTTTGACCCAAGTGAATGTTTACTTTTTTCAGTGCTGAATTCATAACTCTCAATGATTGCCTTCAGTTGGCATACCTGCCTTCAAAAAGGAATCACATGTTGTTGCTCTATCCTCGAGAGATTTTAATCCTTGACCTTGAGGTGAATCAGACGGTGGGTGTGATTGCAATAGAACGCACAGGAGTTCCATTTTTACAGGTATCTACAATTCATAAATTATATTCCCCAAAATTATTAAGAATGTTATATTAAAAGAAGGCCATAATCTTGCATAAGTCTTGTCTTCAGTTCTCCACTTTCTCTTTTCAATTTATCAAAAGACTAGCAACACTATTTTAGATTGTTTTTTTTGTCTGCACTTTTGATTGGTTTGATTTACCCTAGAAATTGTGACTGATCCTGAGATATTTATTGAACTATTTAAGTCACATGGGTAAAGACAAATTATTTTAGGATTATAAATGGATATTTTAAATGTACATTTAGTTTTAAAGTTTGGGATTTGTCTATTTTTTTTTCTTTTGCCCATATTATCTAAATATGAGTTTGAGTTTCACAGTATATACTTTATTAATCTATTGTGTTTTAAAAAATAAATATATCATCTATTTAAAGGTAATACCCTGCTTTCAGCGTGATGGTTTATTTTGTCTACATGAAAATGGTTGTATAACTTTACGTGTTCGAAGATCTTATAATAACATTTTTACCACTTCAAATGAGGAACCAGGTGAGTTTCTGTCTCACAATAATGTTATATTTTTCTTCAAAATTATTTTATAAAGCTTGATGTGGCAAATACCAGCCAAGGTATATAGTTAATGATACTCCTTGCTTTGAGGAAGTTTAAAATATGGTTATAATAAGAGGCATAAAAAGTATAAGCCCAAGATTAATCTCTTGATGTTAAAACAGTGCACCTCCTGTATACATCAAAGAGAGTAAAATTTTGTGTTTCTTGATCATATCCATGAGCCAAGTAGATATTATTTTTTGGAATTTTTTTTTTTTTTCAGTACAAGTCCAACCTTGTGTGCCTTTATTATTATACCCCCTTGACTTGTTGGCTGTAAGAACTTCCATTGTAAAGTGACAGAGGTTATTAAGTCTCAGTTGTCAAGTCAGTCTTATCTTGGAGAATGGAAATAATGTTTTTGTGAAATTATATACTGTGTAAAGATCAAAGTGATTTTCACATCTTTTGGAAAGTACAGTTATTTTCAGGCTTATAGACTACTACAAATTATGATGGAAATTTATTCATTAATTATATATCACTGTTGATCCTTTTTCAAAGTATCGTCTTTATTTTAAAATATTGAAAAAAGATATCTTGATTATAGTTGTTATTTTGGAAATTAAACTTAGTACAGTCATTAAGTAAATTATATTTGGAAAAAATTTAGTAGTAATTGTAAAAAGTGAAGCCATGCTTGACATTGCATTCATGAAGGAGTGATGCCCAAATTTAGTTGAGGTTTTATTTAAATTGAAACAAACAGTAGTGGTATCGATATGGCTGCTTTCTGATATTTAAAACAATTTTATGTGAAGATCCAGATCCAGTTCAGGAGCTTACCTATGATTTACGAAGCCAGTGTGATGCAATCAGGGTGACAAAAACCGTCCGTCCCTTCAGTATGGTGTGCTGTCCTGTCAATGAGAATGCAGCCGCCCTCGTAGTGAGTGATGGCAGGGTCATGATATGGGAACTCAAGTCTGCAGTTTGTAATCGAAATTCACGGAACAGGTAAATGAATCAACAGGATCATGGTTTTGTTTTTTGTTTCCTGTTTCCTTTTATAAAAAATTTCCATAATCATAAAAATAGGAGGGCTGGTTTTCTATAAAAATATTTTTAAGGTAATAATTAAGGCTTTAGATTATTAGGGAATTATGTAAATCTGCTAGAGCTATTTCACCTATGGGTAAGATGAATGAATAATATAAAAATAGATAGAATGCCATAATCTGGACTTAATACTTTGAATTCCTAATACGTAATGCAGATTTTAAGTATGTAAAACCTTCTAATTATTATGTCTTTGCAGTAGTTCTGGTGTGTCACCTTTATATTCACCAGTGTCTTTCTGTGGAATTCCTGTAGGAGTGCTACAGAATAAACTCCCAGACCTTTCCTTAGATAACATGATTGGTAAGCTTTTTTCCCCTCTAACTCCATGTTAAGTATTCTTTCTGAAGGGCAAAATTAATAGAATCACTCACTTGTAATTATTTTAAAGTCAAAAAAGTTAATACTTGAGAAAACTAGAACATGGAATCATTCTTTCCTAAATAAATCAGAGGGGTTTAAAATACTTAGGTAGAAAAGTGCCTGAAGTAGCACGGGTTTGCATTATAGTTGTTAGAAATAGAAAACGTTCATTCGTGAGAGACTGATGTAAATGAAAGCAATGACATTAGGCATCTGGATTTTGGACCTAGAGCCGATGCTGAGCTATGCCATGCCAACTCAGGGCCTTGCTGTTTGCTGGTTCCTCAGCTTGGAATGAAGTACATGCTTCCTTTCTGTCTGCTACTCCTAATTCAAAATTCAACTCAGATGTTGTTTTCTTTAATCTCCCAAGTCTAATTTAAATGCTCTTCTTTTGTTTTTCCTAACAGTTATCAGCATATTTTAATTGTGGGTTTTTTTCTTCTGTTTCATCTCATCAATTGTAAGCATCACAAGGGTGGTACAGTGTTTGATTCTATTTTGTCTTTCCCAGCACTCAGCACAGTACCTTGTGCATGCCTGTTTTGTAGTAAATATTTACTGAAGGAATAAAGTAACTGAGCAGTATTAGAAAAGATTATTTTAACTTTTTGACATGAATTATTTTTATGTTGGGGATTCTTTCAAAAAATCATTTTTGGAGATAAAGTGTTCAAAGTTATTTAATTATGAGGCCAGTATGTATTAAAGGAAGAATGAGAGTTTGTGATTTCAAATTTTATGCTACTTGAAATTATAAGGCTTTGTAAATATGCCAAGCAATTTGGACATCTAATTTTTTTACAGTTGTGGCTATGGTTTATAAAGGATTTTCTGTTTTATTATTTATTCTACCATAATATAATTGAAAACGATATTATTTAGGAGGGTTTTTTTGTTGTTGTTGAAACGCTAAATAAGTGATGCACTAGAAAGAGCATTGGCCAGGCGCAGTGACTCACGCCTGTAATCCCAACACTTTTGGAGGCCGAGGCGGGAGGATCACTTGAGGTCAGGAGTTCGAGACCAGCCTGGCCAACATAGTGAAACCCTGTCTCTACTAAAAATATAAGAATTAGCCAGGTGCAGTGGCATGTGCTTGTGGTCCCAGCTACTTAGGGGGCTGAGGCAGGAGAATCGCTTGAACCTGGGAGGCGGTGGAGGTTGCAGTGAGCCGAGATTGCACCACTGCACTCCAACCTGGGCAACAGAGCGAGACTCGATCTCAAAAACAAAAAAAAAGCATTACATTATTAATTACATTAATTAGATCACATTTATTGGGTACTTCATACTGTGTTAAGTGCTGTGCTAAATATTCTACATATTACCTTGGTACAGCTTTGCAATGTAAGTAATATTATCTCCATTTGATACATATGAGAACTGAGGCCCAGAGAGATTAAAACTTTAAACCACACAGTCACACAGTCACACAATGGAAGAGCCCAAGTGTGACCCGGGTAATCCTGGCTCCAGAGCCTGCTCCTTAGCAATGGCCTCCAGTCCTGACAGCTCCACTGTCATCTTGGGTAAGACCATCATTCATCTCTAGGCCTCAGTTTTTTCACGATTTCTGCCAGTTATGAAATCCTTTTGTTCAGTGATACTTACTATTATATCTAAAATTATTTCTCTCCACTATCTATTCTACCAGACATAAATCCATATGAGGAAGCCTGGACACATGTTTTGCAAAATTTATTTTATCAGTAACACAATTTTTTGAGTTAATTCACCTTGTCTACTCTTAATATGAAAACTTAAAGTGAAAAGAATTATAAACACACACAAGAACAGCACTAATCAGTTATATGGAGCCCATAGGAGTTTGAAATTTTATGCTGTTTAGGTATCTAAGTGATATAAATTACAGGTTTTTTTTTTTTTTTTTTTTTTGAGACGGAGTCTTGCTCTGTCGCCCAGGCTGGAATGCAGTGGCGCGATCTCGGCTCACTGCAAGCTCCGCCTCCCGGGTTCACGCCATTCTCCTGCCTCAGCCTCCCGCGTAGCTGGGACTACAGGCGCCCGCCACCACGCCCGGCTAATTTTTTTGTGTTTTTTTAGTAGAGACGGGGTTTCACTGTGTTAGCCAGGATGGTCTCGATCTCCTGACCTCGTGATCCGCCCGCCTCGGCCTCCCAAAGTGCTGGGATTACAGGCGTGAGCCACCGCGCCCGGCCAAATTACAGTTTTTAAGAGACAAATGGATACGGATTGTATAGCAGTTCTTGACAATGTAGTTGATTTTAAAGTGTTAAATAAAGCTTCGTACTTGAAAACATTTTAATTTAAACTTTTAATTAAACTTTTAATTTGAAATTCACTGTGTTCTTAGTGAAAATTCAAAGCAATTCAGGTAAATAAAGAGGCTGATTTATATTCACTGGATAAATGCTGATACTTATTAAGGCCTAATTTGCCCTACATTGTGAATTGCCTCTTATGAAAAATACTTGAAGAAAAATGTGGCATTCCCTGGATGTCAACTCAAAGCCAACATATGTATGTGTGGCACTTACATGTTAAGCTTCCCATTCCTTCATATTTCATCTTTTTTATTTTATTTTATTTTTTTTGAGATGGAGTCTCGCTCTGTCACCAGGCTGGAGTGCGGTGGCGCAATCTCGGCTCATTGCAACCTCCACCTCCCGAGTTCAAGCGATTCTCCTGCCTCAGCCCCATGAGTAGCTGGGATTACAGGTGTGCGCCACCACACCCAGCTAATTTTTGTATTTTTAGTAGAGACAGGGTTTCACCATGTTGACCAGGATGGTCTCAATCTTCTGACCTCGTGATCCGGTTGCCTCGGCCTCCCAAAGTTCTGGGATTACAGGCGTGAGCCACCACACTCGGCCTCCATCTTTTTTTAACCAAAGTTATGTAGAGAGATTGATATTGAGTATGTGGCTAATCCTAAGGGATCATTTTAATAGGATTAAAATGCTATTTTTTCTATATATTTTGTGGATTTTAAAATAACATTATTAAAACAACTTTACAGCTTCAAAAGGTTGTATTTATCACCCACTCTTAGTAATTATTTATACTTTTCCTTTCACACTATATACATGTTTGTGTTTATGTGTGTGTAGACATGTATGTATATACTCATGCATATTCTTTCTATTTTTGGCAAGTTAATCCCAATATTCTGTAGTGGTTTATAGGAAGGAAATTTGTATACCTTTTTAATGAACAGTCTTGATTTCATTGTACTGTTTAGATTTAGCTTTTGTTAGAATGATTTTTATTGGAGTCATCTTTTTAGTTTGAGACTTGCTAACCTAAGTACGAATGGTATATGTGAAAATAATGCCATTGAAGTCTTAACTATTGACAGTGATGGTGTATATATTATACACGTGATTTATGAATATATATATTTGTATTTGTTTTATATTTACTTATAAAACATTTTGTAATTACACTGACACATTAAGGTTTCTTATTAGAAATTATGAATAAGTTATTTAAATCTGTTTTTCATGAATACCAATTTTGTATGTACTTTACAGAGTACATCAGATTGAAAAGTAACCCTTTCAAAAGGCAGTAAAATGAGAAAAATGTGGTACAGTAGTTCACTCTGCAGAAACTGTTCTCTAATGCAAGTTCTCTTGCTTTGTTCTGAAGCCTGTGTAGTGCTTTAATACCAGGAACATTGACTGAAACAGTGTTTCTTAGAAGACATAGGTCCCTGCATTCTGGATAGCAGGACTCGGGAGTAATCTATCCTTTGAGGTGTTAGTTGATGCAATTTAAGTCCTATAGCCAGGTACAGAGTCATTGTGTCCTTAATAACTACAGCCACTAAAGTACTACATTAACTACATTATACTTTTAGACCTGAAGAGCATTTCTACTGAAAATTTTCTTTAGCTTTTTAAGATCAGCATACACTGTAGTTAATATATTTGTTATTTTTATTACAAATCAGGGCAAAGTGCAATTGCTGGGGAAGAACATCCCAGAGGTTCAATTCTGCGGGAAGTGCACCTCAAGTTCCTGCTGACGGGACTGCTTTCAGGACTGCCCGCACCACAGTTTGCTATTCGTATGTGTCCACCGTTGACCACAAAAAACATCAAGATGTATCAGCCACTGCTGGCTGTTGGTGAGTATTTGACCTGGTCTTTTTTTTTTTAACTCACTTTATAAGATGTTTAGGTTTTCTAGTTTCTAGAAGATCCTTTATTCTTTTTGAGGATGCTTTAAAAGGAGATAGAGACTAAGTGAAACTGTAAATACTCATCCTGGAACTTAAAAAAAAAAAAATTTCTGTCCTTTTATTCCAACTGTCTTATATTGAATTGGAATGCTGAGTCTTCATCCACCTGAGACTGGACAGTCGAGTCTCTGACGCTGTCCATTCATCTCGGAAATACCAGGAGGCTCATCCCTGCAGTGCTGAATCCCAGGCTCCTTGTCTGTAATTGGACCACCCCAGTCTTTATGTCATGTCAGTTTTCGTTGGGTCTTTATTGACTAAAAATATAGTCAGGGTTAATAGCTTAATAATAGCAGGGTTCTTCTTTTGCCAAGAGTTATATATTAAATATTATTTAAAGTGGCTATGGTCCCTATAAATTAAGATTTGCCTTTTGGTGTGAAATTGTGTATTTGTATGTTATAGGTAGAAAAATTTATCTGGGTTCCAACTTGCTGTCACATTGATTTCATAGTAATGTGATGAACCTAATTTTCTTTACAGCATAGAGAAAAAAACAAAATTTAGTTTGCTATTAAGTACACATTATTAAAATACATTTCTCCAAAACTTCTGAAAAACAGTGTATTTGTTTGAAACTCAACATTTCTTCTTAAGATGCTATCGGCTGGCTTCTGGCTTTCTCCCCCAGTCTATTAACATGTGATTTGTGGTGAAAACCTCACCATATTTATTCTGTGGCCAACATGGCTGACTTCTCAGTGTTAAAGACTCATTTGGGTATTACTGTTTGGTAGTACCCTTCTGTTTTTTTCTGTGCCTATCTTTTGAAAGCGATTTGATTTTTATGATTCAATTGTCTATATATGTGTCCCGATTTATATAATGCAGATAAATGTTTAATTTTTGCTTTAGAAACTGTTGATTAATATTTCACCACTAATAGATTTTAATTAGGATTCATCAGTGTGCTTCATATGTGCATGTATGTATTATGTCAGTGTTCCTGATTTGTCAGTTAGGATTTTGTCAATTTCTTGGGGAAAACTACTTCTTGGGATAGCTATGTAATAAGAGCTATGGCAAGGTCTGAGCTTTCCATTGTAGAATAAGCTGTATTGGTATGTAGTGAATATCATTTACTGAATTTAGTATAACAAAGTAAAAATATAAGTACCTAAAAGTTTGTCTAGAGGTGTCACTAAGAAAGATAAATAAGAGTTCAGCTATGGAATTAATTCTCCTTGTGGTGCCCCTAGTGCATTAGATCATAGGTTCAGCATTGTTAAAACTTTCAGATTGCAGAAATCATTGGATTATTATGAAGTTCTGTTAATTGAAAAATTTTAGTAATTTAGTTATTTTCTCAGTGCCAAAAGGTATTATTATGAAATAGATGATAAATGTAAACAACTGTACAATGTGTTTTTCTAGAATAGTTTTGCAAAAGATTTCTGGAGTTTTATTCAGCAAATAAGATAATATTGGAATTTGCCCAGCATTTTTACTTCCACTCTGTTGCTTTGCATGAATTCATTAATCTTTAAATCATGTGCAGTGCAAAAGTGATTGTCCATATAGACTGTTCACTTTTCTTGCTTAACTTATAAAAACACTATAGAGACTGAAGCTTTACTTTCTCATGTATGTCCGTGTCCTTTACATTTAAACTTTAGACATACTACCTGAGACCATGAAAAGCTTTAGAATAATACCTGTAAACTATTAATTATAGTGATGACAGAATACTAATAGTTAACCAAGTGCTTACTTTGTGCCAATTACTGTGCTTAGTGCTTTATGTTTCCCCATTTAATCTCCAACAACTAGATTTTCTACTCTTCCCATTTTAAAGAGATGAAAACACAGATTTAGTGTGGGCAAGTAATTCATCCAAGAGTATAAGGAAGAGCCAGGGCTTAAGCCCAGGTTTCTTTAATTGCAGAAACCACAGTTAACCATTATACTTTACTCTCTTGTCAGGATTTATTTAATAAAAGAGACAAAACAAAAAGAAAACTTTGGAAAGAAAAATGGATAACCCTGGTTAGTGAGCTCTGCTAGATTGCTTATTTGAGGACCAGCTATAATAAACCTTCTGAGTCTCAAAAAGTATAAATTCCCATGTGTATAAAAGCTTAGGAAAGTGTTTCTTCAAATTGTATGTGTATTAATGTAAGTTTTAAGGTCTTTCTGTGAAAAATCTATTCCTGGAATTAGGCAAGGCTTTTGAGCACGTGAGGTTAGGCCCATTTTTTTTATAAGGAAGTGGACCAGAGAAATTCATTCTTCTTTGTGTGTTTGTTTAAACACATAGTTTGGGTTTCTTTTATAAAAGATAAATGTGTTAAGTGATTAAAGTCTTGAGAAAAGACTTTTCTTGCAAAGTGCTGGAACTCCCACTGAATTAATGCTCTTCCATGATGTCATTTTGAAAGGTACAAGTAATGGTTCTGTCCTGGTGTACCATCTCACCAGTGGTCTGCTACACAAAGAGTTAAGCATCCACTCATGTGAAGTCAAGTAAGTATGTCATTGTGATGATGACATCACAAACATCATATCAGAAAAAAAATTCTCATAGACTTTTCTACATTGAGTACTCTGTAATATCTGCAGTGGTGATTATTTGAAAAGTTTGAATAATATTCATGTCCAACTAATGGCTATGTTAATCAAGGATGATAACTAATTCTTTGCTGTGTAAAGAACATAAGCAGTAGAGAATGTTTTCTCTTTTATTAGGTTGGTGCAAAAGTAATTGCGGTTTTTGCAGTTTTTTTTTTTTTTTTGTTGTTGTTGTTGTTGTTTGTTTTGTTTTGTTTTGTTTTTTTTAAATGGCAAAAAACACAGCTATTTTTGTACCAACTAATATTGTTGCACCTCATTTATTTCTCCTAAGGGCCAGGCTGTTTTCTCACTGGATATCCTTACGTTGCCTTGTTCAGGTTTATTTTATTTATTTATTTTGCTCAAAATTATTATTTTTTATTATTTTAAAATTTTTTTTACTTTAAGTTCCTGGATACATGTGCAGAATGCGTGCATTTGTTACATAGTTATACATGTGCCTTGGTGGTTTGCTGCACCTGTCAACCCATCACCTAGGTTTTAAGCTCCACATGCATTAGCTATTTGTCCTGATGCTCTCCCTCCCCTCACATGCCCCCGCCAACAGGCCCTAGTGTGTGTTGTTCCCCTCCCTGTGTCCATGTGTTCTCATTGTTCAACTCCCACTTATGAGTGAGAACATACAGTGTTTGGTTTTTCTGTTCCTGTGTTAGTTTGCTGAGGATGATGGCTTCCAGCTCCATCCATATCCCTGCAAAGGACATGATCTCCCTTTTTATGACTGCATAGTATTCCATGGTGTGTATGTACCACATTTCCTCTTTCTTTTTTTTTCTTTAATTTTACTTTAAGTTCTGGGATACATGTGCAGAATGTGCAGGTTTGTTACATAGATATACATGTGCCTTGGTGGTTTGCTGCACCTGTCAACCCGTCATCTAGGTTTTAAGCCCCACATGCATTAGGTATTTCTCCTAATGCTCTCCCTCCCCTTGCCCCTCAATCCCCGATAGGCCCCAGTGTGTGATGTTCCTCTCGCTGTGTCTATGTGTTCTCATCGTTCAACTCCCACTTATGAGTGAGAACATGCAGTGTTTGGTTTTCTGTTCCTCTGTTAGTCTGCTGAGAATGATGGCTTCCAGTTTCATCCATGTCCCTGCAAAGGACATGAACTCATTCTTTTTTATGGCTGCGTATTTTTCATTTCTATAACGATCCATCAGTAGGACTGCTTATGACAAATTCAAATAAAGTCATTTTAATTGTTAATTTGTCTTATTTATTCTTTGTTTAAACATCATCAGAACGCTGCATAGCATTTATTTGATTTTTAGGACATGATCTGCTTATGAGTTCTGTGTATGCAGAGCTGTCCGAGGGAAAGCTAAATTGACGGAAAAGTGCTTCTTGCTTTCTGTTCCAAAATGCCTACCTGTGCTGTCCATAGCATTATTTCGCTGAATGCAAGGCTATTTTCCTTTTGTGTCCTATCAGTGATAGATCGTAGAGTTACATATATAAAATATGAATTTCCACTTTTTTGTTTGTTTTTTGATACAGTCTTACTCTGTCACCCAGGCTAGAGTGCAATGGCGCGATCTCAGCTCACTACAATCTCCGCCTCCTGGTTTCAGGTGATTCTTATGCCTCAGCCTCTTGAGTAGCTAGGACTACAGGCACGTGCCACCATGCCCAGCTAAATTTTGTATTTTTAGTAGAGACGGGGTTTCACCATGTTGGCCAGGCTGATGTTGAACTCCTCACCTCAAGTGATCCATCCACCTCAGCCTCCCAAAGTGCTGGGATTACAGGCATGAGCCACCACCCCCAGCCAGTTTCCAGTTTTTTTTTATGATCTTTCAGTGAAAGCATAAGAAGTCATTTTCTGTTTTCTGTACATTAAATAATTGTAGGTCTTGTGTATAAAAATTCTCAGTGAACCCTTAGCAAACACATTATCCTGAGTACATGCATTTTCTTAATGGAGAAGGGTTAACCTTTTTTTTCTTTTTTTTTTTTTTTTTGAGTTGGAGTTTCGCTCTTGTTGCCCAGGCTAGAGTGGAATGGCGCTATCTTAGCTCACTGCAACCTCTGTCTCCCGGGTTCAAGCAATTCTCCTGCCTCATCCTCCCAAGTAGCTGGGATTACAGGTGTATGCCACCACGCCCAGCTAATTTTTGTATTTTTTAGTAGAGACAAGATTTCACCATGTTGGTCAGGCCGGTCTTGAATTCCTGACCTCAGATGATCTACCTGCCTCTGCCTCCCAAAGTGCTGGGATTACAGGCGTGAGCCACCGCGCCAGGCCAGGTTAACCTTTTAAGTATCACAGCTTCTGATTGTGATGGAAATCTCTGAAAAGTTTGCATTGTCTTACTGTTTCAAGTGCATTGTTGTGTGGTGCAGCCCAGGTGACTGTTTATTGCCACCTTACGCTGTTCCTATACAGCATCTCCCCAGATACATTTACGTGGAATAATAATGTCTTTAAAAGCTTTGGGCTTTTGAGGTGCAGTGACACAGGTATCTGTTTGGACTCTTTCAGGCTGTTATTCATCTCTTCTCTTCTGTTGCAGTGTCTGTAGCTTGCCATTCTGGCACTTCTAGTAGTCTCTGCTTACACTGCTGAATCTTCTCTCTCTCTCTTTCCCATCTCCTCTTCTCTCGACATTTCCTTTCACCCTGCCTTGTGTGTCTGGTGTTTCCTTTTATGGTCAGCACTAACCAATCGAAACTCTCCATTTAATCACTACTTATTCTAGGGATTATGTTAACTATTAATACTTCACACGTATCATTTCATTGAATCCCCACTACAATCGTATGGGGCAGGTATTGTATTTCCAGTCTACAGAGTAAGAAACTGAAAATTACAGAGTAATCTGTGAAGGAGCTAGATGGAATTCACTCTGGGCCTTTGAAGCCTCAGAACCTGAACTCTTCACTTATACTTACAGTGCATGTGCTGCATCTCCTGCTAAAATACGCACATAGGTTAGTAGGAATCATGTTGGCAGTAAAATTAAAATGTTGGCTGAGCCAAGATTTGTGCTAAGAATTTCACACATGCTTCTGAAAAATCAAACATGTTGTCTTTTCAAACACAGAAAGTTTTAATAGCTAATTAATCAGAGAGGTATTAATTTTAAGTAAGGTTTATTATCCTGGATTAGTCAGGTTATAGATGTCACTAAATACTTGACTTATACATGTTAAGATAATATTTATGGTTGAGTAACATTGAAATTGATTATAAGTGTTACTTGGGATACTAACTCTGAGGGATATACTACTTATCAGATAAATGTGAATGATCATACAAAGATACTCCATTTTTATATGAATTTTTCCTCTTCATTGCCATTTTGAAAATAATTTGTATTTTATATTCAGAGATACTGCCCAAGAGAACACTAAAATCCTGCTTTGTGTTTCAGTTAATGCAATTTTAGTATTATAATCAAAAGCCATTAAGAAAATTTCACAGAAATACAAAAATTAGCTGGGCGTGGTAGCATACACCTGTAGGCTCAGCCATTTGGGAGCCTGAGGTGGGAGGATCTCTTGAACCTGGGAGGCAGAGGTTGCAGTAAGTTGAGATTGTGTCACTGCACTCCAGCTTGGGTGACAGTGAGACCCTGTCTCAAAAAACACAAAACAAAACAAAACAAAACTTTCACGATGTATTATAAAAATGTCTGAATTTATTAGCAGTAAACTCAAAACATTTTAGATTTTCATGTCCAAATAAGGTTAACTTTTAGAAAGTTGTTTTTCTACCTTTTATTAAGTGTGTTTTTAAAAAATCATAATCTAAAGCACTTGAAGGTTGTATATACTGTGCCGGGGACTCATGACAGCAGATAGCACAAAGTGTGTGTGTTTTTAAAACCATGATGTTTTAACTTGTGATGCTTTATGAATATCTGTTGAATATCTTCTCTATGCTTATAAACAGAGAAAGCCTTTGAAGCTTATAATGCAATGGAAGATACTTAGAAGTAAACAAAATAGAGAGGTATATGTAGATTTTCTTAGGTCATTAGTTTGTGTCTTTGTCTGGTAGGCTGAAACTACTGTCATATGACTCTCTCCCTGGCCAGATTTTAATAGTCATACTAATACTGATGTGAATCCTGATAATTAAACTATCTTGTCATTACATTTGTAGATAAAGTTTTGGTTAGAAATGATTTTGTATGTGTTAGGTATGGTAATACAGTCTCAAATAAAAGGTCATGTTAAGATAAAAGGTCATGCTTACTTTTTAATTAATTTGTGTAATAAAATTTAGGTCTTTGGAAAACTTATTTTTCAAATAAATGAACCTTTCAAATAAAAAAGAGAATTAGTTTAACCTTTATCTCATTTCCTATTATAGGGGTATTGAATGGACAAGTTTGACTAGTTTTCTTTCTTTTGCTACCTCAACACCAAACAATATGGGATTAGTGAGAAATGAACTTCAACTGGTTGATCTTCCAACAGGTTTGTTTTTAAAGATCCAAATAGGTTTGTCATATTGAATAAACATGTTGCCATTTATAAAACATGTTTGAAAGTACTTCTTTCACCTTGGAATTTTTTTTTATATTTCATGCTTATATATTTATTCTTTTATTCTCTAATAATTGCCCTAGAAAGGCCTCATCATTGTTTACATGGAAATGTTGTTGGCACAAATACATGGTAAAATGGAGGACCATTAGCCTGAACAGACAGATTCATTAAAAAATAGGATACCGGTTCTACTTTTAAGTGCATTGTTATATGTAACCAACTTTAAAAGATCGATTTAAAAATAACTCTGTCAATGGACTTTATTAGAGTCTGTGCTGGAAATTTTGGCTTTTATAGGAAACACTTAGAAAATTTATAGGTTAAGGATTGTTTTTAAATGCTCAAATTTAAAACTTGTAATAGTCTCTGGCTGAATGAATAGAGAAACTTAATTTGGGATTTTGAAGATTCTACAGTAGGAAACGTCCCAATAAGGTAACTTTTTCAGAATTGAAAGCCTAAACCCAGTGAATTTCAAAATAAAGAATTTGAAAATATAATAAGGAAAGAGTTTCAAATTATTTTCTGGTGTATGCAGTAGTTTCAAAGAGGTTTTTTTAAAAATAAAATTGTGATGAGTTTCTTTAAAATGGTATAGCAACACGAATCATATGTAGATGATCTTAACCAATGAGAGCATGTGTATGTATGTGTAAAATGAATTAAATCAAATAAATGGTTGTAAATCAAGTAAGTTGTAAATAAATGAAGTACATGGTTGCTTTTTTATGTTCTCCATATGTATTTTCAAGCTCTCAAAGATCCAGTTGTTCTTACTTCTCAGGGTATGTTGCTGAACTTCCAGGAATCATTCCCGTCTTTAGTCCAGTGTTGCTGCTCTAGTCTCATTGGAAGTGACCTGTCCACTGACTCTCATCCCCAAGTTCCTAATTTGCCAGCAGAATGGTACTGGCCCTGTGTCTAGTGATCCCAGGGATAAAATGCTGTTGTCTAGTATCATTGACTTAAAAAAAAGAAAAAAAATCCCTGTTTTATTTGTTTTGGTCAGCTCAAGTTCAGGACTGTTAGATAACTTAAAATCTGCTTTGCACAGATGTATTTTTAAGGAACAAACATCTACAGTAACAGTTACAGATTTCCTTAAGTGGGATATTTGAGTTCATAGATGGTAGACTTTTATAGCCTGGGCTTCTAAGGAGGGCAGCAGACTAGTGCAGTCAGGACAGGACATGGGCTGTTTGGGGTATAATAATAGTGAGTATAGTGAGATTCCACATGATGGAATCTCAACAAAGAGTAGGAAGGCGTTTAGGCCTTCAGTTGTCCTTGAATTGAGTATGTTCTCTCTTTTGTTTAATGTAGATAAAAATCTAACACAAGATACTAAAACATACAAGGTAGAATTTATACTTTTTTTATTCACAGAAAATCATGTAACTTCCTTTGCGGGTAACTCATTCTTTCACAGCATACATGAACACCGTAGTTATTCCCTAGTTTCCAGTTTATAAAGATGTTTTGAGAGGAACATGTTCAAAATATTTAACTAGTATTTTGCACATGGGACAAGAAGATCTTAAATACATGTTTCAAGAGTTTTTCCCCCACTAGTTAGTATTTGGAAACATGGGAATGTTTGTATTAAATATTACTTTAAATAAGTAGTTTTCGCACCAGACAATTGCTGTACCATAAATATCTTAAAACTTAACATTGTTTTTTTAAATTTCTAAAATTGAATTATAGAATTCAAGAAACTGTGTGACAAATGAAAATGCCTTTTTACAAAATAAATATCTGAATATGTGATATATTATTGATCATTAGTTTGTAACACTTTTAAGAATATTCTTTGAACTTACATTATTAGAAACAGCTTAGAAGGAACTGGGCGCCGTGGCTCACACCTGTAATCCCAGTGCTTTGGGAGGCTGAGGCAGATGGATCACTAGAGGTTAGGAGATCGAGACCAGCCTGGCCAACATGGTGAAACCCCATCTCTACTAGGAGTACAAAAATGAGCTGGCGTGGTGGCGAGCGCCTGTAATCCCAGCTACTCGGGATGCTAAGGCAAGAAAATCACTTGAACCTGGGAGGCGGAGGTTGCAGTGAGCCAAGATTGCGCCATTGCACTCCAGCCTGGGTAACAAAGTGAGACCATCTCAAAAAAAAAAACCCGAAAAAACAGAAACAGATTAGAAGCAAATGGAAGAATGAATAGGAGAACAGAGGGTAGGATGGGTAGGACTGATCAAATTACATTGGCGTGGCTTCTTGTTTTTCATACATGTTTTATGCACTGTTCTCACTTTTTTAAATATTTGCAATTAAAGGTAGGAGCATTGCTTTTCGTGGTGAAAGAGGCAATGATGAATCTGCCATCGAAATGATTAAAGTATCTCATTTGAAGTAAGTGTCAACCTAAAAAAAAATCTATGGTGTTATCACAATGAAATCTCGTGGATTTTTTTAATCTTTAAGAAAATGGGAATGTGCTGGAATGCATATGGAATCTTTTTAGTGATAGCAAATGGTGATATGCAGCCCAAAGAAAATATTTTGATTACAAAATTAAGTTGCTATCACTTTTAATTCTCTACTTCTAAAAAGATGAAGTAACTTTTGCATGAATCGTTATTTACTTTCGGATAAAGTTCTTATGTACTTCTATCTAAGCATGGAGTTACTGAGTGAAAGAACTCATTTTCTTTATGTATAATTTAAACTCATTTTGCTTCCAGAAATTGAGTTTTTTTGTTTCAGGGGAAAATAACATGTAAAGCAGTATTATTAAAAATAGAAACTGAATGAAAATCAATCAAAATTACAAAGAAAGAGTAAGCTTTCTAAAGTAGTTTTCAAACTTGTTTTGGCTTTTCTAAGATCTTTGCATTTCCATATAAATTTTAGAATCAGACTATCAGTTTTATCAAAAAATCTTCCTGAGATTTTGATTGGGATTGCATTGAACCCATCAATCAGTGAGGGGAAGAATTGGTATCTTAACAAGTTTTGTAACTCATGAACATGGTATGTCTCTCCACTTATTTAGGTCTTTTAAAATTTCAGCAATATTTTGTAGTTTTCAGTGTGTAAGTCTTACATATTATTTGTTTATTTTGTGTTTTCTTTGATGCTTTTATAAATGACATTTTTAAATTTCAATTATTTATTATTTGTATATTAAAATACAGTTAATTTTCTGATATTGACCTTGTGCCTTGTGACCATGCTAAGCTTAGTTATTACTTCTAGTATAGGTGCTTTTGTTAATTCTTTAGGATTTTCTATAGAGACAGTCTCGTTTGCTAGTAAAGACATCTTTACATCTTTTCGATCTATAGGCCTTCTTTTTGCTTGCACTAATTAGGACCTCCTGTATAGTGTTGATTAGAACTGAGATGTCAGCTACGAGCTGACATCTTTGCTCTGATCCTGGACCTTATGGAGAAAGCATTCAGTCTTTCAACATTAAGTATGATACTAGCTGTAGATTTTTTGTATATTTCCTTTATCAAGTTGAAAAAGTTTTATTCCTAGTTTGCTGAGCCTTTGTATTATGAGTAGGTGTTGAATTTATCAAATGCTTTTTCTGTATTCATTGATATCATCATATGGTGTGTGTGTGTTATTTTGTTTTTCTTTTTGAAGTTCACTAATATGGTGAATTACATTGATTGATTTTCAGATGTTAAGCCAACATGACATTCCCGGAATAAACTCTAGTTGGTCGTGATGTATTACTGTTTTGACATATTGCTGGATTTGATTTATTGATATATTATTAAGAGTTTTATGATATATTATTAAGAGTTTTTATATCTATGTTCATGAAGGATATTGGTGTCGTTTTTATGTAATATCCTTTGTTTTGGTATCAGGGTAATACTGACCTTGCAGAACGTGTTGTAAAGTATTCTCTCTCCTTTTTTTTTGAATGAGTTTGTGTAGAATTGATATTATTCTTACTAAATGGGAAAAATTTATTAGGAAACCCATCTGAACCTAAAATTTTCTTTGTGGCAAAGTTTTTAAATACAAATTCAGTTTTGTTTTTTTTTTTCATAAATATAGGACTATTTAGATTCTCTTTTTTTGAGCTTTGGTAATTGGTGTCTTCCAAGTAATCTGTCCATTTTGTTGAAGTTGCTGAGTTTATTAATTTATTGAAATAAGCTTGTTCATCATGGATCTATGATCAGTGATTATCTTTCCCACTCCTAATATCAGTAAATTATATCAACCAATTTTATTTATTGATCTTTTCCAAGAAACTACTTTTGATTCATTTGATTCTTCTCTATGATTTTTCCATTTTCAATTTCATTGTCTGTCATGCTTATCTTTTGTTCTTCTGCTTACTTTTTAAATATGCTCTCCTTTTTTTACATAGTTTTCTAAAATAGAAACTTAGATAATTGAATTAAGTTGATTCTCTAAAATGTAATGTAAACAGTTAATGCTATATGAGCACCAGTTTTCCTGTATCCTACAATTTTTGTTATGGTTATATGTTTTCATTTTAATTCACATTATAATCTTTAAAAATTTCCATGGGGTGTTATTCAGAGGTATATTTTTTAACTTCAAACTATTTGGGTGTTTTGCCAGGTATCTTTCTGTAAATTTCTACTTTCTGTTGGGGTCACACATGGTCCTGAGTGGAAGAATCTCAGTCCTTTGATACAGGGAGTACAGGGATCTTCCTACTCTGTCACATTTCCTCTATGTCAGCCATCATTTGCTGATAATATTTTAGTTCCTCATAATGCTTATTGAGTAATCAGTGCTCAAATTATATTTGTTGAATTGCACTCGTTGATGTCATTCAGTACTTCTTTCAGGCTTAACAGAAAGTGAATAAAGTGGCATTTGTTGAATACCAACTGTAGTAGAATGATAGAAACTTTACATACTTTTTCATTGAATGTTTACCATAATCTGTATATCAATTAATTGAGGTACATGATGAGATTCTCCTGTCATGTGTGAGAAGTTGAGCCTCAGGAGGGTTAACATAAGTTGTGGCATCAGGGTTTGAATCTATGCCACTCTTTCTTCCAAGTTGGACTCCTTGCCTAATTGTGTGAGACTGTATGTTCTCTTACAGGTCACTTAGAGCTTTACCTTCTTATGACTGTTAATCATGGTGCTAAATGGTAGTTTAAATTGTCTATATTTAGAATGCGTCAGCTGAGTTTTTCAATTTACTGAACTTTTTATTTGCTCTAATTCATGGTGAAATTTTTGCAAAAAGGGGCTTATTTAGTAATTTTGTTTATTTTAGGCAGTATTTGGCAGTCGTATTCAGAGATAAACCCCTGGAGCTATGGGATGTTAGGACTTGTACCCTTCTTAGAGAGATGTCCAAAAACTTCCCTACAATAACTGCTTTGGTAAGTTACAATTTAAGAATTTAATAGCTTATTTAGGTATATATGTATGTGGTGAATGTTTTGCTTAAGCTTGAATCAAAATCATTACTGCCAATGTCATTTTTTTGGTTAAAAATGTGTGTTCAGAGAAGATGATCTAAATAAATGGAGATAATTCTTATTTTCTTGGATAAATCAACCTAATATCATATTAGTGCAATTCCAATTCAAGTTTCATTTGGATATTTTGAGGAATATGGTAAACATATTCAAAAATGTTTATGAAAGAATAAAGGTCCTAAATAGCTAAGTCATCCTTGAATAAAGAGGAGTAAATGTGGGAGGTGTGGGTGGGGTTGGCCCTTCCTACCTGATATTAGTACATCTTACAAAACCATGGAAATAAAATCAGTATTGTATTGGCACAAGAATAGAAAGTGAGTCAACCTAATAAAGAGCTCAGGAACAGACCCATGAATATTTGGGGACTTAATATACAGTAAAGTAGCACAAATCAAAGAGGATGGACAGACTGTGTAGTAGACGGTGTTGGGAAAACTGTCTCACTTTATGGAGAAAAATACTTGATCTCTACTTAATACCGTATAGAGAAGTGAGTGTCACAGGACTAAAGACCTAAATGTAAAAATGTAAAGCTATAAAATTGAATATAACAAAATACAAAATATTGCTGTGACCTAGAGGCAGGAGGAGACATCAGAAGCTCAAACCAAAAGGCAAAAAAAAAAAAGAAACAATGCATTTAATTAATCAAGATTAATGCTTTTTGTTTGATGAAGATGTCAAAGTTAAATACAGAAGACATTTTGGGAAAACAAATTTTCCAGTGTCTAAATTTAACTAGAAACTCCTGCAAGTCAACAGTGAAAAAAAGCGGGAACCCTAGTGAGAAAATGAACAAAGTCTGTGAAGAGCTAATGAGAGGCAGAGAAACCTAAAAGGCCAACAAGCCATATAAAGGAATGTTCAAACTCATCAGTTTTCAGAGATGTTCAAACCATGATATGGATCTACCGTTTAGACTAACAAAAACTGGACAGCCATATAGTGTTAAGTACGGGTGGAACATAGGGTATGGGAATCCTTGTGCATTGCTGGTAGGAATGTAGACCAATGCAGCCATTCTGTAAAGCACGCTGGCAGCACTTGGGCAAACACAGACATCTTCTGTGTCCGCTGAGCTCTTGGTCGTAAATGAACTTTTGCAAGGATATTGACTGGTGTGTTTTGTCATGATGTGAGTTTGGAGACCATCTGTGTGTTTTTACTGAGAGAGGAGACAGATTAACAATTGGCTGATGCACCCATGGAGTATTACGTAGCATGCAGAAACAGGAGGAAGAGGACTTAAATACAGTGGAAAGAGTAAGAAACAGGATGAAGTATATATATATATATACACACACACACACACACACACACATATAAACACAATACTATTTAGGTAAATTAGATAATAACTACATGTTAAGAACTTATACATATGCGAGGATATTGGACTAAAAGGCTTTACAATAGGTGGAATATAAAAGAATATATAAATAAAACAAGTGATTTTGGAGGAATCTATGGATGATAAAGGACCCTGGTTCGAGAACTGTGATTGTCTTATCGTGTGCACATAAGAGATGGGGGAGGAGACGAGGAATAGGCAATACTATCATTGAATTCATTATTTTCATTTTGTAAGTATTTTATAAAAACATCAAAAGGTCAGACCTTTTGGAAGTTTGCCATAAAAGCTCCAATTAAAATGCATTCATTTAGCCTTTCTCTAAGTAGGTAAAATCTAAAGAACAAATGTGGATTCATGTGTAGTAATAATAAATGATACTGGGCAGTGGTGTGTGTGCCCAGCTCTTCTGGACGATTCTTTGACAGAAGGAAACCTAGCACTTCTAGGTTTGTCTGCATTTGCTTTACAGGAGTGGTCACCATCTCACAACTTGAAGAGCCTGAGAAAGAAGCAACTTGCAACTCGAGAGGCCATGGCCCGCCAGACCGTAGTCTCAGACACAGAGCTGAGTATTGTTGAATCATCTGTGATCAGGTACAGTACAGTGTTTCTTGACACTGTCATTTGTGCCATTAGCATCATGTCTGGGAAGTTGACAAGTATCATCGGAAGGTGTCTATGGTAGCAAGTTGGACTCTGCTTTTGAACATACTTAGTTTCATCTTTCAGTACATACCCAGATTACTAAAAAGATAATTTTATCATTTTTAGTATTGTACTATACTGTTTGTTATAACTAATAACATATGCAGTAATATTCACCCATCAGCATCTAGTAGTAAATGTGCTCATTCCGAGTGCCCTTCTACTCCATACACTTCAGCTTCTGAAATTCAAATGAACATAGCATAGACATACAGATAGATCATATTATCATTTATACACACCAAAGAAAATGTGTTGGGAATCCTAAATTTGTGTATCATCCCCATCCATACCAATCTTACAGATAAAAGGCTTCAGAGATAATGTTGGGTCACTGTACAGCCTCCCTTCTGTTGAGCACAGTTCTATAGCCAAAATCTCTATGAATTTTATTTTTCTTGTGTTAAGTTTAGATCACCATTTCTCTCTGTGCAGGGTAAACTTCCTCTGATGTTGTGGCTGTTAAGGAGTGATTCATGTTTACCCATAATTAGCTGGGCAAATATTAGTTTCAGACTTTTAAAAAAATAGTTTTGGACCTCCTCTTAATGCGTCTGTACTTTGGGCAAGTTAATTAATTATGAGTATCACTCTAGGGGAAAAAAAAACATCTTTATCATATGTTTCACTATCCCAAAGCTTGCTGCAGGAGGCAGAAAGTAAATCTGAACTTAGTCAGAACATCTCTGCCCGGGAACATTTTGTATTTACCGATATTGATGGCCAAGTGTATCATCTCACTGTTGAAGGAAACTCAGTAAAAGACAGTGCTCGGATTCCACCAGATGTGAGTACAACCTTGATTAAATCTTCATCAAGAAGATTTTGTTTTGTTGGTTCCATATCCAGTGAAGGCATAGTTAAGTTGGAAACTTCAGAAAAGCCTAATGTAAATAAACTTTATTTAAGGAGATATTATCGATTAAACTTGTTCCATACTGCTAGAGAATAACGCTGTAACTATTTTGATTAAATGTTTACTGTGTGCTACTCATTTTTATCCCTGTAATAATCCATGAGGAGTTATCTCCATTTTACCCATAACAAAACTGTGGGAGAATAAGTAACTTTCCCAAAGTTATCCAGCTTACTCATATGGCAGAGCAGTGTTTTAAACTCAGGCCTGTCTGACTTCAGTATCTGTCTTCTTTCCATTTCAGGCATTACCCTGAAGGATTTGACTTACAATCTAGTATTATTTTTGGATAATAGTAATCAGGTTGTAAGTGTAATAGTATTATTAACATTTACTAACTTACATATATTCTTATGGCCTTGTGGAATCTGTAACTAAAGTTTTGCCATTAATCATTTGTGTCAGCATGCATCTCATAGATAGTTTTTAATAGATGGATCATGAAAATGTTTATGTTAATTAATGCAGGCTATTATAATGGTTAAATGAAGGCATGAGGGGATTTTTTAAAATAGGTATATTTATTTTAAATTGCTATCTAAAAATGGAATGCTCTAGTAGAATGCCAACCCCCATAATTTTATAGGTGGCTTTGGGGTCTCATAAAGTTACAATCTAGATGTTGGCTGTGGCTACAGTCTTTTGAAGTGTAATGGGACAGAAGGATCTATTTCCAAGTTGGCTGCCTCACAGGCTATTGCACATTAATGCTGGCTGTTGACGAGGGACCTTAGTTCTTCATGTCGATCTTTCCATAAGGCTGCTTGAGTGTCCTCACGACATGACAACTGGCCTCCCCTAGAGTAAGTGATCTGATAAAGCAAGAAGGAAGTTGCAGAGTCTATTATGACCTGGTTTCAGAAGTCTCTTCAAAGGCAACTTCTTAATTAAACATTCTATTTTATGGCTAGGAAAGTAGATATCTTAAAATGTTGCTTCATATTATATACAGAATTTCATTTCTTTAATATTTTTTTTTATTAATGGACTTTATTATAATATTGATTTTTAAATCCAGTTTTTGTTTTGTTTCTTGACTATTACCAGAGTTTTTACGGTATTCAGTGTGTGTGCTAGTCCACTAATGGTCAATTATTCAAACCACTAGAGTTTTCTTACTTTTTACCATGGATACCATTTGAATTTTTATGTTGTACAATAAATGCAAAAATAAAATTTCTTTTAATAAATAGAGAAGTAATTGAGCAGTAATATTATTTAATAGCTAACATGTATTGACTATTTACTGCATGGCAGGCATTGCTTTAAGGCCTTTGCCTTTATAAATTTATTAATACTAGCAACAACTCAAGTTTCATGAACTTACCCTACTTTATGGACAATAAATCCAAGACAGAAAGGTTAAGTAAACATGCCTCAAATCACATACCAGTTTCAAGCTGGGATTCAAGCCCAGGCAGTGTGACTGCAGAGCCCAGGCTGCTGAGCCCTCCATGATACCACCTCTGAGCATCTATTAGAACTGCAAGTTCCTTTCTTCCTCCAAGTTAGATTGACTACAGCAGCATTTCATTCTTATGTTGTGCTTCTATATGTAACTTCTGAGCAAAGCTTTCTGTGAATTTAAACTGCATATGCCTTTAGTAAACAGCATCTCTTCACCTTCATGATTCCACAATGTTCCAAAACGTGTCAGTGAAGCTCTGGATCCTTTTTTCAATAGAAAAATCACGGCACAATTAGTTATAAAAGAGCTTTAAGTTTCCCTTGGAATGGATTTAGTTATCCTTTTGCAGTGAGAGATAAGTTTGAGTTGGCTCTCTGGAAAACCTTCCCTTTACTTCTCTGTTTTTCTTACTTTAATTTCCCCCTTTTTTTTTTGAGGTATTTGTTCCTCAAAAGACATCCCCTCTCTTTAAATCTAGTTCCAGTAACTACTTAATGTCTATGAAGTTGAAATCTCCTATTTCTTCATAGTTGAAATTGATAGGCAATGTAGCTCTTTGTTAGTGTCTAAAGTCTGTTTTAGGATTTGATGACTAAAAGCATACTAAAGCACAGCCCTTTAAATTAAGTTTTATTAAAATATTTATTATAATGTCTTATACAGCATAGTGAAATTTATATTTGTTTGTTGCTGTTGTTTTCTAGGGAAGTATGGGTAGTATTACCTGCATCGCTTGGAAAGGTGATACATTAGTGCTTGGAGATATGGATGGAAATTTAAATTTCTGGGACTTGAAAGGCAGAGTATCCAGGTATAAGCCAAGAATGAAATCTTGTTATTTCATTAAAAAAAAGAAATGAAATCTTTTTGTTTTGTTTTGTTGAGATGGTGTCTTGCTCTGTCGCCCAGGCTGGAGTGCAGTGGTGCAATCTCGGCTCACTGCAAGCTCTGACTCCCGGGTTCATGCCATTCTCCTGCCTCAGCCACCCGAGTAGCTGGGACTACAGGCACCCACCACCACGCCCGGCTAATTTTTTTGTATTTTTTTAGTAGAGACGGGATTTCACCATGTTAGCCAGGATGGTCTCGATCTCCTGACCTCGTGATCCGCCCACCTCGGCCTCCCAAAGTGCTGGGATTACAGGCAGGAGCCAGCACACCCGGCCAAAAAATGACATCTTGATATGGTTCCATTAGAGGCTTGTGACTTGGCAAGAAGGATCAGTAAACTCGTGGAGGTGTAGCTTGGACCCTTGGGTCCCTTCACCTAAACTTGGGAGGATGGGCCTTGAGCCAAGCATTCTTAGGAGATAGTTATCTGCAAGTGGCCCCTGCAGAAGTCTTAGCTGACCTTAAAGGGCAGGCCCTTTCTGTCAGATGTGGCCCCCAGTCCCAGCAAGTAAAGGGTTCTCCCATCATCAGACCTGTTAGAAATGGAAATAGTGAGAGATGTTAGACATAGCTTCTGGTGACCAGATCTCACTCTACATTGTATTGATGTTTTTGTTTCTTTGTCTTCAGAGGAATACCCACACACCGAAGTTGGGTGAGGAAGATTCGTTTTGCTCCTGGTAAAGGAAATCAAAAATTAATAGCAATGTACAATGATGGAGCTGAAGTGTGGGATACTAAAGAGGTAGGCCCTCTCCATGAGGATAAAACGTAAATAAATTGTTAGCCATAGGAACTGTGCTTTGTTAAAAAACTTCTTTCTGATTTAGAAATGAAAAGTACTTAATGAGTTCGTCAAGTTTCCCATAACAAATTATTTTCTTTACTTTACAGTATTTGTGTTCTAAAGGTAACAACTCAAGATTTATTTATTTATTTATTTATTTATTTTTATTTTTTATTTTGATATGGAGTTTCACTCTTGTCGCCCAGGCTGGAGTGCAATGGCGCGATCTCGACTTATTGCAGCCTCCACCTCCTGGGTTCAAGTGACTCTCCTGCCTCAGCCTCCCTAGTAGCTGGGATTATAGGCATGTGCCACCACGCCCGGCTAATGTTTTGTATTTTTAGTAGAGACAGGGTTTCGCCATGTTGGGCAGGCTGGTCTCAAACTCCTGACCTGAGGTGATCTGCCCGCCTCAGCCTCCTAAAGTCCTGGGATTATAGGCGTCAGCCACCGCGCCCAGCCGATTTATTTATTTTTTAATATTATCACTGTCTCTGAGACCTTTAAAATGCTGCCTATTTGTGGAAGATAGATTGCCAGAGGCTGTTCAGTTCTAAACTTGAACTGGGCCTTTGCCACAGACTGTCTTCCTTGACCATTTAATCTAGAATAATAAAGATCTTCCTTTTCTGTCTGGAAGTGATGCCCAAATTCACTCTTGAAGGTTCAGATGGTGAGCAGTTTAAGAAGTGGCAGAAATGTGACCTTTCGTATATTGGATGTGGACTGGTGTACGTCAGATAAAGTGATCTTGGCCTCAGATGATGGGTGCATCAGAGTCCTAGAGATGTCTATGAAGTCTGCGTGCTTTAGAATGGATGAACAAGAGTTAACCGGTATGGAATCCTAATGATAGGGGGCTTTGAAACCTGTCTTTACTTTGCCACAAGCTCTTGTATTTTGGGGAGAGAGCTGCTGCTTCTGTTTCATTTCAGTCTTATTTTCTTAGAATCTGAGTTTAAGAAAATATATTAACTTGAAGCTTGAGTGTTTTTACTGCTGAGATGCTGCAATCTTTGTAACTATAGATGTCAATCATTCTCAATTCAGGTTTTTTAAGTGCCCCTTTTGACTCTTTTCTTTGGTTTGTTAACAAGATAAAAGATGTTTATGTTTATAAAAATGGCTTACTCAGAATTTAGGCAAACTCATCAGAGGACATAAATCTAGTGATAAGGCTGCTGGCTTTTTAATAATGGCCTTATGTCTTTTGCAACCATATATCATTGAAAAGTCACTTTAGAAAGTGTTCTGAGTATTATGAATTTTGATGCCAATCTGTGACTAGTAAAATGACCAGTCAAGCAAATTAGCAGATTGCAGTATCTTGCTCTGTTTTGTATGGTTGTTTTGACATTGCTTTTTACCAGAATAAAAAGCATTTTAGTAGAATATACTCCATATATGACTTCTAAAAAAAAAAAGAATGGGACAATTGTGAATGCATCCATTTATCAGTTTAAAAGGCAGCTTTTGGCTGATGCAATACAGTGTTCATCCTTGGAAGATACTTGATCCTACTTGGAGTGGAGGAGGGAACTTCTTGCCTGAGTATTCTCCCAGCAAAACTTTGGTGCACACTCTAGGCTGATATGTAGAAAATTTCATGAGACTTTTCTGAACCTTTGTAGAGTCAATATTTGGCACTTCAGACACAGTAAGGTTTTAAAAACCTGGTTTTTCACTTTGTGTTCATGCTTGAGGCACTACTGAGTTGCTGCTAATGTTAGCAGGGCTGCCTTTAACTTAGTTAGGTATGCTTTGGTTTTTGTCACTGCCCACCCCTGCCCACTGCATTTGGGCACCACCACTTCTTACTATGTAACTGACTGCCATCAGGTGAAGCCAGAATTCAAGACCTACATTCCCATGTCTGTCCTTGTGTCGTTTGCCAGCTCTGGGGAAGCACCAGGATGGCCTCCTAGGAAAGGGCAAGCATTGGTATTCATTTTAAACCTAAAGGTATTGAGGACATTGAAGGAACTTCAAGGGTGGTTTTTGAAAAAATTGGTTACTAATTCTAGATAAAGAAGTGTGGAACTGCTATCTAAATGTTTGAAGAGCTTTTCCTTCACTTTTAATATAAAATTTGAATCTAAAAAGCTCCAAAGTCAAGGTGTAGCTTGTTCTTAAATTAAACTGACTACAGAAATGGAGTCCATTGTATTAACCCATGTTCAATACCATACTTGAACATCTGGCCTGTGGCCAGATTTTAGATCACATGTTTCTTTTAAAATTTTTCTGATTTTTTTTTATATTCTTTTCAATCTCTAATGTTACAGCCTCAGCCAGAAAGAGAAAACTAAATAGCAATTGGGAAAGGTCATGCAATTGTGTATTCATTCCACAAATTGAACTTCAAATTCAGAACAACCCTTAATAAATGTTAAAGAATGAAAACTATGGTAGTGTAAATGTGGAGTGAGGAAAAAGACATCTGTGTGTTCACCTCCAGATTCATGGCCGATTTGGTCTTGAGGAAAAAAAGTTTGAGGTAGTATATTTCTATTCTGAGGAATTAGAAGTATATTTGGGGCTTACTGACATGGGATAAAAATAAAATAGGTCCTAACATTGGTGTTTCCTATGTTTTCTTCAATTCTCCTTGAAAACAAGTAGAGAACGTAAAATATTGATTCACATCTGTACATTTTCTTAGAGCAGCTTAGATAGGCCACTTCTTCCTCCAATAAAGAGGGGGCAGTCAGACAAATTAGAAGATTAGAATTCCTGTTTTTGAGTTGGAGAACCTTTCTTATCGGCTGCCTAATATGTCAGGGACACAAAGAGCCATCAAAATAAATCTTAATAGTCTTTTTAGCAGCATCTAAAAGGAATGCAAGAATATGAGACTGTTTAATAGCATTCTGGTATCATGCAGTTTCCACACCCTTTAAATAGTATTGACTTGATATCAGGGACTGTTCAACCTAATTTCCTCCCCAGTGTTTTTTTTTTTTAATTTTATTATTATTATACTTTAAGTTTTAGGGTACATGTGCACAACGTGCAGGTTTGTTACATATGTATACATGTGCCATGTTGGTGTGCTGCACCCATTAACTCATCATTTAGCATTAGGTATATCTCCTAATGCTATCCCTCCCCCCTCCCTCCACCCCACAACAGTCCCAGGTGTGTGATGTTCCCCTTCCTGTGTCCATGTGTTCTCATTGTTCAATTCCCATCTGTGAGTGAGAACATGCGGTGTTTGGTTTTTTGTCCTTTTGATAGTTTGCTGAGAATGATGATTTCCAGCTTCATCCATGTCCCTACAAATGACATGAACTCATCATTCTTTATGGCTGCATAGTATTCCATGGTGTATATGTGCCACATTTTCTTAATCCAGTCTATGATTGTTGGACATTTAGGTTGGTTCCAAGTCTTTGCTATTGTGAATAGTGCCGTAATAAACATACATGTGCATGTGTCTTTATAGTAGCATGATTTATAATCCTTTGGGTATATACCCAGTAATGGGATGGCTGGGTCAAATGGTATTTCTAGTTCTAGATCCCTGAGGAATCGCCACACTGACTTCCACAATGGTTGAACTAGTTTACAGTCCCACCAACAGTGTAAAAGTGTTCCTATTTCTCCACATCCTCTCCAGCACCTGTTGTTTCCTGACTTTTTAATGATTGCCATTCTAACTGGTGTGAGATGGTATCTCACTGTGGTTTTGAGTTGCATTTCTCTGATGGCCAGTGATGATGAGCATTTTTTCATGTGTTTTTTGGCTGCATAAATGTCTTCTTTTGAGAAGTGTCTGTTCATATCCTTCGCCCACTTTTTGATGGGGTTGTTTGTTTTTTTCTTGTAAATTTGTTTGAGTTCATTGTAGATTCTGGATATTAGCCCTTCGTCAGATGAGTAGGTTGCAAAATTTTTCTCCCATTCTGTAGGTTGCCTGTTCACTCTGATGGTAGTTTCTTTTGCTGTGCAGAAGCTCTTTAGTTTAATTAGATCCCATTTGTCAATTTTGGCTTTTGTTGCCATTGCTTTTGGTGTTTTAGACATGAAGTCCTTGCCCATGCCTATGTCCTGAATGGTATTGCCTAGGTTTTCTTCTAGGGTTTTTATGGTTTTAGGTCTAACATGTAAGTCTTTAATCCATCTTGAATGAATTTTTGTATAAGGTGTAAGGAAGGGATCCAGTTTCAGCTTTCTACATATGGCTAGCCAGTTTTCCCCTCCCCAGTGTTAAAGGCCACTGCTAAGCACATTTTTCCTAAGTAAGCATATATAGAAAGAAGCTTTCTGAAATCAGATTTCTGCACAAACCTTTCCTCTTCATCTGCCACAGCTTTCCACAGTCATTTTCGGTAATCTTGGGGCATTCAGAAATGTCTCACAATGACTTGCCGATGTGGGGAGGTCTGGGGATGCTAAACAACCTGGAACGATCTGGCGCAATGAAGAATTGTCCTGCCCCAAACGCCAGTAGTGTTCCTTAGCTCTCTTTTTCACCGTTCATTGAATCACACTGAACAAAATCACAAAATATGGTCCTTTCCTTCCCAGACTTCCAGCTCACCTTAATGTTGCCATTTCCAAGTGGTGGAGGAATAACTTTTTTCTACTGATTTTCTTCTTGGCTCTTTGCTTACTGATTTTCTGCATTCCTGTCATGTAGGTAGCTAAAAACCTGGGTGTTATGATTCATACCTCACATAACTTTAGCCCAGATGGAGCAGAATCCGTGACAAACAGCAATGATGCTAACTGCTTTTGCATTCTAATTGTGTAATTTTCAGAGGTGAATGAGCTCTTGCATGTGAGTTTCTCCAGATGTGAGATGATCTCCTATTACTTTTTCATGGCTGATCTTTACCTTTCAGAAGAAAGATTTCAATTCATTTGAGGGAGGGAAGTAGTTAAGGGTCACTTTCAGTTTGTTCATGCTCATTGGGATGCTGTCAACAATATTTTGCTTTTGGAGAAATAACATATTTGTTTTAAAAAATAAGGTATTTCCCTCCTTTTATTCAGACTTGGTAAATGTTGTCTTGCTTGCATGATGTAAACACTCGATGCTGCCTTCTACGTGGATTCTCTTGTATCTTTTCGTTTGTTCATTGATTAAGAAATTACCACACAGCATGAGAACTTTCCCTGAACCATTCCAAGATTATTATGTATAGTTAATTTTTTTCCCTGACATTTACCATTTCCAAACATACTGTGATATAATACCAACAACTATCTACATGAATCTACCTAAAACATATACATATGCTATCTAAAATATGAATGGGGCTGACTTGAGAATTATATAGATTGTCGTCTATGAAGGATGAATAGAAAGAAAGTTAAGTAAGCTAGCCACCTGCATCCCTTTCAGTGTTAAGTGTTCAGTGCTTCTGTAGGTAGTTAGATAAGCCTCATTTTTCCAAGATGCAATCCTTCCTTTATAGCCCAGATGTAAAAGAAAAGATGACTAAGTGGAAATTAAAAAAAAAAATTCAAAGCAAAAGAAAATCTTTAATAAGAATAAACGAAAGTGTTCAATAAGCAAAGCCAAATACAAATGATTACCTGGAGGAAAGTAATTCACAAGTCACAGACTGTCTACAGAGGGGCAAAACAGATAAACAAATGATGCTTCAACATATGAAATGATACTCAACTTTATTTATAATAAGAAAAATATTTGACCTCCTACTGGTAAGGATAAAAGAAGAAAATAATTTTAAAAAGTAAATTTTTAAAAAGAGAAAAATACAAATTAAAATTGTTTCTTACCTATCAGATTCAAAAGCTTGAAAATATACTCTGTTGGCAAGGCTATGAGGAAACAAGCACTCTCATCCATTGCTAACAGTAAGATCCCTATAGGAAGGAATTTGGCAATATCTAACAGAGCTACATGCACATTTACCTTTTTACCCAGCAATCCCAGCGCTAAGAATTTATCTTAAGATGTACATTCATACCCTGTGACCAAAATGCACACAAAGTTATTCATAGCAAAATTTTGAAAAAAGCCGAACTGCTTAGCCGTAGGAGATTGGTTGAATAAATCTGGGGACATCTGCAGAATGGAGTAATCTATGCAGCTGTAAAATAGTGAGGAATAGCTCTGTGACCTGATGTAGAGTGATATCCAGGATATGTGTAAGTGAAAAATGCAAGTGTAAAAGAGCACGTATAGCCTGCTTGTGTACAAAGGCGGATTTTATACATAGGTTCATGCACACGTTTGCTTACTAAAACACACACCACACATACACAGAATAATCCAGAAACCAATGAGAATAGTTAGAAGATGTAGATGGAAAAATGGAGAGTATGGGGATAGCAGTGAAACTTCTCTATCTTTGTTATACAGTTTCAAGTTTTGAACCATTTATATATTTTATATATTAAAAATACACAGTGAAAACAAGAGTGAAGAAAAAGCAAACCCTAAAATTGAATGCAAGACACAGTTGAACCAAACTGTGTAACAACAATATTGGTAACATAACCACACACACACACAAAAACAGTTCAAATAACTAAAACACAGAACTTCCCATTCACTGCACACCTTTAGTGGTTTATATTCTAAGGACAGAATTGCTAAGGAATGTTGAACTTTACCGGGGTAGTTGATGGTGACACTAGTAATTCTGAAGCTGTTTTGTGCATGTTGTAGTCTGGAACACATTAGTAACCAAATTGCAGTTTTGGGGAGCCAAGATCTGTGCTGATAGAAAGGGAGATATGGATGGGAAATGGCGGTGGTGGGAAGAAACATTCCAGGGGTGGATTTGGGTTGGTAAAAAATCATGACTTCTTGAACATGTATGTTCCCTGGCTCTGCTCACAGAGAGTTTTCTTGCAATGACACTCAATGGCAGTGAGCGCACATAGCACCCAGATTTTACTTTGCAAGTTCCATTTCCAGGCTAAAAGGAGCCAGAGCTCTTTGGACAAAAAGTTTATTTCAGGACAGAGGCACAAAAGGTGCAAGATGGGTCTGGGGCATCTTGTGGTGCCAGAATTCAAGTAAGGAATTGAAAAACCAAGGAGGACCTGACATAAGAGGCTTCTCCTGTCAAACTGGGGGTAGTCTGAGCATCACGAAAACTAATGGTGGTATTGATGTAAGTGCAGAATACCAAAGAAACCCTCACTCCATAGTAATAGTCACAGTAAGGAAACGGGAAGTGGGCAAGAAGCAAAAGCTCAGGTGGACAGAAGAATGCCAGCTGACAAATGCGGAAAGAATAAGATTAGAAAATCACCACTTTGCAGCCCCGATACAATAATTAATTGTATACACAAGCAAGGATCACTTGTGGATGTCAAATCACTGAGTAAAAGGATGTTTGAGAATAGGAAATTCAATCTGACAATATTTCCTCCACATATTACTTACTAATTAATTATACAGTGGAGAAGGTGCCCTGATAAGAGCTCTGGTGAATACCCCTTATCTAGATGATCAGATTTAGTGTTTCCTGTAACCAGACAGCTAACATGTTCCTTCTGATGCAATGCAGTGAAAAGTACACAGCATCCTTTGTTCAGACTCTGTCAAAAATGTTTAACCCGAATCTGATAATCAGAAAACAGACAAGTTAGAACGTAGGGCATTCTCCACAGCAGCTGACCAGGACTCTTCAAAAATGAAAAGGTCACATAAGGCCAAAACCAAAAAGGAAGAGGACCATTCTAGATTGGAATAGACTAAAGAGACATGACAATGCAGTGTACCAGCCTTGACTGGACCCGATTTTTAAAAATAATACAGCTGCCAGGACATTTGGGGAATAACAAGGGACTTTTGAATTTGGACTGCATTTTAAGTGATTTTACTGAATCAATATTAAAATTCTTGGGTGTAAAAAAAAAGTATTATTAAAAATATTTCCAATCACTTTCTGGCTTTTAAATTGAAAAATCCACATAAAATATTTTGTGTATAATTTAATTTTTATTTAACTACATAGAATAAAGTTTTCTAAAGCAGAGTTTTCCAATAGAAACATAATGTGAGCCACATAGGTAAGCTTAAATTCTAGTATCCACATTTTAAAAAGTAAAAAGAGATGAAATTGATTTTAATTAAAATTTTATTTAAGCCAATATATCCAAAGTTTTATTTCAACATATAATCAGTATTAAAAGTTACTAGTGAGACATTTTACTTTTTTAAAATTATTCATTCTTCAAAATTCTGTCAGTATTTTACATTTATTGTAAAATGAATTGCCCTCAAAATTTATAGGACAAATTTTCAGCACAAACAGTTAAGCTCTATTTAGATTTTATAAAATTTTCAGTTGAAAAAGTAGGCATGTATTCAAGTTGTTTCAAACATATTTAAAAGTTATCCAATGACTGAATCAATAATCACTTTTTAAGTTTAAATTAGACAAACATTCATTTCCTTCATTATACTAGCCATATGTTAAGTGACTATCATATTGGATATCATACTGGATAATTGCACAGTCCAGAGTTGATGTGGATCACTGATACGATTTGGCTCTGTGTCTCCACCCAAATCTCATGTCAAATTGTAATCTCCACAGGTCAGGGGAGGCAGCTGGTAGGGGGTGATTGGATCATGGGGGCAGATTTCCCCCTTACTGTTCTCACGATAGTAAGTGAGTTCTTAGGAGATCTGATGGCTTAAAAGTGTGGCACTTGCCCCCTCGCTGGCTCTCTCCTGCTGCCATGTAAGATGTGCCTTGCTTCCCCTTCACCTTCTGCCATGATTGTAAGTTTGCCTCCCCAGCCATACGGAACTGTTGAGTCAATTAAACCTCTTCTCTTTATAAATTACCCTGTCTCAGGTAGTTCTTTACAGCAGCATGAAAACAGACAAATACAGTCACTTAAATAAGCCAACACCATGTATAAGTTTGTGTCATTTTACATAATTGTGTCTATTCAAGGGATCCATGGATAAAGCCTCTTCAGGATTCTGGAGGGGAGTTGGTAGTAAGGCCAAGTTGTAAAAGCCAGGGCACCCCTAGAAATTTGGAGCTAAGGTCGAGTCCGATAGAGTGTAGGGTGGTCAGAGCAGAGCTGCTGGGCATTGCAGCCTTTAGGTCTTCTGCTTCTTTGCACTGAAACATGTTGACAACTAGGCAAATCTTGCTTGTTAGTGTTCTAAGTAAGCCAGCTGCTGGATGTGGGGGATGCTAGGGCCTAGAGTCTAAGAAGATAGCCCCTGTGTTCAACAGCTACCTTTATAAGTGAGACCTGGGAATGCTAGTGATCACAGGTGGCATGATCCCTTCAGTGACATACTCAAGGTTGATAGGCCATGTTAGTTGAATAGTCTCGGAAAAACAAAAGTACATACAGGTAAATATATTTATTTTTAATATTTAAAAATAATGAACTTTGTTGCTATTTGTTGAATCATTGCATTGAATCCTTTATTCAAGTAGTACCAGAGTTGTATACCACACAGGATACTTAAATTTTAAAGGGGAAAAGAAGGCCGGGTGTGGTAGCTCATGCCTATAATCCCAGGACTTTGGGAGGCCAAGGTGGGCAGATCACCTGAGGTCAGGAGTTTGAGACCAGTCTGGCCAACATGGTGAAACCCCATCTCTACTAAAAATGCAAAAATTAGCCAGGCATGGTGGCAGGTGCTTGTAATCCCAGTTACTTCGGAGGCTGAGGCAGGAGAATCGCTTGAACCCGGGAGGCGGAGGTTGCTGTGAGCCGAGATCGCACCACCGCACTCCAGCCTAGGTGACAGAGCGAGGCTTTGTCTCAAAAAAAAAATAAAATAAAAAATCAAAAAAGGGGGAAAAGAAAAATATGTTAATCAGATTTGAATGCAGAGACTCTCTCTGCTCTTGGCTTGTGTTTCCTAAGCGGTGACTACATTGAATATACTCTCAGTTGTTCCAGATTTACCTGTTGCTCTCTGCTGACTGCTCTGTAAATGGTTTATAGCTGAAGCTTCACTGTAGTATAAAACTTCATTTTATTTTTAAAAACCTTTCTTTGTTGTCTAGAGCCTGTGTGGTGCCCCTATCTCCTTGTTCCAAGGGCCTCTCTTGCCTTGAAAGCCTTCTTATTACACCAGCCTTGGAATGGACAGTATTCTTTGGACATTTCTCATGTGTAAGTTTTTCACTTTTCTTTTTCTTTCATAATTTACTTGGGGTTGAAAGACACCCATGAAAGTCAGCCATGGCCTGTACTCCAGCATTTAAAGGGAATGGAGCCTTTAAAGCCGAGAGAAGGCAGAGACACTACAGAATTGCCAGGCTGCCTCTGGGTTCTCGGGCCTTTGTGGAAGTGTGGGTCAGTGAGGAGCTGTGAGGGCGTGTATTGCTCTCAGGTGGCTGTGTGCTTGTCTTATGGTCTGAACATGGATGTGTCGTGATGATGAAAAGGATGCGTGTGAAGAGGGCAATGGAAGGCAGGAGAATTTGGAGCCGGGCACGTTCTTTTTAAAAGCAGCATCATTAGCTTCAGGGATATACTGTGTCTTAAAAATCTCAATATTTGCCTCATTGCAAAAAAATATTCACAGAAACTATTAGTGTTTATTAATTAAATTCACAAATATTACTGAACTCCTGCCATGTGCAGCACGGATGGAGGATTTAAAAATAATGCCAGGAAGTGTCTGTTCTCCAAGCACTGTCTCCTCAGAATATTCATTCTGCAGAGCTCTAAATGAGCAGATTCCTTTAGTAACATTGTTAAGTTCTTCATTAAAAGGAATCTAAACCTGATAGATTTTAAAGCCTGCTTATAAATTTCCTGGTTTCTTGAAAGCCAAGGAGACTTTCTTTACTCATTTTCTTGTTTTTGACTCAATAAGATAAAAGCAGATATTAAAGTTGATTGGTGGGGTCCTGAGTAGATTGTTGTTATTTTGGTCTATAACCAGGTTTCTAACCAAGAACTACGAAGAAGGTTATCTCTATATTAACACAACTTTTTTCAGGTGAAGAAATACGTGGTTTTAAGTGAAGAGATAATGAACTCATTCAAAATTTTTTCTTTACAGTGACTATCCAGAAAATGAAGAAATAAAGAATCTCCTCCAAGAACAGTTGAATTCATTGTCTAAGTAAGCACTCCATGTTTCATTAGAAGATAGGAATATGAGAAAGAAAAATGCAATTCAACTTTAAATGCAATTCAAAATTAAAATAAGTTACGTTTTAGAAAATATTAGTGGCCCAAGAAGAGACCATTCTGTTTAGAGGTTTGCTTCCCGTTAGAGTCTGTGTTTTGCAGAAAAAGTACTTATTCAGTAGTTACAGTGACAGAGCATCTGTCTTCACCAAGTTCATGAGCACCAGCTGCTCTGATCTCACATCAAGGCAGGACTAGATGCATAGTGGGAGCATCCTTGTAGCTCAGCTTGCCTCTACTACAAACCTCCATGAAGCCTCACAGCGGGAGACGAATCGCAGGGTGATTCTGGGTCTGCTTCCCGCTTCTAAAATGAGTTCTCTGTGTCAGGTGCTGGTGTGCACAGGTCTGGCTAAGAAATTAATGTGCTCCCTAGAGCCAAGGGCATTTAACAGAATGTACTGGGAATAAGAAAGGAAAAAATATGGGTCTACAAGGAGTTCTTGGGGAAAGCGTAACACATTTTTGCAATCTAGAATCTGTTACATATAATTATAGTATTTAACAAATTAAGCATGATATTTTATTGACGGAAAATTCAAAATAATTAGTTTTTTCTATGCAAAGATTAACATTTATGTTTAAATGGGAAACTATAGATTTAAAGAATGTCTTCCTTTCTGATTTGTGAATATTCAGTATTTTACTATTTTAGAAATACGAACTTATAAAAGCACAAGCCATTCTTCCTTAGATACTTTATTTTTGGAATAGTTTCAGAATAAATTACGAATGTCATCTTCTTTAAAGTATTTACTGTTCTTGATGATTTTTTCAACAATGGCATTCTTGTTCCAGTAGTTAGGCAGCTAATACTTTCAAAAACTGTTGTAAGCCTATAAACCAGAAATGAGAGCGCTGCAGCTCCCTGTGGTGGCTGAAAGCTGCTGCTTCTCCAAGCCTTGAGAACACTCTCAGCCCCCTTCAACTTTTATAATTTCAGGGTCATGGTAAAGTACCTTGTCTTGTGTAAATTCTAAACATGTTATTTGACTGGAATTTTTCATTTCAAGAGTATATTGATCAACCCCCATGCTTTATTGTTTGATTGAAAACTTTTGTCTCACTTTTGTCCGGATTTCTTCCACAGTGACATAAAGAAACTGTTGCTTGATCCAGAATTCACTCTCTTGCAGAGGTGCCTGCTTGTTTCAAGGTAATATTGTTTGATGTATTCTGTATAAGAGACAGGATTTCAAGTTAACTCATTTCTTTTAAGGGTTTTTAGTTAGAAACACTTAGATTTTAGAAAAATGTATCAGTTCATCCTTTAGATTTAACTTAAAATAATTTTGACAGTAGTAATAACAAATAGGGAAAAATCAAATTGCATTTTAAATGTGAGATCTAGGCCTTCTCTCTGGAAAGCACTTCCTCCTACAGCTTTTTAAAATATGTGTTTTAAAATATCAGATACAGGTATATTTAAATATACCAATAAATTATATTTAGAAGCGATAACCTCTATATCCTGACTTACAGTAGAGTTTGTCACTTATAAAAAAGACTCCTCTCCCCACAGAATAAATAGCACATTACTTTCATACCTTATCTAGCCAGTTATCCCAGAGGAACTTCTTCCTAATGTGAATCAATGGCCCACATTGAAAGGTGTGCTAATGGCAAACCAGGTAAATAATTGTTCTTAACACAGAACAGAAAGATGCTGGAGTCTGAAGGGGTCCTGTGCAGTCAGGCCCCCGTATTGTTGAAGGCCCAGTAGCAGGGCAGGAGAACTTGCTGCCTCCCCCTTTCACCCTGTCAGGCCCCATGCCAGTATCCCAGTGGATATGTGACAACACTCCCTTCCAGTCCCTCAGTCTACTCTAGGAAGCCATCCAGGCCAGGTGTGCTGAGTGCAGTCAAAACTTTGCTTCATCCTTGCCAGGCTCTATGGTGATGAATCGGAGCTGCACTTCTGGACTGTCGCTGCCCACTACCTGCACAGCTTATCCCAGGAAAAGTCAGCCAGCACAACAGCTCCTAAAGAAGCTGCTCCTCGAGACAAACTGAGCAACCCACTGGATATATGCTATGACGTGCTCTGTGAAAATGCCTACTTTCAGGTAGTCTGCTTCACACAGCAAAACCTTTAGAGCTGTCATCTTGATTACTTATATCTTTGTCAATATCTTAAACTTGGGAAACTTTCAAACTAAGTTACTGTTCAGTAATAGAAATAAGCCCTTGAAAATTAGCTGGGTGTGGTGGCACGTGCCTGTAGTCCCAGCTACTCAGGAGGCTGAGGGAGGAGAATCACTTGAACCCAGGAGGCGGAGGTTGCAGTGAGCTGAGATCACGCCACTGCATTCCAGCCTGGGCAACAGAGCAAGACTCTGTCTCCAAAAAAAAAAAAAGAAAGAAAAGAAAGAAGCCCTCGGTACATTTGCATTAAAAAAAAAGCCTGATCAAGATTTGAAAAGCTCATAGACAGTTACTGCGTTGTTTACTAAACATTAAAATTTTATTATTAAACAGGCTTGTTTAATTTGTCTTACATTTTTAACTTGGCTTCATTTTAATTCTGTCATTAATTTCCTATAAATAACAAATACTTTATACACTTGGTTTGAATTTGCTGTTCACATGATAATTTCTTTAACCTCCTGCAGAATCCTTCAGTGCACATAGGTTTTTCATCCGGCTCTACTTAAGTGTCAGTTTCTGTAGGCAGGCAGGTATGCATCCAAGTGATAATATCTATCAACATTTTTGCTGTTCAAATTCTTATTAAATGTTTGGGGTGCTGTAAAGTTGATTATCTAGTAACCTGAAAAGTCAAAGTAGTTTATTAAAATGATCTTATTAAGTACAGTAAAATTTAAATAATTCCAAACTCTTATAATCCAGGCTTAATTTTTCTTTTTTTTCCAATTCTAGAAATTTCAGCTAGAAAGGGTTAATCTGCAGGAAGTGAAACGGTCAACTTATGATCATACAAGGAAATGTACAGACCAGCTACTGCTCTTGGGTCAAGTATGTCAGTTTTTATAACTCTACATGCTTCATTAAATTGCTAGTTAATTCGTATTTCAGAGCAATATATCTGTATGTATATATTTCATAATATTTTCCCCTTGTATGTACCTCCTTCCCTGTAGACAGTTTAGGCTTTCTTTCAAAATAATACCAATAAACCTCATGAGAAAAAACATATGGTTAACCAGCTTGTAATTTAGACTTCCATAATGCCCAGTGGAGCCCAGCTATTTGTTTTGTTTTGTTTTTGTGTCTGAATTGACTGGTACAAAGCTAAAATAGGCAATTACTCGAGCACCTAGATACACCAGCCTCTGGCTTTATGTTTGTCTCAAAAAAGTAGTGTAGCACCTCTGTTTAATGTTTGTATTTGTAAACAAAATATTCAATTGCATTTTTTGAAAATGAGTGTTTTCCTTTAGTTTTCTACCTTATGAATTTTAAAAAGTTATGTTGGAGGAAAATGTTCTCATAATTAGAAAAACCGTTTCTCTTACTAGACAGACAGAGCTGTGCAGTTGCTGTTGGAAACAAGTGCAGATAACCAGCATTATTACTGTGATTCACTGAAAGCCTGTTTAGTCACTACTGTCACCTCGTCAGGCCCCTCTCAGAGCACCATTAAGTTGGTGGCAACGAATATGATTGCCAATGGCAAATTGGCAGGTAAGGCACACTTGATATGTTTGTCATCTCTCTGAAAAATGAGACCTTGTTCCCAGCAAAGTATCTGATTAGTAGGGACATTTCTTTCTCTTTTACATATGCTGAAGAAAAATAGAAAAATTATTGCTACCTATAAATCAGATGAATATAATTGTCTAAACCAGAATTAATTGTTTACACTTTTCAGAGTGAAAGGGGGCACTGTTAATAATTGCTGAGATAATAGGCATAAATCCAACAATCCTAGGCAAATCAGAACAATAAAACCTGTGAGAGAACTATGCTCTCCCTACTTATTCTCCAGACTGTATTGTGCTTCCTACCCTGGTTACTTGAGTAATAACAGTAAAACTCTTAATATTATGTTTCAGAATTTAAATCAAGAATGTCTTCAGTAGGTATAAAATGGGCACGACTAGATAAGGTCAAATGGGGATTTAACTTTTTAATGACTTCTCAAAGAAGGAGCTGCAGTGTCACTTAAGGGGATGCGCTTTTGTCTTTCAGAGGGCGTTCAGTTGCTCTGCCTGATAGATAAGGCTGCAGACGCCTGCCGCTACCTGCAGACATACGGCGAGTGGAATCGGGCTGCATGGCTGGCAAAAGTAGGTGGTTCCAAGTTTCAATAGGTGCCCTCAACATTCGGGATAGAAAGCTCAGTCCTGAACTTTGGACTTATGACTTAGAAACATTTTTTGGCCTGCAAAGCTGCTTTGCAAATACTGTCTTGGAACCTTTATCCTTTTCCTATTCTTTATGAGTGTAAATTGCATTACTTATTTAAAAATGGATCTTGCATTGGTAGCAATTAAGTAAAAGCAGCTGCCTCCTCTTTCTCCCAGAGTCTGAGCCGAAACTACAGTCCAGAGGTATAGCCAGGCCCTGGGTCCCGTAGGCACAGACCGTTATCATTATTCAGAGTATGCAGCAGCTTCAGGGCAGTGTGCTAGTCAAGCAGAGCATAGCCTGTATTTCATAGAAACAGATCTCACTTTAACTGAATTATTATTTTTTCTTTATAGAGTGCAGGATGTTTTTGTTGTTAACACAGGCGTCTTTCTCAGGTCCGTTTGAATCCTGAGGAGTGTGCCGATGTTTTAAGGCGGTGGGTTGACCACCTTTGTTCTCCACAAGTCAATCAGAAATCAAAGGCTCTCCTGGTTCTCCTCTCTCTGGGCTGCTTTTTTAGCGTGGCAGAGACGCTTCACAGGTAAACCGAGAGTTCACATGGGCTGCTCAGGCCTGCCCGTGAGCAGTCACTTCATGTTCTCTCGCGGTTCTAGCAGGTCATGGTACTCGATGTGTAAAGTGAAAGGAGAAGTATACATTTCAGGTTTGTCAAAAAACCCAAAGGAGAATGGAACTGTCCGTATTCATTACATCTTCATTCGGTCTAGGAGCTATGCTAGTTTCCTACTAATATGCTGATCAGACTTAACAGGCACCTAGTAAAAGGGAATTTAAAAGTCTTCAGAGAATTGGGGTCCATTCAGCTTTGACTAGAGCAACTGAGAGGAGGCCCAGAGAGCAGGGGGAGAGGCGACAGAAGGCATGGTGAGGTGGAGACATCCCGTCTGAAAATCTGGAAGAGGAACAACCATCACTAATTGTGGAGCATTTCATTTATTCAAAACTAAGGGAGGTAGATTACGGAAATATGACAAAAGATTACTTGTCAACTCTGGACAGGGGTACATGGGCACTTGTCATATCTCTGTAGATTTTTGTGTATTTAAACTATTTCACAATTTTTTAAAGTATTAATTTTAAAAAGCTTGTGTTTGGAGATGTGAGTATTCTTCCCTCCTTTTTTCAACAAACTAGGGCTTAGAAAAGTGCTTGTATCTTAATGCAGTATGCAGGTTTCCAGGGAAAATGTGTAAATGTCTTTATACCCTTCGATGCTGCTGCCCACCAGTGATGTAAATCACAAAGCATAACTCTTGTTTTGTTCTGTTGAGCAGCATGAGATACTTTGATAGAGCAGCCTTATTTGTGGAAGCTTGCCTCAAGTATGGAGCATTTGAAGTCACTGAGGACACAGATATCCTTTGCAAGGTTGTTTGTAGTGACGAGGAAGAAAGTGACATGCATGGGTTTTGGAATTTCCCTTAGTTGTGCTGCCTGGACAGGAACTATATTATATTGTGAAAGATCCATGTTCTGATTTTCTGATTCACCAAAGCCAGGAAAGAGGGAGAAATTAGAGGACAAAGAATCAGATAAGAAGGTGGCTGCACCATGGGTGTCAGCTTTGACTAGGATGGAGGGAGGCAGGAAGGACTATAGAGGACAGGGCCCCCAAGTCTTGTCTGAACTTAAAAAGAAGATGAAGGAATGATTTGGGAAACAGGTAGAAGGACCTGGTACTTTGAAATAGTACTTTTTCAAGACCAGACATTCCATGGAATAAATTTTATATATTTATCTAGAAAAAATATACTGGAATAACTAAAAAAGTCTCACGATCACCTCTAGTGACAATATGATATGGGACAAAATACAGCACTTAAAGAGAGGTGTTGCTCAGGCCAGCCACTATAATCCACCCATCAGCCAGAACATTTTATTTCTTCTAAATGGCACTTGAGCAACATTGGTTTCTTTGAAAAGAATGAACTTGAGAATGCAACTCCCAGGACCAGAAAAGAATGAAACTGGGCCAGTGCTTGCATGGTCCTGCTGCTGCTCACTGCACTTTGCTTCAAATTCTTACATTTGCTCTCATTTCTACATGGCAGGTACTTGGTTCTCTCTCTCTTTCTCCCTCTTTCTCTGTGTGTGTTTATAATTTTTTTTTTTTTTTAACAGAGAATTAAAACTAAACTAAAAATTTTTTTTTTCCTTTTTTTGAGGTAAGGTCTCACTCTTCTGCCCAGACTGGAGTGAGTGGCACGATCATGGCTCACTACAGCCTTGACTTCCTGGGCTCAAGCAGTCCTCCCACCTCATCCTCCCCAGTAGCTGGGACCATAGGTCCACACCATTGTGCCTGGCTTTTTTTTTTTTTTGGTAGTAACCCGGGTCTCACTATGTTGCCCAGGCTGGTCTTGAACTCCTAGTTCAAGCAGTCCTCTCACCTTGGCCTCCCAAAGTGCTGAGATTACAGGCATGAGCCACCCAGCCCTGCACTGAAAGTTTTTTAAAATTAAACTGAAGGCTGAGCCTACTCAAGATCATGTACCTAGTCACTGGGAAGGTGACTGGTTCAGTGTATGCATTTTGAGGATCAAAGCATCAGCACAGAGTACCCAATAGGCTGTTTAAAAAAATAAAAATAAATAAAAAAAAACCAATAGGACAGGGCTTTCTAAAAACCCAACAACCAGATATAGGGAACATTCAGAAATAAATATCTGCCCCCAAACTGCCAGCCTCTCAGACTTTCAAATGGAATGAGGATATGCAGGTTAAGTTTCTCCTCTCTTATCATTCATCTTCCAATCTTCAGTTGAGTGTAGGTTATGGGAGGATGTTGGTTGGGTCTTCTGGAAGGAGAAGCTTTGGACTCAGCTGGTACGAAAGGTAATGATGGTACAGACTGAGACATGGCCTACTATGGCCGGGAATCACCCTCTGCCCGCGAAAAGTCTCCTGTGTTCATCCTGTGCTGCCCGCTGTGGACACCAGGTCCCTTCCGAGCAGCCAGCAGAGCAGACGCGACTCACCCTTCCTGCTTCTGGGAGCCTGTGAAGAGTCTCATCACAGCCCTTTTTACTCTTCTTTTCCTTAACTATGGTTTACAGAAACTCATCACTGCTATATATGCAGATTATGCCCGGAGTTTGAAGAACCTCGGTTTTAAGCAGGGAGCAGTTCTCTTTGCTTCAAAAGCCGGAGCAGCTGGCAAAGACTTATTGAATGAGCTTGAGTCCCCCAAGGAAGAACCCATTGAAGAGTGACAGCTTAATAAATGCCAGGGAATCTGACCTGGAAGGCAGATGGGAGGGGGCTGGTCTGGCTGTGGCCACCGTCACAGTCCAGGATGAAGAGGAGTACAGGGTCCTGTGAGCTGTTTGACCACTGTTCTAAGACTATGTGTGCCCAAAAGCACATAAGCATCTATGTTGAGAGTAAGTTTGTATCCTGCGTTGGTCTCAGAAAGAACGTGAATGCTTAAGATTTTGAAAGTACATAATATTTTATACTTTGGGAGAGAGCTTTAAGAGTCCCTGGAAATACTTTTTAATTTTTTTAACTTAAAATTCAAGAGACTGAATCACTTTTCTCATTGATTAAATGTAAAGATTATTGAGAAACCTATAGTAAATGAAATTTGTGAGATGTTTTCTCAAATATATGCTGTGCCTGTACTTATATACAGTCTTTCAAGAGAGATACAAACAAGGCAGAAACATTTAAACTAGTATTAAAGGTAGTTTACCAAAGCATTTTTTGTTTTCTTACCTTGAAAACACAGAACCGTTAATTCCTTGGTTTAAGCAGTTGCTAAGTTTTGTAATTTTAGGCTCAGAGGACCATAGGAGGTTTTAAGATTTATGTTTAGTCCGATAGGTGAGGTCTTTGATATTTTGAATTTTAACTCCTTTTATGATACATCACAGTAACCTCATTTTTGAAGTCTTTCTTTGTACTTTAATGTTCTCTCTGTTCTAATAGTTGAAGTATGAGATGTAACTATTATAAACTGTTGCTGAAAACATAAATGTCTGTAACTTACAAACATGATAAATAAATTAAAAATTCCATCCAGGCCTTTGTGTTCTCTGCATTGCTGTGCATGAGGCCAGGTCATGAGGTGGCTCCTTAGGAGTCATCTGGTCGCCCAGCCTCTAAAGCCTGGCTGCTCCTGCTGTATCCAGAGAAACCTGTATGTGGGAATCCCATGGGTGCGGTACAGGGCAGGAATGACACCCACACCCCGGGCAAGTCTACCTCTGAGTTCCCGAGTGGGAATGTGGCTTAGTGCACAGCTTTTGGAGATGAGGGGGTGAGCACTTCCATCTTTTCCCTCCTGAGCCTGCTGGGTGACACATCATACCCACTAAGAGGTACAATTTTTAAAGAGAAGCATAGCCTCTTTCTACCGTTAGACCAACCAGTCTGACACCCTCTGCCAAGGAACTGAGCTCCATGGAAAGGAAGGCCTGTCCCAGGAATATTTGTCCGTAGCTCGGTGCTTTGGCGAGCAGTTCTGTGTCTGGAGTTGGTTCCTTCCGGTGGGTTCTTGGTCTCGCTGACTTCAAGAATGAAGCCACAGACCTTCACGGTGAGTGTTACAGCTCTTAAAGGTGGCACGGACCCAAAGAGTGAGCAGCAGCAAGATTTATTGTGAAGAGCGAAAGAACAAAGCTTCCACAGCATGGAAGGGGACCCAAGCAGGTTGCCACTGCTGGCTGGGATGGCCAGCTTTTATTCCCTTATTTGCCCCTGACCACATCCTGCTGATTGGTCCATTTTACAGAGTGCTGATTGGTGCGTTCACAATCCTTTAGCTAGACACAGAGCACTGATTGGTGTGTTTTTTTACGGAGTGCTGATTGGTGCATTTACAATCCTTTGGCTAGACACAGAGCACTGACTGGTGCATTTTTACGGAGTGCTGATTGGTGCATTTACAATCCTTTAGCTGGACACAGAATGCTGATTGGTGCATTTACAATCCTTTAGCTAGACAGAAACGTTCTCCAAGTCCCCACTCAACCCAGGAAGTCCAGCTGGCTTCACCTCTCAGTTCTAGAAGAAATTCAGGATCCATTATTGGTCCCATACCTGGCTCGTGTTTCCTGTCCTTTCTTTGCCTAGACACACAGCAGTAGACTTTCTAAAGGCCACATGCAAACGCCACTTTCTTTACATTGTTTATTATTTGTCCAGATTTCTTTATTCAACCATTCTCTTAGCTTTGGCTGCTATAACCAAATACAGAGATTGAGTAGCTTAAACAACAGACATTTATCTCTCATAATTCTAGAGGCTGGCGGTCCGAGACCAAGATGCCAGCAGATTTGTTCCTGGTGAGGAACTTCCTGGCTTGTAGAGCGCCGCCTTCTCGCTACGTACTCATGTGGCCTTTCCTCTGTGTATGCACGTGAAGCAAGCAGGCTGTCTGTCTTCCCCTTATATAGGCCCTAATCCCATCATGGGGTCAACCTCAGCCTAATTACCTCCAAAAGGCTGAACCCTCGAGGGAGGAGCCAAGATGGCGGAATAGGAACAGCTCCGGTCTACAGCTCCCAGCCTGAGTGACGCAGAAGACGGGTGATTTCTGCATTTCCATCTGAGGTACCAGGTTCATCTCACTAGGGAGTGCCAGACAGTCGGCGCAGGTCAGTGGGTGCGTGCACCGTGCGCGAGCCGAAGCAGGGCGAGGCATTGCCTCACCTGGGAAGCGCAAGGGGTCAGGGAGTTCCCTTTCTGAGTCAAAGAAAGGGGTGACGGACAGCACCTGGAAAATCGGGTCACTCCCACCCGAATACTGCGCTTTTCCGACGGGCTTAAAAAATGGCGCACCACGAGATTATATCCCGCACCTGGCTCGGAGGGTCCTACCCCACGGAGTCTCCCTGATTGCTAGCACAGCAGTCTGAGATCAAACTGCAAGGCGGCAGCGAGGCTGGGGGAGGGGCGCCCGCCATTGCCCAGGCTTGCTTAGGTAAACAAAGCAGCCGGGAAGCTCGAACTGGGTGGAGCCCACCACAGCTCAAGGAGGCCTGCCTGCCTCTGTAGGCTCCACCTCTGGGGGCAGGGCACAGACAAACTAAAAGACAGCAGTAACCTCTGCAGACTTAAATGTCCCTGTCTGACAGCTTTGAAGAGAGCAGTGGTTCTCCCAGTACGCAGCTGGAGATCTGAGAACAGGCAGACTGCCTCCTCAAGTGGGTCCCTGACCCCTGACCCCCGAGCAGCCTAACTGGGAGGCACCCTCCAGCAGGGGCACACTGACACCTCACACTGCAGGGTACTCCAACAGACCTGCAGCTGAGGGTCCTGTCTGTTAGAAGGAAAACTAACAAACAGAAAGGACATCCACACCAAAAACCCATCTGTACATCACCATCATCAAAGACCAAAAGTAGATAAAACCACAAAGATGGGGAAAAAACAGAACAGAAAAACTGGAAACTCTAAAAATCAGAGCACCTCTCCTCCTCCAAAGGAACGCAGCTCCTCACCAGCAACGGAACAAAGGTGGACGGAGAATGACTTTGACGAGCTGAGAGAAGAAGGCTTCAGACGATCAAATTACTCTGAGCTACGGGAGGACACTCAAACCAAAGGCAAAGAAGTTGAAAACTTTGAAAAAAAATTTAGAAGAATGTATAACTAGAATAACCAATACAGAGAAGTGCTTAAAGGAGCTGATGGAGCTGAAAACCAAGGCTCGAGAACTACGTGAAGAATGCAGAAGCCTCAGGAGCCGATGCGATCAACTGGAAGAAAGGGTATCAGCAATGGAAGATGAAATGAATGAAATGAAGTGAGAAGGAAAGTTTAGAGAAAAAAGAATAAAAAGAAATGAGCAAAGCCTCCAAGAAATATGGGACTATGTGAAAAGACCAAATCTACGTCTGATTGGTGTACCTGAAAGTGATGGGGAGAGTGGAACCAAGTTGGAAAACACTCTGCAGGATATTATCCAGGAGAATTTCCCCAATCTAGCAAGGGAGGCCAACGTTCAGATTCAGGAAATACAGAGAACGCCACAAAGATACTCCTCGAGAAGAGCAACTCCAAGACACATAATTGTCAGATTCACCGAAGTTGAAATGAAGGAAAAAATGTTAAGGGCAGGCAGAGAGAAAGGTCGGGTTACCCTCAAAGGGAAGCCCATCAGACTAACAGCGGATCTCTCGGCAGAAACCCTACAAGCCAGAAGAGAGTGGGGGCCAATATTCAACATTCTTAAAGAAAAGAATTTTCAACCCAGAATTTCATATCCAGCCAAACTAAGCTTCATAAGTGAAGGAGAAATAAAATACTTTACAGACAAGCAAATGCTGAGAGATTTTGTCACACCAGGCCTGCCCTAAAAGAGCTCCTGAAGGAAGCGCTAAACATGGAAAGGAACAACTGGTACCAACCGCTGCAAAATCATGCCAAAATGTAAAGACCATCGGGACTAGGAAGAAACTGCATCAACTAACGAGCAAAATAACCAGCTAACATCATAATGACAGGGTCAAATTCACACATAACACTATTAACTTTAAATGTAAATGGACTAAATGCTCCAATTAAAAGACACAGACTGGCAAATTGGATAAAGAGTCAAGACCCATCAGTGTGCTGTATTCAGGAATCCCATCTCACGTGCAGAGACACACATAGGCTCAAAATAAAAGGATGGAGGAAGATCTACCAAGCAAATGGAAAACAAAAAAAGGCAGGGGTTGCAATCCTAGTCTCTGATAAAACAGACTTTAAACCAACAAAGATCAAAAGAGACAAAGCATTACATAATGGTAAAGGGATCAATTCAACAAGAAGAGCTAACTATCCTAAATATATATGCACCCAATACAGGAGCACCCAGATTCATAAAGCAAGTCCTGAGTGACCTACAAAGAGACTTAGACTCCCACACATTAATAATGGGAGACTTTAACATCCCACTGTCAACATTAGACAGATCAACGAGACAGAAAGTCAACAAGGATACCCAGGAATTGAACTCAGCTCTGCACCAAGTGGACCTAATAGACATCTACAGAACTCTCCACCCCAAATCAACAGAATATACATTTTTTTCAGCACTACACCACACCTATTCCAAAATTGACCACATACTTGGAAGTAAAGCTCTCCTCAGCAAATGTAAAAGAACAGAAATTATAACAAACTATCTCTCAGACCACAGTGCAATCAAACTAGAACTCAGGATTAAGAATCTCACTCAAAACTGCTCAACTACATGGAAACTGAACAACCTGCTCCTGAATGACTACTGGGTACATAACGAAATGAAGGCAGAAATGAAGATGTTCTTTGAAACCAACGAGAATAAAGACACAACATACCAGAATCTCTGGGACGCATTCAAAGCAGTGTGTAGAGGGAAATTTATAGCACTAAATGCCCACAAGAGAAAGCAGGAAAGATCCAAAATTGACACCCTAACATCACAATTAAAAGAACTAGAAAAGCAAGAGCAAACACATTCAAAAGCTAGCAGAAGGCAAGAAATAACTAAAATCAGAGCAGAACTGAAGGAAATAGAGACACAAAAAACCCTTCAAAAAATTAATGAATCCAGGAGCTGGTTTTTTGAAAGGATCAACAAAATTGATAGACCGCTAGCAAGACTAATAAAGAAAAAAAGAGAGAAGAATCAAATAGACGCAATAAAAAATGATAAAGGGGATATCACCACCGATCCCACAGAAATACAAACTACCATCAGAGAATACTACAAACACCTCTACGCAAATAAACTAGAAAATCTAGAAGAAATGGATAAATTCCTTGACACATAAACTCTCCCAAGACTAAACCAGGAAGAAGTTGAATCTCTGAATACACCAATAACAGGAGCTGAAATTGTGGCAATAATCAATAGCTTACCAACCAAAAAGAGTCCAGGACCAGATGGATTCACAGCCAAATTCTACCAGAGGTACAAGAAGGAACTGGTACCATTCCTTCTGAAACTATTCCAATCAACAGAAAAAGAGGGAATCCTCCCTAACTCATTTTATGAGGCCAGCATCATTCTGATACCAAAGTCGGGCAGAGACACAACCAAAAAAGAGAATTTTAGACCAATATCCTTGATGAACATTGATGCAAAAATCCTCAATAAAATACTGGCAAACCAAATCCAGCAGCACATCAAAAAGCTTATCCACCATGATCAAGTGGGCTTCATCCCTGGGATGCAAGGCTGGTTCAATATACGCAAATCAATAAATGTAATCCAGCATATAAACAGAGCCAAAGACAAAAACCACATGATTATCTCAATAGATGCAGAAAAGGCCTTTGACAAAATTCAACAACCTTTCATGCTAAAAACTCTCAATAAATTAGGTATTGATGGGACATATTTCAAAATAATAAGAGCTATCTATGACAGACCCACAGCTAATATCATACTGAATGGGCAAAAACTGGAAGCATTCCCTTTGAAAACTGGCACAAGACAGGGATGCCCTCTCTCACCACTCCTATTCAACATAGTGTTGGAAGTTCTGGCCAGGGCAATTAGGCAGGAGAAGGAAATAAAGGGTATTCAATTAGGAAAAGAGGAAGTCAAATTGTCCCTGTTTGCAGACGACATGATTGTATATCTAGAAAACCCCATTGTCTCAGCCCAAAATCTCCTTAAGCTGATAAGCAACTTCAGCAAAGTCTCAGGATACAAAATCAATGTGCAAAAATCACAAGCATTCCTATACACCAACAACAGACAAACAGAGAGCCAAATCATGAGTGAACTCCCATTCACAATTGCTTCAAAGAGAATAAAATACCTAGGAATCCAACTTACAAGGGATGTGAAGGACCTCTTCAAGAACTACAAACCGCTGCTCAAGGAAATAAAAGAGGATACAAACAAATGGAAGAACATTCCATGCTCATGGGTAGGAAGAATCAATATTGTGAAAATGGCCATACTGCCCAAGGTAATTTACAGATTCAATGCCATCCCCATCAAGCTACCAATGCCTTTCTTCACAGAATTGGAAAAAACTACTTTAAAGTTCATATGGAACCAAAAAAGAGCCTGCATCGCCAAGGCAATCCTAAGCCAAAAGAACAAAGCTGGAGGCATCACACTACCTGACTTCAAACTATATTACAAGGCTACAGTAACCAAAACAGCATGGTACTGGTACCAAAACAGAGATATAGATCAATGGAACAGAACAGAGCCCTCAGAAATAACGCCGCATATCTACAACTATCTGATCTTTGACAAACCTGAGAAAAACAAGCAATGGGGAAAGGATTCCCTATTTAATAAATGGTGCTGGGAAAACTGGCTAGCCATATGTAGAAAGCTGAAACTGGATCCCTTCCTTACACCTTATACAAAAATCAATTCAAGATGGATTAAATACTTAAATGTTAGACCTAAAACCATAAAAACCCTAGAAGAAAACCTAGGCATTACCATTCAGGACATAGGCATGGGCAAGGACTTCATGTCTAAAACACCAAAAGCAATAGCAACAAAAGACAAAATTGACAAATGGGATCTAATTAAACTAAAGAGCTTCTGCACAGCAAAAGAAACTACTATCAGAGTGAACAGGCAACCTACAAAATGGGAGAAAATTTTTGCAACCTACTCATCTGACAAAGGGCTAATATCCAGAATCTACAATGAACTCAAACAAATTTACAAGAAAAAAACAAACAACCCCATCAAAAAGTGGGTGAAGGACATGAACAGACACTTCTCAAAAGAAGACATTTATGCAGCCAAAAAACACATGAAAAAATGCTCACCATCACTGGCCATCAGAGAAATGCAAATCAAAACCACAATGAGATACCATCTCACACCGGTTAGAATGGTGATCATTAAAAAGTCAGGAAACAACAGGTGCTGGAGAGGATGTGGAGAAATAGGAACACTTTTACACTGTTGGTGGGACTGTAAACTAGTTCAACCATTGTGGAAGTCAGTGTGGCGATTCCTCAGGGATCTAGAACTAGAAATACCATTTGACCCAGCCATCCCATTACTGGGTATATACCCAAAGGACTATAAATCATGCTGCTATAAAGACACATGCACACGTATGTTTATTGCGGCATTATTCACAATAGCAAAGACTTGGAACCAACCCAAATGTCCAACAGTGATAGACTGGATTAAGAAAATGTGGCACATATACACCATGCAATACTATGCAGCCATAAAAAATGATGAGTTCATGCCCTTTGTAGGGACATGGATGAAATTGGAAACCATCATTCTCAGTAAACTATCGCAAGAACAAAAAACCAAACACCGCATATTCTCACTCATAGGTGGGAATTGAACAATGAGATCACATGGACACAGGAAGGGGAACATCACACTCTGGGGACTGTTGTGGGGTGGGGGGAGGGGGGAGGGATAGCATTGGGAGATATACCTAATGCTAGATGACGAGTTAGTGGGTGCAGCACACCAGCATGGCACATGTATACATATGTAACTAACCTGCACAATGTGCACATGTACCCTAAAACTTAAAGTATAATAATAAATAAATAAGGAAAAAAAAAGGCTGAACCCTCAAATACTATCACACTGGACGGTAAGGCTTCAACATGTGAATTACGAGACTTGCGAAGCAGAGAGAAAGAAGAAACTTTATACCAGAGTCGTGCTTTCTGAAAAATGAAAATGCTTTGGATTAAGGCCAACAAATAGGTACTAAGGCATTGCCTGATGGTGAGAGTGAAGCAGGGCCAGGCACGGCAGCTCGGTATAAACACAGTGAGCAGACAAGGCCCAGAGCCTGGGTTTGTGTCAGTCCAGCTGGCTAGTGTAGCAGTTAGGACTCCCACGGGGACACAGAGACCAAGCCTGGTCGAGACACCACTGAAAATCCCCTTCCAAACAGAACAGGTGATCTCTGGTGATATTCACAGCCACACTGCTGAAAACTGCCATACTCACCTCCATCAAGCATTGGAAATCAAGAGCTGAACAAGTATGAATTGTTTTTCACATTTAGCCTTTCTGAATATCTTTTCACGAAAGATCATTAAGAATACGTGTTGTCAACACACTAATGAGGTGGCTTCACGAGCTGAAACAAGCAGCTGAAATTGGGAATAAGACTGAGAATTACTTCAGGACAGCAGACCCTGGCCCCAGTGCCAGCCCCCACAGAAGCTGCTGGGCAAGGCCTGGGCCCTTCCCTTTGCCACAAAGCCTGGGTGGGGGTGGAGGAGCCACTCTGGAGGTGGGGCTTCTTCAGGAAGAAGGCCAGGTGGTGGGTGGTAGGTGCTTCCCCTTGACTGGTCTCTGAGCCATTTCCTACTGCTCACCGTTACCTTTTTCCTCCTCTGTTGCTAACGAAATGCTCTGCCAAATGTGGCTGGCTGCCCCACCACGGTCTTGCTCTAGGTTTAATCATTGCTTTGGACGTAGTAGCAGGACATTTTGTTCTTTCAAAAGAGATAACAGAGCAGATTCATACAAGCCTCATGTCCCTCTCACACAGGTACCCGATCAGAAAGTCTCAACATGTAGACACAATGAAATAAGAAAACAATTTCTCTCTCATCTATTTGTTTCCTGAGGCTTCCTCTTGCCTCAGGATGGTGTTAGGTTTCAGTGAATCCTGAGCTCTGTGACTACCCAGGATATTCCATTCTCAGCAACAGGATGTGATTGAAGTAAAGCATTCAGGCACAAACTTGTAACTGTGCTGCTGAAATAAAAGAGGGCCACGCAGGGAAGGCACCCAAGGGAGAATGTTCCAGGCAACGGGGCCGTTTCTCTGGGAGCCTGCATGAGATTATTTTGACTGACTCAAAATGACTTGTGAATGAAAGAACCCTTTTAATTAAAACGTAATGGCAGTTTTAATCAAGGACATGTTGCTGCCACTTTAAAAGAAGGAAGGAGGAGCTGCGCTTTTGGAAGGCACTTCTGAAAACTGCTGGAATCCAATGAGATGTCAGGTCTAAGAGGAAATCAGAAGGGCAGACAGCCGCCACCTCGCCTTGCCTTTCCTGCAAGGGTCCTGCATGTTTTCTTTCCTTCCATGCCTGTTTGGTCAGCACGCAGCACACATTCAAAATAACCCGGGAAAGCCCCGCTTTTCTCCCGCTGAGAGATGATGAGCGACTGAGGCTCTCACAGGAGTCCCTGTGGACAATTTCAGGCCTTTCTCTTTGGTGTTTGGCATCATGCCTAAAAATGCCAAATAAAAACCACCCTCACCTTATTTTTTTCAAGAACATTGAGAAATATGACTTAAGATAAAATATGTCCTAAGTATAAGAGAAAGAAGGACATTTTGGGTTCCACAGGTGACCTGGCATGATTTTTAGCTTTCCCGTCTTCCATATTTAAAGTGAGCAAAGCCAAGGACAATTAAAGATGCTCAAATTGCCGGGTGCAGTGGCTCACGCCTGTAATCCTAGCACTTTGGGAGGCCGAGGCAGGCAGCTTACCAGAGCTCAGGAGTTCGAGACCAGCCTCAGCAACATGGTGAAACCCCATCTCTACTAAAATACAAAAAAAAAAAAAAAAAAAAATAGCTGAGTGTGGTGGTGTGCACCTGTAGTCCCAGCTACTCAGGAGGCTGAGGCAGGAGAATTGCTTGAACCTGGAAGGCAGAGGTTGAGGTGAGCTGAGATGGGACCACTGCACTCCAGCCTGGGCGACAGCGAGACTCCATCTCTTTAAAAAAAAGAAAAAAGAAAGATGCTCAAATTAGCCGGGTGTGGTGGCGGGCACTTGTATTCCCAGCTGCTTGGGAGGCTGAGGCAAGAGAACCGCTTGAACCTGGGAAAAGGAGGTTGCAGTGAGCTGAGGCAGAATCTCTTGAACCTGGGAAAAGGAGGTTGCAGTGAGCTGAGATTGCACCACTGCACTCCAGCCTGGGCAACAAGAGCAAAACTCCATCTCAAGAAAAAAAAAAAAAGAGGCAATAGAGACACAAAATCACTTCAAAAAATTAATGAATCCAGGAGCTGGTTTTTTGAAAGGATCAACAAAATTGATAGACTGCTAGCAAGACTAATAAAGAAAAAAAGAGAGAAGAATCAAATAGACGCAATAAAAAATGATAAAGGGGATATCACCACCGATCCCACAGAAATACAAACTACCATCAGAGAATACTACAAACACCTCTACGCAAATAAACTAGAAAATCTAGAAGAAATGGATAAATTCCTTGACACATACACTTTCCCAAGACTAAACCAGGAAGAAGTTGAATCTCTGAATAGACCAATAACAGGAGCTGAAATTGTGGCAATAATCAATAGTTTACCAACCAAAAAGAGTCCAGGACCAGATGGATTCACAGCCGAATTCTATCAGAGGTACAAGGAGGAACTGGTACCATTCCTTCTGAAACTATTCCAATCAACAGAAAAAGAGGGAATCCTCCCTAACTCATTTTATGAGGCCAGCATCATTCTGATACCAAAGCCAGGCAGAGACACAACAAAAAAAGAGAATTTTAGACCAATATCCTTGATGAACATTGATGCAAAAATCCTCAATAAAATACTGGCAAAACGAATCCAGCAGCACATCAAAAAGCTTATCCACCATGATCAAGTGGGCTTCATCCCTGGGATGCAAGGCTGGTTCAATATACGCAAATCAATAAATGTAATCCAGCATATAAACAAGAGCCAAAACAAAAACCACATGATTATCTCAATAGATGCAGAAAAAGCCTTTCACAAAATTCAACAACCCTTCATGCTAAAAACTCTCAATAAATTAGGTATTGATGGGATGTATTTCAAAATAATAAGAGCTATCTATGACAAACCCACAGCCAATATCATACTGAATGGGCAAAAACTGGAAGCATTCCCTTTGAAAACTGGCACAAGACAGGGATGCCCTCTCTCACCACTCCTATTCAACATAGTGTTGGAAGTTCTGGCCAGGGCAATTAGGCAGGAGAAGGAAATAAAGGGTATTCAATTAGGAAAAGAGGAAGTCAAATTGTCCCTGTTTGCAGACGACATGATTGTATATCTAGAAAACCCCATTGTCTCAGCCCAAAATCTCCTTAAGCTGATAAGCAACTTCAGCAAAGTCTCAGGATACAAAATCAATGTGCAAAAATCACAAGCATTCCTATACACCAACAACAGACAAACAGAGAGCCAAATCATGAGTGAACTCCCATTCACAATTGCGTCAAAGAGAATAAAATACCTAGGAATCCAACTTACAAGGGATGTGAAGGACCTCTTCAAGGAGAACTACAAACCGCTGCTCAAGGAAATAAAAGAGGATACAAACAAATGGAAGAACATTCCATGCTCATGGGTAGGAAGAATCAATATCTTGAAAATGGCCATACTGCCCAAGGTAATTTACAGATTCAATGCCATCCCCATCAAGCTACCAATGCCTTTCTTCACAGAATTGGAAAAAACTACTTTAAAGTTCATATGGAACCAAAAAAGAGCCTGCATCGCCAAGGCAATCCTAAGCCAAAAGAACAAAGCTGGAGGCATCACACTACCTGACTTCAAACTATACTACAAGGCTACAGTAACCAAAACAGCATGGTACTGGTACCAAAACAGAGATATAGATCAATGGAACAGAACAGAGCCCTCAGAAATAACGCCGCATATCTACAACTATCTGATCTTTGACAAACCTGAGAAAAACAAGCAATGGGGAAAGGATTCCCTATTTAATAAATGGTGCTGGGAAAACTGGCTAGCCATATGTAGAAAGCTGAAACTGGATCCCTTCCTTACACCTTATACAAAAATCAATTCAAGATGGATTAAAGACTTAAACGTTAGACCTAAAACCATAAAAACCCTAGAAGAAAACCTAGGCATTACCATTCAGGACATAGGCATGGGCAAGGACTTCATGTCTAAAACACCAAAAGCAATGGCAACAAAAGACAAAATTGACAAATGGGATCTAATTAAACTAAAGAGCTTCTGCACAGCAAAAGAAACTACCATCAGAGTGAACAGGCAACCTACAAAATGGGAGAAAATTTTTGCAACCTACTCATCTGACAAAGGGCTAATATCCAGAATCTACAATGAACTCAAACAAATTTACAAGAAAAAAACAAACAACCCCATCAAAAAGTGGGTGAAGGACATGAACAGACACTTCTCAAAAGAAGATATTTATGCAGCCAAAAAACACATGAAAAAATGCTCATCATCACTGGCCATCAGAGAAATGCAAATCAAAACCACAATGAGATACCATCTCACACCAGTTAGAATGGCAATCATTAAAAAGTCAGGAAACAACAGGTGCTGGAGAGGATGTGGAGAAATAGGAACACTTTTACACTGTTGGTGGGACTGTAAACTAGTTCAACCATTGTGGAAGTCAGTGTGGCAATTCCTCAGGGATCTAGAACTAGAAATACCATTTGACCCAGCCATCCCATTACTGGGTATATACCCAAAGGACTATAAATCATGCTGCTATAAAGACACATGCACACGTACGTTTATTGTGGCATTATTCACAATAGCAAAGACTTGGAACCAACCCAAATGTCCAACAATGATAGACTGGATTAAGAAAATGTGGCACATATACACCATGCAATACTATGCAGCCATAAAAAATGATGAGTTCATGTCCTTTGTAGGGACATGGATGAAATTGGAAATCATCATTCTCAGTAAACTATCGCAAGAACAAAAAACCAAACACCGCATATTCTCACTCATAGGTGGGAATTGAACAATGAGATCACATGGACACAAGAAGGGGAATATCACACTCTGGGGACTGTGGTGGGGTGGGGGGAGGGGGGAGGGATAGCATTGGGAGATATACCTAATGCTAGATGACGAGTTAGTGGGTGCAGCGCACCAGCATGGCACATGTATACATATGTAACTAACCTGCACAATCTGCACATGTACCCTAAAACTTAAAGTATAATTAAAAAAAAAAAAGAGGCTCTGATGGGCTGCTTCAGAAAGACAGGATTTGAACAAATCGTTGAGAATTTAAGAACAGATAAAAAGACAATCCTCAGTAATCACTGCCTTAAAAATGTAACCAGATTTTGGGAGGCTGAGGCGGGCAGATCACAAGGTCAAGAGATCGAGACCATCCTGGCCAACATGGTGAAACCCTGTCTCTACTGAAAATAGAAAAACTTCGCTGGGTGTGGTGGCATGTGCCTACAGTCCCAGCTACTCGGGAGGCTGAGGCAGGAAAATCGCTTGAACCCAGGAGGCAGAGGTTGCAGTGAGCCTAGATCGTACCACTGCAGTCCAGCCTGGCTCATAGCGAGACTCTGTCTCAAAAACCAAAACCAAAACAAAATGTAACCAGAGGGGTCAATTTTCGCTTTGCAGTTAGGGTATTTTTTGTTTTGTTTTGTTTTTGTTTTTGTTTTCAGACGGAGCTCTCGCTCTGTAGCCAGGCTGGAGTGCGGTGGCGCTATTTGGCTCACTGCAACCTCTGCCTCCCAGGTTCAAGAGATTCTCCTGCCTCAGCCTCCCGAGTAGCTGGGACTACAGGGGCATGCCACCATGCCCAGCTAATTTTTTTGTATTTTCAGTAGAGACAGGGTTTCACCATGTTGGCCAGGATGGTCTCGATCTCTTGACCTCGTGATCTGCCCGCCTTGGCCTCCCAAAGCGCTGGGATTACAGGCGTGAGCCACCACTTGAAGCAAGGCAGCCGACGTGAAAGCAGAGCGAGAAAAGCTACACACGATGCGGCCTCTGCTGTTCCTGTTCCTGTTCCTGGTCAGTGATGTTGCAGGTTTAGGGTCAGCAAACCACAGCCGGCAGCCCGAATCCCTGCCTCTTTCTAGAAATATGGTGTTACTGCAACAAAACTGTGCCCACCTGTTCATTGTCTGACTGTTTTCAATGATAGGGTTGAAAAGCTAGAAGGGAATCAAGTGGCCTGAAAAGCCTAAAATACTTACTCTCTGGGCCTTTACAGAAAAATAGTTCAATAACTCCTTCTCTAGGGTCGAAATGCTTCCTGGTGATGAAATCTCAGCTGTCTAACTGCCGTATTGTTTACAGACTGGTATGAGGTCCTTTGTAATTTTTCTGCAGCTAGGTGCATTAGAACCTACCTCCTTAGAAGGTTGTTGTTATAAGCTCCGTCCCATCTGGCTTCTTCATAGGCCCATGTTGCCATGGGAATGGGCCCAGGAGACTCCAAGGTTTATCCGCCAGGCTGACCTTAGTCTTATTGAGAGGTGACATCGTGCTGGCAGTCCTCAGAGCCCTCGCTCGCTCTCGGCGCCTCCTCTGCCTGGGCTCCCACTTTGGCGGCACTTGAGGAGCCCTTCAGCCCACCGCTGCACTGTGGGAGCCCCTTTCTTGGCTGGCCAAGGCCGGAGCCGGCTCCCTCAGCTTGCAGGGAGGTGTGGAGGGAGAGGCGCGAGCGGGAACCGAGGCTGCGCGCGGCGCTTGCGGGCCAGCTGAAGTTCCGGGTGGGCGTGGGCTTGGCGGGCCCCGCACTTGGAGCAGCCGGCCGGCCCTGCCGGCCCCGGGCAATGAGGGGCTTAGCACCCGGGCCAGCGGCTGCGGAGGGTGTACTGGGTCCCCCAGCAGTGCCAGCCCATCGGCGCTGAGCTCGATTTCTCGCCAGGCCTTAGCTGCCTTCCCACGGGGCAGGGCTCGGGACCTGCAGCCGGCCATGCCTGAGTCTCCCACCCCCTCCATGGGCTCCTATGCGGCCGGAGCCTCCCAGATGAGCGCCGCCCCCTGCTCCAAGGCGCCCAGTCCCATCGACCACCCAAGGGCTGAGGAGTGCGGGCGCACGGCACGGGACTGGCAGGCAGCTCCACCTGCAGCCCCTTTGCGGGATCCACTGGGTGAAGCCAGCTGCGCTCCTGAGTCTGGTGGGGACGTGGAGAACCTTTATGTCTAGCCCAGGGATTGTAAATACACCAGCAGGCACTCTATCTAGCTCAAGGTTTGTAAACACACCAATCAGCACCCTGTGTCTAGCTCAGGTTTGTGAATGCACCAATCGACACTCTGTATCTAGCTACTCTGGTGGGGACTTGGACAACCTTTGTGTCCACACTCTGTATCTAGTTAATCTAGTGGGGTCGTGAAGAACCTTTGTGTCTAGCTCAGGGATTGTAAACGCACCAGTCGGCGCCAAGTCAAAATAGACCACTCGGCTCTACCAATCAGCAAAATGTGGGTGGGGCCAGATAAGAGAATAAAAAGCAGGCTGCCCGAGCCAGCAGTGGCAACCCGCTGGGGTCCCCTTCCACACTGTGGAAGCTTTGTTCTTTTGCTCTTTGCAATAAATCTTGTTACTGCTCACTCTTTGGGTCCACTCTGCTTTTATGAGCTGTAACACACACCGCGAAGGTCTGCAGCTTCACTCCTGAGCCAGGGAGACCACGAACCCACCAGAAGGAAGAAACTCTGAACACATCCAAACATCAGAAGGAACAAACTGCAGACGCGCCAACTTAAGAGCTGTAACACTCACGGCGAGGGTCCGCAGCTTCATTCTTCAAGTCAGTGAGACCAAGAACCCACCAATTCCGGACACATTATTGTTGATAAATCTGAGGTCAAAGGCATCAACAGATGATTGAAAAGTTTAACTCCAAGTGCCGTTTCATTATCAAATATTTTTAAGCAAATCTCCATTTTACTCCAGATACTTCTGAACACGTTCTGCTATGAGATCTTCACTTTATTCCAATCTTTTGCATTCTACCATCATTTTTAAGCCAAAATACTTCAGGCAGGCTAGAAGATGAAAAAATATTTATGTCCCAAATAAGTGGCATGCACTACTGTCGTAGAAGAGAATCCATGGGGTGCAGGGACCCACGTACCTCCCTCTTGGGAAGTGCATCTCAGGTCAGGGACTCCTACAGGGCCCAATGACTGGGGCTTCAAATAATCCCACAGAGCTGAGCCAGGAAGTAGAACAATAATTAGAAGTGAAAAATGGACAAGTCTGCAATATAATCCAATGGAGACAATTCAAGGAGGAAATTGGCAAACCACTATGTTTGCACAGGTACGTTATGGAAGGAAAGGAGGGAATCCTAAGAAACAAGAGATTTCTTAAGGCTGATTTGTGCAGACATGATGCAGATCATTTTCTTAAGAACTATCTGCCCAACAACACAATTCAGTCCTCCAGGTTTTTACTTCCCAGTGTTCTTCAAAAATGTGTATCAATGAGGAATTTATTTGAAGAACAGCTCCTTGTTTGAAGTTGCTGATCTTTGCCTAGAATAGGCCAAGGAAAATATACCTCATCCCGTTAAGGAGTTAGAAAGCTGTTCCAGCAGATCATATTGTAGCAAACCTGACATAAGTTCATTTAAATGCTAAGGATCTGATCTGAGCTTGTGTTTCTGGAATTGCCAATGCACATTTCAGAGGGCCTCAGTAACTGTCAGCCAAGCCTTGGTTTTGCTTTTTGCCTTTGGCAAACCCACTCAAGAATGGTTCTAAACACAAGGACCAGAGATGTGGAACAGGGTGAAAGCAGCGGCGCTGGGAACACCTGCTTCCCGGCAATCTGGCTGCCTGGCCTTGGACAAGTTATCACCTGAGCCTCACTTGTAAAATGGTGATAATAGGGTCTCCCGATAATAGGGTCTCCCTCCAGGGGTGGCTGAGAGTCAGAGAAGGGAGCTGCGAGGGCTTCTCAAGATCAAGGATCTGTCAGCTTAGCTGCTCCTGGGAAGGAGGCTGAGACTCACATTGTCAGCTTTCACTCACTAAAGAGAGTCTTGCTTGAGGGGCTTGGACAAACAGGAGCTGGGATTAGAGTGGGTGGGACTGGGAAGGAGAGAGAGAAAAAAGGAAAGAAGCAAAGATTGACTCTCCAAATCTCTAAAATCACCCACCCTACAAGTGCAGAAAGCTTGTTCTGAGCAGAAAGGACTTGATCCGGAGCCAGGTAGATCACCTTCTCTCCTGGAGGCAGCTCTGGAAAAAGGCTCTTAGGCTTCTGGCAGTTCCTCCCCTGAGAATCTCACCCTCTGCAGGTCTCCTCCTGCCTGGGAAACAAAGTCTCTCCAGTCCTTTTGCTGCCTTATGCCCCTGATCCCTGCACCCCCGGACCGGACCCCCAGCCCCATCCCATCCATGGGAACCACCAAGCTCCAAGTACTTATTGAGCCACCACCTTCTTCCAGGGACTCACCACCCCTGTCGGGGGATGCAGGGTTGCAGTGGAGAGCAGCCAGCTGGGGTCATTGGGAATACCAGAGTTGGGGCTTGGATGGAAACTGAGTGGGGAGGGCAGCAGTTCTGGGGAGGTGGGAGGAGATGTAGGTAAGTGAAGGGGGCCAGGGAGCAGCCCTGCAGGTAGGGGGCCGGCCAGAGGCTGGCAGCAGGAGAGGAGACCCCTGCAGGCAGTATGGACAGTGGGGCAGAAGTGAGCAGGCGGGAGGGCACATGCCACTTGAGGGCCCGGTGTGAGCTCAGCGAGGGGATCCAGCCAGGGTCCCTCCTGCAGAGGAACCAGCCTCAGTGTGGTCCGAAGAGCCCCAGGAGCTCAAGAAGGTGGCAAAGCCATGGCAGGCAGAGGGAAACTCAGGGAGGGGAAAGAAAAGATCGGAACTGAGGGGAGTCCTGCAGCAGCTACAGCAGGGAAGTGGTTCTGCAGCACCGTTTCCAGATTGCAGGGCTCGTTTAGAACCGTCTCAGCCTGCTGGGGTGGGAGACTGGAGAGGAGCTGCCCACAGCCTCCAGGGTGTTGTCAGAGCTTGGTGCTTGCCCTGCTCTGTCGGCAATCAGCACGGTTGCTGTGATGACACTGAGCTGCCTTGGAAGGAGATGCACAGGTAATGGGGACCTTTCTCAGGAATGCCATAAACTGTGACATAGGCCTCTCCTCGGGACTTTACAAAGCCTTAGTGAAATTCTGAAATCCACCAAATGCTTAATGTGATTCGGTTTGGGGGAAAAGCCAGAGAGGGGAACTGAATGTTGAATCAAGATTGAAACAGCCTCAGCCCACATGATGATGTGAGCAGCCACACATTTAGGTCCCCAAAAGGGTCACTGATAGGGTCACACTGGTCTGGCCCAGGAAGGGTCTGTCTGCATCTGTGCTGAGAGCTGGGGCCTCTGGAGGGCTCAGCGGAACCAGGTGAGACCAGCCAGCACCAGCCTGAGTCCTCAGCCCCCGGGCACCAGAGGCCTTCCCACCTGACTCTGCCATGACAAGTGCCCTGACTGTCTGCGGTGTTCTAGAAAGGTGACCAACAGGTGTAGGCTAATTACATTTCAAAAAAGTTTTTTTTTTTCCCGGCACATATAACAGGACTAGTCCTCTCCCCTCTTCTCATCAGATTCCATTTCCTTTAGCAAACGCACACGGTGTTCGATTTAAGTGCAATTCTCAGAAAACTTAATAACTGCAGTGTTTAATTAGTCTGACAACATTTATTGAAGCGATGAATACAGAAAAAAGTACTTTCAAGGAAGAAAAATGATGTGTCATTGTTTTGTGTTTTCTTTTCTCAAATCTGTAGGCAGGTATGAAACCGAGCAGCAATCTCTGTCTTGAAAAGCTGGTATTTCTGTTTCTAGAACGTATGTGTGTTTGGGGTGGGGTATAGAATAGAGGGATGAACTGAGTCCTTCACCCACTACCTGGTCTGCTCACTCTGCCCACGCGTGTCCCCTCGGCAGCCCTGTGAGTGCCTGAGCTGTGGCTCCCCAGGCAGTGAAGAGCTAGGCCCTGGAGCCAGACCCCCAGAGGTGATTCCCAGCTCTGCCATTGCCATGCCTCAGTTTCCCCATCTGCAAAATTGGCTTAATGACAGTGCTTCCCTCTTGCAGTCATAAAGCTCTTAGAATACAGCTTGGCAGAAAAATGTTGCCTGTCACTATTTGTGCTGTAAAAGCCCTACCTCTTGGCCGAATGGAGCTCAGTAAACCAATGGGAGAAACAGGTCCCTTCTGAGATCTCCCTAGATCCCTATTCAGCCCCTGGTAGGCTCACAATAAGGGCTCAGTGTTTGTGGGAGTGAGTATCTGTGCAGAAGGAAGATCAGAATCCAGAGGTGACAGTTTAAGGTTAACATATTATTTTCCCAGCATTTCAAAAGAAAATGCCGTGAAACACTAGTCCCACAAGATATTCCTGAGAAAAAACAAATGGGATAGGAACCAAATGAGCTGGGAAAACAGGGCATTCAATGTCTCCCCTCAGAGATTCCCAGTGCACGCTTGCACTTCAAAGGCTCTGAGAAGTCCTACCATAAAGACACCTGCTTAAATGTGTTTCAGCCAATACTAGCTAAACTCATTTGCTGAGGAATTTCCTTCTCCCCTCTTTGCTTTCCCTCCCTCCCTTCCCTTCTCCCTCCCTCTCTCCCTCCCTTCCGTTCATGCTGTGAATGCCCCATGGAATCCATGCTGGATTAGGAGTGGGCACAGTTGCTCGAGAAGCACAGGAACTTGCTGGGTGTGCTACAGAAAGCCTTTGTTTTCTCTCTTTTTTTTTTTTTTTTTTTTTTTTTTTTTTTTTTTTTTTGAGACGGAGTCTCACTCTGTCACCCAGGCTGGAGTGCAGTGGCGCGATCTCCGCTCACTGCAAGCTCCGCCTCCTGGGTTCACTCCATTCTCCTGCCTCAGCCTCCCGAGTAGTTGGGACTACAGGTGCCCGCCACCACACCCAGCTAATTTTTTGTATTTTTAGTAGAGACGGGTTTTCATCGTGTTAACCAGGATGGTCTCGATCTCCTGACTTCGTCATCCGCCCACCTCGGCCTCCCAAAGTGCTGGGATTACAGTCGTGAGCCACCGCACCCGGCCTAGAAAGCCTTTCTAAGCAGGCAACAGAGCAACGATGCCACTCTCTCAATAGGATTTCTGGAAGGCCCAGCACTGCAGTACCAGGGAGGATCCAGGGGTCTAAGCCTTGTAGGAGGCTAGTACCTCAACCATGGAGACAGATGGTTTCTTTCCAGAGCACAGCCTCAGGGCTCCCTTTCAACTGATCTGACCTTGGCTGACGCTAAAGGATTTAATGTCTTTTCCCAGAGTGAAACTAAATCTTTTCTATATACGAAGCTGAGAGACCATCAGACAATTTTTTTCCAAGCCTAGAAGTTTCATGGGGAAGAAAACAACAAAAACACGTAAGCCAAATCAAACCAAACCAAAACAAAAGCAACCCTGAGAACAGAAACACACTAATGAGATTTCTGAGCCTTTAAAAGCTTCTGAATAATTCGTGCAACCACAACTTTCCTTCTTTTTTGTTTCTTAGGATTCCCAGGGTAAGAGGACTCAGCTTTGCCATGGTCCCTTCCAAGTGGCATCCTGTCTCTGCTTACACACCTCCAATGATGGGCTGCTCACTACCTCCCAGGCTGTCCCTTGTATTACTCTTAACTTCCATCACCAGAATGTGCTTTAGGTAACAGTAAGATGACTCCAGAGATCCCCCACATCAGACTGGTTGTCTAGTGTAGGCATTGAAACTCTGGATTCTGAATTAGGCCTCCTGGATTAGAACCCCAGCTCCACCATTTATGAGCTATGTACAAGTAGGCAACATGCCACATTCCTCTGTGCCTCAGTTTACTCACCTGCAAAATGGGGGATCATACACTGTACTTATCCCATAGGGTTGCTGAGTGATAACACTCATATCAGTGTGTGGCGCATAGTGCTATGCAAGGGTTTGATGCTATTCTTTTCTAAATTGTGATGACTTGGGACATTCAGCAGCGCAGTCTTTTCTAGATTCTCCATCAAGCACATACAGGTCTGCGCACCCAGCCTGGACATCAGCCCTTTGGACTTATACCAGGCAGCCATGTCCCAAAGGCACAGCCATGGCACCAGGAGGAAAAGGCCAGGGAACGACCAGGACACTGGGAGCTACTCTGCCCATCCACTGTGGTAAGTTCTTGTGCTGAAAGCTCAGGTCCTCAATCCAAACTATCCTCCCTTTAGATTATGGCCTCCTGGCCTCATTTTCTGATTCACTGAGGTTCATTCACTGAGACTTTGGACGTGAATGGTTGTGTAGCTCATCACCCTCTTCTCCTTCTGCTGGAACCTATGTGGCTGCCAATAATGAAGGGGTGTCTCTTAACTTCACTCACCATCTGCTTTCAAGCCTTGGGACCTGGTAAAGAAGCAGTGTCCCAGGTGGAACTCCCCAGGACCCTGGGACCAGGAACCTGTTGCCTCTTGCTGGAGATGGCCCTGAGGACATCTGGAGGCACTCCTAGTCCCCAGAGATGCTTCATCCCCCAGTCCACAGACCCAGTTTCCTGGCAGTGCCCTGCCTGTCTCTCTCCTGGGGATGTACACAGGTGCCCCACTGGAAGCAGCTAGAGAGTAGGTGAGGGACAGGGGGATGGAAAGGATATTGGGCCAGGTCAAAATACATCACAGATGGAAAACATCCAAGTGACCCGGATGGGAGAGCACCCATGAGTGGGTGTCCTGCTGGGCATCCCCCTAACCTCAGACTCTCAGGGAGTGAAGCTTCCATTGAGTCACCCTTGCCAAACCATGCGCCATATGATCCTCAGAGCTTCAGGGTAGCCACGATCACCCCACTTCACAGAGGAGTGAACTAGGCTCAGAGAGGTTGAGAAAACCAGGATGACCAACCATTCTGGATTGCCCCAAAAGGAGGAGTTTCCTAGGACACCAGACTTTCAACTAGGACAGTCCTTGGCAAACTGGGACAGTTGGTTGTGCTGCAATTAAGTGACAAATTTGGGATGCAAGTCAAAGCCCTGCCTGACATCCTGGTCTGAGCCACTTCCACTCTAACCAGCTTTCCAGAGGAGGGAGAATTTAGAAGGATCTGATCCCCAGTGATGCTGGAATCACAAGTGCTCTCTTCCTGCAGGAGGGGGAAGCTGAGTTCGGTCAGCAAATGAGACAGGAAGGCCCAGAAACCAGCAGGGGCCAGAATTAAAGGATTGTCTTCTTAGCCATGCTCTGTTGGAAAGAATGCAGTTTTCAAAACATTTTTAAACTTTTTTGCGCCGTGGACTTTGGACATTCCAAGTAAATCTATTTGCAACACTGGACCAAGTTATACCATTTTGGTTTGGGGTGCTTTCCTTTCATACAAAAACTACCAAAGAAAGCCATTGCTGCTTCTTCTGTCCTTATTTTTCTCTTGAACGAATAGCAGATGCTTTAGGGGAAATGAAACTGAACATGTTGGCTGAAAACCAAAACATCAGTCTACAGCATCTGGGCTTTAGAACCAGGATTCTTTTCCTGCTACCTTGGGGGTGGCTCTGTTTTTAATTACAAGGCCAGCAAATGACAGTGCTCGCTCCTGACAATGGCACCAGGGTCATTCTTCATGAGGACAGGGTCACAGTGGCCACTACTCATTCCAACGCTGGTCTCAGAGATTGTCATGCTCAGGGCCACCTTCCACTGTTTGATCTACTCAGGAATCCTGGTGAGATCAGATTCAATAAATAAACTAAATAAACCACCAATGAGGTTTAAATAAAGCTGTAACACTGCTTGCAGGCGGAAGCATTGTGACTGTTAAGATACCATAAACAGTCAGGATGTTGCCTGCACTTGCAGGGGGATGAGAATTTAAGAAAGCTCCAGAGAGGTTGCTCCGTTTCCTTGCATTTGCTTCCTGGCCCACCCCTACTCTCATCTCCTCCTTCCCATTTTCCTTTCCTACCCTGACCAACTTGGATGTTGGCCACTCCTAGTGAGGCTGGCTGAGAGTCTTGCTGGGTGTGAATTAGACCACGTGAAACCACTTGAGGTCATTAGAATGTTAAGTGGAGAAGCAAGTCCCGACTAACACAGAGTGGCCTGACCTCACTGTCCAGCTGCCAGAATGAGGGCAAAGGCTCATCTGAAAGTTCGTGAAGACCCAGCTCCCATCTGAACACACAGGGAGGCACTTGTGCCTTGGAGAACCAATGACATGGAATATACTCCTGGGAAAACCTCCCTTTGTGGCCTGGGCCTGTCAAGCAAATGGCACTTTTGGCCTTCGGTCATCAGATTGACCCTTATGTTCATTAGAGTCAGTAGGCTTTAAGCCATCAGTGGTTGAGGCAGCTTAACTCGTATACATGAGTGGGATTATGAATGGAAATGCTGTGTTTGAGAACTGAGCGGCTAGTGGCTTTTCATAAAGTCATCGCGATGCTTGGTGAGCCTCAGGCCCGGCCTCTGATGGACCTTCCCAGGGCCATCCTCCCACACCCTGAGCCACAGACATGAGCGTCCACCTGAGCTGACAATCAGGACTCTGGAACACCTGACTCTCCTGTAGTGGAGTGAATAGTATCCCTTCCAAATTCACCTCCATCTGGAACCTCAGAATGCGACCTTACATGAAAATAGGGTCACTGCAGATGTAATTAGTTAAAGATCTTGAGATGAAATGCAATGACTCCTATCTTCACAAGAAGAGAAGAGGACACAGAGACTCACACAGAGGGAAGAAGGACATTTGATAATGTGGGACAGAGATTGGAGTTGTGCTGCCATAAGCCAAGAAATCCCAAGTTTTGCCAGTCACCTCCAGAGGCTAAGAAGAGGCAAGGAGGGTCCCCCCACTAGAACCTGCAGAGAGAGCCTGGTCCTACCAACCCTGATTTCAGACACCTGGTCTCCAGAACTGCTAGAGAACAGTTTTCTATTGTTTTAAGCTAGCACATTTGTGGTCATTTGTTACGGCAGCTCTAGGAAGCTAACCACCTCCAATGAACAAAAATGAGGACCCAGAATTCTTCTGGGTCCTCTTCAAGTTGTAGAGATAATCCCCCTGCATTTTGCCCAAAAGACTAAGAATTCTAACTCTACCCTCCTGTCCTTCTTTCTGGCTGAGGGTGGCTAGGAGGAGGCCTTTTGCTTGTGTTTGTTTTACTTGGAGTCCTTGTCAGGTAAGGACCCACTTTCTAAAAAGAAAAGGATGTCCTTCAGTTGCACCTTTGGACTTAGAAATTCCATTTGCAGCCAGATTTACACCACAGGCTCAGTACCTTCGGCCTCCATCACCATGTTCAGCAGCCCTCCCAGGCTTGGTGGCATTTCTTTCTGTTGTCTGCTGCTGATCAGAGGGAACTATGAACACCCAGCAAGTCCCAAACTCATAGCCTGGGGAACGTCCAGCTTGTCAAAGACATTGGACCCATGATGGTGGCTTGGGGAAGGTTCCAGAGTCAGGGAATCTCTTTGGCTTTAGCGTTCTAACTTTCTGGAGCCCAGAATCCCTTTTGCCAATACATTCCAATCTGTGCTCCTTGGAACTGTAATGCCCTGCAAAATATTAATAAACATTTTTAAAGCATCATGATCAAATATGTCTGGGAACTGCCAACATAAATATAATTAAATGGCTTTCTTACTGCAGAACTTCTCAGAGCCTTTAATATGCCAAATACAAGTTGTACCCCTCCAAGTAAAGGATGTGGTATTTGGGGATTCTCAAGCCTGTTAATCATAGGTTTTCCTCTGTGTTCTGCCTGCCTCTGCCTGACTGTGCTTTTATGAACTTCAGCAATGAAGAAATCCCTCCCTTGCTTCTCTTCCATGCTTTAAGGAAGCCACTCTACCCTTCCAGTTTCTCCCATAAATCCATGTAACTATGCAGCTTCCTGGTCCAGAACTTTTCACTAGGTCTCGAGCCCCCATGGCCAGAATTCACTTTTGAATGGCATAAAAGATCCGCCCAAAATCCAGAGCCAGGCAACCTGTCCTGCTCAGTGTCTACCATCTGTACCCCTCGAAATGGGCCTGAAACCCACGTGGTTCTGAACCCACAGCACAATCACAGTGTTGCTCTTGCTGTCTGAAACACCAGCTGCCTGGCTCATCTGTCTGACAAACAAGGACACATCCTTGAGGCTTTGTGCCCACCCCCCAATGCCTCCCCTTATCTGGATCAGGAGCCCACCTCTGAGCCCCACACCCCTGAGCTTACCACAAGATCTGCTTCTCTACATAATAATTGTATTAGCCAGATTTCTCCAGGGGGACAGAACCAATAGTATGTATATATGAATGAAAGGGGATTTATTCTGGGGAACTGGCTCACATGATCACAAGGTGAAGTCTCACTATAGTCTGCAAGCTGGAAAACCAGAGAAGCTGTTAGCACAGCTCAGTCTAAGCCCAAAAGCCTCAGAGCAAGGGAAGCTGATAGTGCAGCCCCAGTCTGAGGCTGAAGGCCTGAGAGCCCCGGAAGACTGCTAGTGCAAGCCCAGCAAAGGCCGAACGATCTAGAGTGATGTCCAAGAGCAAGAGGAGAAAATGGCATCCCACTCTAGAAGAGAAAGAGAGAGAAGAACGAGAGCCAGCTGGGTACCCCCCTCCCTCTGCCTGCTTTGTCCCAGCCAGGCCCCAGCTGATTGCATGGTGGCCCCACATCGAAGGCAGGTCTTCCTCCCTCAGTCCACTGAATCATATCACAATCTTATGTAAACCCCCACATAGACACCCAGGAACAATGCTTCACAGCCATCGAGGCCTCCCTCAGTCCAATCCATTTGACACCTAACATTTACCATCACGATAATGTACCACTCATTGGCCTGTCTGTGATGACCTGGATGGTAAGTTATGGACAAGTCTTGCCCACCACACCATCTCCAGCATTTTCTACAGTGTTGAACACTCCAGGTCTCCATGCACCTGCTTCGTGATTTGACAAATTGGGGTCCTGGACATTCACTGGCCATGTTTTTGTTGTTGTTGTTGTTTGTTTTTTGTTGTTGTTTGTTTGTTTGTTTTGAGACAGTCTTGCTGTGTCGCCCAGGCTGGAGTGCAGTGGCACGATCTCAGCTCACTGCAGCCTCTGCCTCCTGGGTTCCAGTGATTCTCCTGCCTCAGCCTCCTGAGATTACAGGCGCATGCCACCACGCCAGGTTAATTTTTATATTTTTAGTAGAGATGGGGTTTCACCATTTTGGCCAGGCTGGTCTCAAAACTCCTGGCCTAGGGTGATCTGCCTGCCTCGGCCTCCCAAAGTCCTGGGATTACAGGCGTGAGCCACTGTGCCCAGCCCACCAGCCATGTTTTTACTGGAGGGTAAGGACAAGACCATCAGGTCTGTAAGTCACCCATATTTACAGTCTTTGCTCCTTGCCTTCATGTCTACTTTGTTTGACATTAGCACAACCACACTTATTTTTCTTTTCCCATGTGCTTATATTGTTTTATGTTCAGCCTCCTCTATCCTTAACAATGTGTCCCTTCTAAGTACCAAGTAACTGGGTTCTTGGTTTTTTATTTGCTCTGTCTTCCAACTGGAGATCAGACAATTTACATACAATGGTATTACTAATGTGGTTCCGTTTAAATCCATCATCTTATTATTTACTTTCAATTTTTCTCACCTGTTTGATGTTCCTTTTCCCTTCTGTCTTCTTTTGGATTAGTATTTTTTTTTATTATTCCATTTTCCACTCTATTATCTTGTTGCTTATAGATTCTTTTCTATATACTTAGTGATTATGTGTTGGATTACATCATTTGTCCTTGACTTATTATTAAAGCCTAATGTAAATCTGTATTTCCACTTTCCAGACAAGTGAAAAGGACCTTAGAACATTCTAGTTTTGTTTATCCCTCTTCTGGTTTAGGTGCAATTGTTATTGTGTATTTTAATTCTTTATGCATCCAAAACTCCCTCAAGACATAATAATTATGATTCTATTTGGTGAATACCCCTTTAGGCTCGCCCACATTATCTCTCCTCAGACCTTCCTGCATCTCTCAGCTGCCATTTGGAAGCTTAGTGCCCTTCTGCCTGAAGAACACTTTTCTGTATTTCCTTTGGTACTGTTAATAAATTCTTGCAGCTTTTGCTTGCCTTAGCTGTCTTCATTTTGCTTCATTTTGCTTTCATTTCCTTTATGGAAAATCTCAAGCATACAGAAATGGAGAAGATAATGTAATATACCTCTATGGACACATCACGCAGTTTAAACAACAATCTGTCACCCCCCTGCTTTACGGCTGTTTTCACTGGCTAGTCTGGGTTGGGAATTATTTTCTCTCAACACTTTGGAGCTATTCCATTGTCTTCTAGCTTCTGCTATTTCTATAGAAATGTCAGTTGTCAGTTTTAGTGACATTCCTTTGGGTATGCCTGATCATTTTTGATTGTCAGACACTATCTATCATCTATCTATCTATCTATCTATCTATCTATCTATCTATCTATCTATCTAATCTATCTATAGAGAGAGAGAGGCAGAGTCTCGCTCTGTTGCCCAGGCTGGAGTGCAATGGTGCAATCTTGGGTCACTGCAACCTCCACCTCCCAGGTTCAAGCAATTATCCTGCCTCAACCTCCCAAGTAGCTGGGACTACAGGTGTGTGCCACCATGCCTGGCTGATTTTTATATATATATTTTAATAGAGACGGGGGTTTCACCATGCTGGCCAGGCTGGCCTCAAACTCCTGATCTCATGATCTGCCCACCTGGGCCTCCCAAAGTGCTAGAATTACAGGTATGAGCCACTGCACCAGGTATTTTAAAATACTAACATTTTAAAAATTATATTTAATTTGAGAATTTGGATGATGTTGTCTTCCTCCAGAGAGGATTTACTTTTGCTTTTTGCAGGCAGCTAAACATTAGAAACCCCAGGTTACTTAAATCCAATAGGACCTGAGATGATTCAGAACTAGGCATTGACCTTTGTGAGGTTTGGCCTATTTCTGGTGCACTTTTTAGAGTGTAGCCTTACAGAGCCCTCCAAACTCCTTGTGTCTACTAAAAGCTCCACTTAGATTCTCAGCTTCTCAGTCACCTCTTGTAAACCCAGGAAAAAACATTTTGGCCACTTCTTGAAGATGGAGGTAAGATTCCAGAGGCCCCGTTGCCCTATCTATGTGGCCTACAGGCTGCACCATGCCCTGCTATAATGGCCAAGTAAGGTATGCTCTCCCCAGCTCACCAAAGGAAAGCAAGTCTCTGTCAAATCTTCCACAGGTTTTCATGATGTTTATCTTCCGCTAATGAGCAAAAGGATGAAACACAGTGCATAACAGCAAGTGTGGAGGTGACCAGTAATGTTGAGGTCAAGGGCTATTTTTTTTCTGGATGTGTTTGTGGTTCTAATATTTAAGAAAATAAAAACACGCAGTGCTGCTGTCTTTTTGGCTACTTGGCTGGCGTCATTTGGCTGGTTTGTGGGGTTGAATGAAATGTTTACACATTTCTGGTGTCACACAAACAGAGCCAATGGGCTCCTTGATTTGTGCAGCTGGATTGGAGTACGGGCTAGGTTGAGATGAACCCAAACTTCTTTCTTTTATGGATGACTGTGATCCACGGGATCTAGAGCAAGTCAGAAAATCAAGTGCTGGTAGGGGTGGAGCAACCAGAGTGTGAGGGGATGGTCAAAGTGTAGCACTTATGCCCACCCTGTGTGAGGGGGTTCCAGGGCTGCAGGTTCTCAAAGACCAGGATCAGCCATGAAGCTCCAGCTGACTCTTGGCACAGAAAAATTGGGATCCAGAGTGTCAGATCCCTTGATCTTTCAAAAGAAGCCAGAAATTCAAATAACTAGGTGAAATAGCCAGTTTTTGGCTTGACTAAAAAAAAAAATCCAGTGTAAGCCAAACAAAATATATCTCTGGACCAACATCAGCCCTTGTATTGACAGTTTGTGACTTTGATATAATAAAAATAAGCATAGCATTGTGGTGCACCTTTCTTTTTTTTTTTTTTTTGAGACAGAGTCTTGCTCTGTCGCCCAGGCTGGAGTGCAGTGGCGCCATCTCGACTCACCGCAACCTCCGCCTCCCGGGTTCACTCCATTCTCCTGCCTCAGCCTCCCGAGTAGCTGGGACTACAGGTGCCCGCCACCACACCCAGCTAATTTTTTTGTATTTTTAGTAGAGACGGGGTTTCACCGTGTTAGCCAGGATGGTCTCGATCTCCTGACCTTGTGATCCACCCCCACCTTGGCCTCCCAAAGTGCTGGGATTGCAGGCGTGAACCACCGCACCCGGCCTGTGGTGCATCTTTTATTCACTATCTTAAGACACCAAGAAAATTGACATATGAGCAACACTTTAGGGCATCTTGGTCTTGCTGTACTACTTAGGGCCCATCCTGGACACACTTGGGGCTTCTTGAGTAGTGGCCCAGATGTTTCTGCCTCATTCCCGATCACCTGAGTTGTATGTGCGAATTTTGTTTAAAGCAGTATGACCACACCACCTTATTCAGGTGGAGTTCTGAAAGCTGGGGCCTGAGCATCTGAGGTTTGAACAGCAGCCCAAGTGATTTAATGTACAGCCAGAGCTGAGTTCATTTCGCTCTGCACTCCCCTGTCCTCCTGGTGGAGGGATGGTGACCAAGATGGGACTAAGCCCCTGATGGCCACCCCGTTTGCCAAAGTCCCCAATAGCTTAGAAAGGACGATTTCCGAGCAACATGTCTACACACATCTGGGCCCGTTTTCCGGACCTGTCACAGGACAGGAGAAAGGGCATGAAATCTAGCAACAAAATACCTGGAGTGGTGTCCTCTGTCACTTCCTGGCTGGATTGGGCACTTGCCTATTTGACCTCCATTTTTTCTACTTTTAACAAGATGGTAATGCTGGTGCTGGTGAGATGGAAGATTCTGCGAGCAGCTAGCAAGCTGTGGAGTGCGGTGCACACATGGGTGCTAGTTTTCTCAGGTCCCCTACCCCCAGACCTTGGTGTGTGTCCAGCCTCGGCCCCTCCTCTGCTTTCCCAGGAAACACTCCCACACTGCTTCACACAGGTCCTGCCATGGGACCCACTGTCCTCAGGGAGGCCCTCCTGCCTCAGTGTCACCAGAACCTTTGCAAAGGGCCCTATCACCCCCAGAGGTTGAGCTCTGGGGCCATGCCTGGTCCAGGACACAGGGCTGGAACGTGGCTTCCCATGCTTATCGGCTCCAACTGTGGAAAGGAGACCTTGGCCCTTGTTACTGACGTCAGCCCCTTCAGAGAGGCGAGTCGGCCATGAGCACCTCAGTTCTGCCCCTCTGCTCTCCTCCCAGGCTCCAGCCCACTCTGGCTTGCCCCACGTGCCCCCACCCTGTCTCTGCGCCTCCCCTCTAAGGCTCCGTCTGAGCAGAGACTCACTGCCCCCCTCCCTTCCTCCTTCCCTGAGCTCTCAGATTCCAATAGCATGCTCTCCTGGCTGTTGGGCCATCAGTATCTCTGCATTCTGTCATGATTTTTTTTTTTTTTCACACAGGAAGCCCTAGAACGCTGCCACTGTCTTCTTAAGTAGCCATATTTTCAGGAAGAGAAGGCCCTCCCAGTGATCGGACATGGTGCAGGGTACACTTGGGGGCCGAGGACCATCCCCGAGGGGATGAGAATAACGTGGGCTCTGGATGCACATCCCTTTATAGCTCCCCTTTCCCTACTTGTCCCTTTCCCTGACTAATTAATGACTCCACCCACCACCCAGCCAATCCAGGTGCCTGGAAGTCATCCTCCACACTTCCAGCGTGGGCAGGGGGTATCTCTTGATCACAGATAAGAGCTTGCCCCATCTGCTGCCCCAGCCCTTCGAAGCCTCCCTGCCATCTTCAGTATGATGCCCCCATCTTTGCCTGGCACTCCCTCCCACCAGACGCTTCCCGGGGCTCAGCCTCCCAGCCCCACCCCACCCCACTCCAGGCCCCATTCATCCCAGGTAGCAGCTTCTGCTGCTCAGATGCCCCTCTGCACCTTGGGTGGTCCAGGAACTCCTCATTCTTCCAGAGGAGGCCTGAGCAGTGAGGGAAGCCCTTGACCCTCGCCTACTGGGGGTACAATTTGACACAGATTTTTTATAGCATCATTTGGTGAGACAAATAAAGTCTTTAAAGTGGCTATGAAATTCCACTTGTAGACATTTTGCCCGGCAAACATGAATGGGCACAAAAATTCAGCTGCAAAGATGTACTTGTAGCAATTTGAAACACCCCAGTGTTGCTTAAAGCAATCCTAGTGCATCTATACAGTGGAATCCTAGGCGTTAAAAACATTAAGGCACATGTAAATTTTGTTTTTCGAACCGTCACGTCTGCCCTGGACTTCCTCAAAGCCTCCTAACAGGCCTCTAGGTGTCCCTCTTTGCTCCTTTCCAAATCATTTGCACCTGGTATTGGGTGAGAACTAAAAGCCTGAATCATGCCATCGGGCAGCTTAAAGCCCCATAAGGCATTTCCATTGTAATGAGATGAGCATGTGAATTCCCTCCCCAAGCTGTGCACCATCAAGGCCCTGCGTGCTCTGTAACCAGGCGCTTGTCTACCTGGGGGGTCCCACAGGAGGACACCGGCCTCAGCCTGGGCCCTGAGCTTGTCACACCCTTGTCAAACAGTGCCTCCCTCCCGCCACACCCACCTTCTATCAGCGCCTCGGGATAAGCCTAGCTCTGCCCCATCTCTGGACTTTGGATATGCTGTCCCTGCATCAGTCGGCTTCCCCTTCCTGGCACTCGGGGTAACTTCTCTACATCCTTCATTTCTCAGAGAGGCTTCCCTTAACCCTTCTGTTCAAATGGGGTTGCTGCTATTATTCCTCACTGTACCTTGTTCTTTCTGTTTTCCCTTTTCCATTTATTACACCCAGTAAATCTGTAAGGACAGCATCCTGATGGGCTTTGTTGACAGAGTACATCCAGCACTGAACACTCTGTACGCCTCACACAGAGGAGGTGCTCGATAAACATGTAAGAATGCCCCTGCTACATTGTAATTTAAAAAGCAAACTACAAAATAGTATGATGGCATATATAACATAGCATAGTATAATCCAATATAATACAAGAGTACAAGGATTAATATTAAAAAATCCAGAAGACTCTTCCACAAACTCTTGTCAGTGGTTAAGTATACATGGTGGGATTATAGATGGTTTCAAATGTTCACCTTCTCTGTATTATCTATATTTTCCAGATTTTAAATACATTTTTATTTTTATTGTATTTATTTATTTGTAGAGACAGAGGTCTTGCAATATTGCCCGGGCCAGTCTCAAACTCCTGGCCTCAAGCAATTCTCCCGCCTCAGCTCTCAAAGTGTTGGGATTACAGGTATGAGTCACAGTGCCCAGACTGAATCAATTTTTCAAAAATGGTAACAATAGCAATTATTCCGCAATAAAAAATAAAAATTTTGCTTAATTCTCATTGTAAAAAGACTCTGCCCACAAATCCCCAGCCTCTGTGAAGTGTTTCCTCTAAGCTCCATCTGCACCACACACCTGAGAAGGTGAAGCTTGAGGCATCCTTCTCTGTCCCATAGCACCTGGGACTGCCTCCTTCATAAGATGAGTCATCACCATTTCATAATCCTCCGTCTCCCTGCGCCCTCCTGCCTATGGGAGCACCCAGAATGTCTTCTTCATAGCCTTCACTCATTAATGATTGTGACTAATTAATTTGAGCTAATCCATTTTATGTGCAATTTCTGGCCTGCTGTCTTCCCCGGGCTGTAATTTCAACAAGGGATCATCTACCCTAATTGCTAGCGTAGTCTTTATAATTCATAGTTAATGCTCGATCAACAGTTGCTAAATGAACAAATGAATGAATGAATGCAAAACAGGATTGTCTCCGAAGTTGAAATCCCTGCCCTTGATTGTGTCTGCCATCAGATGTGCGTCCCCGAAATGCAGAAATCCTACTCGAGAGCAGAGGCATGTTACCACTCACTGGAGTTCCATAGACATCACCTGACCACGGAGACTTTCTAAGTATTTGTTCCTGAGAAGTCTCCGCTGCAAAGTTCCGATTAAGATACCTGTGAGCGGCAGGGCGCGGTGGCTCACGCCTGTAATCCCAGCACTTTGGCAAGCCGAGGAGGGCGGATCACGAGGTCAGGAGATCGAGACCATCCTGGCTAACATGGTGAAACCCTGTCTCTACCAAAAATACAAAAAAATTAGCCGGGCATGGTGGCGGCGCCTGTAGCCCCAGCTACTCGGGAGGCTGAGGCAGGAGAATGGCGTGAACCCGGGAGGCAGAGCTTGCGGTGAGTCGAGATTGCGCCACTGCACTCCAGCCTGGGCGACAGAGCGAGACTCCATCTCAAATAAATAAATAAATAAATAAATAAAAGAAAAAAGAAAAAAAAAAGATACCTGTGAGCTGTGGACATCTGAATGTTCACACAGCACTGACCTTTTTAAACATGAAAATGAAAACGAATAGTCAGACTCCTGCATTTTTCCATGTCTTATTTCAGTTTTAAAGATGGACAATATGATAAGAAAGTCTGTTTCTCTTCTGGATTTCTATTTCCAAAGAGATAGCAAAGGTTCTCAGGTTACTTGGAGAGTTTACTAGGATGCTGAGCGCTCCTCACCCACATAGTTTATTATTCGGGAGGTCTGAGGTGGGACCCCAAAAGACAAATTCTCAGGTGAGGTTGATGCTGCTGGTCTGGCGACCACGCTTGGAGACTCCGTGAGCCAGAGGACTCTGCCCCGACTTGCTAGGGAGGCAGGAGCTCTGGTGACCTGCTGTGTGGCCTGGAGGAAGTCACTGCCCATTCTGAGCCTCGGATTCCTTGTTGGTAAACAGCGTCTTAGGACGCGGCTCTGTGATGCTGTGGCCTGTGCGTCGCATCGGCATGTCTCAGCCGGCACCGGGCAGCAGAGGGCAGCAGAGATCAGGAAATGGCGTCCCGGCAGGCGGCTTCTCCCACTGCTGAAATGAGTTCTCTCAACTGTCGCTCAGCACTCCGAAACCATTAGCCAAAGAAGAAAGACATTTCCTCATCCCTTTGCTCTCCAATGACTAAGAAAAGTGAAGTGATGCCTTACACTGAAATGTATTTCTTAAAAGTTGGATACTTGTATCATCTTGAAAGCCCCTCTACATCCAGGAAAACTGCAGCCCAGAGAGGGGAGGAAAAGCCCGCGGCCTCCTGCTGGTGGTAAGTTCAGGAACACGCATGGGCCTTTCCGCTCCGTCCCAAGCTGAGTTTTACATTCCCTCCTAGACGAGAATTGGCGAGTGGACATGAGGGTAGCTTTCTTCCATGGTGCTGGGGGGCAGGAGGAACCCCAGGGACTCATGGATGTGGGAAGGACATGAGAGGTTTCCCAAGTAGGGCCCCTTGCATTTAGAGCCCCCTCTACATGGAGCTGGAAAAGGGAGTTCCGTTTAAATGTGTGACCCTGGAGTCCCCAAACATCTATTCAGAGACAGCAGATAAATCCCAGACTGCACCTCTCCAGCTGGTCTTCAAGCTCAGAACCCCCTCCTCGTTTCCAAGTGTGGATCCATCAGAATGAAGGGCCCACACCTCTCCCCCACCGTGGATTTCACATTTCCTGGTGCCTCTAAGTCACCAGGAGGGGGCAGAAAATTCTGCCTCCCAAGCCCCACCTCCAGGGACCCCATTCATCAGGTTTGGGTGCGGTCCTGGAATCCACGTGCTAAACAGACGCTGAGGGTGGTTTGCCCAACCAGACCTGGACAATCTCTGGCCTGGAGGTTAAGCCTGGGTGGTGAAGATGAAGAGATAGGTGGCAGGCAACACTGGGAATTCACAGTCTCCGTTCTTGGAATCATACTTCTCATCCACGGGGAAAATTCCTTGGTTCTGGTACCTTCCCTGCAACTCTCTCCAATCATCCTAACATTCTGGGGGCCCAAGATGAGAATAAAAGCGAAGTTCCCATACCATGTGTCAATTATTAAAAAGTTATCAATCCGGGGCCGGGCATAGTGGCTCATGCCTGTAATCCTAGCACTTTGGGAGGCCGAGGCGGGTGGACTGCCTGAGTTCAGGAGTTCGAGACCAGCCTGGGCAACACAGTGAAACCCCGTCTCTAGTAAAATACAAAAAAAATTAGCCGGGCATGGCGCCGTGCACGGCGCCGTGCACCTGTAATCCCTGCTACTTGGGAGGCCGAGGCAGGAGAATCGCTTGAACCCAGGAGGTGGAGGTTGCAGTGAGCCAAGGTCACGCCATTGCACTCCAGCTTGGGTGACAGAGTAAGGCTCCGTCTCAAAAAAAAAAAAGGTTACCAATCCAATCAGTTGTTAGAAGATAAAACCCATAATTTTTCTACCTTGGTAAATACATCTTCATCATCATGAAGGCAAGGTTTGAATTTAGAATTCTGAGGAGTTGACTTTCGAAAAAAGGCAGCACAGAGAGCCAGGCTGCAGCCTACCCCCTTCACGCCTCACCCCACTTGGCTTTTTAGTGCACACACGTGTGTGTGTGTGTACAGGTGTGTATACCCACTAGCCCCACATATCCACGCCCCCACCCAGTTCCAGCTGAGCCATCACCCACAGAAGAATGATGGACCCAGGGAGAGAGGCCCACACAAACCTGGAGGTTGGCTCAGGGTTCCAGGTATCCGTGACTCTAAAAGGCAGGGTACAGGATCCAGGGGAAGCCCATCCCCAGCCCCAGGGACCCCTTGCCCTAGATAGGGCATAGCCTGATGAGACAGAGCAGGCCCCACCCCTGCCCACCAGGGCTCCTTGCTGGCCAGTGGGAGGTGGAGGCCTTAGAGTTATAAGGAGCTGTCAGGTTGGTCCCACTGAAGCCACACTGGCTTTGGGCCCCTGGGAGCCTGACTGTGAGGCCTTTCTGAAACCTCAGGTAGGCCTGACAGACAGACAGGGCTGCAATCCAGGGCTGAGCGCCTGCCTGGAGATGGGGCTCCAGGAGGGACTGGGAGGGCTGCCTGGAGGCGGGGGCTGTTAAAATGCAGCTCTCTGGGCCCTGCACCAGCCCTTCTGAATCAGTGGAGCTGGACATCTATGTTTTAACAAGACCCTCCTTCCCAAGGATTCTAACACAACACTAAAGTGTGAGAAGCACAGCTTGGAAACATTTTGTTTTATTCATGCAGTCAACAGATATCCACAGAACATCCCCTCCCTTGGCACTCTCAGTTTCCTGTCCCCTGCAGCCAACAGGAAGTCAGCTCTTCCCCACAGATTCTCTCCCTCCTCAAGTTTCAATTCAATTTCACCTCCTCAGGGGCACCTTTTCCAAAATGGCTGCCATCTCCCGGCCCTCAACACCACATCCCCTCTCCTAGCTCCTTCTTGGCCTTTACCACTGGTGCAGATGAGCTTCTTGGAGTATTTATTTTACTCATTGCCATGCCTCCCCCTCTAGAATATAACCCCTTCCCCAGGGCCAGGGCCTGATACATGGGAATCATTCCTTTACTGCAGTGTTGCTGGGATATAATATGCCCATAAACCTACTGAGTATTTGATGAATGATGAATAAGGCCGCTACCACTCAGCAATTCATTCATTGCCTCTTCCCACAATGGGACAATGGGGCAGGTGCCTTTTGGATAAAGAGGGAAGGTGTAGGTGGCGGAAGCCTCCGAGCTCTGAAGACCCTGCATGGCTGTCTGCCCGCCCCTCCATGAAAGGGGCAGCTCTCCCAGGAAAGAGAGGAAGAGAGGCCAAGAGAGCTCACAAATGGGTGTCTTCTCTTGTGAGGAAGGATTCGGGGCTCAACACGCTTCCTGGGGCTGGGTCTGTACAGGTAGAAGGAAGAGGCCCAGTTGGCTCCAAGCCTGGGCCAGCCCCAGCCCTGCAGCCTGGCGGTGTGCAGGCACCCTCACTTCAGAACATGCTTGTATGCACTTGCTCTTCTGGCACGCCATGAACTGTTTCTTGGCTGCCTTGTTAGGAGATTAAGCTTTCTCTAAAAAGATGAAAAAAAAAATCTCTAGCAAAGGCCTGACTAGAGCTGACCCCCGAGGAGGCGGTGGCAATAACTGATGGGCACTACATTTGTCTAATTAATCTTCTTGTCAACAAAGTTGTTCTTTGCCGGTGCCAGCTCTGACATCATCCTGCAAGCTTGCCACACTGGTTCATATGCAGTTACAAAGGCTGCCTGTGACCCAGCACTACACTCCCTAACCACCCCCAACACGCTGCTGCCTGGAAATGGGTGGATGAGAACAGAGATGTCACACAGCTGCTGGCTTAGAAGGGGCACCGGGGAATCACAGCTTGAATGAAAGTTGGATAAAGATCTGGAAGGTTCAGGGGATCCCCAGGCTGGAAGGAGCCTGGTTTCTAAATAGGACACCGATGCCGACCATCTTTTTCAAGTTAAACTTTGGAAAGTTCCATTTGCCATGCAAACTACCCTTGCCCTGGATGGGTTGCCCCAAGAGTGACCCAGGAAAGTTTAGGTGGTAAAGTTGCAAAATCAAGTGGCTTCAGGGCCCAGGCAGAGATTTCACTTTCAGTGCCCTGGGATGAAATCTCTGGATGTCCACGAGGCTGACCTGGACTTCCCGGATTGGGAGGCCTTGTGGTCAAAAGCCGAGTCCAGTCCTGAACACCAGATCTAAATGTTCAAGAAGACTGTGCAGATTTACAGGCTAAATCAGAGTCCCTGGTAGCTGTTTCCGACCTCTGTATGGGGCTTTTAGAGTGAACTGTGGTCTCATCCAGGCGTTTCCCGACCATTGCATCCCACACAGGGCCTCCCTTCTGATTTTATCGTTAGTCTCTCTCCCTGTTGATTTCCTCCAAGTGCTCATCACTGTCCACACTCACCCTGTTTATTTCTGCTCACCGATCTGGCTTTTTAATCGAGGAGTCTGTGAATAAAATCTGGAGGAGGGGGGTCTATGAACTTGGACAGGAAAATATTTATATCATTATTTTCACTGTCTGAGATTTAACAATTTACTCAATTATGAAAATCGGCAACAAGCCACAGTGTATTAGCAGTGTCTGTGACTTTGTCTCCAACAGAAATCACAGCTGTTTTTCTATCACGTCGTAGTTGATGCAGTTATCTCAAAATATCAGCTGGGCTAATCACTATTTTGAAATGACTGTAGTTAATAGATTGGTCTGTAGATCCTGTTACATCCTCTATCAACGAAGAACATATACGAGTATAGCACCACTTAAAAATATTTTGATAACTGCATGACAGTATAATCGGTTTGTTTCATAATCCTGTGTATCTTAATTTATGCTTTTTTCAAATATTCTGGCCTCATGAGACTGGCAAGAAAGACTGTAAGCCATCTTTTCTGTTACTTTTTCTTTCTTTCTTTCTTTCTTTTTTTTTTCTATTTTTGAGACGGAGACTCTCACTCTGTCACCCAGGCTGGAGTGCAGTGGTGATCTCGGCTCACTGCAACCTCCGCCTCCCGGGTTCAAGCGATTCTCCTGCTTCAGCCTCCCGAGTTCTCTTTTCTATCCTTAGCCCCGACCTTGGGTTCTGGCACACAGTAAGTGCTCAAGACAATATTATTGACTGAATTAATGAAGGAACCACTGAACAAATGAATTAAATAAGTGAACTGAACAAATGAACATGAGCCTTAACGTGGCCGTGGGTCCACGTCCATGGACCCACGTATTCTGGAAGGTGCAGAAGTTTCCACGACCCTTTGCCACCTGAGCTTCTGTCTGTGCGACATCCACACTACCCACCAGGAGAGACGGGGGTCTTGCTACCTCCACTAAGAACAGTAGGAACAGCTCAGAGCTGACCACGGCGTCCCCACTAAACAAGACTCCACCGGCCCATTGCCTTTTTTGCTCCAGCCACACGGGCCTCCGGAGACCAGAGCTGGAGATAAGGGGATGATCCTTTTTTTTTTTTTATATTATACTTGAAGTTTTAGGGTACATGTGCACAACGTGCAGGTTTGTTACATATGTATACATGTGCCATGTTGGTGTGCTGCACCCATTAACTCATCATTTAGCATTAGGTATATCTCCTAATGCTATCCCTCCCCCCTCCCCCCACCCCACAACAGTCCCCAGTGTGTAATGTTCCCCTTCCTGTGTCCGTGTGTTCTCATTGTTCAATTCCCACCTATGAGTGAGAACATGCGGTGTTTGGTTTTTTCGTCCTTGTGATATTTTGCTGAGAATGATGGTTTCCAGTTTCATCCATGTCCCTACAAAGGACATGAACTCATCATTTTTTATGACTGCATAGTATTCCATGGTGTATATGTGCCACATTTTCTTAATCCAGCCTATCGTTGTTGGACATTTAGGTTGGTTCCAAGTCTTTGCTATTGTGAATAGTGCCGCTATAAATATACGTGTGCATGTGTCTTTATAGCTGCATGATTTATAATCCTTTGGGTATATACCCAGTAATGGGATGGCTGGGTCAAATGGTATTTCTAGTTCTAGATCCCTGAGGAATCGCCACACTGACTTCCACAATGGTTGAACTAGTTTACAGTCCCACCAACAGTGTAAAAGTGTTCCTATTTTTCCACATCCTCTCCAGCACCTGTTGTTTCCTGACTTTTTAATGATCGCCATTCTAACCGGTGTGAGATGGTATCTCACTGTGGTTTTGATTTGCATTTCTCTGATGACCAGTGATGATGAGCATTTTTTCATGTGTTTTCTGGCTGCAAAAATGTCTTCTTTTGAGAAGTGTCTGTTCATATCCTTCGCCCACTTTTTGATGGGGTTGTTTTTTTCTTGTAAATTTGTTGTTCATTGTAGATTCTGGATATTAGCCCTTTGTCAGATGAGTAGGTTGCAAAAATTTTCTCCCATTCTGTAGGTTGACTGTTCACTCTGATGGTAGTTTCTTTTGCTGTGCAGCTCTTTAGTTTAATTAGATAAGGGGATGATCCTAAAGGGACGCAGTGGTCCCGCCCATCGCCGCCTCTACAGGGAGGGAGCCGCGGCCCCGAGCTGGCCACGCGATGGCGCTGTGCACCCGGCCGCGGAGCCCCTGCACGTCCGGCTCCCGCTCGCGCTCTCGGCTCGAGCTCCGGACTCCAGGCTCGGAGCAGGGGTTCGGGCTACGGTTCCCGGCTCCGAGGGACCGCGGGGCTCTCTGCCTGGGAAGGAAGCTTGCGGGCCTCCTCGGGCCTCGCTGCAGCCCAGCTAGGTTAATCAATCAGCAGCCGCTCAGTCACCCATCCCTTCCGCATCAGTTGCGTGGGGCTGGGGATCATGCCTAGGGCGGGAGGCGTGGGAGCGCAGGGCGCCCCGGGTCCGGATCCGGCTACAGGGGCGAACAGAGCGGGTTCTCCATCCCCTGGGGTGAAATCTCTGGGCCCAGGCTTTGAGACCCTCTAACTCGCCTTGCACACCCTGTGTCTGCAGAGGAGGCTGTAGTTCAGAGGCCAAGCCCGCTGTCAGAAGGCAGCCAGGCGGACTTGAGTCCCAATTCCTCCTTCCTTTCTACCATCATTCTCTCTTTTGCAAAATGGGGATGATAAAGGTCCCGACCAGTTGGTAGGATTGACGGAGATGGGGCAGCACAGGGCTCCTAAGCACAGTGCCCCGCGCCCAGTCGGCACCGCGGGACGCATCGTCTGCAGCCGCGTGAGCTCGGGCAAGGCGACCTGGACTCATCTCCGCAGCAGGGACGAGGTCCGCCCTGTACTTGCGGCATCTGCGTGTGGTGGAACTGACCGAAACGCTTGCGGAGCTGCGCACGGTGCCTGGCACACCGTTAGCAACCCTTCCCTTCCCTTGTTCTGCGCCTGTCCTGTGAGTGGACAGGAGGACACCCAGGGCCTCCGCTGCCTGTCCGATACTAGTCACCCCAGGGCCTAGAGGCTTATTCCCTGGAGATGGGACCCACGCCAAGCCAAGGTCTCCCATTTTCTAGAGAGAACTTGGGCAGCCGGGAATGCCATCCTTGGAAGGAAAGGCAAGAGGGAGGTGAACATTCATTCCAAGGCCGTTAAACATGGGGAGAGGCACTGCTGGAAAACTGTTCTAGTCAGAAAGAAGCTGCTTAGTAAACCCAAGAGGCTCAGCGGAAACCCAGCCGCGGTGCTTGAGGACGTGGGGAGGCTCCAGCTCGCTCCGTTCCGTGTCTGACGTCTGCCCTGCGTGCGTCCCAAGGCTGTGTCCCTGCTCGGTGTCCCTGGCCCACCGGCCCTCCGGCTTGTCCCTCTGCGCGGTCACTGGGGCGTGCAGACCCGAGCCGGCCCTCCCTGAGTCAGCCAGGGACCCCGGAGTGTCGATAATTAAGAGACACACGTCAAGAATGTAAATTCCTGTGGTTCCCAGACTAGGAAGGGTTCACTCGGTGCCTCAGGACAATTACAAGCCGAGGGAGTCTGAAAGAGCCAGTGTTAGTGTTTAAAGTGTTATCAGTTTAATGAACTACTTATGAAGTGTTAAATGCATGCAAGTGTAAACTGCAACATCTGGGTTTGTGTTTTATTTGTAGACTTCAAACTGGGCGCTTGGTGTTTTGAAAATGCCAATTAACGGTGTAAAATCAGAATTTCTAATGGGAGGAAGATGTTTTTGTGACATCTCCCTAAACTATCTCAAAATGTCTTTAAAACACACACACAAACATTCACACACAAACAATGCAGCCACAAGGACTTAAAGGATTTTCTTTTTAAATAAAAAAAAAGCAGGAATTTGCTGCCCTCTTCTTTGTTCTTCACTATATATATGTATATAGCTAGTGGAAAGAAGAATTTAGCATCAGAGGTGTCATCAGCACAAATTTCTCAGAGGTTGTTGTAGGAAATTTGTCATTTCTACCCATTTCTTCCAGGCCAGAAAATAGATCGCCTTCAGGAATATTTACTGTGCTTTCTTGAGAAAAATTTCCAAGCTACCCCTTGAAGCAATGAAGTTGGATTTGGAACAAGTGGAAACATTATAAAATTGCTTATTTTCTTCCAAAATTTGTATTTTTCTTCCTTATTTCCTGTTAAATCAGTGCCACTCATTAGCAACCATATTTTTGCATTATATACTCAGCAGAATTTTTGCTCCGTGACTGCATTCCAAATTAAACTTTTACATTTCCAGGGAAAGTGTAACAAATGTCTAAATCAGTCAGAATTTAAACTAATGAGAGGAAGGGAAGAAAACTCAACTTTCTTCTTCTCGTATAAAAGCGATTGCTTTTTATCTGTTTCATGCTTCGGGGACACTTTTATCCCTGGGATCTTGAAAGGATCATTCACAAAGCAAGAAGGCTCAGGAAAACAAAAAGATGTCTAAATTCAGCGCTGTTGAAGAGTTCTGACAAATGCTGGTTTCAGGAAACAAAGGCAGACACTTTGAGGATTTCATTGCAAGATTTGGATAGGGCTGCCTGTAACCAGTGGCCCTACCGTAGAGCTGGAAGGATGTCACAGGTGGTATGGTGGAATTCCGCCATGTGATAGCAGCATACCCAAGATAATTCGTTGATAAGGTTGCAGATAGAGACTTTACCCTTTGCTGAGTGTTCCTTAATTGGCAGCTACCAGTCTCATTTATGGGTGCCCCTCTGCCAGGGTGCGGTGAAGAGAGCTAAGTGCAAGTTATTGCTTTCTGGCCAATAGCACATGATCCTCTTAATAAAAAGAGGGTGACCACACATGTTAATTTCCTGTCAACGTGACCCAGCAAGGCCCAAGCTGTTCCTTCACTCTGTCCTTCTTGCTTCTCCATTCCAAAGCAAAAGGCCACTGTGAGCCGGGAAAAATCAAAAGATCAGTTTTTTGGAAGAAAGTTGTAAACTTGACCTCATAGAGGGAGACAATGTTGGCTGTTCAGGTCAACAAGAGTTATATACACACCAGGTCTGCAGTAGCCTGGACTGTGCCTTTTAAGACATTTTTGGTAGCACAATTCAGCCCAGAATATTTTGAGAAAGAAGTATATTAAAAGTATTCTATCACAATGGGGAGAAAAGGGTGGGGGGATGGTATTTTAAAGCTTCAATAGCCAAATTAAACTGTGAACAGAAGAATCGATGTAACAGAATGTCTCAACCACAGGCCTTAATAGAGGTAATATAGACAAAAAAATTAGTATGTGGTAAAGATCTGTGAGGAAAGAGAGATTAGTCAATAAATGATGTCAAGACCAATCATATGGAAAAAATTAAAGGTAATCCCTATACCAAAATAAATTCCACATGCATTTAACAGTTATATGCAAAAATAACATAAAAATAAAAGACAGGTAAACTTCAGATCTTGAGAGCAGGACTTTGTTGATATAAAAGCTTAGGAATAGGTTAAAAAGTAAAAGATTATTGAGTTTGATGACAGAAACATTAAAACTTCTAGATATCGGTAACACTGGAAAGATGTTTGGATAAATATCAGAAAGAATCTTATTTTTATGTGAAAGTTTATTGCAAAACAATGAGAAAAGTGCTATCCTAATACAGTTAAGTTGGACAAAGAACACAAGTAAATAATAAAAATACAAATATTCAATAAACAAGATATTCAAATATCAAAAACAAAATAAAAATTCATTTTGCCCGTCAAATTCCTATACGACATGCACCGTTACACATTGCAGGTGTGACTTTCCACTGACAGAAACTTTCTGTAATTGATTGAGGGCCTTAAAAGTGGCCATATCCTTTTGTAATTTTTTCCTATTTCTACAAATGCTCTACAATCAGATAAAAGTACAAAGACTTATTTTCAGGGATGTCCACTTTGGGCATTAGTTAAACATTTTGAGAAATAAGCTATATAACCAGTAACAAGAATGGCTATCATCCAAATGCTAGAATAATACGCAGCCATTAACTTTTTAAATATTTAAGGATGTGGGGGCATGATCACGATGTCATGCTAAGTGCAAGACTTTGGATGTCAAAAGGTACATATTGAATATAGCAAAACACTAAAAGAAAAAATCCAAAAGTTTTCAGTGGGGTTAGTGAGAATTGTGTATAATTTTAATTATCTCTTTTTATGTGCTCATTTTTTCCACAATAAAATATATAAATTTATGATAGAAAACAAGTTATTGAAAATAGCCTGACCATCTCTGTCTGATCTCCCCACACAGACTCTGTTGGCAGCTGGTGGGGGCAGATGTTTTTCCCAGGCGGTGGTGAAAATATGCTTAGCAGGAGACATGGCTGCGTTCTCACGAAGTGGGCCTGGTACCCCATGAGCTTCTTGAATGTTTGTTCTGCACTCATCCAATCCCTCAGAGCAGCCCAGTCAGGGAAGAAGAGTTTTCAAAACCCTCAAGGAGCTGTGGCCTCTCTTGCCCACAGCCATCTGTGTATCTACCTCTCCGCAGGTGCGGGTCTTGCTCCCCTACCTTTTTGTGTATTGTGGAAGATACTGTCAAATTAGGGGTGGCTTAGGGTTGGGTAGATGTTTCTGTGCTCTGTCTACCATGATTCTGTGTCTTGGCCAAAGATAGGCGCAGATAGACTCCACCAATCCCAATGCTTCCTAGCTCTGGACTCTGTCGCATAAACTGGAAAAAGAACTTTAAAACACGCTCAGGAGCACAATTGGCCTTCAGAGCCGTCCCTTTTAAAGATTTACTCTAGTGCTGTATACAGGGGTGTGCAGGAGTCCGCGCATGCTACTTGTGAGAACCAATTGTGTGCATCTCTTCCCAACTGTTGTTTATCACATTAGTAGCTTAAGATTGGCCATTGTAGGAGTTTTACACCACAGAAATAGCCGAACGCTACAAATCAGGGTGGCTTTTTTTTTTTTTTATGGAGAAAAATCTACAGCATACCAATGGCTATGCTTAAAACAACATTTTATTGTCTCTCCCAGTTTCTGTGGGACAGGAAATTGAGAGGGGCTTGATTAAATGGTCCTGGGTCTCTTATGCAGTTACAGTCAGACAGTGTGGCTGGGGCTGGGAGAGGGGGAGGGTGAGCAGCTGGGGGTTGACTGGGAATCTCTCACCCTTTGTTGTCACGTGGTTTCTGCATGTAGGATAGCTTGGGCTTCCTCACAACATGGCAGTCAGAACAGTCAGAGTGATTCTCAGGGCTCCAGTTAGTTTTCTGTTGCCATGGCAGAGCTGAATTGCTTTATGATCTGGCTACTGAAGTCTGACAACATTACTTCCACTGCATTCTATTGAGTACATGTGAGTCAGAAGCCCATCCTGTTTTAAGGGGAGAGGAATTACACTCCACCTCTCAATGGGTGAATGGTAAGTTTCTCAAAAAGCATGTAGGATGAGAAGTATTGTTTTGGAAAATATAATCTGCCAGAGAGTTTAAAAGTATACTTTGGGATTTGCCTTTCAAGGCTACTGGACATTTTTCTAGCTATTTGGTGGGTGTGGCTACCTTTCCACTGTTGGGCATATATTTGATTTGTGAGAACAGACAAAAGATATTGAAAGCCGACTCCAGCAAACAATGCAGATAACTCTGCAGGATGACAATGGATCCGGAATAGGAAATGTTACAATGGTAACAGCCAGCTGAGACCTGACCAGGGGCCCGGAGACATTTCCAAGAGGATGGAGGAGCCCTTCTCAGCTACATCTCAGAAATAAATGCACAGCCTTCTAAGGGACTACTGTGAAAGACAAGGTGTTCTGGACTACATATTACAAAAGTGCCATGTTTTACTATGAAACCTGTCTCATTGCCTTGTAGCCACATTGCACTTTTCTTTGGTAACCATCAAAATATTTTGCATTGTATCAGGCACATGATGGAAACAAAGTAAATATCTGAGTGACTGATTGATATAGCTAAGCCAGTCCCTGGTTCAACTAGGTCCTTAGGCATTAGTTGGACTTGGCCAACTATCAAAAGAGAAGGTGACCCTTTCTCATCAAAACCACTTATAGAAATTCTAATGTGTTTAAACTGGGGGACTCGGGATATGAATACAAATGTACATTTCTCTTGATACACACTTCTTAGTTTATCTCTTTCTAAACTTCGTAAATCTATTTCCTGCCATCCTTGTTGACAGGGCTCATAGAGGGGAGGGGTGGGAACAATGGATGCTACTCCAGGTTTCTTCATGGCCTTGAGGTAGACCCAGATAAACCTTAACTGGCTTATTTCTGCTCAAGCCACTAAGCGTCTTCTTTTAGTTCTTAGACCCCACTTGACCAATTATGAATCAACCATCAAATATTTACCAAGGTCCTAACCTATTCTGCCACTAGGATAGAGATACACATAAAAGTCCTTATGTATCTGTACTTTCTCATTAATTAAAGCTCAGAATTTCCCCTCCGTGTCCCCAAAACTAAAACAATCTTTTAGTAAGACTCATGATTGTAGACTTATTGATGGTTAGATGGGATGGTGGAGACGTTTCCTGCTCACCAAATACCATATCCCCTTTCCCGAGCATATTCGCCAGCCTCCTTGCAGATAGGTGGGGCTGTGTGACTAGTTCTGGCCAATGAGCTGAGAAAGAAAATGATACATGGAACCTCTAGGGTTCTCCAAGAAACTTCCAGGTTGATGCATGATTCCAGGTTGGGTTGGGATATCCAAGGGTTCTCTTCTTCCATGATAATCATAGAGGTCATATGTTCCCAAGAATGTAGCCACAAGATGCAGGAATCACCATTAGTCTGGCTCTTTAAGTGGCTATGTAGAGCACTAGCTCCCTTGAATATCCCGCAGCCCCTGGCCAACCCATACTGGGTTACATTAAGACACTAAAGTTTTAGGGGTAAGTAGTTCTTGCAGTATAGCCTCAGCTAGCCTGACTAATACACATGGTCCACAACTAAAGAGCAGGAGCAGGAGTTGGCAAGGGTCTCATGAGAGGCTAGCTGAGTGGTCCTATATACAAAGCACACCACTCAGCTGGTCCAGGTGTGAGAAGCTACTTGGCTAGTGGGAAAAATTCCACCTAACTTTTGTTTTAGGAAAACTTAAAATGAGACTCTCAATGGCCAATAAAGGACATTTCCTTTGGACACAATAAATATTTGACATTTGACATTATTGTTATTATGGGATATATTTGTGGGTTCAGGATTATGACCATGTGTAGAGAGTCTAAAAGCCAATGTCTGATGAGCTAGGTGAACATTTGGCATTCTGAGAATATGTAAACATCACTTGTGTGTGTGTGTGTGTGTGTGTGTGTGTGTGTGTCCACGTATCTATAAAGTTCAGATGAGTTGAGAATATAATAAATGGGAGTTTTTAATCTGCATATTTTGTAGCTGGCAACCCAATGGCTCTACACTAGAAGCTGATATCAAATAATAGGAGATTATCATAAACTAAGTCAGAGGCCAGAAAATCAGCCCCCAAAGGAAGGCCAGTTATATACTAAAATATTAGGCCGTGAAATATAGTTGTTAAAAGTGCATTTTGGCCAGGTGCGGTGGCTCATGCCTATAATCCCAGCACTTTAGGGGGCCAAGGTGAGCAGATCACTTGAGGTCAGGAGTTCGAGACCAGCCTGGCCAACATGGTGAAACTCCATCTCTACTAAAAAATACAAAAATTAGCCAGGCTTGGTGGTTTATGCTTGTCATCCCAGCTACTTGGGAGGCTGAGACATGAGAATTCCTTGAACCCAGGAGGCAGAGGTTGCAGTGAGCCAGGATCATGCCACTGCACTTCAGCCTGGGTGATGGAATGAGACTCTGTTCAAAAAAAAAAAAAAAAAAGTATATTCTTTGAACTCTGCCTGAGTTAGAATCTTGGTTGCACCCCTCTTCAGATGTATGACCTTGGGTTAGTTATATAATCTCTATGTGCCTCAGTTTCCTCATTTGAAAAATATTGATGTCATATTATTGTTATGGCGATTAAAAGCAGTAACTGCATTAGGATTACGTTTGGCTGTTGTAATAGCATACCTCAAATAACAATGTATCTGAGTCACCATGGGCTTCTATAACAAAATATCATAGACTGGGTGGTTTAAACAACCGATATTTATTTCTCACAGTTCTGGAGGCTGGGAAGTACAAGATCAAGTTTCTAGCAGATTTAGTTCCTGGTGAGGACCCTCTTCCTGGCTTGCAAACTTCTCACATGGTGGAAAGAGAGTACTCTAATTTTTCTTCCTCTTCTTATGAGGACAGTAATCCCATGATGGGGTCTCCACTCTATGACCTTATCCAAACCCAATGACCTTCCAAAAGCTCACCTCCAAATACCATCATGTTGGGGTTTAGGGTTTTAACATATGAATTTTGGGAGACATAATCATTCAGTCTATAATACAGTGGCTTAAAAAAAGAAAGATTTATTTCTCTTACGCCCAAAGAAAGACCAAAGCTAGGCAATAGTATGTGGTCCACGGTGTCAGAGACCCAGGCTCCTTCTAAGTTGTTGCTGCTCCACCATCTTCAACACGTCTCTTCCACTTAATGATCTAAGATGGCAACTGGAGTTCCAGCCATCAGATCTTCACTCCAGCCAGCACAAAGGAATAAGAGAGAAATACAAGGCAAAGGGCTCATTCTGTATGTCTCCTTGACTGGAACTTGGTCCCATGGCTGCCCCTAAATGAGAGAGGCTTGTAGGCTTGTAAATGTGGTCTCTATACAGGGAAGCCACATGCCTAGCTTAAAACCTTGGGTTCTTTAGTTAAAGAAAAGCAGGAAAGCAGGTATCAAAGTATATAATTTGTAGTCTGCTTGAAACAGTGCCTGGTACTCAGTGAGCAGACAATGAACATAAACTATTAACTCTTATCAGAAGTCTGCCATATTGGATGGAGCTAGTCATGCTTCAAGCACGTCATAGGCCTCATCACCGTGCTCAGAGCACTTTTTTGGCTGAGTTTCATGCTCAGGATGAGTAAACAGACTGCCCTTCTGCTTTAACGGAGTAGCTACAACAATTAAAACATAAAAAGAGCTAAAGCTGGCATAGGAATAGTTAGACTGAATCTTAGGTTCCCTGGGAGAGAACATACCTGCACCTGAATGATGCTAAGGGCATTGGTACACTGTGCTGCAAGGGGAGCCCTGGGGGAGCAGTTGGTACAGGGGACATGCTCCTCCAGCTAGTGGGAGGGTTTCAGACAGATGTGGCCACATGCAATGCCAATGAGAACTGCTCTGATTCTTCTCAAGGACATATAAGGTGACATGTCAATGGTAGCTTCTCTTCCCAAGCTCATGGGCAAGGGCGGAGGGAAGAAGAGGAAATAGAAGACAAATGAGACTTGGAGAAAGCCTTGGATCTGGGAAAAACTGCCACTCCCTAACCTTGTCCCCAAAGCCTTTGGTTGCCAAGACTGCAGGGGAGCCACTGGCCCTACCCTAGGTTTGCGCAACAAATAAGGGAATGGCTTGTGGTGTTCTAACCTCTTCCATCTCTGACTCTCTGGTTATCTTCCTGGAAGCAGAGGCAGGAGAGGCCATCTTTGCCCCAGGTTAGTCAGCTATCTCTTAGAGGCTTCACCCTATGAATGTTTTATTTTTATTTATTTATTATTTTTATTTATTTTTTGAGACAGAGTTTCACTCTTGTCACCCAGGCTGGAATGCAGTGGCATGATCTTGGCTCACTGCAACCTCCACCTCCCGGGTTCAAGTGATTCTCCTGCCTCAGCTTCCCAAGTAGCTGGGATTACAGGTGCCTGCCACCACGCCCAGCTAATTTTTGCATTTTTAGTAGAGACAGGGTCTCACCATGTTGGCCAGGCTGGTCTTGAACTCCTGACTCAGGTGATTCGCCTGCCTCGGCCTCCCAAAGTGCTGGGATTACAGGCATGAGCCACCATGCCCAGCCCTATGAATGTTTTGGATCCTGTGTTTCTAAACCAGTGGTTCTCAAAGTGTGGCTCTGGACACTCTAGGGTTCTCCAAGAAACTTCCAGAGGGTTTACTAGATCAAAACTATTTTCATATTATTACTAAGATGTTATTTGTCTTTTTCACCCTCATTTCCTCATTAAGTGTACGGTAGTGGCTGTGTGTACGTAATGTCACAACAGAGTGAACATCCACCTGTCTTCTGTTCACCCAGACTTTAAGGAAATTTGCAAATATATAAATCAATCCCACTCTTCTCAGCTGATATTTTTGTTTTGAAAAATATCGTTGTTTTTCACAAAAATGTATTATTTATATTAACATATAACAGGTTTATTATGTTATTGTAAATAAATTAATATTTTACTTTTTAGACCCTCATCCAATGATCCATCAATTTTTTTTTTTTGAGACAGAGTTTTGCTCTTGTTGCCCAGGCTGGAGTGCATTGGCACCATCTCGGCTCACCGCAACCTCCACCTCCTGGGTTCAAGCAATTCTCCTGCCTCAGCCTCCCAAGTAGCTGGGATTACAGGCACGCACCACCATGCCTGGCTAATTTTGTATTTTTAGTAGACACGGGGTTTCTCCATGTTGGTCAGGCTGGTCTCGAACTCCTGACCTCAGGTGATCCGCCCGCCTCGGCCTCCCAAAGTACTGGGATTACAGGCGTGAGCCACCATGCTCAACCTCAAGTAAATACTTAAAATGTTCATAGTTTTAATTTCTAAATATGGCAAATGGCAATAAACAAAATCCCCATTTTAAAAAAGCTCTTTTGGGTTCTCTGCGATCTTCAGGATTCAAAAGGGGCTCTGAGACCAAATAGTTTTAGAACCACTATTCTAAGCAAAAGAATTTTCATACACATTAGTGTGCAGGTACACATTACTGCGCATGCACACGTATGTACACTTAAAAGTATATTGTGACCAAATATCTTCTCATACCGCTAGACCAAGGAGTAGCAAACTTTTTCTGTAAAGGACCAGAGAGCAAATGTTTCAGGCTTTTTGGGGCTGTCTAGTCTCTGTAGGGACCACTCAGCCCTACTGTAGTATCGACAAATCAGACACAGATGATCGCTAATAAGTGGGTGTGGCCATGTTCCAATAAAATTATTTATGAACACTGAAATTTGAACTTTGTATAACTTTCACTTTGCATAATTTCATAAAATGTTATTCTTCTGCAAATCTTCTTCTTCTTCCACATAAATACATTTATAAATCAGATAACATCCTTGTTTTCTACTTTTTGACATGGGAAATGTGATTATCCATGCCACGTCACTGCTTTTCTCAATGCTATCAATGGCCTTTAGATTAAGTGGGTGGTGAAGGTCAAGGGAGTCATCAGAAGTTTGCTTCTCTGGGAAGGCACATGTGAGCTGGGTGCTTATGCCTCAGAGATGTCTACGAGGAACCCAGCCAAAGGCAGGGCTAATGAAAGAAGAAACCGAGAAATTCATTATGCTGAACTGGGATCCAAAGTGTATAACAACCTCTAACATTTATTTTCCCACTCATTCAACACACACTGTATTTATGCGCTTACTATGTACCAGGCATTAAGAGTTAAAAGATAAAATTTGAATTCTATTTGCCAAAGAGACTTTCTGGAAAGCTTTTGGGAAAGGATGTCCACGAATAGAGGAGGTCTGTAATCCACAGGCAAGACCTCTGCAGTCTGAAAGATTCATACACCTAAGATACATACAGTCATTCTCATCATCTGTGGTGGTTATGTTCAATACAGGCACTCTGAACACCGAATTAGCACGTCCTGACCCACTGCTCCCAGGGGAAATACAAGGTTTGGTCCCTGTGAGCCTCTGATCATACTGTTTTTGTCAACAGATCAATGCATAACCGTGTTTTATGTGTGTTTCTGTTTAAAGACCCCTTATTTAATGTATACTGTTGACTCACTGATATTGAACTCAGTGCCCATGGCACTATCACTTATGCATGAACAAGCTTATCTAACGCATAAACTCTCTCTATAAGGCAGGAAAGACCCTTCTTGCGCTTAGGAACACCAGACGGCACTTCAGCACTGTGCCTAGGGGCCATTTTAAACAGCGAAATCATCAAGAAAAAAGCACAAAAATGAGAAAAATGTTGCACTAAACAGAGCATGAAAGGACATTTGCTCATAGTGTGAGAGCTGAACATGCACATACGTGTTCATCACTCTGCGCTTGTCTGTGAATGACCGTGAACATGCTGCAAGTCTTGATTTGGGGGTTACAAGTTAATTTTATCAAGTAGAAGAATTTGCCAACATGGAATTTATGAACAATGAGGATCAATTATATATATTTTTGGTGTCAGAGAAGAGCTCACGATGGAACCCCGTACACTTGTTTGGGAGGGGAGTTCGGTTGTGTGCACCTAAAATCTTTGATGCTGGGAGTCCAACTTTGGAAACTTATCTGGAGAAAATTATCAGGCAAATGAGTGAATGATTGTGTACAAGGATGTTCATTTATAATTTAATGAAACACTATGCAATCATGAAAATGCATTGATGAATATTTATTAACATGAAAAATTTATGAAATGCAAAATGAAAATACAGTCAAACAATATACACATCATAGGCCCATTTTTGTGATTAATATATTTTATTTACGATGTCTAAAACAGATATATTTAGTTTATAATCCAGATATTTTCAATTTCTGAGTAGAAAAAATTCTGAAATTATATATATTACTAAGGTACCATGTCTGGGAGTTGGGATTATAGAACAATTTAGTTTTGTTCTTTGTACTTTTCCGTGTTTTCTAAATTTGTTTACAGTGAAAGAACTGCTTCTATAATTAGAAATGTATTGTTTCACAATGAAGATTTTTAAGGTTCTTACTCTCTGCCAGGCATAGGGCTAAGTTCCTTAACTCTTGAATTTTTATTAAAATTGTATGAAACAATCATTTATATTTCACTATTTATAATAAAAATAGAAAAAACCTCAAGATTCCCTAGCCTCATTCCTCAGATTTGGAAGGCCCTCGAAGGCCAGCTCCCCCCGACACATCTTGCTGCCATTCTGGGAACCGGAATCAGAGGTGGAGACTCTGGCCCAAGTCCCCACTGCTCAGAAAAGTGCTGAGGTCTGAGTCTTTCCAGCCAGGGCAGAATTCCTGGGGCTTGGCCACAGGGACAGGACTAACAGATTCAGGCAGGAATTTTGTCTGTCTCCTCTATTTTTAAAAGAAATAGCCCCTGCCTAAACTGGGTTGAGCCTTGTATTATCTGGTTTTCTTCAAAGCCTGAGCAAAGACGAGCTGCCGCTATCCAGTTATGTGGGACTGTCTGGGGAACGGGGTTTCTGGGAGAGAAGGTACTCTGCCCAGAAACAACTCAATTGTCAGCAGGGCCCATTACTGCACGAAGATGAGCTTAACAGATGTCAGCCCATCAGCGTGAGAGTTTCTGCTTGTAATTTATCCTTTGGAGCATTGCTCTATCCCCAACTTATATTTTTCTAACAGTCAACAAATCAAAAAATGACCAAAGGTGATAATGGGGACCGAGTTTGGGCTCCCACCCTTTCCACATGGCACCTTCCCTAGTACCAGTCTCTCTAGTGTGATATTTGACGAATCCCCGACTTTCCAGCTTTTTCGTTTTACTCCATTACTTAAAAACTGCAGAGTCTACTAGATTTGAGGCCAGAGGACTTCGATGCAGGTGCCAGTCTGCCTCATCTGCCTGTGTGACCTTGACTAAGCCACTCATCCTTTCTGGCCGTTGGGTTACCCATTTGGAAAATCAGTTCGAAAAATTAGGTCATGTTTTGATTTGTCGACTTAAAAAAATGCAGGTTGGGCATACAGCAATGAGGTCCCATCCTGGAGATTGGATCATACTCCTGCCTGCGGAGGCATGTGTCTGTCATGGCAAAACCCAGTGTTTGGATTTTGTGATGTTGAAGTACAATCAGAGAACAAAATGGGCTACTCAATTTCAGCATCAATGAGCTTAGCTGGGCGGCATTGCTGTGGGCAGGAGCAGGGGGACCTTCCAAAAATCACACCACACAAGGGGTCTCCTGACCTACACAGAACAAGGCATTACCCCCTGGGGCTGGCCGATTGGAGCTCCTGGGATCACGTGGCAGAATTAGCCATGGTTTGTGGTTCTTTTCAAGCAGCCAAATTCTCTAAGAGTGGTGTAAATGTCAGTTTCATGAAAATCCATTCTAAAAGCCCCGATCAACTTTTCAATCACCTGCTCCCCCTTTTCTGCCCAGTTCTCCCGAGAGCCCGAGGCGATTCTGAGATCAGAGAGCATAATTACAAATGAACCGGGGCTCTGGGGATGGCTTACAGCTTAATTAGCTCCCATCCCTGCACTGTCTCCATGGCTCGCCTCACGCTCCGCTCAGCGCTCAGCTCAGTCCTGACTGCCAAAGAATTCAGAGCAGGAGCCTCTTGGCTTGTTAACATGCTCTCCTCGGTTCCTCCTGACACTCACATCTAGGCTGCAATTAGGCCCAGGTGAGGCGACAGAGAGTCCTGAGCAGCTCTCGCTGCCTCTGTATGTGCCTCCGGAGCTGGTTGGGGGTTGGTGCTTGTCTGGACCGGCCCGGGGGTGAGGTACACCATGGAATGTGGAGTGGCGGCGGCTGCAGCCACTTGCACCTGCTCGGCCCAGCCCAGGTCAGAAGGCTGCGGGCTGCAGGTGTGTTTCCAGGGGCACCTGACAGGGCAGGGACCGGTCATTGAAGGCACCTGGAGTTAAAGGGTGCTGTCTGATACCAGCTGGTGGGGGAGAGGGGATTGGGAGAGGTAAGGGCTGGGATGGCCCCTGGGCAGAAGTCACCCTGTGCAGCAGGAGCTTCCCTCTAAGCACAGCCATGGCCCTAGAAAGGGCTTTGGGCTTGTGCAACATTAAAAGGAAGAAACTACAATTGTACCTTGAGGGTTCCTCTCAAGGAAAAGCGCAAACCTGTAAGCTGATTTCTCGGTCCTCATGACTCCCTGGTGGCTTAAGGCTTGGGCTGTCAATGAGTTTCCAGCTTGCAGTGTGTGACTCTACCCTAGAGGAAACTCTCTCTCTCCTGGACAGGAGGAAGCTTAGAGGAAGAATCTTGAGGGCAAAAAGAAAGGTCATTAGCTGGGAAATAACACCTGTCCAAGAAGACAAAGGGAGGAAATAGCAGGGCCGCCTGCTCCCAAGCAGGATCCACCCTCACGTCACCTGGCTGCCGGGGGGGTCTGCCTAGGCTTATTGAACCCAAGACCCTACAGAAGGGTTTAAGCCTTCCTCAGAGACAGGAAGTGAAAAAACAAAACTGCAATAATGTTAAAGTGAATGTCTCCAAAACATAGTATTACCTCTGAAAGTTGAGGTCACTCTACTTCAATCATTACATAAAACTGTGTTCTAATGTTAGCCAGGGATGTACTTTAATCTGTTTCATATAACAGGGAGTCATTCCCCCAAAAGCAAGTGCCTGAGGCCTGTAAACCTCTTCACATAGACCTACCCCTCCCAAAAGAAACCTGCAAAGAGACGGAAGGAACATGAATCTGTTCAGTCACAAAAGCACCGAGGCATCTCAGGGACCACAGCTCCGGTCTGGGGCCAGCCACATGGCTCCAGGAAAAAACTTCTCTGTCAAAGAGATCCTCAGCACTCCCACCCTCAAAACTGCACTCACCTGCTAGGTTCATGGTCAGAACCTGGCGAGGAAGCCATGTGGTCCATGCACAGAGAGGCCGGTGCCACAGATTTTGGCTTTCCTTCTTTGGGAAGGATGATTAAGTGGGAGCATTCGAGGGAGAGAAGGAGAACTCCATCTATCTTCTCCTATCCTGGATCAAGAATTCTCTGTTCTGCTTGCACTCCTTTACTGAGAAGTGCCCTGTCTGCTTCCCTGAGCTCTGAACCGTGCTGCATTGTGGTTATATTGTTAGAAAACCATGGCTTCCGTGCACACGGTGAAGCGAGAGAGACAAGACGCTTTCCACATTTGTATCTTAAACAGGCATTGACTGAATGCCTACCATGTGCCTAGCAGGTGCTATTTTTGAGGTGCTCAGAGGCTGGCAGGGAGATAATTCTGGCAGTACAAAATTCCCCAGAGCAGGGGAAGGCACCGAGTGTGGAGAGGCCTGGAGAATGAAGGATTAATTCTAGCTGAAGGTAGGGAGGCCTCACAGAGCAGGCCACCACCAAGCCACGTCTCCGATGATGGCAAGGGTGTCCCTGGGGCCAGGCCTGAAAGACGGTGTGGACTTAGTGGGGAGGGACTGAGGTGCTAGGCAGGACCCAGGCTGGAGAAGTGGATTGTAATTCAAGGGAGAGACCCCTCATACTGCCCTGAGCAATTGGGAGAGCACCTCCTAGTCTATGGGAGCTACTGAAAAAGCCCAACTAGGAGACATCTGTGTGTTTCTAGGCTGCAGAGTAGAAAATGGAAGGGACAGGAAGGAAAACAGAGGCCTCATCTACTGACTGCTTTTTAGCAACATCATCGCTATGCACCAGTCACAGCCATGACGGGGTCACACCGCTGTTTCACCCTTCCAACGTACGCCTGGCTTTCTTTATAGCTTTTGTATCTAAAAACCAGCAGTGTTTTCATGAAGGCCAGAGATGGGTTTGGATCTAGATCCAGGGCCAGTTGGAAACCCCAGGCCTTGCTCCTCACAGTGTGGCCTGGGGACAGCAACATCATCAGCATCACCTGGGAGCTTGTGAGAAATGCAGAGTCTCAGGCCCCACCCAGACCCACTGCATCAGATTTCCCTAGCTCTCCAGAGCCATGTGTGACTTCCTAAGCATTCCTGGACCAAAAGTGGCCACTCCCTGGAGCAATGTGACCTGAAGGATGGACCCTTCCGCTCCCAGGCTCAGGCCACAGAGGACAGGGCAGGAGCAAAACCAGAAATTCCCTCCAGGTTCTAAGCAAGGCTTCAGCTTCAGTTTTTTGATATTCTAGGTGGGAGGCCAGCCAGAAAGGGCTCAGTCAGTCTCAGGCACACGGGCATCAGACACACCGTCAAGAAGCAAAACAACCCAGGAATGCAGGTGAGCTCATGCCGCCAAGCAGCAGTAATTCATGCTGCAACAAGTTACATGTGTTTTATAGAGGAGGAGGCCTGTACAGGTGGAGTCACGCACCCGTGCCTGTCAGCACTTACATTATCCATGATTATCCGGATTTTCTTTTCATTTGGCCCCAGAGAAGGAGCTGCCACACAAAGAGTTCAGCAGAACGAAGTCACTGGCCTTACTCCTGGATAGAGCAGTATCCACAGATGTAAAGAATAACCAGTCTAACTGTGTGTGTGTGTGTGTGTGTGTGTGTGTGTGTGTGTGTGTGTGTGTGTGTGTAGGAGACATGCGGGTCAGACCTCAGGGCTGCTGAGATATGATGTACCCTAAAGGGAACTTGCAGAGAAGCTCTCTACCTTGCCGATCTGTGGGTCACAGCGTGAGAACAACTTTCTCATCATGTTTAGGGCCTTGAGCATTTGAAAATAATAAAAAGGAATAGTTTGAATTAAAATTTATGGTTGAGTCTGCCTGTCTGGGAGGAGCTGGCTTAGTGGGCAAGGCTGACGCCAGCCAGGCTGCAGGGGCTGGAAGAAATTGGACACCAGCAAGGCTGTGAGGAGGGATGACTCTCCCATAGACCTGCGTGGTGGGCCCTCTCGGCCAGCCGCTCCCAGCTCTGGTTGCACATTGGATGCTCCTAGGAGAGCGTTTAAAAAATGCTGATGACTGGGCCACACCATAGACACAGTAAATCTGAACCACTGGGGTTGGAGCCCAGTAACTGAATGATTTTTAAAGCTCTCCTGGTGATTTTAATGTGATGTCAGGATGAAGAATCATAGGCTGAGGCCAAAGGCTCCAGGCTCGAGGACAGCAGGTGGGCCCTTAATGTTTCTGCTCCTGGGTGGGTCTTCCCCTCTACTAGGCAGGCATACAGGCCTCAGTGGGTGCAGGAGGGGTGATTTCTAGCATTCAACTCCTTGGGAATTTTACCAAACTGTGTATAGGGACGGCGAGTGTGACCAATCTGTCTGCAGGGCTGTGGAGTCAATTCTGCAGCAGCTGCCCCTGTCTCTGCTAGCCTCTGAATACTTGCTATGGACACTTAAAATCTCCACCAAGATGCGTGCGCTTTTCATTTTTCAGAGAACGTGTACACCAATGATCTTATTTTATCTTGTGTATTAGTTTTCTATTGCTGATGTAACAAGTTACTGCAAAAGTCATGGCTTGAGACAACAGACTTAATTGCCTTATAGTTCCAGGGCACTAAAATCAAGGTGTCGGCAGGTTGCATTCCTCCTGGAGCTTTTTGGGGAGAATTGGGTTCCTTCACTTCTCTGTCTTCTAGAGGCTGTTGTGTTCCTCTGCTGGTGATTGCCTTCCTCAAATCACTCTGACCTCTACTCTGTCTCACATCTCCTTCTCTGACCCTCCTGTCTCTGTCTTCCAAGGACCCTTGTGTTTACATCATGCCCACCAGGATAATCTTCCCATCTGAGGATCCTTCCCTTAGTCATATCTACAAAGTCCCTTTTGCCATGGAAGGTCACATTCACATGTTCTGGGGATTAGGATATAGACCTCTTTGGGGGAGCCATGACTCCATCTCCATGCCCTGACAACAGCCACGTGAGTCAGCTGTGCGTTATTATACCCATTTGGCAAATGACAAAACTGACATGTAGCCAGAGACCTAGGTTTTAGAGAGCAAAGGTGAAACTATATGCTTGTTATCCTCCACCTAGTTGTTGCCCTGCCCTCCTGTGGAGGTGGTTATTTCCACACACTTTTGTTGGACAGGTTCGTGGGCACCCAGTTACTGATACAAAATTACTGCCATCAGGTTGGGTGTGCATCGCCATGGGCCCAGGAAGCCAGTTTCTCTCTCTGGGTTGGTGCCCATGGTTCTGGACAACTCTGATCTCCTCGACTAGGTCTATGCACCTTTACACACAAATGATTACCACACGCCTCTCCTCCATGGCATTTGTCAGGATTCTACCACTGTTTATGTACCTCTGTCATTAATCTCAGCCTTTCCCTTTCAACGGTAAACTCCATGAGGACAGAATACATACTTGCTTTTGCACTCCAGCACCTTGTAGAGCACATGTGAATGTTTAATAAAAATGTGTTAAACGAATGAATGTTTGTCAGCAGTCGAAGCCTTACAGATGACAAGCAACTACTCCTTTGCCTTGTAGAAGCTGTGGCTGATTGCTTTAGTGTTCCCATCTACTCACTTCCCTGTAGGAAGATTACGCGTCCCATTCATTGGCCTGTGACTGTGGGGGCTGCTTCCTGCCCCACTGCCAGGCTTGGTCATGTGACTTGCTTTGGCTAATGGAATGTGAATGTGAATATAACAGAAGCCATGTCTGCGCAGCTCTTAGAGCAGTTCCATGGCTTTGCTCTGCCTCTTGTTCTTTTCCCTTTCCCAAGAGAATACAATATCCAAACTATAAGATACTTTTCTGGCATGTGTCCCAGAATGAGAAGACATTAAGGAATGGAGCCACCATGTTCACCTTGCAGCTCTCAATATGCCTGAGATTGAAGCTGTTGTTGCTGTAAGCCAATAAGATTTGCAGGTTTTCGTTATTGCAGCATAACTTAGCAAATTCTGACAAATACAGAAGTCATCACTGGACAGCTCAGGGCATATCCAGCTTTCCTTCCTCCCCAGTGGTGACCCAGGTTACAGCCCTGGCTCTACCACTTGCAACCTGTGTGATTTTGAGAAAGTCACTTCACATCTTTGGCTTCAGATTTTTATACCAATAGATAAAAGCTTCTTCTGGCTTCAGAATCAGCGATTCTGGAGATCTAGCCTATTATTCGACACTTGACTTCTGTCCTTAATGAATTATCTGCAGATGGTATATGGTGCCAGGGAAGTTGCCCCAAATTTTTAGTATGACAGTTATGTATTCTTGGGCAAACTTTTTTATCTCTCTTTTTGTTTCTAAAAGTCTTATTTGTAAAAGGGACAGTTATCACACAATGTGGAGGTATGTCACCTAGCTCACAATATGTACTCAATAAATTTAGGTGTCCTCCCCTTTCCCTTAGCTACTTGATCAGATTCATCTTTTCAAGTGTACTTTTTTAGCATCTTGCATGCCCTAAACTTGGGTGCTTTGAGGGAGGGGGTGAAAATTCCTGGAAAAAAAATGCACAGAAATGTACACAGATGTTCACAGCAGCATTACTTCTAATAGCCCCAAAGTAAAAACAACAGAAAGGAATATTATTTAGCCATAAAAAGGAATAAAGTACTGATTTATGCCACAACATAGATGAACCTTGAAAAGATTATGCTAGAGGAAAGAAGTCAGTCACAAGTGGCCAAACACTGTATGATCCTATTTACATTAAATGCCCAGAATAGGTAAGCCCAGGGGGATAGAAAGTAGATCTGTGGTTATCTAATTTACTGGGAGGCAGCAGAGTATGGAGGAGTTGAGTGGGAGCGGGAGGGTTGGTGGCTAATGGGTATGAGGTTTCTTTCTGAGGTAATGAAACTGTTTTGTGGTCAAATAGTGGTGATGATTGCACAACTTTGTAAATATACTAAAAACCACTCAATTGTACACTTTCGTTTTTTTAATCATGTACTTTAAAAGTATGGAACATGTGGCGTGTGAATCATATCTTAATATTGAAAAAAACCCAACAACCTCAGAAGGACGCAGAGGGATGAGTCCCAGGGGCTGCTGGCTCAGGTGGAGGAGCATTGCCACGCCAGCCCTTCTTCTCAGCCTTGTCAGTGTTATCTTGCTTTGTTCTCCTCCTAAATCTCTCTTCTTTTCTTTTGATGCCGCGTGCTCCAGCAAGGGGAAAGGTCTCTTGTTGCTTTGCTCAGAGGAAATGGTTAGGAGTTTTCAAAGACCATTTTATTAAAAATTTTAAAAGAGGCTGGGTGCGATGGCTCATGTCTGTAATCCTAGCTCTTTGGGAAGCCGAGGCGGGTGGACCACCTGAGGTCAGGGTTTCAAGACCAGCCTGGCCAACATGGCAAAACCCCATCTCTACTAAAAATACAAAAATTAGCCGGGCCTGGTGGTGCATGCCTATAATCCCAGCTACTTGGGAGGCTGAGGCAGGAGAATCACTTGAACCCAGGAGGTGGAGGTTGTAGTGAGCCAAGATCATGCCACTGCATTCCAGCCTGGACAACAGAGCAAGACCCTATCTCAAAAAAAAAAAATTAAACACATAGGGAATAAAAATATAAACACATAAAAGATGGAAGTGTTTTGGAGATCATATTCTGTACACTGAAGTAGCCACAAGCTCAGGCCAACTCTGGGTCTTGTGTCCTTCCCACCCCCTCAGCCCTGTCTAGGGGAACCGGCCCTGGAGTCCCATGTGGAAGCTCTGGACAATTTCCTCCGTTCTCCCTTCCCGTTCATGCTGGGCCTGAGCCCTCACTGGTCATGGTGTAGTGGAAATGGATGGCAATGGGTTGGTGGTCCTCTCCATATAGAACACCATTTTCTTCCCCCACAGACCCAGGGACCAAGGCACTGGTGAGTGGGGGAGGGGGGCATTTATGAAGACTCTCAGTTATTCCTTCCATTCCCCATTCTTCCCCCTACAAGAGAAGGAAGGGTCATTTCCTTACAGCGCTCCACCAACACTTGTCGATGGACCCACTGCAAAGCACCCAGAAAATCATAACTTCTTCTTGCTTCACAGAAGACTCTCAGCCCCTCACTCCCATCTTCAATCTATAGTTTCAAAGATCACCAACTCAATTGTTAGAGTATCCTAGCAAAATAGAAATAATTTCTCTGTTTTTCGCTTGGATGATTTTAGTTTTGCATGTGTTTTGGATTGGTTGGAGTCCTATTGGCCACTATTACATGACCAACTTGAGCTGATAGGACAACTCTCCCACATACAAGAGAGTGGACGGGTAGCACCTTGGGGCCCCTCCAGAGACCGTCATCACCAGTGGGGTGGGGGAGTGTCTGCTTTTCCTCACCAGTCCCCACTTACCTCCGAGGGTTTGGCTGGTGTTATCCCGAGAGACCTTGGGATATGGGAACATGATTTGTCTACTTCTTCAGAGCCTTAGAAGCTTATTTACAAAGCCCTCCTGGTCCTGGGTTGAAAGGGCTTGCAGAAAGACGTAAGATGTTCTCAAAACAATCCAAGATCCAGTCAATATTTATAACCCAGGGCTTTAGCTCAGGTGGCTTCATGAGACTATTTGAGCTCCACTTAACTACTGTACATTGATCATCTGTGGGAGCCCTTTTGCCTGCTGGCTCCTTTATCTTTATTATACTGTGCAGTTGGGAATACACTTGACTCTCAAAGGCTCAACTTGTACCTTTCAAAGGAAAAATTTCCACCTTATTTTTAAGCCCTATCTTGTTCCCCTGCAGTCTGAATAAACATTACTCAATAGCTGGAGTTACTTAAGCATCAATCATTTCCATTTCAAGGAGAAGGTAAAGGGAACAAAGATGTAACAGCACAAAAAGATTGAAATTTAACCTCCACCGCTGGGTGCTTTCCAAGCTTGTTCAGATTAGTTCGTCAAAAAAAAAAGCCCCAGAGAACTGATGTTACCTCAAGTTCACTGAAATTCTCTTTCTCTCAAGGATTACACTTGACTATGAAGCAAGTCATCCTGGAAACCCTAGGCAGGCAATGAACTCGGCTAGTGAACAATTTGCTTTCTCTGAGTGGTTTCCACAAACTTTTTACATTCCTCTTATCTTCAATGCACCTTCCATCAAACTGGTCTCTCGCCTGGCCTCCCCCATACCTCTGTCCAATACAACTCACAGTTCATGGCCTTCCATTCTCTCTCTCTCTCTCTCAATTCTTTCTTTCTCTCCATCCTCCTCTGAAAAATAAAATCATCCTGTATAGAAAAATTGGCCTCCAAAATCTCTACTTTCTCCAGTCTCATTGACTTCCCAGATGCCATTTTTGGCTCTGAGATGTAGAAGTCCTCTCCAGAGTGGTGACAGTGTGTGCCTGGGTGTGGTCTCAGACCACCTGTTCTCAACTCCCCCGGGGACCTTGGTAAGCAGCTAACTTCCCCGAACCCTATCCATCCCTACTGAATTAGACTCTGGAAGTAAGCCAGGAAATCTGCATATTAAGCAAGCTCCCCAGGTGATTTTTGGCCCAAGGAAGTTGGGGATCTGCTGTACTGAGGGAGGATATTGGCTTTGGAGTCAGAGAAACCCTTGCTGGGTTCTGTGCTTCGCTCTTTGCTAGTGGCATGATTTTAAAAACAGCTTTATTAAGATAGAATACACATACCATGAAATTCACTCATGCACGAATCAGTGGTTTCTAGTACATTCACAGAGGTGTGCAACCATCTCTACAATCTATTGTAGAACAATTTTATCACCCCCAAAAGAAACCCTGTGTCTATTAGCAGTCACTCCCCATTTACCCTTAGGCTCCCAGCCCTAAGCAACCATTAATCTTATTTCTGTCTCTATGGATTTGCCTATCCTAGACACTTCATATCAATGGAATCCTACAAAATGTGGTTATTTGTATCTGGCTTCTTCCATTTAGCATAATGTTTTCAAAGTTCATCCGTGTTGTACCATGAATCAGTACTTATTCCTTTTCGTGGCTGAGTAATATTCTACTGCATGGATATGCCAGCTTTTATTTATCCATTCATCTACTGATGGGCATTTGAGCTGTTTCCAGTTTGAGGCTATTGGAAATAAGGTTGCTATGAACATTTGTGTACAAGCTTTTGGCATGGAGGCATGCTTTCATTTCTCTTGTGTGAGCTAGGCATGGAATTGCTAGGTCTTATGGTAACTTTATATATAACATTTTGAGGAACTGCCAGGTTGTTTTGCAAAGTGACTGCACAATTTTACATTGTTACCAGCAGTCTATAAAGGCTGCAGTATCTCCATATCATTGCCAACACATTTATTTTCTATCTTTTTTTAAAATTATAGCCACCCTACTGAGTGCAAAGAGGCATTTCACTGTGACTTATATTTGCATTTCCCTAATAAATAATAATGTTGAGCATCTCCTATAATGATTGGCCTTTTGTATATCTTCTTTGGAGTACCTAATTTAGGAAGGCATTTAACACCTCTGAGCTTCAGTTTCCTTGCCTATAAATTGGAGTAATTGACAAGGTGATTAAACTAAATGAGGCAATGAAGTTGGAGTACCTGACACACAGTAGGCACTTAAGGAAGGTTAACCTTCCACACCACTGATATTTGAAACATGTCAACGTAGACAGTCTGGAGCCATGATAACCAGATTCCCTTTCCCGTAAGGCTCTGGGTTAGGATTGGCCAGGGGAGATATTAGTGGGAACTCTGGAAGACACAGGTGGCTCAGGAGCCACTTCATGCTCTGAAGGTTGGCACAGTGCACCATGGCAGCTCGTGCATGCTGCTGCTGCTCTGCTGTCTCACTTTGTTGCCATGAGGCAGCAGGTGCCCCTGCAGCTCTGTCAGCTCCCACTGGATCTGGTCCTTCAACTTCTGTAAGTCCTGGGCCAGGTGTCTGTGCACTTCCATGGCAAAGGGCACAGTTTCTTCAGCAGATCATCTGTGTTATTAAAGGTACATGGGAGACAAGCTTGGGTTCCAGTTAGTCCTTATGGATTCCAGCTTATCCATGCTCCCTTCTATTCACATCCAAATTTTTTTTCCTCTCTGCTGGGTCTAGCTGACCTATAACGACTTCAGGCTTAACACCAGAGGCAACCACCTTGCATAGATTTTTCCACCAGCTTTTTGTACTGTGTATAGCCCAATTCCTATGAGAAATGTCTGATTCTCTATCATTCAGAGTGATTCTGATTCTCTGATTGAACCTGTGAGATGCAATCACCAAGGGCAGCTGTGGCATCTCCCCAGCTAGAGAAACCAGGGGCTGGGATGAAAGTTGGTCTCCCCAGCAAAAGTAAACGCATGGTGACCTGGAGTTCTTCCCATACCAGTAACCTCAGGTCTCCCCAGGCAGAGGTGAACCTCCACTAAACCCTCCTGTGTAAGTTTCCTATGACTGCTATAACAAATGACCACTAACCTAGGGGCTTAAAACAACACAAATTTATTACCTGTCAGTTCTACAGGTTGTTAATCCAAAATAGGTCTCATGGGCCAAAATCAAGGTGTCGTCAAGGCCACATTCCTTCTGTAGGCTCTAGGGAAGAAGTCATTCCCTTGTCTTTTCCAGCATCCAGAGGCTTCCTGCATTCTTTGGCTTGTGGCCTCTTCCTCCATCATCAAAACGAGTAGATAAGCATCTTCAAATCTCTCACTCTCTTACAATGACCCTCAGGTCCCCTCTATAAGGAGTCTTGTGATTATTCTGGCCTCACTTGGATAATACAGGATAATTTCCCCATCTGCAAAGTCTGTATCTGCAAAGTGCCCTTTTCTATAGTGTGGCATATTCACAGATTTTGAAGATTAGGACTTGCACATCTTTGTGGCCATTATTGAGCTGACCGCATCTCTAGATCCATTCTCCTTACTTCCTCCCTGCTGTTCAGTGCCCTAAGAGACTGCTGAATGAACTGCATTTACCAGCTCTCTTGCCCTCTTGCTTCTGGTAGGATTTAGCCAACGGGGGGCACCAGTGAAGATCAGAGAACAGAGGAGTCCCTGATTCTCTGCCTGAGGATTGAATGCATCCCTCTATCAAAGGACACACTCCTGGTGGCCAACCCTTTCCACACAGCTCCAGCTCCACTTGTTCTATTTCCATTTCTTGCCCCTCAGGCCTAGGGATGGTAGCCGCTTCCCTGCCTGGCTAGCTCCAAGGTAATGCAACATTCCTTGTTGGTTTCCTTTAACCCTGTACACATCTCTGTAAAAGTCCCTGTTTGGCATAAATGTAACAGCTAAAACTATAAAACACTTAGAATACAACATAGCAATAAGTATTCGGGTTTAACAATGGATTCTTAGATATGATCAAAAAAACCCCAGTCAACAAAAGAAAAAATAGATACACTGAATTCCATCAAAATTAAAAACTTTTTCATAAAAGAACACTAGCAAGAAAGTGAAAAAGACAACCCACAGAATGACAGATCTGACAAGGGTCTAGTATCTAGAATATAAAGAACTCTTACCAATCAACAGAAAAAGACAGACAATCCAATTCACAAATGAGCAAAGACCTTGGATAGGCATTTCTCCAAAGAAGAGAGACACATGGCCAACAAGCACATGAAAAGATATTCCCAACATTAGTCATTAGGGAGATACAAATCCAAACACAGTGAGATACTACGTCACACATTGTAGGATGGCCATAATCAAAACAAAACAACAAGTGGGTTGGTGAGGATGTGGAGAGTGGAACCTTCATACACTGCGGGTGGGAAGGTAGAATGGTGTGGCTGCTGTGGAAAACAGTTTGGCAGTTCCTCAGTAAATTAAATGTAGAATTACCATGTGATCCAGCAATTCCGCTCCTAGGTATATACCCCAAATAATTGAAAACAGGTGTTCAAATAAAAACTTGTACATGAATGTTCCATTCCATCACCCATGGATCCTCCCAGTCAGCTCAACTTATGAGCAGAAAACATTTGCTTTTAGACCCTCACAGGAGACAATGGGTGTCATTGCAAAAAGCCAATGCATGGAGCCTATGGAGGGGAGGGCTGACCATTGTCCAGGAGTGCTAATCACAGCGTAACACAAAGTTCAGGGTTTCTGCCAGCTGGGTTATTTCTCAGTATGCTGGAGGGGGTGGAGGTTGCCCTTCACATGCCTAGAGAGGCCCCTGATTTATGGGGCTTTAAGAAGAAAACAAGGTCAGAGGAAAATTGGCTGACCCACTGTGAGTCCAAGTGACTTCAACTAAAACAGACAGAGAAGATGGAGATGATAAAAAAGGAAAATTCAGATTTAGTGTCTGATGCTCCACCTCCTAAAAATAGGCAACCTCCCAGGCTCTGTCCTTGGCTTTCTCTTTGCCTTGTCTCTTTTGGAACTCACTGTTAGACATTTCTGTGCTAAATATTTCTATCTGCCAGCTACAAACCCTCTGCTGGGAGTCATAGCACACCTCCAAGGCAGCATATTCCAAATTGAACTCCTCTTTCCTTCCTTCATTCACTGTGCTCCTCTTGTCACCATCATCTCCAAACTACTCAGCACCCTGGCCTCCCTATCTGTCATGCTGGCACTGCCACTTCCCCTCACCCTGGCTCTGAACCTCCTAGTCTCTGGCATCCACATCCCTTCCGTTTCCTGGGACCACAGCCTCACAGCTGCACTGTGCTCAGCATTTCACAAGGACTGTCACACTCAGCCTTCACATTTCCTAGCAAATTGGAAGTGAGGCATCTGACACCATATACCCAACCCGTATTGCCTGCCAAAGCCATTGAATCTCTGCTTCCTGGCTCTCCCTAAGGGGCAGTCTACCATTGGACCCAATGTCCAAGTTCTCTGAAGGCCTGGCTCCAAGCTACCTGTCCCCTGCTATAAGCCTTCAATTCATTATCATAGAAATGTTGAAAACTCCATTTCCCTCATTCTGTATCAGAAGTTTCTTGCATATCTATTTTGTGCTGGGCATGGTGTTAGGGACTGGTATCAAAAGAGTGAGCAAGACTCTCAGGGGGCTCACGATCCAATAGGTAAAGTAAGTGTGACCTCGGACTATAGGGTGAAAAGGGCTGCAATAGAGAGTGAGGAAGTGAGTATCCTCTGGGACCACAAATAAGGTACCAACCCCAGACTCAGTAGGTCAGGGAAAGCCCCAGGTACCCTCAAGATCAAGTCTAGATTCCTCAGCAAGGGTGCGAGCATACCCACACCTGGCCTAGATTCCCTTATCTGGCCTCTAGACTCCTCACATGTCCATGAAGCACCCACAAAGAGGTCCTCCTGCCTCTTTCCAAACAAGCCAGCACCCTCCTACTCCTAACTGTTGTTATTCATTCTTCTTTCTCTGGGTTATTCTTGCTCCTTACCTTTACATGTCAAACTCCTACTGAGCCTTTGAGAGCCATAGAAACACTACCTCTTCCCTGAAGCCTTCCCTGGTCTCCAGACTCACACATAATTTCTCCGTGCATTGCCCTTATCATTTTCTACATGGTATATTGCATGTATCTTCCTTGTCCCACTGAACTCAGTCAGGGCAGGCACACATTGCTCATCTTTGAGGGCTCCCAAAGGGCCTACCTACCACAATGCCCTGCACTGAGGTGAAGGAGGAGGTGAGTTAAAAGCCCAACAGGGCCAGGCACAGTGGCTTACGCCTGTAATCCCAGCACTTTGGGAGGCCGAGGTGGGTGGATCACGAGGTCAAGGGATTGAGACCATCCTGGCCAACATGGTGAAACCCTGTCTCTACTAAAAATACAAAAATTAGCTGGGCATGGTGGTGCACCCCTGTAGTCCCAGCTACTCGGGAGGCTGAAGCAGGAGAATTGCTTGAACCAAGGAGGCGGAGGTTGCAGTGAGCCGAGATCGTGCCACTGCACTCCAGCCTGGCAACACAGCAAGACTCCGTCTCAAAAAAAAAAAAAAAAAAAGGCCCAACAGGATTTCATTGTTTACATTGAAATATTAATGGGTTACACATGGTAGATTTGAAGCATTCTGTATGCACTGCGTACTTGTACTAAAATCCTCTGTCCACTCATCTGCTTTCTCATTGGTCTGGGAAAAAGTTAAGGTATGTCACGTTAGTCTATGTGTCCTGGGGCCTTGAGCTACACCTTGTAGATCTGTAGTAAACATTTCCTGACCCCCAACCAAGAGCGAAAATGTCAAAGTCTTTCACATTACCCTTGTTAAGACTAAATTAAGGCTCTTGCAAATATAATCACATCTTTCTCTTTCATACATTTGGTGAGGGAGCACTGGCTTTTATTCTGGGATCATTGCTCTCTGCCATCCTTCCCAATCCATTGCTCTCCATTTGTCCACCCACCGCTAAATCTTCACCTCCTAAACCAGTTCTATTTGGACTGGCCATCAGCCCAATCCATACAACCTTCCTTCCCTTCTCTCCTCTCGCACTTGGGCCTCTCACCTTGGCTTTACTTTGGAGAAAGTTTAAAAGGCCGGTCTCCTCCGTCCCCTTTAATAATATTATGTTATCTTGATCAGCATTTGTATTTCACATTGTAAGATTCTGGCCTGAATTCTGACTTCACTGGGGAAGGGGAGGGAGTTGGAAAGAGGATTGTTGATGACGGCGATATTTTATTACGTGTGATGGTCATGGGTTAGACGTTCAGCTCTTCAAGCTGGAGGCTGAGGGTGGGGAAGGGGAGAGGACACTAAGTATCATGAAGTCACAGTGCAAGATATTTTTCAAGGAGACATCAAAGCCTTTTTCCATGGTGTCTTGCCTTGACCCCATTTCACACTGGCAAAACACAAACTCAAATTAAAGTAAAAATACCAGGACAGCTCCATTTAGCCAGTTGGGCTGCTGGGCTAAGTGACTGACTTTATTAAAATCGCCAAATGCAAACATTCCAAGATTTATTTTCCTTGCTTATAATTTTGCTGCCTTTCCACTGGTGGGCTGTTTATTTCTAATAATTTGGTAGAAAAAAACATTGGCTCATACCAGTGGAGGTCTTATATGCCAAACTGCAAACCAGAGCACATTTTACTGAGGAATAAAACCCCTGGAATACAGGCTCCGGGGGGCCCGCTGACGGCAAATTTACAAGCGTAGTACAATTGACGCCATTATAATTAGTTCCCCCCAAAAGTCTTATTTTTCAGGGCAGAGATCCGACTCTTTCTCTTTACACATGAATATCTCCGGACTAGAGCAAGAACATTACAGAGGGTGAGTCATAGACCGGCTTTGGGCTTTAAAGATTAACGCAGATCCTATAAATCTAACCCACATTCTTTTACTGGGAATGACTGACTTTTATGAAAACCAAGGATTGTAAATCAGAAACCTAAATAGCTTACTTTGCAGCAGATAAACACAGATTTATGTAGTGAGGGAGCCCTAAGTTAACCCTTTCATGGGGCCACGGCGGACCTGAGGGTATGTGTGCGGTGGGGGTGGGTTCCATCAGCACTGATGTTCCTTTCTAAACACTGCACGGTGGAGAGGAGACATGCCACATGTTTATCTCCAGCAGACTGAGGTGGGAGGCAGGAGGAGTGCGTCTTCTTGAGCCAAGTGAGCTTCCTACTGATCCATCTCAGCTGGGTGCACGTTAAGCAGACAAGATTTGGCCCCTGATTATTTCAAAGGACAGTTTCCAACTTGAAGTGACACACACACCAGGGCTAACCTAGAAGGGGCTTCTGCACTCGTGCTCGTATGCGAGCCTATGGTAGCCTGGGCTTCTAATCATCAGCTGTGTAATCTCTGACAAAGCACCAAACCTCTGCGGACCTCAACCTTCTCGTCAGCAACATGCTGCACCTGTCATGTCATAAGGATTAAACAGGACAGTTTTGTAAGGTGCTTAAAACAGTGCTGGACTCACGCTAGGCACTCGATACATATTAGCCAGTATTATTCCTATTGTTACTAGAGCCACTGGTTACATAGACCGGGCTTCTCAAACTACTGCGCACACAAGTCGCCTAGGGACCGAATTAACGTGCAGCCCTGATGCAGCCGCCTGAGACCCGCCTTTGCAGCAGCCTGCCAGGAGGTGCGGATGCTGCCGGCGCCTGGACCGCGCGTTGAGCAGTGCAGGTGAACAGCTCGCCTAACGCACAAGCCACGCCCACACCCTTTCTACACGCTTTCTCGTTCACTTCTCATTGCAACTCCTTCCGCCGCGTGGACAGGTTCAGCACTCTCGGAGTCGATGTCATTATTCGCCATCGACGCGAACCTCGGCAAAGAGACGGGTCTTACCGGTCTCCGAATGTTCTCAGGCCCTAAGCGCGCAGCCCCGCACCCGGGTGCAGCCGGCGCGGTCCCACGTGTCCCTACCGCGAGCCGCTCCCCGCGTCCCTGCTGCCGCCGCGCGCTTAACTCTGCCTGCCCGCCCGCCCCGCCCCGCCCGGCCGTTCCTGCGCAGCCCTGGGTCGGCCTCGCGCTTCTGTGTTTAAACAAGCCTCGCCCTTGTGTTGCCCACTGCAACTTTAAAGGGAAACAGGGCCCGCTGATCCCGGGAGGGAGAGAAGGACATCTATCATTTTTATGTGGCATTTCAAAGGAGGAGGCCTAGGCAGTCCACAGACAAAGGCCCGCTGCGGGGTTAATGGAGAACCCCCATTTAATCATTAACGCTTAATACTAAACCCGCCCAGAGGAGGCCCGCCTGAGGGGGGTGCAGAGGGTCGCCGGGAGGCCCTGGCTCAGCCCTTGGGGGCTGAGGGGCCCTATGGGGGTCGGACGGGTTCAGGGCTGTCGTGGGTTGCTATGGAGTTGGGGCTCCGGGCCATCCTTGCAGAAGGGGGTTTCTGCTGAAGCTCAGGGTGGGAGCGTGAGAAAGGAGGGAGTGGTCACCGAGGAGGCACCAACTGGGGAACTGAGTGCTTTCCACAGGCTCCCCTTGCCCTGGGAAGGTGAAAGCATTAGTTTACTTTCTAGGCCCGACCTGAAATCCGAGTAAACCACGCAAATCCACGCGCACCTGGCCTGTGGTCCCCTGCGAATGTGGGGCCTCCGCAGTGCTTCCTCCTTCTGCCAGGGTTGTGACATGGGCATCCCCAGGCTCTTTGGAGCGCCCCTCCCCACCCCACTCAACCCCAGCACTGAGGCATCCCCAGACTCTGACATATGCTGACGCCCCCCACCCTCAGGTGCCCACCTCTCACCCCTCTGTCTGCCCCAGCTCCCCACCCTTATCACATTTTAATCACTTACCTGGAGCTGGGAATAAGCTGCCTCCTCATTGTTTTCCCAAATGCTTGAACAAAGCCTGGCATTGCACAGTGAGAAAGTCATTTCCTTTCCAATGCCCCTCCAAACCTGAGGAGGAGGAGGAGCAGAAAACGTGGCCAGCACAGGCTTTGACCCCTGCTGCGCACCTGTTCAGCCTTTTCTTAAAAGAGGAGAGCAGACCTCAGGCCCTAAACTGACCCTGGTTTCTGGCCAGAATTTAATACGCACCGTAGTGTGTTAACTCCCTTCTACTTAACTTTTAATTTTTTTTTATTTTGAAGTTTAGCACCATCCGTGATGTTAACTGGATGTAAAACGGAGTGAATCATCACAAACTGAACAACCTGTGAAACCAGCACCCAGATGGAGAAACAGAATTTGCTAATTTTGAATTCACAAAACAGAATTTTTCTGGGCTCCGGGAAGCCCCTCCCCCATCCCTTTCCACTCTCTATCCCTCCTTCCAGAAGGGCAGCCACTCTCCTAACTCCCAACAGAAGATAATTTTGCCTGCGTTTAGTTTTCCATCAGTCATTTAAATGGACTCACCTGGGCTCAGCTTCTCTCCCTCAACCTGTTGGTGATTTCCATTTGTGTTCAGTGGTATGTAGTTGTAGATTTTTCATTCCCTTTGCTGAAGAGTATTCATTGTGTTTATTTTTATGGTGACTTTCTATGTGTAATACACAGATGCCGGTTTTCTATTTACCTCCATCTCTACATGTTCAAATTACAAAACAATAAAACAAATCGAGTTCATTTAAAAAATCAAACACAGCCCTGGTGGGACACAGATACCGCAGCAGTAGTGTGGACGGTGCATGAGTCGTTAAGATGTGGCATTTCAACCTAGTAATTTAGAGAGATGGGGCTTCTGATCCTGTGCACATGCCTGGGTTGGGCCAGTTTTAAAACTTGTCAAATGGGAGCTTAATAGAGTCTCCTGGGGGCTCCCTTGCAGGCCCAGCACCACGGTGGCATCCCCCAGTTGCAGCTCCCTGGTATGTATTAAAAGGACCTATTGGGTTTACAGGTGTGGCCTCCAGTACCTCTCCCAAAGCACTCATGTGGTAGAAGTGGGTGGGCCTGCCTTAGGGCTCTCAGGACACACTGCTGACCTTTCCTGCCTCCCTGTGGGAAAATTCCCCAGGAGGAGATAAGATCAGTATAGTTAGGGCCTTGCAGGGGGCCTCCTGCCCCAGGAGCAGGATAGAAGGAAACAGTTCAGATCTGGCTTAAGCCAAGTGCCTACCCCTATCCACCAACCCCCGCCCCCAGGGCTCTGTCTCCAACTGGAGCTTCTGCAAATCCTGCTCTCCTTTCCCTGCTGAGGGAGAGACCCTCCTGGAAATAGCACCCAGCCAGGATCCCCTCAGGGCTGTAAGCAAAGGAAGGCTGAGAGAAACTTGAGCCCCTGCTTTGGGCTCAATTCGCTCAATTCGGTGTAGATTTCAGTTTCTCCCTCAAGAGAGCAAAAGTAACTCACAGACCCTAAGGAGAGATGATACTGACTTGTTTACCTTCAGATAGTGCTTTGAAAGTCCTGTTGACTCATTCATCTTGGAGATCCGATCACCCTGCGGTTGATCTCCCACACTTACTAGGCTGAGAAGAAAGACGTCTCTTCTCTCCTTACAAACCCAAATTTGAATCCCAGCTCCCCATCCCTTCATAGCTCCGTGACCTTTTGCAAGTCCCTTAACCTCTCCCAACCTTAATTTCCTGGTGTGTAATGTGAAGGTAATAGTACACTTCTTGCAGGGCACTGGTGAGAACTAAATGGGCTGGTGCTGTCCAAGCATTTGGCAAGAAGCAGCTCACTAAGCAGTGTTGGGCTCCATATGTGCAAAAAGAGGGACAGAAAAACCTCACTTTGAACCCAAAATATCTAGTTTTTAACCCCAGTTTTGGGTGCTTCTTCATTCCAGTTCAGTTTTTTCTTTGAACAGAAGAGAGAAATGAGAGAAAGAGGCAGAGCTCTGCTTGTCATACCAAGGTGATTCTGGCTGGCTTAGGGTCTCAGGTTTCACCTGCAGTGTGATCCTCCCGGGGCTTATTTATTTCCAATGCAGCCTTCGAGATGCTTCCAAAGGGATATCTCAGCACCCTCAGCAAAGGCCCCAGTGCAGGATTCTAGCAAACACCTGCCGCAGGATAGGGCCTCTGCTACTTGGGAAACCTTACTCCCTACTCCCTAAGGACCACATGTTCTATTCTGGGACTCACAAACATTATTAGACATTTCTGATGCTTAAAAGAAAAAATCCAAGTTAAATTCCAAAAAATTTATGTGCAACAATTGGGTTTTCCTGTCTTGAACCGAGATTAACCAACTTGACATCATTTGCCTGGGATTTTCCTGGTTTTAGCACTGAAATTCCCCATCCCAAAACACCTCCAATCTCAGATAAACCAGGATAATGGATCACCCTACCCAAATGGCTTCATCACATTCTGCTCTGGTTATTTGCTGCCTCACCCTAATTAATAGCTACGTTTATTAAGCAGAGACTCTGCTAAGCACATTTCCTACATAATTTCACCTGACTTTCCTAATAATCCTATGAGTAAATATTATTATTATTATTATTATTATTATTATTATTGAAACTAGCATACTTCCTGTTTCTGTGCTAAACAATACTGAAACTAGGAAAAATAATTTAGTTGCTTGCTCTAGGAAATACTTCCTGCTGGAAAACAAAGCTGCTGCCCTGTTTTCTTATCAAGACCAAAAGCTTGCTAATCATTACTCACTCTAAGACCCTAGCCTGACAGTGCACACTGATCAAAAGGTCCAGTCTTTCAAGAGCTGCCTTAAAATCACACAGCTCAGAAGAGAAAGCCCTGTCAATACCCTTCTTTCTACTCCTACCTTCTGAGACTGTGCAGGTAGTGGGCACCCTACCTTCTAGTATACTTTCCTGAGGTTCTTTTTGAGAAGTCAGCTGTCAGCATTATTTCCCTAGTTTTAATGAGGCATCTGAAGCTCAAAGAGATGAAGCATTTTTTTTTGATGAACAGTGAGTACTTACTGGTTTTGCTGGTTGAGTCCCTCTCAGGGTTAGCCAGTTCCCCCAAACAGCAAACAAGTTTCCCACAAGAACTCACACAAGCAAACCAACCAATCCCAACCACACACCCACAACCCCCTCCTCTATGGGGCTCTCACACTCTGGGCCACTGTTCTCTTGCCCTAGCTACCTTAGGGCCAGGAACCAGACAACTAGGGACAGCCCTACAACCCCAGAGCCCACTGGAATGAGGCACACCAGCCAGCCCTCCGCCTGCTGGGCCTGACTTACCTGTTTGCTCCCTTGGAAACCACAATAAAGTTTCCTGCCCATTTCCCCCTCCCCCTCCCCCTCCTGCCAGGCCCTGGTGCTTCCCCGAGTGCCCACCCCCACTCCCCATACCCCCTGCCCCATAGTGTGTCCTGCCCCTTCTCCTGGGATTTGTGAGTGTAGCACTATTCCTTTTCAATGGCATCCATCTCCTGATCTGTTGGCCTCACTGTACCTGATTAATAATAAAACTTTCCTTTTAAAATACTTGTGTCTGAGGGACAGAGGGCAGCTCTGGTCACAGGGGTCACAGCTAATGAAATCCAACCCCGTTCTGCTGCTCTGTGGCCATGGTGGCACCGTGTGTGGCATCACCAGGCTGGGCCATGCTGGGCTGAGGCTGAGGGCTGCTAACAAGTGTCCTTTGTGCAAAACCACCCATTCCTATGGGCTGCAGGCTCCTCTTCTGCCCAAGTCCATAAGAGTCCAAGCCAGTCATACTGTTCAGCTCTGCACCTGCCGATGACCTCCGAGCACTGTTGTGTGCTCAGCAGCCCTGACACAGCCCCTGCCTCATGGGACCACCAATTGGAGGGTACCCCAGGGAGCAACTCCCCAGCCCCCAGTTTCTATGTTTCTGTACTAGTCTGTTCTCACAGTGCTAATAAGGACATACCTGAGACTGGGTAATTTATAAAGGAAAAAGGTGTAATCAACTCACAGTTCCACATGGCTTGGGAGGCCTCACAATCATGGTGGAAGGTGAATGAGGAGCAAAGTCATGTCTTACATGGTGGCAGGCAAAAGGCATGTGCAGGGGAACTCCCCTTTATAAAACCATCAAATCTCGTGAGACTTATTCACTATCACGAGAATAGCATGAGAAAAACCCGCCCCCATGATCCAATCACCTCCCCCTTGGCCCCTCCTCCAATTCAACATGAGATTTGGGCAGGGACACAAATCCAAACTATACCAAGCTGTCATTAGGAAGTACCACAGATAGAGTGGCTTAAACAACAGAGATTTATTTTCTCACAGTTATAGAGGCTAGCAGTCCAAAATCAAGGCATTGGCAGGGCTAGTTTCTCTCAAGGCTTCTCCCCATGGCTTGCAGATGGCCACCTTTTCACAGTGTCTTCACGCGGTGTCCCTCTGTCTGTGTATGCTTCTGTTGTCTTTCCATGGGTCCAAATTTCCTCTTCTTATAAGCACACCAGTCACATTGGATTAAGGCCCACCCTGAAGCCTTCATTGTAGCTTAATTACCTCTCAGAAGATTTTTTCTTCAAACATGGTTAGGTTCTAAGGTGCTGAGAGTGAGGACTTCAACATCTAAATTTGGGGCAGGGACACACTTCAGCCCATAACAGGTGGTGTATGCACATGTCAGCTCAAGCACACAAGATGGAACACAAGTGAGCAAGTGGCTTCTGTGTGAGGAAGGTAGAGAAAATTCCTCAAGTGTATAAGGCTCAGGATGGGATCCATCACCTTGGGGCAAAATGTCCAGCTCTAGTCCCAGTCTGCCATGTCCTGGCCACAGAACCTCAGGTGGTACGCCTCTTCTCAAAGCCATGCTTTCATTGTTTCAGGAGGGAGAATGATCATGGTCTCGGAGGCTGACGGTGAGGAGTTAACAGTGTAATTTGTGTGTAGCAGTTCCACCAGCTGACATTTGTGAGAATGACAACTTTGAATGACAACTTCCTTTTTAATTTTTTTTTTCTAATTTATTTTTGCTTCCCTTTAGTGAGCTGTAGGGAAACTTTTGGCATTTTCCCTGCCTCCTGGGGTTTGTTTTAAAGTCCAAGTGCTTAGTAAATGTCAGCAGTTGGATTTAAAGATTCTTGGTAAAACCAGCTTGAGAGACACAAATGTGCTCATAGATTTGTACATGATTAGACAACTGTCAAGTGCAGTAGAAAGTAGCCATTGGGATTATTTTCCAAAGGTCTTAGATGTCTCCACCACTCTGCCTCTTTCTATGAGCTACTTAAGCTCACCCTCTGTTACCTACTGAATGAATGTTTGTTCCCCTCAAATTTATGTTGAGATCCTAACCCCTGATGTGATGGTGTTAAGAGGTGAAGTTTTTTTTTTTTTTTTTTTTTGAGATGGAGTTTTGCTCTTGTTGCCTAGGCTGGAGCACAGTGGCGTGATCTCGGCTCACTGCAACCTCTGCCTTCTGGTTTCAAGCAATTCTCCTGCCTCAGCTTCCCAAGTAGCGTGGCCTGGCTAATTAGTGTATTTTTAGTAGAGACGGGGTTTCGCCATGTTGGCCAGGCTGGTCTTGAACTCCTGACATCGTGATCCACCCACTTCAGCCCCCCAAAGTGCTGGGATTACAGGCATGAGCCACTGTGCCCGGCCGAGGTGAAGTCTTTAGGAGGTGAATTAGGTCATGAAGGTGAAGCCCTCATGAATGGGATTAGTGCTCTTAGAAGAGATACAAGAGGCTAGGCACGGTGGCTCATGCCTGTATTCCCAGCACTTTAGGAGGCTGAGGCAGGTGGATCACTTGAGGTCAGGAGTTCGAGACAAGCCTGGCCAACATGGTGAAACCCCGTCTCTAGGAAAAATACAAAAATTAGTTGGATGCAGTGGTGTATGCTTGTAGTCCCAGCTACTCATGAGGCTGAGGCATGAGAATCACTTGAACCCAGGAGGCAGAGGTTGCATTGGGCTGAGATCGCACCACTGCACTCCAGCATGGGTGACTGAGTGAGATTCGGTGAAAAAAAATAAAAGAGAGAGAGATACAAGAGCTTCCTGTCTCTGCTCTCCCCCATGTGAGAACACTGCAAGAAAACAGCCATCTGCAAACCAGGAAGAGGGATCTCACCAGAACCTGACCATGCTGGCACCCTGATCACAGACTTCTAGCCTTCAGTATGTGATAAATACATTTGTGTTGTTTAAGCCACCCAGTCTATCACAATTTGTTACAGCAGCTGGAACAGACTAAGGCACACTCTCCACTGGCATTTCTCAAGGAAATATGTAGAAAAGCAAGACCCATTCCTGTCCTGAAGAGTTAGCATGGACTGGGGGAGGCCAGATGGTAAAGCAGTCAGCAAACAAGATAGAATGAGGTCTTCTCACCCCAGAAAATGCCACTTGACGCTGTGAGCAGTCTTATAGAGGGTAATTTTAGATCTTATTACCCAGCAGGGGTGACTTAAGAGCAGCAATATCCCTTGAGCATGTCTAGACTAGGGAGGATGAAAGGCAGTCCAGGCGACATGGGAAACGCTGGAGAGGTGGTGAAGGAGAGGGAGGACACAGAGAACTGGTGTGGAGACATGTTTGCCTGGCACATGGCAAGAAGGAGAGCGGCAGAGAAGACCAAGAAGGAAGCTGTGGCTTGAATGCCAAGTTGGGACATCTGGACACACCTCCTTAAGTAACAGAAACTAAAACCAGTATTCAGTAGAAATTGTCCTCATCTAAGTTGGGTTTTTGGAAGATAACTCAAGCACCTAGCAGAGTGGACTAAAGGGGAGCAGCACTAAGCAGGTGGCCCAGCTGTAGGTATGCCAGTGGTTCAGAAAAGAGGAAGGGAGGAGCTGGTCTGGGTAGAAGCAGTGGGGACAGAGACACTGGGGAGGCGGAGCTGGTGGCCAGGGCAGGGTGTGGGTGGAGAGAAGAGTTTCCTGTTGCTGCTGTTACGAATCACTACAAAGATGGTGACTTAAAAATAACACAGGCCAGGCACAATGGCTCATGCCTGTAATCTCAGCACTTTGGGAGGCCAAGGTGGGCAGATCATTTGGGAGGCCAAGGTGGGCAAATCATTTGAGGTCAGGAGTTCAAGGACAGCCTGGCCAACATGGTGAAACCTGGTATCTATTAAAGTTAGCTGGGTATCTAAAAAATTAGCTGGGCACGGTGGCACATGCCTGTAATCTGCTCAGGAGGCTGCTCAGGAGGCTGAGGCAGGAGAATTGCTTGAACCCAGGAAGCAGAGGTTGCAGTGAGCCAAGATCGCACCACTGCACTCCAGCTTGGGTGTCAGAGCGAGACTCTGTCTCAAAAACAAAAACGAAAAAAACAAACAACAACAACAAAAAACCAACCCCACCAACTCCTTGCAGTGCTGTAGGTCAGAGTTTTAGCCAGGTCTGACTGGACTAAAGTCAAAGTGTCACAGGCTGCACCCCTTTCTGAAGGCTCTCGGGAAAAATCCATTTCCTCATGATTTTTTTTCAGCTTCTAGAGGCTGCCCACACTCCATTCCCTGTGGCCCCTTCCTCCGTCTTCAAAGCCAGCATCTCTCTGACTTTTTTTGTGTGTGTGATCACGTCTCCCTCTGACCACAGTTGGGAAAGTTTCTCTGATTTAAACAATTCATGTGATTAGATTGGGCCCATCTGGACACTTTAGGATAATCTCCCCATCTCAAGGTCCTTCATTGAACCACATATGCCAAATCCCCTTTGCCACATAGGGTTACGTGATCACAGGTTTGAGGAATTAGCATGTGGCTATCTTTGGGGGCCTTATTTTGCCTACCATATTCATTTAGCCACAAGCTCTAAATCCAGGCAGGAACACCTCTCCCGGGGAGCCCACTGCCTTCATGCTGGTCCACTGTCCTCTCTAAGTATTTGACTCTGAATTACATGAACAGTCCTCTTTCTTGCAGCATTCAACCCAAGTTGTCAGCTCCAAACCTATCTCTTCAACTCCTCTGCCTTCTCCTAAATAATGTGATTTTTTTCCCTCAGTCCCCTGGGCTCCTGCTGTCACCCTGACCTCTCTGTCTCTGCCCATATTTCCTTCTTCCCAGATCAGCACTGCTCACAAGGCCTCCTCTCTTGGTGATGAACCCTCAGATGTCTGGAATATAGAAAAAACTTCCTTCAGCAAGCTCTTGGTTCAGCCAACGTCTCTGCACCCCCTGATGCCAAGGGGAGAGCCTTCTGCAGATACTTCCAGGCCAGCATCTCCTGCCTTTGCCTGTGTGGAGTCATCACTGTCTCTGCACTCAGGGACCTGCACATACAGAAGGAAGGCTCTCTCTCTATCCCCACATGGTTGCTGCTGAGAGCAGCAGAAGGCAGCCAAATGCCTAGGCAGACAGGGGCAGGTCACTGGTGAAACCCCATCTTCAAGCCGAAGACAGTTTAAAGCCTAAAGCTACAAGTCAAATCCTCGGACCAGTTTGCAAACTTGTCTTCCCATTTGTTGCACTTTCCTCTGATTGATCCCCACCCTTCACCTATTTTACATAGACCTACCCTTTCCTAATTGGTTTTCTACACTGCCATGCCCACCTTTGAGTGGTGTCTTCACTTTGACCTTTTTTGCCTACTCACAAACCAATCAGCATGCACTTCCCATTCTGAGTCCATAAAAGACCCCAGACCCAATCACATGGGGGGCCTTTCCCACCTTCGGATAGGGGAACCACCCCTGGGTCCACTCTTTGCTGACAGCTTTCCTTTTGCTTAATGAATTCACTCCACTCACTCTCCAGTAGCTGCACACCTAATTCTTCCTGGTTGTGAGACAAAAACTCAGGCCTAGCTGAGCTGAGGAGCAGAAAGACTGCAACATTTTGGTGGCTCATATGGGGATACCTGGAGGGTGAGTAAATGTGGTCCCAAACCCTCTTTCACCTTTGTTTCTGAGGCTTCTCATCCTCAGACTTTTTTCTGAAGGCAGATGAAGCACCAAACCTCTGGTGAGCCAATTAAGAATGAATGACGCAGTTACAGAGGACAGGATACAACCCTGCCACCTCTCTCTCTCTTTCAGGTCAAAGAGATGTTGGCTTTGTTTCCCTTCATGGAGGTCTAGCCATCACGTGGAACCAGAATAAGGTCCTGGGGCAACTGAAGGCATCTGGCCGAGGACTTAATTGCCAGGAGGCCCCTAGACTTGGCTCCACCCCTGACCACCCCATTATGGCATCAGCCAAGACCCGCAGACTTTTCTATGGTATTTTTCTTTTCTTCTTTCATGGTTTGAAGTGGCTCCTATCTCTTCTTTTACAGCATTAAGTGTGTTGTTGCAAACTGCAGAAATATTACCAGGTAGAATGAGCATTTGGCCTAGCCATCAGATATGCAATTCAGAACAATGTGATTTTCATCTGTTCTTAGAGGCACGTCCCCTACCCCCATCCCAACAGCCACAAGCACACATGGTGGACAAATGGGTGCACCGCAGCTACCCGCTCCCCCCTCCCCTCCTGGCTGGGGCATGTGGCTGTGTCCAACGCATGCCTGTGCTGCATCCAACAGCCACGCAGGGCAGGAGTGAGCCGTGTCTGCTGCCTGGGACCCAGGGAAATCTTAGGTGCCAGGGGCCCTGCACAGCCAGCTGGTCAGCATTTTCTGCCCACCGCCCCCTCCCACCACACACCCATTGAATCTTTCCTCTCATGGCTCAGTCTGAACGAGAAGGAGGGTCCAGTGACTAAGAATCTCTCCCCTTTGGAGGAACCCATTTGCATAGAGCAAGAAGTTTTTTCCCCCCAGGCACCTTCCCTGCCCTGCACTTAAGCTGTTTTTTTTTTTTTCTTTTCTCCAACATGTCGGTAGTTAACACAGCCCTGCGAATACAGGAAGCTTTTCTATGTGAGGTTTTTTTTTTTTTTTTTTTTTTTTCCTTTTGAAAGGCATTTTACTAGGCCAGGACCCAAAATCACAGAACTCCCTTTTCTCTCCCTTGTTTGAGGATGACCCAGCTCTACAGCTTTACTTTAGCATTTGACTTACATAAGGAAGCAGCAGAGGAGCGACCCTGTTGGCTGTTGGCTGCTGGCTGCAGTCTGGTGAGGACCACCTGGGACTTGATGAGTCCATAAACCCTCCTGAGGCAGCTTTTTGTCTCAAACTCAATTCCAAGCTTCAGACTGAAGCCCTAGTAAGGAAAACGGGATCTGAGGGATCCAGAGGCAGATGACAATGGAAGTCAAGGGGCACAGCACAGGTGAGCGTGACTGACTAATTCCTGCTGATTAAGTCCCCCTTATTTCAAGGATAGAGGTCATGCTAGTATCCATGCCATAAATGAGGTCTGGGGAACCCAAAGGTTACTGATAGCATGGGGGACAGGCAGCATGTGGGCAAATGCAGATAATTCCCATCCCCTAGGCACCCCCTGTTAACATGGGTGAAAGCCTCATTGGCACCCATGGGCAGCACCCTGCCAAGGTCACTGGGACTCAGGGATGTAAGGACCCAAAAAACAAATGGAGATGCCTCTTCTTTCTCTCCCTCACATACCCTGAGTATTCACTGGGAAGAGAAAGTAACTAGGGACACTTTCTTCCCCTCTTTCGAGATGGGTAACCAATCTTCTTCAGTCTGTACTTCTCTGAAATGCCTCCTGAATCACTGTGATTCTTTTGGAAAAAAAAAATGCCTTCTTTCTGCTTTTTCCTCCTCTGTCCTCTCTTTGGGGATGGGTAATTGTGTCCCTGTACCTAACATAGGACATTCCCCTTGGATGTGTCCCCCAAACTGGGAAGAGTTAATTTCCCCAACCCTTAAAATGCTTGGCTTAAAATTGAGCTTGGGTGAAGGGAACTCAGAAGCCTGAAATGCCAGCAAAAGGGTAAAGATTTCTTACCAGTCAGACTTCTGGTCTCCCTCTCCCTGTGCAAACCAGTTGAATGAATGAGAAAATCACTGTTTATATCCTCTGTAAGATTTTGATGCATGGAAAAAAAGGATTTGTGAGGCTAATCTTAAGCTGCAGCCAATCTGGTGTACTTTGTGTGTCTTTCTGCATGGTTCTGTCATAAGGAGGAATACCTGAGGATAGAGCATGGCCTAGTACCCCATGAGCCCACTGTTCAAGCCAGCCCCGCAAACTGGTCAGTAACGAACTGTGCTGCAGGTCTCCATCTTGTCTTATGTCCTTGGCAGCTTGACCTTGTAACCACGTGGCAGTCCTTTCTTTTGGTCTCCACCATTTTACAGTGGTGGCCAGGGTTCAATCCTGGCTTTAGGGAATGAGTACTTTCTGCTTAATATCTGTGACTTTTACCATTTCCTGATTCTCTTCCCTTCGATGAACAACTTCTAGCTTCCTTTCTTAAATCTTCTTTTCTCGGCCAGGCATGGTGACTAACACCTGTAATCCCAGCACTTTGGGAGGTCGAGGCAGGCAGATCATGAGGTCAGGAGTTCAAGACCAGCCTATAATATAAAAAATAGCCAGGTGTGGTCGTGCACGCCTGTAGTCCCAGCTACCCGGGAGGCTGAGGCAGGAGAATTGCTTGAACTCGGGAGGCGGAGGTTTCTCTGAGCTACTTTAAAGATTCCAGATTTTGTAAAAACTACTTACTACCTTATAAAAAATACCTTGTACATTCATGGTTAAGTCATAACCTTAGTTGAGGCTTCTTGGTTTCAACTGTGAAGGTACTTTTGGTAAAGTTCAAAGGCTAGAAATATTGGCCACTTGGTGTGGCTAAAGTCTGGTAACAAATAATTTAAAAGGATTTTCTTAAAGAGCACTATCGTTAAAAGTCAGCTTAATTAAAAGTGGCTATCTGAGCTGTAGGTATATTGAAAAGGCCTTTGTGTTTTTCTCTTCATGGATCTTGTTTTTCTGGAAAAAGATTTTTTTTCTCAGTCGACTGAATTACTTTTCTCCATTTTGTCTTGCCACTCTCAGTACACGCGTGAGAGGCCCTAAGATAACTTCTGAGAGCATGGGACTCCTTTGCAAAAACAGAGAAGCTGCCACAGACCCCATTTTTTGGGGAAAAAAACCTTTGTTTTCCTTCTGGAACCCCAGGAATTAAAAAGCAGCTAGATCCCTCTTAAAACTGGTTTTGTCTTTCAGCTATGCTTGTTATTAGGCCCTAGAAACTGCATATTTTCCTAGCCCTGTTTCTTGAAGGGCTCCACCCTGAGGCCAGTAATCCAATTAGGATATTGGCAAATGAAAAATCTTACAACTACTGGATCTTCTTCTGTCCATCTGTGTAACCATGTATGTGTTATGTGTGTGATGGTTATATTAAAAAGAGGTCTAGTAAATTGGCTTAAATAAAATGAAGTGCTTAGATCAAATATTTTTTGAAGGAAAAATAAAAGCTGTAATGCCTTTTAGTTCATGAGACTTTAATCTTTGAGAAATAAAAACAGTTTTAAAGATAATTGGTAAAATACAAATGTCTTCAAAATGTAAATATGTGGCCTAAATTATGCGGATAAGATACTAGGTTTGCTAAGTATTTTAAGCTTATAACCTCTTCTTTGGCTTTTGAGAACTGTTTGACTTGCCTGTTTTATAATTTGGTAAGGCTTGGGGACATATGAAATTAACCACGCCCTTAACTATGCTGGAAAGAGTCAGATTTTATGTGCACTGAGTACATGATTAAAATAACTCACCAGGTTTTAAATTAAAATTTAAAATTGCTAAGAGTTGCCATTATAACATGCAATTGAAACTACTGAAAAGAGATTTACATGCAAAATGTGCAAGGAAAGTAACATGTGTTTTGAGTAAAAGATTATAAGAAGACATGGGAGTGTAAAGTTTTGCCTAGTTTAGAGGGTTAAAGGATTGTTTTGAATTAGATAAGATAATGCTGTGGCTCACGCCTGTAATCCCAGCACTTTGGGAGGCCGAGGCGGGCGGATCACGAGGTCAGGAGATCGAGACCATCCTGGCTAAAACGGTGAAACCCCGTCTCTACTAAAAATACAAAAAATTAGCCGGGCGTAGTGGCGGGCGCCTGTAGTCCCAGCTACTTGGGAGGCTGAGGCAGGAGAATGGCGTGAACCCGGGAGGCGGAGCTTGCAGTGAGCCGAGATCCCGCCACTGCACTCCAGCCTGGGTGACAGAGCGAGACTCCATCTCAAAAAAAAAAAAAAAAAAAAAAAGATAATGCTGAAGGTTTAAAAAAAGGTGGAAATCTTGCAAAAAGAAACTCTGTGTGTGAACATATTGACTAACCTCAAAAAGGTATCATATGGATTTTCCATAAATTGAGCATTGAAATAAAAGCACAACAAGGTTTTATTAAGGCACTGACTTGCTCTTTAAGAAAAATAGTAAACAATAATGAATGGTTTTTGTCTTTTAAAAAATTATTGAGTCATCATTTTGACTAAATAAAATGACTTACAGTAATCTGGAATTCTACTTCACAATATCAAGTGCTTTGAACCTCTAACATATTTAACAGTCTTCCCAAAATCAAACTTGAGTTTCAAGGTTGTCTTTCCTGACCCCTAACTTTTGGATGCTACAGAGGGCCCCTGGAGCGTCTGAAGGAGAGGTAAACAAGATTATTTGACATGTTTAGTCACGTGGGATTGCCAAAATAAAAATAATGTTTAACCTTCTTCAGGTTATATTTTAGTGAATAATGTTAATATATGTTCCAAAATTGTATGGGATTTCTAAAAATCTAATGTCTGAGTATACGCCATTGATCATAATTAAGGTTATTATGTTAAGCTATTTTAAACCATAGAAATAACCAAATTTCTTTGTCAATCATGTTTTTGACTGTAACTACCCTGGACATTTTGTCATTCACAGATGATTGTTGTCATGCTTTGATCCTTTGCAAAAGCTATAGGACTTTGACAGGTGCTGTCAAATGCAGGTTTCTGATAGCTTTGGAGATTGTGACATTGGAATAGAGGGGAACATACAGGACTCATGAAGAACTGAAATGCTTATGAATATCAAGCAGAATAAGAGTTAACTGAAGACACTGAAGTATCAGAAAATTGAAGTAATTTTTTAAACTTTTTCTGAAAACACTGCAGACCTTTATTTTTTCAGAGCCAAGGAAACTTTTTTGAGCATCTACAGCTTCTAACATGAGTAAGGTATACTCTTATAAACAAAATTTGGAGCATATTTTTTTCTCTCTGCTTGGTTTCTCTAGATTTGGAAACTGTGAGTATTCTTAAGTTATGGGAATACAGTTATTTGGATCAATGCAATAAGAATCCATTTTCTTTTGCAACAGGATGCAATTGGAGAAACAGGTTGTTTTACCAAGTCTTTGACTGGAAATGTGTGCTTCCCTTTAAGGAATTGAGCTTGACTTGCAAAGCCAATAAAATCCCCTTGGGAAAACTGGCCTCATACCTTGTCAAAACAGTTCCTATACAGGGTTCCTAACCTGTGGTGAGTAAACAGTGTCATTTCTAACAGGCCCAGGAGCCCCATGTTGTCTTGGGACTTGAAGAAGAGAGGGATTTATCCAACTCATAGGTATTTGAGGGTACAAACCCATGGCTAGGCTCGGCTTTAAAAGGTCTTATCTGAGATTCCTTGTGGAATGGAGTTCCATCAAAGCCAATTTAAAAAGCCTACATGAAAGATAATTATTCTTGTTACACTTTATGCAAATGATCAAGCCAAGACTAAAGTTTATTTTGAAAACAACTCAGTCCTATCATGATTTGTTTTGACAAAAATGTGGATTGGAGAGAAAAAAAATTATGTTTCAAAACTTATATTTGTCATTGAATTCTAATCTCAGTTGTTTTTAAGTTTTTGCTTACATTTTAGACTAAGACTGCTTATTCCTGTGAACTAACCAGTGGTCTCTGGGTGCAGCTTAGAAGAAACAGAAGGGATGGGTAATGTAAAAATCTAGATCAACATTCTAGTTCTGAGCAATTATCCTGCAAATCCTGCCAGGTGATAGGAGTAAATAGGGTGCCTATTACCTGGAGGTTTCTTTGTTTGGGAAAATAAGGCCAGTGGAGCTAACCAAAGCCAAGCCCCATGAACCCAACTCTTAGCAAGCAAAACTATAGCCACCAGTTATCTGGGCATTCCAGCAGCCTCAGGATTTTTAAGCTGTCCTTACCCCCTTGTTTCATTTTGAT